>NC_000002.12:219364618-219989618 GCF_000001405.40 Homo sapiens
TGAGACAGGAGCATTACTTGCGCCCAGGAGTTTGAAACCAGCTTGGACAACATACTGAGACTTGGTCTTTACAAAAAGTTTAAAAAGTAGGCCGGGCTTAGGGGCTCACGCCTGTAATCCCCGCACTTTGGGAGGCCGAGGTGGGTGGATCACTTGAGGTCAGGAGTTCAAGATAAGCCTGGCCAACATGGTGAAACCCCGCCTCTACTAAAAATACAAAAAATTAGACTGGCGTGGTGGCAGGCGCCTGTAATCCCAGCTAGTTGGGAGGCTGAGGCAGGTGAATCCCTTGAGCTTAGAAGTTCAAGGCTGCAGTGAGCTGTGTTCACACCACTGCAATCCAGTCTGGGCAGCAGAGTGAGACCTTGTTTATATAGATTAAAAAAAAAAAAAGCCAGGTACAGTGGCTCACGCCTGTAATCCTAGCACTTTGGGAGGCCGAGGCAGGTTGATCACAAGGTCAGGAGTTCAAGACCAGCCTGACCAACATGGTGAAACTCCGCCTCTACTAAAAATACAAAAATTAGCTGGGCGTGGTGGTACACACCTGTAATCCCAGCTACTCAGGAGGCTGAGGCAGGAGAATCACTTGAACTCAGGAGGCGGAGGTTGCAGTAAGCCAAGATGGCTCCATTCCATTGCACTCCAGCCTGGGTGACAGAGCCAGGCTCTGTAAAAAAAAAAAAAAAAAAAAAAAAAAAAAAAAAAAAAAATTGTTGATAAAATAAAAGCAGAAATGTCTTTGGAGTTGTCAGCATTAAATAGAATGCAGAACTACAATTTTATTTTACCTGGGTTTACTGGTCAAACAATGTTATATCAACTAGATGTTTAAGGTTATAAAACTATAAATCTAAACTAAGAATAAAATATACAATAAAAATAAATTGCTTGATGCATATCAAGCATAGCAGTTTTTAAAAAAAGACAGAGAAGAACCATATATTTAAATTTTTAGGTTTTTTGCTTCTGTTATTTTTTTTTAAACAGGGTTTAGCTTTGTTGCCCAGGCTGGAGTACAATGGCATGATTATGGCTCATTGCAGCCTCAACCTCCCAGGCTCGAGCAATTCTTACCACCTCAGCCTCCCAAGTAGCTAAAACTTCAGGAGAATGCCACCATGGACAGACAATTTTTGTATAGATGGGGTTTGGCCATGTTGCCTAAGCTGGTCTCGAACTCCTGGGCTCAAGGGATCTGTCCACTTCGGCATGCCAAAGTGCTGGGATTATAGGCGTAAGCCACCATGCCTGGCCATTTTTTACACTTACCTGATTTGTCAACAAGAAAAATAACTTGAGATGATGGCTAGCTTTGTTTGATGTTACAGTATGTCTGCCTGAATCAGTTTCCAAATCTTATTTGGTAACTTGCAAACTTAAAGTTAGGTTAAATTAAGCAGTAGATATTCATTAAATGTCTGAACCATTTGTAAGTAAGATAAACTACTGAAACATTAACTACTAAGCATAAATTTAAGCGTATATACTTCTGGCATCTTATTTTTATATGATATAGAGAAGCTAAATATATTTGGGTCTACTAATAAGCATGTTCTTTGCCACACTGAAAGACTGTACTATATTAGGAAGCATATGTTCCTGAAATTATAAAATAGTATATTCATAAATTTACTAATCTACTACAAGATGCCGATATATGACAGGCAGTTCACAATTGCCTGCTTCCTAGTTTTCACAGCAAATTAGGGTCACTAAGGGTTAAAACTTATAATAAGTATACATAAATAAAACAATTAGACATCATAGGATGGAGGGAAACAACTTTGTATGCAAAGTATGCAAGGTATGAAGAAATTATTATTATTATTATTATTTGAGACCGAGTCTTGCTCTGTCACCCAAGCTGGAGTGCAGTGGCGCGATATCGGCCCACTGCAAACTCCACCTTCCGGGTTCAAGCGATTCTCCTGCCTCAGCCTCCCTAGTAGCTGGAATTACAGGCACATGCCACCATACCCAGCTAATTTTTGTATTTTTAGTAGAGATGGGGTTTCGCCATGTTGGCCAGTCTGGTCTCCAATTCCTGACCTCAGGTGATCCGCCCGCCTCGGCCTCCCAAAGTGCTGGGATTACAGGCGGGAGCCACTGTGCCTAGCCAGCCGTGGGTTTTTCATAGATGCCTTTATCAGGTTGAGCAAGCTCTTTTCTATTTCTGAATGTTGAATATTTTTATTATGAAAGGGTTTGGGATTGTACCAAATGCTTTTTCTGCATCAATTGAGATCATGTGGGTTTTGCTCTTTATTCTATAATATAATGTATTACATTAATTAATTTTAATATGTTGAAGTAAACCTGCATTCTTGGGATGTCCACTTTATTATAGTACATTACCAGCCTGGCCAACATGGCGAAACCCCATCTCTACTAAAAATACAAAAATTAGCTGGGCGTGGTGGTAGGTGCCTGTAATCACTGCTACTCAGGAGGCTGAGGCAGGAGAATTGCTTGAACCTAGGAGGCAGAGGTTGCTGTGAGCCAAGATTGCGCCACTGCACTCCAGCCTGGGCAACGAGTGAAACTCCATCTCAAAAACAAACAAACAAAAAAAAAACCAAATTGCCACCTTTGTCATAAACCAAGTATCAAATATTCATTTGTCTCTGTTCTATTGGTGAGTTTTATTCTTGAACCAAGAATATACTATCTTAATTTCTGTAGTTTTTATAATAAGCTTTGACAACAAATAAGGCAGTTGTCTTCTTCGATTCTTTTTTAAAAAAAATTTTTAAGATACGGGGTCTCACTATGTTTGTCAGACCGATCTCTAACTCCTGGGATCAAGCAATCATTTCATCTCAGCCTCCCAAGTAGACAGGACTACAGGCACGCACCACTACACCCAGCTCAAATCTTGGCTATAAAAAAGTATCAGCTTGTCAACTCCCACACAAAAAGAAGAAAAGCAAGGAGGAGGAGAGAAACTGTCGGTATTTTTATTAGAATTGCACTGAATCTATGTATCAATTTGGAGGATAACATATTTTACAATATTGAGTTTCACATCATGAATAAGAGATATCTTCCAAATCATTTGGACCTTCTTACATAAAATTTTCTCTATAGAGGCCGGGTGTGGTGGTTCACATCTGTAATCCCAGCACTTCGTGAGGCTAAGGCGGGCGGATCACCTGAGGTCAGGAGTTCAAGACCAGCCTGACCAACGTGGTGAAATCCCATCTCTACTAAAAATACAAAATTAGCTGGGCATGGTGGCACATGCCTGTAATCCCAGCTATTTGGGAGGCTGAGGCAGGAGAATCACTTGAACCTGGGAGGCGAGGGTTGCAGTGAGCCAAGATCACACCATTGCACTCCAGCCTGGGTGACAGAGCAAGACTCTGTCTCAAAAAACACACACACACACACACACACACACACACACACACACACACAAATTTTCTCTGTAGAGATCTTGCATAACTTTATTGACAGATACTTGATTTTTATGCTTGTAGAAGTAAACCTTTTAAAAATTTCGTTTTCTACCCATTTTTTATTGGTATGTAGAAATAAAATTGATATTTGTATGTTGATTTTTCAGCCAGCTGTATTGATAAACTCTCTCATTACGGCCGGGTGCAGTGGCTTACACCTGTAATCCCAGCACTTTTGGAGGCCGAGGCAGGCCGATCACGAGGCCAGGAGATCAAGACCATCCTGGCCAGCATGGTGAAACCCTGTCTCTACTAAAAGTACAAAAATTACCTGGGTGTGGTGGTGTGCACCTGTAGTCCCAGCTACTCGGGAGACTGAGGCAGGAGAATGGCTTGAACCTTGGAGGCAGAGGTTGAAGTGAACCAAGATCACACCACTGCACTCCAGCCTGGGTGACAGAGCGAGTCTCGGTCTCAAAAATAAATAAATAAATAACTTATTAATTCAAATAGTATAACTTTTGGATTTTCTACATAACAAATAATATAAAAAGAAAGTTTTATTCCTCCCTTTCCACCTTTCTTTCATTCCTTTTCTTGTTTTAGTACATAGCTAAAGACCTAGAGTAAAATGCTGAATCGTAATAGAATAGCAGACATCCTTATCTAAAAATCTCAGAAGAATTCTAACTTAGTTTCAGTTTTCCCAGAAGCAGACCCGGAGACAAGGATCTGTGTACAGGAATTTACTGGGAGGTGAAGGAAAACATTGGTTGGGGAGTGGGAAAGGGAGACAAGGAAGGGAAGGTGGCCAATAGAGGCATGTGTTATCAGGCTTATCTCTGGAGCAGAATTCTGCTGGGGGGACTCTGGGAGCCAGTGTAAACTACATGCCTCAGAGTTCTCTCACCCCAGATGGGAGGGAGCTGTGGTATTCAGACACAGAGTCTTGCCAGTTATTGTTTAGAGCTGCTGTGGGATGGAGCTTGAATTCCCCAGCACTTCCAACTGCCATGGGAGTGGAAAACTGTAGTCAAGCAGCAAAGAAAGCCCTCAGGCAAGAAGTGCAGATGCTGGCAGCTGAAAACGGTAGTGTGTACACTGAAATGGTAAAAGTGACGGATACAGGTAAGTTGCCAACAGTGTCTTCTACAAACCCCTTCAACATTTTACTGCATTAACAAGTAACATTTGCAGTCCCCATAGGATAACGGCAGCTGCATAAGTCCAGCCTTTCTAGACACGCTCCTAAAATCATTTTGTCAATGAAGAGAGAAAGAAGGGGAAGAATACACATAATTGCTGAGCATGGTGGCTCACACCTGTAATACCAGGCCAAGGTGGGGGGAATTGGTTGAGTCCAGGAGTTCAAGACCAGTCTGGGCAACATAGTGAGACCGTGTCTCTACTAAAAATTAAAAAAAATTAGCTGGGTGTGGGGGCGCATGCCTGTAGTCCCAGCTGCTCAGGGGGACTGAGGCAGGAGGATCACTTGAGCCTGGGAAGTTGAGGCCGCAGTGAGCCAAGATTGCATCACTGCACTCCAGCCTGGGCAACAGACCAAGACACTGTCTCAAAACAAACAAACAACACACACACACACACACACACACACACAATCCATGCTTACAGCATAATTAGGAGACAGAAAACACCACAAACTATGATGGTAAAATGTTGCCACCTGGCCACTGTTACTCTGAAGTCCTACTATCACCATTAACATCAGGGAGCTCAGTTCTCTGGTAGCATTCCCTACTGTGAACCCTGGCCTACAAAGGACAGCCACCACTCAGTCAAAGTCTAGTAACTGTCATACTACAGCATGCAGGGTTTACCACCACCACACTTAGCATTAACAAACAAATAAGAATCCTGGTACTTAGAAAATACACAGAATAGACTAAGTTAAGGAAAAAGGAGAATGGACAAATACAAGAGAAAGAAGGAGGAGGAGGAGGAAAAAAAAAGGAGAAAGAGGAAGAGAAGATAAAAGGGGCTGGGCGTGGTGGCTCACGCCTATAATCCCAGCACTTTGGGAGGCTGAGGTGGGCAGATCACCTGAGGTCAGGAGTTTGAGACCAGCCTGGCAAACATGATGAAACCCCGCCTCTACTAAAATACAAAAAAAAAAAGCTGGGCGTGGTGACACGCACCTGTAATCCCCACTACTCAGGAGGCTGAGGCAGGAGAATGGCTTGAACCCAGGAGGCAGAAGTTGCAGTGAGCCGAGATGGCGTCACTGCACTCCAGCCTGGGTGACAGAATGAGAGTCTGTCTCAGAAGAAAAAAGGAAAAGAAGAAAAGAAAATTCTAAAAAAGGTAAACTAATCTATAGTGACAGAAAGCAGATCAATGGTTGCTTGGACGTCAGGAGTGGAGAGAGAGATTGATTGCAAAGGGGTACAAGAGGATGATGGAAAGGTTCTGTATCTTGATTGTGGTGGTGGTTTCCCAGGTGTATATGGTATATCTGTCAAAATTCATAGAATTTTACACTTTAAGTGTATAATTTATTATATGGAAATAATACCCCAATTTTTTTTTTTTTTGAGATGGAGTTTCGCTTTTGTTGCCCAGGCTGCAGTGCAATGGCACAATCTTGTCTCACCACAACCTCTGCCTCCCGGGTTCAAGTGATTCTTCTGCCTCAGCCTCCCGAGTAGCTGGGATTACAGGCATGTGCCACCATGCCCGGCTAATTTTGTATTTTTAGTAGAGACAGGGTTCCTCCATGTTGGTCAGGCTGGTCTCAAACTCCGAACCTCAGGTGACACGCCCACCCCGGCCTCCCAAAGTGCTGGGATTACAGGCATGAGCCACTGCACCCAGCCTTCATGTATAACTTTTAACTCCCTGTAAACTTAATTACTGTTGACCAGAAGCTTTACTGATGACATAAACAGATTACCACATATGAAGTATATTCTATGTATTACACACTGTATTCTTACAATAAAATAAGCTAGAGAAAAGAAAATGTTATGCCTGTAATCCCAGTACTTTGGGATGCTGAGGCAGGAGGAATGCTTAGGCCAGGAGTTTAAGACCATCCTGGGAAATGTAGTGAGACCCTGTCTCTTTAAAAAATTAAAAAATTAGCTGGGTATGGTGGTGGGCACCTGTAGTCCCAGCTATTCAGGAGGCTGAGTGGGAGGATCGCTTGAACCTGGGAGGTGAAGGTTGCACTAAGCCAAGATCTTGCTACTGCACTCTAGCCTGGGCAACAGAGCAAGACACTGTCTGAAAAAAAAAAAAAAGGTGGGGGGGGGAGAGAATGTATTTACTATTCATTAAGTGGAAGTGGATCATCATAAAGTCTTCATCTTTGTCGTCTTCATGTTGAGTAGGCCAAGGAGGAGGAAGAGAAGGGTTGGTTGGGGCAACAGTGGGAGAAGAGGCGGAGGAGGTAGAATAGGGGGTAGCAGGGGTGGGGGTTCAGGAGAGCCAGGCATACTTGGTATAACTTTTTTTTTTTTCCAAGACGGAGTCTTGCTCTGTTGCCCAGGCTGGAGTGCAGTGGTGCGATCTCCGCTCACTGCAACCCCCGCCTCCCAGGTTCAAGCAGTTCTGTTGCCTCAGCCTCCCAAGTAGCTGGGATTACAGGCGCCCACCACCACAACCTGCTAAATTTTGTATTTTTAGTAGAGATGGGGTTTCACCATGTTGGCCAGGCTGGTCTCGAATTCCTGACCTCATGATCCGCCCACCTCAGCCTCCCAAAGTGCTGGGATTACAGGTGTGAGCCACCGCACCTGGCCGGTATAACTTTTATTGGGACAAATCCACATGTAAGTGGATGAATTTGAACTGCACAGGTCCATTTATATGTGGATTTTCTTCCACCTCTGGGGTAACATTTCTATCACCCTCTTAAAAGTTTTCTTGCACCCTTTTGCAACCAAACTCTCTCTCAATCCTTGACATTCAAGCAACCACTGGTCTGCTGTCACTATAGTTCAGCTGGCATTTTCTAGAATTTATCCCATGGGAAAAACCAAGGCAAATGTACAATGATATATGTACATTTATCTCAATGTTATTTAGAGTTGTCAACTGGAGAAAAACTTAAATGACCATTATTAACAGACTGAATAAATAATGACCATCTATACAATAAAATACTGTACGCCAATTGTAAGAGTAAATACAGTGTGAGGGTAAAATTTTTTACATAAGTAATACATGGTACATTCTGTTATACAAAAGGAAACCATTACAAAAAGGCTAAGGCCCTTTTGTCACTCCCAACCCAGAAGATCACTGTAAAAGTTTCAGGTGCATTTTTCCAGGCTTTTTCTATACATGTATACATCTACGTGCATATTTATATACACATAAAAATATATAATAATTTTTTTTTTGAGACGGAGTCTGGCTCTGTCGCCCAGGCTGGAGTGCAGTGGCTCAATCTTGGCTCACTGCAGCCTCTGCCTCCCTGGCTCAAGCTATTCTCCTGCCTCAGCCTCCCGAGTAGCTGGGATTACAGGCACCCACCACCACGCATGGCTAATTTTTTTTGTATTTTTAGTAGAGAGGTTTTCACCATGTTGGCCAGGCTGGTTTTGAACTCCTGACCTCAAGTGATCTGCCCACCTCGGCCTCCCAAAGTGCTGGGATTACAGGCATAAGCCACCGTGCCTGGCCATATAATGTTTTGAAGGTACTCCTTGTCCTGTGTCCAGTTCTGCAACCTGCCTTTTCTACTCAACAATGTCTTTGTAATCTCTTCATGTTAGTACACACACTATACAATTTATCTTTTTCTCAATAGCTACCTATAATGGACATTTCATAGTGTATTTGGGCTTGCCTTTACTGAGAAATCTTTAGATGAATTCTAACTTTTTGCCATTGCTAAATTAAATTTATATGTATTGATATAGAAATATCTCTATATTATATTAAGTTTTTTAGAAAGCTGAAGTGGAATATTTATATGGAAATAAACTTTTATATAGGTATCAAAAAGATTGGAAGGACACCAGTTTGCACAATTATTTTAGTGGAAGGAAGGAGGTTGGTTTATAAGCAGGCTTTGACTTTTTCTTTTTCTTTTTTTTTTTTTGAGAGAGTTTCACCCTTGTTGCCCAGGCTAGAGTGCAATGGCAGGATCTTGGCTCACCACAACCTCCGCCTCCTGGGTTCAAGCGATTCTCCTGCCTCAGCCTCCGGAGTGGCTGAGATTACAGGCATGTGCCACCACGCCCGGCTAATTTTGTATTTTTAGCAGGGACAGGGTTTCTCCATGTTGGTCAGGCTGGTCTTGAACTCCCGACCTCAGGTGATCCGCCCACCTCAGCCTCCTAAAGTGCTGGGACTACAGGCATGACCCATCACGCCTGGCCTTTTTTCTCTGAGACAGAGCCTTGCTCTGTTGCCCAGGCTGGAGTGTGGTGGCTCCATCTCAGCTCACTGCAACCTACGCCTCCTTGGTTCAAGCTATTCTCCTGCCTCAGTCTCCTGAATAGCTGAGATTACAGGTGTGTGCCACCATGCCTGGCTAATTTTTTTGTATTTTTTTTTAAGTAGAGATGGGTTTCACCATGTTGGCAAGGCTGGTCTTGAACTCTGACCTCAAGTGATCCACCTGCCTTGGCCTCCCAAAATGCTGGGAATACAGATGTGAGCCGCTGCACCCGGCCAGACTTTGACTTTTCCAATTTTTTCAATGATAATCTTTTTTCCTGATAATATGTTCACAATCAAGTAATACCAGGGACTGCTGAGAAGTGGATGATGAAGGGTGATAAGGTATAGACTGTGCCCTTCTCTTTGCAGCTCCTGAGAGGGGATGGGAAGGGATTTTGGGAGGGTGAGAAACAGCTTTGTCTGCCCAGAGCAGCTCTGAAGGTGGCCCAGTGCAGAACAGGATCTCTGAAGGCAGAGCGGGACACCCATTCTGGGGATGGAAAGAGGGAAGACCGTTGAGGCCATTTCCCAGGTGGAGGACTAGGGGTGGGAGAAGTGACCTTCTGCTTGAGGATCCAGTCCACCCTTCACCCACTTCAGACATGGACTTGAGACAGAGAAGAGATTTAAAACCAGATTTAAAACCATCAGCTCCCAGGAGTGTGGCCTCCTCCACCTGCTCCCCAACTTTTCTGGTTCCAAAGGTTCAAGCCAGGCTCAACTCCCACTCCTCTAGTCTCCAAATAAGCGTAGCACGGAGAGTCTGAGTGACAATCCACTTTAATAATCCAGCTTCAGCTCAGCTGAGAACTTCCCCTCTCAGGTGCAAAGGGATGGCAGAGAAGTCTTTCCAAGAGGGCTCAATCCACTAAGAGATTATGGCTTAGAGAAGGGAACAGCTCAAAGAAGCCCTATAATGGGAGGCAACATGGAGTTTGGAATTAGTGAGTGACCAGATGGAGATGTCCTGCCACCCACCTCCCACCAACATATGTTCCAGCAAGAGAAGCACCGAGGTTTCATCTGTTCTTGACAGCCACCCCAGTCTTCTCAGCCCTGATCCCCTCTTCCCATCCCCTCATTTTCCATTTCTTTGGGTCAGGGCCCCTGAGCCTTGAGAAGAATAAGGACCGTTGTTTTATCTCTTTTTTCTCTTTTGTAGAGACATGGACTTGCCATGTTGCTCAGGCTGGTCTCAAACTCCTGGCCTCAAGCAATCCTCCCACCTCCCCAAGTGTTGTCATTATAGCATGAGCCACTGTGGTTGGCCAGGACCCTTGTTTTCCTACATGGCCCCAGCATGACAACCAGCCCCCATTACTCAGGCCAGTCACTTTGTGATGGCGATGTTGTCCCAGCAACCAATCCAGGCACTAGAGGGGAAGCAGCCCAGCTGCCAGAGAGGGTCTGGGGTGGGTGTTACCTTGAAGAGGGTGAGGGTCTGGAGGACTCCTGTGGTGCAGGCCATCTCCCGGATAGAGTGCATGGCCAGTTGGGGGCTGCCTAAATCCAGCACCCGCAGCCCCAGCCGAGAAGCCAAGATAGGTCCAATGGTGGTTCCACAGGGGGTGTCATTCCGGACCATGAGATCCTAGGGAGAGCAGGAGACCCATGAGCAACATGCAGTGTGTGCTTATCAGAGCCAAGGAGGACGCCATCTTAGAATTGCAGGGTGGGAAGGGGCCTGGGAGATGGTCCATTCGGAGCATAAAATCAAAGCCAATGCTAAATGGCAGACCCCAAAGGACAATATATTCTGAATTGGTCCCATTCTATCTGCATTGCCACCACCCTAGTTCCAATCCATTCTCCACACAGCAGGAAGGGGGATTTTTAAAAGTATCCATCCTTGTCACCCTCTTGCTTAATATCCACACTCACAGAAAAAAATCACTCAGTGGTATCAGTGTCTTTAAAAATATTGCTACTGACATTTTGAAATGATTTTCTTTATATTATGGTAAAAAAATAAGAAAATGAAAATATGATGCTAGATATCAAGGTTTTCAGTGTAAGAGAAAACAGAATTACAAAATCAAATAGGTAGTAACTATTTAACTAAATAAGAATAATTTTATGAATAAGAATTACAGTATTAACTCATGA
Source organism: Homo sapiens (assembly GCF_000001405.40). Taxonomy (NCBI): domain Eukaryota; kingdom Metazoa; phylum Chordata; class Mammalia; order Primates; family Hominidae; genus Homo; species Homo sapiens. Next base: position 219,375,538 of record NC_000002.12, read on the forward strand.
TTTTTATTTAAAAATTTTTATTTTATTTTATTTATTTATTTTGAGATGGAGTCTCCCTGCGATGCCCAGGCTGGAGTGCAGTGGCGCAATCTCAGCTCGCTGCAACCTCTGCCTCCTGGGTTCAAGCGATTCTCCTGTCTCAGCCTCCCAAGTAGCTGGGATTACAGGCACGCACCACCACGTTCAGCTAATTATTGTATTTTCAGTAGAGACGAGATTTTGCCATATTGGCCAGGCTGTTCTCGAACTTCTGACTTCAAGTGATCCACTACCTCTCAAAGTGCTGGGATTACAGGCCTGAGCTACCACACCTGGCTTCATGATTTTTAAAATATGTACTTTTTTCTTGCTATGTCCATGGAAATGGACCCAAAGCACCGTCCCCTCCCCCAAGAACAATGAACACTTGCAGTGCCAGGCTATGGTCTCTAATACCACTGCTTGCCAAAAACTACCAAGTCTGGGGGGCGAAATGAACAAGACATGTCTACAATTTTTGTTGTGCCAAAAAGCAAGGAGACTTCCAAGAGTCAAAGGGCACAGGAGTTATGCTGAAGGGGCTCCCACTGGTCAAAGCCATGGCAATTCACAAATCAAATATAATAATTATAGAGGACACTGAATAAATGAAATTCCATGATTCTAAGATAGTCAGAAAGGGAAAAGCAGGCCAGGTGTGCTGGCTCACGCCTGTAATCCCAGCACTTTGGGAGGCCAAGGTGTGCAGATCACATGATTCCAGGAGTTCAAGACCAGCCTGGCCAACATGGTGAAACCCTGTATCTATTAAAAATACAAGAAACAGCCGGGCATGGTGGTGCATGCCTGTAATCCCAGCTACTCAGGTGGCTGAGGTATGAGACTCTCTTGCACCTGTGGGGAGGAGGTTGCAGTGAGCTGAGATTGCGACACTACACTCCAGCCTGGGCAACAGAGCGAGACCCTGTCTAAAAAAAAAAAAAGAAAAAGAAAAAAAAAGGAAAAGGAAAAATCTTTCTTTGTCACTATTTGAGACGACATTTCACCTTGAAAAGTGGATAACAGAAAGAATTAGCATTTATCCTGCTTTCCAATCAATAGGAATGATATTCCATGATAACCAAAGAACCCTAGTTGATTGGAGGGAAGAAGTTCCACTTCACAGAAGAATGGAAGACTGAAAGAATTCAGGGGAAGCGGGCATTTTTCGGTAAATTCTAATGAAATTACTGATTTAGACAAGGATTATTGTAAGTGTTAAAACCATTAGGTATCTGGTTAATAGGGAACTCATCACTTGTATGGGTCACTGTCAGGTCAATAGGGGAAAAGCACTATATAATGAAAGGATAAGAGGCCATTCCTGGTCCAGTGGTCAATCTTTGCAAGGCTAAGGGTGGCCCACCCAGATATCATGTGTGTGATGCCATATGAATACACCAGCCATGTCTTCTAGCCCAAAATGTTTAACTTGAGGCTAGGCACGGTGGCTCACACCTGTAATCCCAGCACTTTGGGAGGCTGAGGTGGGCGGACCACTTGAGGTCAGGAGTTCAAGACCAGTCTGGCCAATATGGTGAAACCCTGTCTCTACTAAAAATACAAAAATTAGCTGGGCATCGTGGTGCACACTTGTAATCCCAGCTACTTTGGAGGCTGAGACAGAAGGATCACTTGAACCAGGGAGGCGGAGGTTGCAATGAGCCGAGATCACGCCATTAGACTCCAGCCTGGGCGACAGAGTGAAACTCTCACTCTGTCAAAAAAAAAAAAAAAAAAAAAAAAAAAAGTTTAACTTGAATCCATCAAGTCTTTAGAAATTCCAGTTGATAGGAAATACGGGGCTTACAGACAAGCTAAATGACACCATGGGGCAGCAAGGAGACATATCCAGAAGTTTCTTGAATAAGCCAATGCTATTTAAAAAGGGGTGGGGGGAACTGTGCTACACTGGAAGACATTTAAGCAACATATCAGCCAAATATAACGCATTGTCCTGAGTTGGATACTAGGGTGGGCCAAATACCTGTAAAAAAAATATTTTGAGGATAACTGGGGAAAACGGAAAGTGATCTGTGCATTAGATGAGGTACAAGTTTACTGAAACAACAATTTCCTGAAATGGGGTTGGGAATGGTGGCTCATGCCTGTAATCCTAGCACTTTGGGAGGCCAAGGTGGGAGGACTGCTTGAAGCCAGGAGTTCAAGACCAGCCTGGGCAACATAGCAAGAACCCCATTTTTACTAAAAATAGAAAATTAGCCAGCATGGTGGCATGCATCTGTAGTCCCAGCTACTTGGGAGACTGAGGCAGGAAGATCTTCTGAGCTCAGGAGTTTGAGGGTGCAGTGAGCTATGATCATGCCACTGCACTCCAGCCTGGGAGACAAAGCAAGACCCTGTTTCTAATTTTAAAAAAACATTAAAAAAAAAAACCAAACTCAAATAGAAAGGTGAAGATGACTGAGTGAAAAGAGGCAACAAAAATATATCCAATATAATATCATTTTAAAAAAGTGTATATGAAGTTTATGCATAGAAAAAAATCTGGAAGACTATACCAAATTTCTGCAGATTAGTGTTTTATTTTCTCATCTCTATCTGTATTTTCTAATTTTCTAAAATACATGTGTCCTACTTCTGCTGTAAATTATTAAAGAAAAATCTCCCAATGTCTTCTCACTGCCTTAGAATAAAATTGAAATGTCCTTCCATGGCCTAGGTATTCCTGTATCATCACTGAGCTGGGCCTCTCCCCTAACCCTCTCCTGCTCTCATCCTGGCTCTACCATCCTGCCTTTCTCTCCTCCTAAAAGACGAGCTCATTCCTGGCCCCCCTTGGGGCCTTTCTACTTGTGCCCTCTGGCTGGGACCCTCCCATAGCTGCCTATTTCTCAGTGGTTAGGTCTCAGCTCAAATATCACGTCCTCAGAGAAGGCTTCCTGGGGGCAGAACAATTCAGCTTTCCGAAAGGAAGAGTGAACACTGTGCAGCAGAAAGAGCCCTGGGCTGGGAGTCAGGATACCACGGTTCTACACCTGCTATGATTGTCACTGGACCGCCCATGCCTGAGTCCCTGATATAGAGAGGTAGACAGATAAATATAGAAATAGACAGTCATGCACTACATGGTGACATTTCAGTCAAAGATAGACTACATATGACAGTGGTCCCGTAAGATTATAATGGAGCTGAAAAATTCCTGTCGCCTAGTGACATCACAGCTGTTGCGATGTTGTGGCATAATGCATGACTCACTTGTTTGTGGCGATGCCGGCGTAAATAAATCTACTGCCAGTCGTATAAAAGCATAACACGTGCAATTATGTACAGTATGCAATACCTAAGAATAATAAATGACTATGTTATGGTTTATGTGTTTACTATATTATGCTTTTTATTGTTATTTATTTATTTTGAGATGGAGTTTCACTCTTGTCGCCCAGGCTGGAGTGCAATGGCACCATCTTGGCTCCCTGCAACCTCTGCCTCTTGGGTTCAAGCGATTCTCCTGTCTCAGCCTCCTGAGTAGCTGGGATTACAGGCGCACACCACCATGCCCAGATAATTTTTGTATTTTCAGTAGAGACGGGGTTTCACCATGTTGGCCAGCTGGTTTTGAACTCCTGACCTCAAGTGATCCACCCGCCTCGGCCTCCCAAAGTGCTGGGATTACAGGCATGAGCCACGATGCCCAGCCTACTGTTATTTTAGAATGTACTCCTACTTATTAGAAAAAAAAAAAAAAGTTAACTGTAAAACAGCCTCAGGCAGGTCCTTTAGGAGCACATTGTTATCATGGTAGATAGCAGCTCCCTGCATGTCACTCTCCCTGAAGACCTTCCAGTGAGACAAGATGTGGAGGTGGAAGACAGGGACATTGATAATCCTGACCCTGTATAGGCCTAGGCTAATGTGTATGTTTGTGTCTTGGTTTTTAACCAAAAAGTTTAAAAATTTTAAAAATAACGAAAAATTTTAAAAATAGAAAAAAGCTTACAGAATAAGGATACAAAAAAGAAAATACTTTTGAATAGCTGTACTATGTGTTTGTGTTTTAAGCCAACTGTTGTTACAAAGGAGTCAAAAATTTTAAAAATGGAAGGTTATAAAGTAAAAAAGTTGGCCGGGTGCAGTGGCTCACACCTGTAATCCCAACACTTTGGGAGGCCGAGGCGGGCGGATCACAAGGTCAGGAGTTCGAGACCAGCCTGACCAACATGGTGAAACCCCGTCTCTACTAAAAATACAAAAATTAGCCAGGCATGGTGGTGCGTGCCTGTAATCCCAGCTATTCAGGAGGCTGAGGCAGAATCGCTTGAACCTGGGAGGCAGAGGTTGCAGTGAGCCGAGATCGTGCCACTGCACTCCAGCCTGGGTGACAGAGTGAGACTCCATCTCAAAAATAAATAAATAAATAAATAAATAAATAAAGTTAAAAAGTTACAGTAAACTAATTTATTGTTGAAGAAATACAATTTTCAAAATAAATGTAGTGTAGCCTAAGTGTCCGGCATTGATAAAGTCTGCAATAGTGTACAGTAATGTCCTAGGCCTTCACATTAACTCACCACTCACCCAGGGCAACTTCGAGTGCCGTAAGCTCCATTCCTAAGTGCCCTATACAGGTGGACCATTTTAAATCTTTTATACCATATGCTTCCTGTAACTTTTCTTTTTCTTTTCTTTTTTTTTTTTTTTTGGTTTTGTTTTTTTGGAGACAGGGTCTCACTCTGTCGCCCAGGCTGGAGTGCAATGGCACGATCTCGGCTCACTGCAACGTCCACCTCCCGGGCTCAAGAGATCCTTCCCAAGTAGGGAAGGCCTCCCAAGTAGCTGGGACTACAGGCATGCACCACTCCGCCTGCCTAATTTTTGTATTTTTTGGTAGGATGGGGTTTCACCATGTTGGCCAGGCTGGTTTTGAACTCCTGACCTCAAGTGATCTGCCTGTCTTGGCCTCCCAAAATGCTGGGATTACAGGTGTGAGCCAACACGCCTGGCCTTCTGTACCTTTTCTATGTTTAGATACACTGACCATTTTGTTACAGTTACCTACAGTTTTCAGCACAGTAAGAAGCCGTACAGGTTTGTAGCCTAGGAGCAATGGGCTACACCACACAACCTAGGTGTGCAGCAGGCTGTCCGTCTAGGTTTGTGTACATATACTCCATGATGCTCACACAATGACAAAATTGCCTAATGATGCCATTTCCCAGAATGTATCCCTGTTGTTAAGCAATGCATGACAGTATATATGTGTGTATATGTGTATACACAATACTGTCATGTGTTATATACATACATGTATACAACATATATATGTACACACACACACACACACACTGAGGAGAAAGGACTAGATGTCTAATTTCTCAGGCAAGAGAGAAAATGAGTAGTTGGAGTTCCATACTCCCCAGCCCTGAACTTTCCCTGTGGAAGCCCCCAGGGTGTGTAGGAGACACAGGGGAAGTGGGGGTGCTGCAGGGAAAGACAGGCCTACCATGTGCCAGGAGCACACTGTACCTTCAGTCTTCATAGAAATCCAGCAAAGTAGGCATCACTATCACCCCTATTCTACAGATGTGGAAACTGAGACTCAGAAAGGTTAGGAGACTAGTCCAAGGTCACACAGCTAGCACTGCAGCAGAGCCAGCATGGAATCCAGCTGTATCCAAAATCCCTGCTTTTCTCACTCTACTGGGACCCCCCTCCACTCAAGGCCATCTACCAGGTTCCCTGTTCATGGGGGGCCCATCTGTTTGTGCCCCCACCAAGCTCCCTCCATCACACCTTCCCAGGCAGGGCCCACCCTCACCTGCAGGGGGACCTTGACTTTGTTGGCCACCTCTCGGATCAGGGCCTCTGACACCGCGTTTGAAGCATAGCGTTGCTTGCTGTTCACCTTGATCACGGGGCCCTGGGGAGAGTCAAGGTGAGGCAGAGGTAATGACAGGCCCAAAGGGAATGAGTCGGCGCTCGGAACAGCCAGACCTCCAAGTCCCTAGGGAGAAATGGCACGTCTCACCTTGTGGAATAAAGGCCGGTGGTTCTCCTCATGCTTGTCCCTGTAAGAGACAGATAAGGGCCAGACATAGCAAACAGGAGCAGGCCTGTCGACACTCACCACCCTCCCATGGCAGACATCACTAATAGATCACCACTCTTTCCCGCCCAGCCCAGTGGGACTTCAGAGTCATTCCACACACAGGGTTCCGGGCAGCCTCTAGCAATAGATGGAAACAAGTTTGTAGACAAAGGTGTATTCCACACACCTGGGTTAGGCATTGCATGACTTTGACCAAGTTGGTCTCGCAGTAGTGAAAAGGAAGTGCCCGTGAACCTCCCGGCAGAATGAAGAAGGGAGAAAGGAAGAGGCTGGGGCCAAGGCAGAGCCTCAAGGCAGGTTATGCTTGGGTCTCCAGCTATGTGAAGACTGTGTGACTGGCACTAGAGACTCACAGGTAGTTGGGATGCACAGCATGGGCCATGTCTGCGCTGATCATGAAGGACTTGGGTATGGCTTCCTCGAAGGCTGTCGGGTGCTGGCACGAGGCTGAGATCCGCCGCAGCACCAGCTCTGTCAGCAGTGACTGTGCTCCCTGTGCACTCTCAGACCCCACCTGGCGACAGTAGAGTCCTGACTCTGGGAATCTGGGCTTAGGGGCCTGATCTTGGAAGCCAGTGAGAGGGGCCCATTGCCCAACTGGCCCAAAACCCCACTGAGTCACTGGGTGTTCTTAGCAACACCCCTAACCTGGGGTCGTCACTGAACACCAGACAGTGGGCTGAGACCAAACTAACTCACATTCTTAACAGTACTGGTGGGTTTCCTGCACTGCTCCCCTTCCTCCTCTCGTGACCCTCACATCTGGGGCTCAGCACAGGTGCCCCACCACACTGGTCAATTTTCTTTTATGTGTATGACAGAGACTGCTAACTGTCCATGATATCTTTTAGAACACCCAAGTTGTAGCTAAGCACTTAACTACCCAGCTAGAGATGACATTTCCAGGCTCCCCTGCAGCTAAGTTCTGTGGAATGTAAGCAGTGATGAATGTCACTTCTGGATCATGCCCTTAAAGCCAGGGGGTGTCTACTGCCCCTTTGCCCTCTCTTCCCTTCCTACTAACTCAGTGTAGACATGATGGCCAGAGCTGGAACGGCCACCCTGAATCCTGAAATGGAAGTCATGTGTTCAGGACGGCAGGGACCCCTCCTAAACTGCTAACTCTGACCTGGGTTGTTACATGAGAGAGCACTAGCTGTTCAAGCTCTGTTATGCAGCTGAGACTGCAGCCTCACACACGCAGGCATCATGAGGACCTACTCTGTGCTGAGCCCTGGGGCTACGAGGATGGGCTGGGTAGAGTCCCTGTCCTAAAGGAAGAAGCTCACCATGTGGCACAAAGAGAGATACAGGAGAGACGGTCACCCTCGAATAAGCAGATCTATGTTGAGTCAGAGGAGACACCAAGTGCTAAGGAGGCACAGGCAGCATCTCCCCTGTCTTGGGGCCCCCAGAAGAGCCCTGGCTCACGGTGGATGCCTGGCACAACAAGTTGGCTGTGGAAGACTCCGCAGAGGTGACCCTCCCCAGAACCCTCCACGTACCTCTTCGTTGTCATAGAGTGTGACCATGCGCACGTGAGGCTCTGTGGCCAGGGAGCCAGGGCCTGCACAGGAATCTATCAAGGCCTGGTTCAGGGAAGGAAATGAGAGCATCATCTCCAACCTGCTTCTGCTGGAACTCAGCCCACCAGCACCTTGGGTGTGCACGCTCCCCCATCCACCAGCACCTTGGGTGTGCACATTCCCCTGTCTGCCTTCCATGGCCATGACTTTTATCAATTAGGGCACTGCCTGGCAGAGGGTGTGGTGGGGACCTTTTTTTTCTTGCCAAATAAATAGCTACATAGGTAGAAACCTTTAAGGTGTGGTGAGGACCTTTTTTTTCTCTTTTTTTCTTTCTTTCTTTTTTTTTTTGGCCAGATCAATAGCTAGGTAGAAACCTTTTCAACTGGGACAGGAGACACCATCCTTTGGGTGTTGTTCTCTACCTTCCCATGCAAAAGGCAGTAGAAGATGTGGAGGACAGAGAGGAAGAGCTGAGAGTCCTGGAAAGCCAAAAGGCTACACACATCACATAAACTGATTGGCCTCAGGGAAAAGACTGAGGTTCAAAGAGGTGACAGACTCCATCAAGGTGACATGACTGGCTGGTTGCCTGCAGAAGTAGATGCAGGTCCCAGGTCCAGCTCTGGTCTCAATTACAGCCCAAAGCCTATCTCCAGCCACAGGATTACAGGGAAGGAAAGGCAGAAAAAGGCAGAGGGAGATCAAGGGCAAGAGGAGAGAAAGAAAGGGAACTGACTAGGGTGGAGAGAAGGTGGGGAATATCAAGGTGACTAGGAAGAGAGGCTACCTGACTGAGATCCCAAGAAACAGGGAGAAGGCTGGGGTCTTAAGCCTGGGGAGTGGCGTAGGAAGCAGAAGGAGGTGGATGATACTGCCTTGTGGATGATAAAGCCTTTCCCTGAGGCAGAGGTTGTTAACTTCAGGAAAAGCAGCAGGAGCAAGGCTAGGACAAGAGACCATGGTGCCTGAAACAACTTCTCCTCCTTCTTCTTGCCTCAACACCCTGATAGTGCAAGGGCAGAGACCAAAGGTGGCGATGCTGAGGCTGCAACATTTAGGGCCCCCTCCTGGTCCATCCAGCACCAGCAGACTGAGCGGGTAGACAATGGCCCTCTCTCACAACCTGCTGGGGCTTTAGGCAGCTCCCCCGACCCCAAACATACCACCTCTGCTGGTGGTTATGTGCTGCCTGGGGCGCCCCGGCTCCTCACCTGCAGGGCACAGAAGCAGCTGTGCAGATTGTCCAGCCGAGGAGCAAAGATGAACTCATCATAGGCACCACCCAAGACCTAGAGAGGTAAGACAGTCAGCCCGACCTTCAACCCTCCACCCCCACTCACCTTTCTTTTGCTCCCAAGGGTCTCCTTGGTTTCTTGCGCAACCTCTCCCTGACCCCTGGCTTAGGGCACTATTTTGTTTTTTCTTTTTTTTGAGATGAAGGTTCGCTCTTGTCGCCCAGTCTGAAGTGCAATGGCTCGATCTCGGCTCACTGCAACTTCCGCCTCCCGGGTTCAAAGGATTCTCGTGCCTCAGCCTCCTGAGTAGCTGGGATTACAGGCATGCACCACCAGGCCCAGCTAATTTTTGTATTTTTATTAGAGACAGGGTTTCACCATGGTGGTCAGGCTAGTCTCGAACTCCTGACCTCATGTGATTCCCCCCGCCTCAGCCTCCCAAAGTGCTGGGATTCCTTGCTAGGCAGGACCAAGCAGAGATTGGAGAAGGGGGCTGGGTTGGTGCTGAGGAACAAAAGGGTGGAGGCCAATAGCTCTTGACCTCTTCCTGTGGGTCAAGAAAAGGAAGGGCTGAATTGTCATCAAAAAGGCCAAAGAAGTAAACAGAGGAAACCAGCCAAAAAACAGAAACTTAGTACGTGTTCAAGCAGGACACAGCATCCAAAGATTTAGCAATCTCTGACCATCAGCAACCGGGAGACAGAGAACAGATGGCCACATCCAGGCCTCTTTCCCTAAGCAGTTCAGTGTCAGTGTGGGTCAAAGCAGACAGGGCCCACCTGTAGAAGAAACTCTTTGGGAATCTGTAAAAAGGGCCAATTCCCAGATAGTCCTAGTGGGCAGGTCTGGGGTAGGGAACTTGTCTTTTTGAGAACCACCGCCCTAGAAGCAGTGGGGGATGTGTCTACTGGGAAAAACGGGGATGAGAGTTACTGAGGGCTTGGTGGAGGTGATGGGTGCTTCAGCAGGACGGGCTAGGGGTGGCCAGGATCCTGGAGGCCCTTCACCCACAGGTTCCTACAGCCAGTCCTCACCGCAGGCTGGGTGTCTGCAAGGCAGAGCTCCATCTCCACTATGTCCTTGGGGCTCAGCCCCAGATGGGCACAGAGCAGGGACATGAGGACCGAATGGTGCCGCTCATCCTGAAGAGCAGAAAGATGCTGGGAAGAGTCCATTCCTCCTCTCCTCCCCACTTCTCAGGGGACTCTGCCGCCCTCCCCATGATCAGGAGACTCTCTTACCACAGCATTGAGAGGCCCTGGCTCAGGAGTCCCCTTCTCCAGCTCCTCCTGGATGGCTGTGGCAAGAATGGGGACTCTGTGGGGAGACGTGGGTTGTGGGGGGATTGCGAGGAGGGCACAGCTGAGTGCGGCATCCATAAGTTCAGGTGCCTCCTGATGGGCAACTGCCTCTGCCCTTCAATTCCCAGCCCACTCCCCAAATCACAAGGCTGTGAGGACCCTTAGAAATTAACTGGGTCCCAAGAGTAAAATGTGACCTAATGGCTACCATTAGGTAATAATCACCTGGTACCATTCTCCATCCCTCCCAGCCACCGCAGCCCTGCCCCAGTCTCACAGATGCATCTCTGTGTTGGGCCCAAAGTTCTCGTTGATATTTCGCTGCAGATGGATGGCCAGGTGTGGGATGCGAAGAATGGGCCGCTCCACGTGCACCAGCTGCTGCTCCAGCCGACCTGAGGTAGGGCACTGCAGCCAGCCAGGCCAGGTCAGCCCAGGGTGCCTCCTACCCCAGTGGTCAGTCTTTACTTCACTCAGACTAAGCAGGGTGGTCCTCTGACCAGACTGCCCCCACCCCTCTTCCCCACGGGTACCCTGAGGAGTGTGGCAGTCAGTCTTCTGAGGAGGCTCCGCCATCCCCAACCTCGGTTCCCACCTTGACAATGACGCGTCCAGCCAGAGTCAGGTCACGGTCAAACCAGGTGCTCCAGATCCCACCACCATAGGTCTCCACACCGACTTGCTGGAAGCCCACCTGGCTGCGGCGAGACCGACGTTTCACCTGAGTGTAAAGATGGAGAAGTCAGAGAAGGCTTCATGACGATATGTGGAGATGAGACTTTGGCTACTCATAAGTAACAGACAGCGAATATTAGTGTCACATGAAAGGCTCAAGGTGTGAAGGAAGGGGCCAACAAGTTTACCTTCTCCCTTACTCCAGGGGATAGAGGCCCCAGTTTGTACCTCCTAGTTCTCTTTTGCCCTGTACTCCCTCTGACATCTCCTCCCACCCCAACACCGTCCGAGTTCCTTACCCGGAGGCAGGGGCTGTCCGTGTGGGCCCCGATGAGGCTGAAGCCATTGCCAGGAACGTACTGGCCCCCTACAGCAAAAGCTATGATGGTGGAGGAGTTCCTGGTCATGAAGTACTGAGGAGAAGGGGAGGAAAGACAGGGGTGTGAGTTGCATTACTCAGCTGGCACACAGGGCTTGGAGACCAGCCTAGGGACCTGCCTTTCCACCCCCACCCCACCCCCAGTACCTTGCTCTCGGGCTTAATATTCCATTTCTCAGTCTCCTTGAGTTCACTGAAGCCAGCCTGGAGAAGGCGGTTGCGGCATTCAGCCACAGCTGTGGGAAAAGCACCCTCTCACAGCGATGGAAGCTGGTGAAGGGCGCATCAGCCTCCACCCTCCTCCCTTGCCCTGGCCACCGCTTACCATGGAAAGGAGAGGGACTCCGGTTCACGAACTTGAGGAGTTCCTTAGCCGCAGTCTGCACCGCCTCTTTGCGGGCCTTACCGTTCATGGCCACCTAGGGGAGGGGGATGCTCAGACTTTTACAAGGTCTGGGACCCCTGACCTTTCACCCAGGTTCCGAGGATTCTCCCATCCCCACCCCCAGAAGTGACCACTCTAAGGCACAGACCTCTGCTTCCGCCCGTCCCCACCGAGAGACCCAAACCCAGGGCTGAAACTCCGTTGAAAGCTTCAGCCCGCCGGCCCAGGATCATGAGCCAGGCCCGCCCCTTAATCCGAACTTTAGCCCGACTCCCTAAGTCCCGCCCCCATGTCCCTGCCCAGCTAGGAAATCCTGTTCTGCTCCCAAACTCCGGGATCCCAAGCGGGCCCCATACTCTGAGGCGGCCTGCATCACGTGCGCGTACCCAGCCCGGAGCCAAAGCCCTGTACCCCAAGGAGCACCCTGACTCCTCTCTCGCACCCACCTAGTCTCTCGCAGGACTCCCCCTTCCAGTCCCGGGAAAGTCGTCAGGTCACCCTCCGCGGGGCTTTCGGTTTCGCTTTGGGTCAGGCGGCCCCACTGCAGCACCGCGCTAAGCTTGGGCCCCGGAGGGCGCCGGACCCGGTCTGGGATCGAAATTCAAGTGGGGCCGTCGGGAGCCACTTACCTGCATGGCCCCGCGCGTGGGGCTGTGTCCGCTCATCTGGCCTCCGGGCTCGGCCCGCCCCCACCGCGCCGCCTGCCCCGCCCCTCACTAGCTTTGCAGGTCCCCCGCGTGCCCCTTCAGGCCGCGCCGCACTCGTAGGCCTTCATCACGCTTCCCCGGCCGCGCCGCCCCGCCCCATGTTTGGCCTCCCCGCCCACCTCTCCCCGCCCCTCGGCATCCGCCCCGCCCACCTCGGTCAGCCCCGCCCCTCGGCGGGCTTACCCTGTCCGCTCCGCCCCTCGCTGGGCACCACCACCCGCCTTGCCCCGCCCTTGCCCCGCCCCTAGCTTGGCCGCACCGCCCGCCCCGCCCCGCCCCTCGCCAGGAAGCACCGCCCGCCCTGCCCCTCGCAGGGCTGCACCGCCCGCCCCGCCCCTCGTCAAGCTTCCTCGTCCGCCCCGCCTCTCGCCAGGCTGCACCGCCCTCCCCGCTTTGTCCCGCCCCTCACCAGGTTTCCCCCATCCGCTCCGGCCCTCGCTGTACCCCACTACTCGCCCTGCCCCCGCCCTTGCTCCGCCCCGCCCTTCGTCAGGCCTCCTTGCGCTCCCCGCCCCTTGTCAGGCCGTGCCGCCCACCCCGCCCCGCTCCTCGCCAGGCTGCTCCACCCGCCCCGCCGCTCGTCACGCTTCCTCGTCCGCCCCGCCCCTCGCTAGGCTGCACCGCCCGCCCCGCTTCCGCCCCATCCCTCTCCAGGCCGCGCCTCCGCCTCCGGCCCGCCCTCGTCTCCGCCCCTGCGGGGGCTGCTCGTTAGGCCCCGCCCTGCACCCCCGTCACCCACGCCGCGCGACCCGCAGCCGCCGCCAGGGCCCTCTGCTGCCGCGGAGGTGCTAGGACAGCCGCGGACGGCCCGCCTCCCCGTGCCCCGGGCCTCGAGGCCAATAAAAAGCTCGCCCCTCCAGCTCACCGGGTCCGACGGGTACGGTACAAAGTGCTGTCTCTCGCCACAGCCACCTTTGTGACAATAAAAGCAATAAGGCTAATGTCCATGGGGCGCTCACGGTGAGCTTTAGCTTTATGATAAAGATTGGCCTGTTACCTCGTTTAATCTTCACAACTGCCCCATCAACTATGTACTCTTACTGTCCCCAGTTTATGCATGAACAGAGAAAGCTGAGATACGGAGACTAGTGATCCGTCGAGGTAATAAACGGCACAGGTGGGGTTTGAACTCCATCAGTTTGATTGCAGAGGCCTGGAACAACCCTACAGCCTTCTCTCAGATCTTTTCTGGACCTTTTTCTATGCGCTTTGGTAAGTGTTATGTTACACGGGAGGTCCACAAGGGACACAGAAGTTGACTTGCCCAAGATCACATAGCTGTTTGGGTGGATCTGGGATTTGACTCTGATATCTGTGCCCTTTCCATTTGTTAAAAACAACAGAAAAACAAATTCCACATTATTGGCAGTTCCAGTATTCCCATGTCAGGAGTAGTGAGTAGCACGTTTAAACCCCATGCACCTTCCTAGCTGCAGGAACTGATCAGGACTCTTGGTGGCCTCTAGATCCAAAACAGGGCCCAGCTACCAGGGGTTCAAACAAAATTCCAGAGATCACAGGTTTATGGAGCAACCTGCCGTTTATATACCTGGGGTGGGGAGTGACAGGGTGGGATGGGGAGAGGCTGGAAAGGTCCTGCAGCCCTCACTTCAAACTAGTAGATATGGCAGGGGAGTTTTCAAGAATTCACCCACTAGGTGCTGGCTTAAATTCATGGCATTCCCTAACCGTTTGTTGAAATACCATTATGGGCCTGGCGCAGTGGCTCACGCCTGTAATCCCAGCACTTTGGGAGGCCGAGGCGGGTAGATCACTTGAGGTCAGGAGTTCGTGACCAGTCTGACCAACATGGTGAAACCCCGTCTCTACAAAAAATACAAAAATTAGCCGGGTGTAGTGGCACGTGCCTGTAATCCCAGCAGCTACTTGGGAGGCTGAGGCAAGAGAATCGCTTGAACCCGGGAGGTGGAGGTTGCAGTGAGCTGAGATCGTGCCACTGCACTCCAGCCTGGGCGACAGAGTGAGATTCTGTCTCAATAAATAAATAAATAAAATTATGTATAAAGCTCAATGCTGAGCAGGACATGGAGAGAGCATTCTTGTCCTCTACCTCCTGGGGAGGGGACACATTCAAGGAGGACAGTGAAAGGGCCGAAACAAGGCTACAATGTATAAGGGAAGGAGACAACCTGAATAAGGAACCACCTTTAATGTTCTTTCTGATCACAGAAAAGAGTACATGCTTGAGTAAGAGATTCAAACATCACCAAAATGCATAACTTAGAAAGTGAGCCGGGAGTGGTGGCTCACGCCTGTCATCCCAGCATTTTGGGAGGGAAATACAGAAGTGTTCCTATTCAAATCAGAAGTGAGACATTGATGAGCTATTACTGCTGCTAGACAATGTGGAGCTGTAGTCAGAGCCAGTACCACAAAACAAAATTAACAATTCTATATGTGCAAAAGTAAAATTGGTCATTATTTATAGATTATATGATTATCTAGAATCCCCAAGAAAATAAACGATCAAGCTATTATTAGAACTGGTAGGAAGGGTAGCCTAATTTAAAAAACACTGACTTTCTTGTACAATAATCACCTAGAAAATATAAAAGTAAAAAGGTTCTTATTGACCATTTTTGGTTTGGGTAAAAAAGAAAAAAGTAAAAGGGCTATATTTACAAGAGCAAGAAATATTGTTAAATTTCTAGTCATGAACATATGAGACACCTAATCTCACTTTAAACAGGAAAATGCAAGTTAAAAATGAGATAACAGTTGGGCGTGGTGGCTCATGCCTGTAATCCCAGCACTTTGGGAGGCAAAGGCGGGTGGATCACGAGGTCAGGAGTTTGAGACTAGCCTGGCTAAAAATACAAAAAATTAGCTGGACATGGTGGTGTGCACTTGTAATCCCAGCTACTCAGGAGACTGAGGCAGGAGAACTGCTTGAACCCGGGAGGCAGAGGTTGCAGTGAGCCGAGATCGTGCCATTGCACTCCAGCCCAGGCAACAAGTGCGAGACTCCAACTCAAAAAAAAAATTAATAAATAATAAAAATGAGATACTTTTTCTTTTTATTGAGCAGATTAACAAAAATGGAAAAGATGGGTAATATCAAGTGTTGGAGAAGGCTTGGGGTAATGCAAGCATTTTCTGGAGGCTAAAGCAACTCCATCTGGGAAGCTAATCTGCCATGTTGACTTTTCAACAACCTGTTCCAGGAATGACTCTAAGTTTTCTACTTTACCTACTATTACCATAAATCCTGCGCTTAGACAGATTCACATAGCATTCATGACTTTGCCTGAGGGGTCAACTTCAATTGTTTGACACATTGTTTCCCTATGGTATGTAAGCCCTGGGTTTGCAGGGTAATCCACCATTTCATCTCTGAAACTATGGCCTCTATTCATAAGTCCCTATGAAATGTTTCTTTCTGAGAGACTGTATATGTCAGCCTCTTTCGTCGGCTTTTCAGCTTCCCTGAACTTTGGGGGTATGTTTGCACAGACCTTTATACCCAAATTTCTGTGGTGTAAATGTTCCCCGTGGCCGATTTCAAGCTGTCGAGATGATGTCACTGAAGGGAGTTGGGAAGAGCTGTGCGGAAGCATGCCATTATGTAGATTTCCACCATGCAGACACAATGGATAGAAATAACATCAACAGCATAGATTTAAGAAGGCAGTAAAATGTTTGGAAAGGTGATGGATTTTTGGTTTTCATTATCTGTAATATAATTTATTTAATTGTAAGTGTATATAATTTAGTTTTTTTTAATGATTGCTGTGTTTAACAACAAGCTCACCAAATTCCTGGAAATTTGACAATCAGTTCTCATGAGCTTGTCCAAGTTGGCCCCAGCACACTATTCCACCCGTACTGTACATCTTTGCTACTAAATGTGTGATCTGTTGACCAGCAATGTCAATAACATCTGGGAGCTTTTTAGAAATGCAGAACCTCAGGGCTTACCCTAGAGTTATAGAATCAGCATCTGCATGTTAACAAGATTCCTAGATGATTTGAATGCTTGAGACACAGTATTTTAAAGTGCTGTGTAGCAGTTCATAAAAAAAAAAAAAAGGTCAGTCTTTAGGAATTGTTACAGAAAAGAATTCCAAATATACTGTTGAGTGAAAAAAAAAAGCAATTTCTAGAATGTAAGGTGAGGGCCTTTAGATAAAACTCACACAATGAGCTAAATTTATATTTCTAGATGTTATATAAATACATATGTAAATGGATAGAAACAG
This sequence comes from Homo sapiens, assembly GCF_000001405.40. Classification (NCBI taxonomy): domain Eukaryota; kingdom Metazoa; phylum Chordata; class Mammalia; order Primates; family Hominidae; genus Homo; species Homo sapiens. Next base: position 219,392,057 of record NC_000002.12, read on the forward strand.
GTTTGGAAGGATAATGGTCACCTCTGGGTAAGGGAATGGTGATGGATTTGGAGTTCAGGTGGCAAAGTCAAGGGATGACTAGGGATCAAGAAAGAAAAAGTTTCTGAGAATCGTTCTTGCCCTTGGCCTTCTGAGAAAATCTTCCCTGGAAGATCTCGGCTGATGTTTACAATGCTACCATTATTCATTCATCTTTTTGGTTTAACACATATTAAAGTGCAAATACTTTTGCGTGAACATAGAAGTCAGTTACATACACTTCAGTGTGAGTTTATAAGATACATATGTCTTTTTTTTTTTTTTTTATTGAGACGGAGTCTCGCTCTGTTGCCCAAGCTAGAGGGCAGTGGCAACCATCTCAGCTCACTGCAATCTCCGCCTCCTGGGTTCAAGTGATTCTCCTGCCTCAGCCTCCCATGTAGCTGGGATTATAGGTGCCCTCTACCACACCCAGTTAAATTTTTTTTTTTGAGATGGAGTCTCACTCTGTTGTCCAGGCTGGAGTGCAGTGGCGCTATTTTGGCTTACTGCAACCTTCATTTCCTGGGTTCCAGAGATTCTCCTGCCTCAGCCTCCTGAGTAGCTGGGATTACAAGCACGCATCACCATGCCTGGCTCATTTTTTGTATTTTTAGTAGAGACAGGGTTTCACCATGTTGGCCAGGCTGGTCTTGAACTCCTGACCTCAGGTGATCCACCCACCTTGGCCTCCCAAAGTGCTGGGATTACACGTGTGAACCACCGCGTCCAGCCTAGAACTACAAACTATTGATCCTACCTTTCCCTATTCCTCACTCCTGTCTTCATGACTCTCCTACCTAGGATGAGCCATACATTCCACTGTTGTGCTCACTCCCTCGCACACACCTTCAAGTTCCTGCTCTAGATTTGCGGACTTGCCTGGCAAAACCCCAACCCTGACTGCAACCAGCTCCTCCCCTGCTCCAACCTGTGTGGCTGGAGAAACATCCAAGCCGCGCTGCCTGGTCTCACTTTAAACCAGTGGTGTCCGGTCTTTTGGCTTCCCTGGGCCACATTGGAAGAAGTAGAATAGTCTTGGGCCACAAATAAAATACACGAACCCTAACAATAACTGATGAGCTAAAAACCTTTCAAAAAAATCTCATAATGTTTTAAGAAAGTTTACAAATATGTGTTGGGCTGCATTCAAAGCTGTCCTGGGCTGCATGTGGTCCATAGGTGGTGGGTTGGACAAGCTTACTTTTTTTTTTAGTTTTTTTGAGACAGAGTCTTGCTCTGTTGCCCAGGCTGGAGTGCAGTGGCATGATCTCAGTTCACCACAACCTCTGCCTCCTGGGTTCAAGCGATTCTTCTGCCTCAGCCTCTCAAGTAGCTGTGATTACAAGCATGAGCCACCATGCCTGGCTAATTTCTGTATTTTTAGTAGAGACAGGGTTTCACCATGTTGGCCAGGCTGGTCTCGACCTCCTGACCTCAAGTGATCCATCTGCCTTGGCCTCCCAAAGTGCTGGGATTACAGGTGTGAGCCACCACACCCAGCTGGACAAGCTTGCTTTAAACTCAACCACTAACCTAAGTGTGTTCTTTGTACTGCCCAGAGGTCCTATTGCATCTCCTGGGCCATTTGCTTCTTTGCTTTCCTGGAGGAGAGTTTCATCCAGTGTCTTCCTCCATCCCCACTCTCAGCCGAGGACCATGGTTCCCATTTTACTGTGAAAATAGAAGCCTTCAAAAGAGAATTTCCGCAAGTTTTAAGCTGCCACGCCTAGGCTCCTACCAGGATCTGAGCTCCATATTCTGCTGTCCTCATTTCTGTGGGTGAACCATCTGTGCTCCTATCCAAGGCCACCCTCTCCACTTGTGCACAAGATTCCACCCCTCTTGCTTACGTAAGGGCACCATATCAACTCTTCTTCCCTTTCTCCTGCATTATCAATCTCCACAGTTCTGGCGGGTCAAGCTGATTAGCATATACATGTGCTATAATTTCTCCCAAGAAAAAATAATCCTCCCTTAACCCCCAGTCTCCCTCCAGCAGTGGCCTCATTTTCCTTCTCCTCTTTATGTAAATCTCTTTTAAAAAGAACTATCTAGTCTTATGTTTTCCCGATTCCTCTCCTCCCATTCTCTTGTAAATCCTCTAGAATGAGGTTTTACCGCTGTCATTCCACCGCAACTTTTCTTGTCAAGGTCAAAAGCAACCTCCACAATGCTGAACCCAATGGTCGATTTTCAGTCCCCATTGTCGTTGACCCATGGGTCCTATTTGACATAGCCGTTTGCTCTCCTGGGAACACTCTCTTCACTTGGCCTTCCAGACACTTACTACCCTCACCACCACTCCTTTGGGTCTCTTCTGGCTCCTCCTCATCTCCCATCTTTAATGTTGTTATTATTTTATTATATTCATGTTTTTAAAATAGAGATGAGGTCTCACTTTGTTGGCCAGGCTGGCCTCCAACTTTGACCTCAAGCGATACTCTTACCTGGGGCTCCCAAACTGCTGGGATTACAGGCATGAGCCACGGTGCCTGGCCTCATCTCCCATCTTTAAATGGAAGGCCTCAGGGCTCAGTGCTTAGAAATCTCTCTACCCTCACTCCCTTGCTAATGTCCAATCTCATGACTTTAAATAGTATCCATACCCTGACAATTGTCAAATTTATGTATCCCTAGCCCAGATATCTCTTCTGAACTATATATATTCTCATATATCCAATTGTTTTTGCACAGTCTCCATATGTGTGCCTAATAGGAATCTCCAGTGTAATATGTCTTAATCTGAACTCCTTGTTCCCCAAACCTATTCCATCCACATTCTTCCCATCTCAGTGTTGTGCTGAACCCCTGTCCACTCCAATAAGGAAGGCCCCAGGTTCAAGAGGCCAAAGAAGAGACCCAGAGCCAGCAAACAAGACAAGGTTTTTTTTTTTTTGAGAGGGAGTCTCACTCTGTTGCCCAGGCTGGAGTGCAGTGGTGCGATCTCGGTTCACTGCAACCTCCACCTCCTGTGTTCAAGTGATTCTCCTGCCTCAGCCTCCTGAGGATTACAGACATGCACCACCATGCCCAGCTAATTTTGTATTTTTAGTAGAGACAGGGTTTCACTATGTTGGCCAGGCTGGTCTCGAACTCCTGACCTCAAGCAATCTGCCCTCCTCAGCCTCCCGAAGTGCTGGGATCACAGGCGTGAGCCACTGGGCCCGGCCGACGTGGGGTCTATTGAGGAGAACTTACATACAAGATGGTCCAGTGGTGGCGAGCTGGACAGTAGAACCACTGTCACCTGCAGAAAGCACGCATTTTCACTCAACACCTGCTCCCTAACAACCTCTACCTGGCAACCTTCATTTAACCCAAAACAAAGCGCCTTGATCCCCTGTATGGCCCTTGTTCCACAGGATGGGAAGGGGGCTCAGAGGTTCCTCATAGATGAGGATCTCTAGGTTGCCCACTCCAGGATTTCTTAGCTCAGAACTCCAAACACACATCAAGTATATCTGCCATTCAGGGTCATTCTCAGGGTGTGCTTCAGTTATTGCTGTCAGGTGCATCTGCCATACATTCAGTAAATGGCAACTTTGTCCTTCCAGTTTCAGGTCATAACTCTTGGCGTTAGCCTTGGTGCATCTCTTTCTCTTGCACCCCATGTCAGATCCATCAGCAAACCCTGCCTCCCAAGCTCCTTCACAAAGCCTTCCCTAGCATCTCCAGAGGGAAGTGCTTAGGGAGGCCAATCCTCCTCTCCTAGCGCCAGTGTCATCTCCTGTCTTAGGATCCACAGGAAGAAGTCTCTGTCAACTGGAAGTAACCTGCTGGCCTGTGACATGTAATCAATTTTACTTTGCTGCTGCAATCCTCAGTGCCTGGCAGGTAGTGGATATACAATAAACACTTACTGAATTAAAGAAATTTTGAAAAATAATTGTTCTTTGTGAAAAAGGGCCCTCATGGGATAATACTCAGCGATAAAAAGGAACGAGTGGTTGCTAAATGCAACGCTGTGGATGGATCTCAGGTGCCTTATGCTGAGTGAAAAAAATGACAAAATTATAGAGATGGAGAACAGATTAGTGGTTGCTCAGGGCTAGGGAGGATTTGGGGAGGGATGTGTGACTATGAAGGAGTAGCTCAGGAATATCTTGATGGTGATGGATAGTTCTATGTCTTGATTATAATGGTGGTTATGACTCTAACCATGATAAAGTTAGGGTTGCCAAATGAAATACAGAATGCCCAGTTTAATTTGAATTTAAGATAAACAAGGGCTGGGCGTGGGTGGCTTACACCTCTAATCCCAGCACTTTGGGAGGCCAAGGCAGGCGGATCACTTGAGGTCAGGAGTTCGAGACCAGCCTTACCAACATGGTGAAGCCCCATCTCTACTAAAAATACAAAAATTAGCCAGGCATGGTAGCGGGCACCTGTAATCCCAGCTACTAGGGAGGCTGAGGCAGGAGAATCGCATGAACTTGGGAGGTGGAGGTTGAAGTGAGCTGAGATCGTACCACTACACTCTAGCCTGGGCAACAGAGCAAGACTCCATCTCAAAAAAAAAGAAAAAAAAAGATAAGGAATAATCTTTTCAGTATAAGTATGTCCCAAATATTGCATGGGATATGCTTATACTAAAAACAAAATTTAACTGAGTTTCCTGTATTTTCATTTGCTAAATCTGGCAAACCTAGAAAAAAATAGCATCAAACCCTACGCACACACATTTTACCTGTGTCACTTTCCTGAGTGTAATACTGTGCTGTGCTTATCTAAGATGTAACCATCTGGGGAAACTGAGTGGAGGGCACACAGACCTCCATGTACAATTTCTGCAACCTCTTGGGAAGGTAAAATTATTTCCAAATAAAAAGGTTTTCAGAATGGCCCTCAAAGGAAAACCAACTGCTCCTGTTAGTGATGAAAACAAAGAGGTATAGGAAAGTGCTGGTTACTAACCTTGCAAGTTTTATGGAACACTGTAAAACTGGCACTTCACAAAGGTCTTAAGATGTATCCCCCTTGAATGTCAATGCTCTTGTATAGTTAGTGACAGTATAACAAAGTGGTTATGAGCGTGGGCTCAGGATCCACACACCGGGCTCACATCCTGGCTCCTGCATTTATTAGCTGTGGGTCGTATTTGCCGTGTTGTGCCAGAGCCAGCCCCCCTCCCCTCCCCTCCCACCCCCGTCTCTTTCCTGTTCCACATTCAGAGACATCAGACAGGAAGCTTGAGACAGGCCTGCAAGTATTTACACCACTGAGACTGGCAAACACTACAAATCAGGGCATTTTTTTTTTCTTCCAGAGAGCTAATTGGTTTTTTGTTTTGTTTTGTTTTATTTTTTGAGACAGAGTTTTGCTCTGTTGCCCAGGCTGGAGTACAGTGGCGTGATCTTGGCTCACTGCAACTTCAGCCTCCTGGATTCAAGTGATTCTCGTGCTTCAGCCTTCCAAGTAGCCTCCATATGATCAAGAATGTGGGTGGAATAGGTTTGGGGAACAAGGAGTTCAGATTAAGACATTACACTGGAGATTCCTATTAGGCCCACACGGACACTGTGCAAAAACAATTGGATATGTGAGATTATATATAGTTCAGAAGAGATATCTGGGCTGGGGGTATGTAAATTTGACAATTATCGGGGTACAGATGCTATTTAAAGTCATGAGATTGGAGATTAGCAAGGGTTACAGGCATGTGCCACCATGCCTGGCTAATTTTTGTATTTTTAGTAGAGACAAGGTTTTGCCATGTTGGCCAGGCTGTTCTTAAACTCCTGACCTCAAGTGATTCACCCGCCTCGGCCTCCCAAAGTGCTGGGATTACAGGCATGAGCCACTGTGCCTGGATGCTTTTCTTTTTTTTTTAATTTTTAATTTTAGATGGAGTTTCAGTATGTTGCCCGCACTGGCGGCAAACACCTGGGCTCAAGCAGTCCTCCCATCTTGGCCTCCCAAAGTGTTAGGATTACAGTTGTGAGCCATCACACCTGGCCCAGAGAGCTAGCTGTTAAACATCTACCATCACACCACAGACTTAGAGCCTTAGCTTCCTCATCTGTAAACCGGTGGAAGATAGTCATAACCTCATAATGTTATGAGGAGTAAATGGGATAATGCACGTAGGGTGCTCATCACTGAGTTCTTCAAATAGTTAAGTGGGCAGTACTTGTGAGCTAGTATTATCTCTCATTTTGAACCGTGAGCAACTTAAGGGCAGGTCGCTGCGCTAATCATCTTGATATCTTTAGTGCCTGGCCTGACATGTAGTAGGTTCTCAATGAATGTTTACTAAATTAGTGAATAAATGGCAAATAATAGTAACTTGGGGCCGGGCGCGTTGGCTCACGCCTGTAATCCCAGCACTCTGGGAGGCCAAGGCGGGTGGATCACCTGAGGTCAGGGGTTCGAGGCCAGTCTGGCCAACATGGTGAAACCCTGTCTCTACTAAAAATACAAAAATGAGCTGGGTGTGGTGGTACATGCCTGTAATCCTAGCTACTTGGGAGGATGAGGCAGGAGAATCGCTTGAACCCAGGAGATGGAGGTTGCAGTGAGCCGAGATTGCACCACTGCACTCCAGCCTGGGCGACAGAGCAAGACTCCATCTCAAAAAAAAAAAAAGTAACTAGGGTAATATGTCTCTAGAAAACCTGGACTTTTTCAGAAGACTTTTAGGACATACTTCTTAATCTTTAAACATGAGGGTTTTCAGGCCCTGTGGCAGGATGCCAGGGGGGTCTGGGGTGCACTCCTACCACCCAAGGGTAATGTCTGCCCTTGCAGGCCCACCTCTGAGCCCCCAAGGAATGCAGCTTCTGATGCACCCCCTCCAGGTGGCAGGCACAGGCCCTCGCCTTCCTCTGGGAGCCAAGATGGGGCATTTCTGGCTCTCAACCTGACTAGAGGTCATTTAATCCTCGCTGGATTTGTCTTGTTTATTTTAGTGAACAGGGCTGTTTACTTTCAGTTCGTATTTCTAGGGAAGCTTACTCATTTTGCTTCCCGTTTATTTACTCCTTGCAAGCACTTAAGTTTGAGTAAATATGTCTATGAAGTTCCAGGGACTGGGTGATTCTGTGTCTGCTATTTTAATGGCCTTTAAACAGTGTCTGCCCAGGTAGGCATTTTATAGATGGGTTGAAAAGATAGGCAATTCTGTTCTCAGTGGCCTCTGACTCCTTTCCAAGCTGACAGCTGGCCACCAGCAGCTTATGAATCATGGCTTTTCATCAGTAATAAAAATATCAAAGGCCAACACCTATCTCAAACAGAAACCGACCCACCCTGGTCCACCAGGCATGGGGCTTGGAAACTGGCAGGTGTTTAAACTCTAAGGCAGTGTTTAGGGTGCGAATCCCCCGGAGTGCTATTTAAAATGCAGATTCATGAGCCCCATACCTGAAACTCCTGATTTGGAAGATTTGGGCTGAGGCCCAGGGATCTCCACTTTTAACAGGTGCTGCAAGTAATTTTGCCATCTTTAGATCACCCTGAGAAACACTAATCTAAATTATCAAAAAACACTTGTGCCGATGGGTGGGCTGCCCTTGAACTCAGTTGTTGGGCAACGTGGAGAGAATAGGGCACCAGACAGGGTTGTTTGGAAAGATTAAATCCTCCAAAGTTAGCCAAGATGATGATGAGTATTATTCTGTTAAGCCACTTGCTCGAGGTCTGGTTTGTTAGCAGACTGAGAGCAGGGGACCCTATTTCATTCATCTCTTTATCCCCATAATGCCTAAGCCAGTGCGTGGCTCATGGAAGGCTGGTGCCTAGGAACGTGTCTGCACTGGCTGGCCACAGAACTAGACAGGCCCCGGTTACCTTGTGGTAGCCATTGAGCCAGCTGTTGGGGACGAACATGATGGAGAGGCTCCGAGCCATGGTGACCTGCTCACCTCCTCCCAAGGCTGGAGTGGACAGGCCTGAACCGTGTGCCTTTTTTGCCGGATCCTTCCCCTGCCTTGGGCCCCAACTTGCAGGGCTCTCCGACATCCCTAGAGCCCATTATGACATCACCAGTGCAATTTGAAGCAGTAACATCCTCAGGGCACCCCAAGCCACAGGCTGACGTATGGTGGCCAACGTCTAAATGTTGACACCTGACCTGGGGGAGGGGTGTCTTGTATTCTGGGAGGCTAAGAATAGAGACTTTCTTCTTTCCTTGAAGAACTCCTCCCTCATTCTCTATTTTGGCCCCTTTGTTTGCTTCCTGCCAGCCAGTGCTCTAATTATTTCACTTATCCGTGTTTACTTTTTTATTATCTGTCTCTCCCATCAGAATGTGAGCTCCAGGAGGACACGACCCTCCCTGTTTCCTTGTTCCCTGCTGTGTCCCAGTACCAAGCACAGTGTCTGATATAGTAAGTGCTCGATAAAGACTTTCTGGGGCATGAAGACATGAACGAGAGGCTTCACTCACTCTGGTCATCCATTCATTTATTCATTCGAAATGCATGCCTGGTGCATCTGTTGTGGGCCAGGCTCTTGTCCACCTGAATAACTCCCATTTCTGCCCTGAGAAAGCTGCCAGCCTGGTGGCGGGTTGCTGGAGACACATCCTTTGTGTCATGCACTCTGACAGGGGCTATCTCTGAGCTCTAACAGAGATGGGGTTGCTTGGAGGAGCACGCTGTGGCAATGACAGGCTCTTAAACCAGAGCAATGGTATCTCATCTAGCAGGATTTCCCCCGCCTGATTCAGGGAGCCCCATCTGCCCCGAGGCCTCTGCCTGTGCTGACAACCACTGCTGCTTGTTTCTGCTAATATTGCAGCAGGGTGCTTCTATAGAAGCAATCTATAAAACACCATTTACAGCCATAACTGAACCACAAAAATCAATCCCGAACGCTCACTCCCATCAACAAACATGCTTTGAGGGCCTCCTGGGTGTGGGGCACAGTTTGATGGTGCCCTGGGAGTCAGAGGGATGAGCAAAATGAGGACTCTGCCCCTGGGGGAGGAGGGGTTTCGAATCTCCCAAGGGAGACAGGCCACATGGGAATGGGATAATTACTGGACTCGGCAAAATCGTGGATGCCAAGTAGAGAATGAAGGCTCTAGAACTGTGCTGGCTAGTACAGCAGCCACCAGCTATGCAGGGCTATTGAGCCCTTGACATGTGGCTACACCTTCAAGTACCTCTCACATTGAGAAATGCTATACCTATAAAACAATGTGCCACTGGATTATGTACAAAATGTATGAAATATCTCCATTTTAAGATATTGCTTACAGGTTAAAATGATAGCATTTTGGATACATTGTTAAATATACTATCATTGCTATATTAGTAACATTAATTTCACCTGTTTTTATTACTTTTTTTTTTTTGATACAAAGTCTCGCTCTGTCACCCAGGCTGGAGTGCAGTGGCACCATCTTGGCTCACTGCAATCTTCCCCTCCTGGGTTCAAGCAATTCCCCTGCCTCAGCCTCCTGAGTAGCTGGGATTATAGGTGCCTGCCACCACGCTTGGCTAATTTTTGCATTTCTAGTAGAGATGAGGTTTCTCCATGTTGGCCAGGCTGGTCTCGAACTCCTGACCTCAAGTGATCCACCCGCCTCGGCCTCCCAAAGCGCTGGGATTACAGGCGTGAGCCACTGCGCCCGACCTGTTTTTATTACGTTTTAAAATTGCAGCTACTAGAACATTCAAAATGACATACATGGCTTCCATTGTATTTCTGTGAGACAGCACTGGTCTAGGAGTAGAGGACCCAGCAGGGCACCAATAGCCTGTGTGACTGCAGCTGCAAGAATTCTGAGGAAATGGGACAATGAGGAACCTGCAAGGGGAAACTGAAGATGGGTGTGGGGAGGACAGTTGAAAAGTTTGATCATGAAGGGAAGGAGGGAGGCGGCAGTTCCGGGAGGCCACCAGGGTCCCAGGGACAATCAGTAATAGATGTTCACCAGGTCTTCCTCTCCCTCCTGCCATCTTCCAGAAAGATAGACCCTGGGCACTTGCAGACACCCCCCCACCACCCACCCCCTGCACACCCCTGGCAGTGCTCTAGAGTGAGCCTCCTTCATTTCAGTCCTTGGCAAGGGGGAGTGAGCCAGAGATGGCATTAAGCTGCATGTGGCTGCTAAGTCATGGTAAGTAACAGCCTTGGCCAGGCCATCCATTGCAAGGTGGGTTAAAAACACATCTCTCCTCCCTGACTGCCAGCTCTGGGCTCTGGGTAAAGGGCAATGGTGGGGAAGGAGAGATCAGGGATTCTGATATAGATGCAGCTGGGAGTTTGGTCAGTGTTTGAGATCAGGGAGGATTTTTCAGAGCAGCAGTGTGGCCCAGGAGGAGGAAGTCAGTTCCCTGACCTAGCCAGAGAAAGCTCCCATTATGGACACGTTTGGTCGGGGGAAATCAGGCAGCCTGGATCTGATGTTCATTTCTCTGCCTGTGCCCTCCCCCTCAGCCACACAGAGAAGCTGTAAACACTCGAATACAAGGATTAACTCTGCGTGTGGTGTCTGGGACATTATGAACAACTCTTGGTGGCTGTGTTTGTGTCTGTGTTAAATTGATCTTTTTAACCCCCAGCACCTAGGACGTGAGGCTGCCAAGCTTGGTATTCAATAAATATTGATGGATGAAGGAACAATGGAAGAAAGGAGTGCATGGGTAAACAAATGACAAATATGTCAAAGCACGGATGCAGATTCTTAGAATGGGCTAATGCTGTTTTCTGCTGGATTTTTGGATGTGTACAAACGAGTTCTCTCACAATACAGATCCACAGTGTCTGGGTCAGAGGAGAACTGATGCTCCGCATGGCATTTTACCATCCTGCCTGCCTGCCTGGGGCCCTGGGCCCACAGGCTTTGGGGAGAGTGTATGGCCAGGCTGCAGCCTTCCTGGGATAAAGCTCTGCCTTTTAGTCTCTTATCCTACTTTTTAGAAGCCCTTTAAGGTCTTTGTTAAAGGAAATCTAATGTGAAGAATTCCAGGAGAACTGGATAAGCCTGACTATGGGTGGGCGTGACTGAATTACTTCCCGGGCTGGCTAAGGAAGGCCTCCCCCGAAGTGCATCGGAAGCCTGCAGCTTCTCCTTATGGCCACTGGAGGGCACTTGGACCATGAAATACCAGATCGTCTCGGCGTCCCAGGTCTTTGGAAATGTGTGATTCAATTCAGCAAACGTTTCAAAATCATCACTATAAAGATAGCGCTTTTGTGTTGAACATCCAATATGGCGCTAAACACCTTATATATATGTGTGCGTGTATATATGAACTTGCTTAATATTAACTACAATTGTTGTGAGTTACTTAGGCTATTTAGGAAAAAAAAATCAAGGCTTAAAGAAGTCAAAGTACTTACCCAAGATTGCTTAGCTAAATAAAATTTGGGAGTAAGGACTTGAACTCAAGCCCTTGGGCACCAACCATAAGCAATAGGTGCACACAAAGCTGAAATGAGGACTCTCTTATAAGCAGGAAGACGCACACACCACACAAATATTATTGTTCCTCAACAATTTACACATTCTGAAATTGGAAGATGACTTACAATTTGTACATTACATGGTAATGTTTCTTTTTTCCCTTGAAATGATGTTATTAAATAAATGAAGTGTCTCACAATTCATGGTGTCTTAACTTGGAGGAAATAAAGTCATAGTAATACAAGGCAGGGAAAGATAATTTTCATTTAACATTTAAATAGCACTTACTATGTCCCCAGAACTATTCAAAGCACTTTACATCAAGGAACTCAATGAATCCTCACAGGCACCCTCTGAGAAATGCATTATCACCCTCATTTACAGATGAGGAAATGGAGGCACAAGGAGGAAGGCAATTTGTCCAAGGTCACACAGTGAGGAAGAGCTGGGATCAGGGTCTCTGGTAGTCTGTTTCCAGTCTGGGCTCCAAACCACTCTGGGCTCTGAGAAGAACTTGGGAAATGAGGCTGGAGCTGGCCGTGAGAGGGAGACGGTAAGTGTTGCACTGTGGTAAGAAATGCCCTGTGGAGGTGAGGGTGTTCCAGGCAGGGGAAAAGCATGAGCAGGCCAGGCGCGGTGGCTCACGCCTGTGATCCTAGCACTTTGGGAGGCAGAGGCAGGCTGATCATCTAAGGTCAGGAGTTCGAGACCAGCCTGGCCAGCATGGCAAAACTCCGTCTCTACAAAAATATAAAAATTAGCTGGACGTGGGTGGCAGTAATCCCTACTACTAGGTAGCCTGAGGCAGGAGAATTGCTTGAACCCGGGAGGCAGAGGTTGCAGTGAGCTGAGATTGCGCCCCTGCACTCCAGCCTGGGCAATAGAGCGAGACTCCATCTTGAAAAAAAATAAGAAATGCCCTGTGAAGGTGAGGGTGTTCCAGGCACAGGAAAAGCTCAGCAAAGGCTGGGAAGCGGGAAAGCACCAGGTGAGGATTTGGGCTGGGCTTGGAAATGGGGGCTCGGGCCTCAGGCCTGGGCTACTTAGAGGCCGGGACAGCAGAACAGAGTCTTGCAGAGCCAGAGCGCCCTGGGGCCTCCTAGGGGTGGGGAAAAAGAGAGGAGTAGAATGTTGGGGCAGGAGGGTGGGGGTGCTTCAGTCCAGGGAAGAGCTGAGGCCACTCTGCCCCAGCCACTCTCCAGGGAAGGGCCATTTGGGAAGTGCAGCGTGTGCTCAGGAAATGGCCGGATTGGGTTACTGGCAAGATTAAAGGAGCTAAATCGGGCCTGGGCTTGGGAGAGGTGTCCAAGAAGGGAACTGCCCAGGACCAGCAGCTGGAAGACCAGGAGAAGCAGCCTGGGACCTAGGGGTGGGGGCAGGGATCCTAGTCCAGGCCGGAAGCCCTCTCAACACCAAAAAGCTAGAATGTGGGGTCACCAAATAAGGGCCTCCTCACTTAGACGGGGCTGGGGCTGGGGTGGAGCCCCAGAGGAGAAAAGGAGAGCTTGGGAGAAGTTGGAGCCTAGATTCAGCCCAATTCTGAGCTGGTGTCTGGAGCTCCAAGCCCTTTTCTGGCTGGGGAGTGGGGGGCACTCTTGCTTGTAGGGTGTTGGTGGGAGAGCTCACTGCACAGCACAGAGGAGCTGCTGGAAACAGCCTGGGGCCCTCCAGCGCCCTCTCAGTCCCAGCACCAGCCTGTCCGCTCCTCTCTGCCCGATCCCTCTCCCAGCCTGAGTGGCAGCACCGGCTGTGGCCCCTCCCAGCCCCAAGGGCAGGCGGTCAGTGGTCTATTCTGGTATCCAGGGTGGCTGGGGCACCTGGGAGAGGGCAGAGGGAGCACCTGCCCCATCTCTTTGAGGCCGGATGAGGTGGGGGCATTAGGAGGGCCCTTTGGGATGGTTGGGGTATACCGTTCTGACTGCTGTGGGTGGGAAGAAAGAAGGCCAGCACTCTGCTTTCAGCAAATTGTAACTCTGGGGATCTTTAGTTGGGAAGGGAAATGTATCTGGGACACTCCTGATGCGCTCTGGGAGCATCTGGCACTCACGAGCTTGGGCAGTGGGAATCCCCAGGGGCTGGCAGTGGACCCCGGAATCTTTTTGGAAACTTGAGGCCACAGATCAAGCCTGGACTTTGGTCTCAGTCCTCCTGGCAGCCTCTCCAGGACAGAGGTGTGGATGCTGCTACGCGAGGCTGCTCCCAGGCCGGTTGGGGGCAGTCTGGGGCCAGGGTGGACTGAGGGGAGCCTCTGCAGCCTGTGAGGAGCCCCGTGCCTGGCTGGCCTGTGAGTGGCATGGGGCAGAAGGGCCCCCACTGGATTCTTTATCCTTCAGATGAAAAATTTCCAGTGTCCTCCCCACCCGCCTTTCCTGTAGGCTAAAGTTCGGACTCCTCTGTCAGTGGGGCCTGACTCCCTGACAGCCTCCCCCTCCATGCCTAGACCGTTTCTGGAGGGCAAGGGTTTTGGGAAGAGGAGCAGAGCAGAATGTTAGGAGGGACTTGTCCAATGCTGGACAAGGGGCTTTTTCCATGGAGAGTCCCCGATGGGGCCGAGTTAAAAGGGGATGAGCCGAGGGCTGTGTCTGCCAAATCAATATGTGGTAAGGCCTTGGAGACCACACAGAGAAATAAGCAGGACTTCTAGGAGACACTGACTAGGGTTAATCCAGGCTTTGCTTTTTACTTGCTGTGCAACCTTAGGAAACTTACCTAACCTCTCTGAGGCTAGTATCCACCGCTGTAAAATGGGGATAAGAGTTACTTCAGTGTTGTAAGGATTAGAGATACAGTGATTCCATGTGGTAGCTATCCATAATACTGTGCCTGGTATACAGTAGATGCTCAGTGAGTGGTGGCTGTGTTATTCTCAGAGGCACCATAGCCCATAGGAAGAGCTAGTGCTTTGGAGTCAGGCAGTCCTGGCTCTCAATCTTGGCCTTGACCTGCTGACCTGAAGCAAGGACTTGAGCAAGTCCTTGGCTCCCACTGAACCAGTTTCCTTATTGGTCAAAAGGGGATACAAAAAATACTCATGATGGCTGGCACTTACTGAGCACTCGAAGTGTGCTGGGCACTGTGCTAAGTGCTTTGCAGACAAGTTTCTCGTTTAATCTTCCCAACAACCCTATGCTGTAATTACCATTTCACAGGTGAGGAAACAGGCTCAGAGAGGTGAGGAAACTAACCCAAGAGTGGGAGATCCAGGATCTGAACTCTGGCCATGGCCTATCAGATGCTTCTCAAATTCCTCCCCTTGCCCACACCTCTGCAGAGTCCAGTGGAATTGAGGTCATGGGCTGCCTATCTGGCAGACGTGAGAAGACAGAAGGATGATGGGCTGGGCTATAAGAACATACAATGCTGAGGGCCCAAAAAAGGGTGTTGTGTAGAACCCAACACTCATCTTCATTGTGTACTTGGATGGTTCAGAGAATAAAGCATCCAGCACAGCGGCAAGAACAGTTCAGGGTGCCGTGGTGGACTGGGATCTGGAGTGGCAGAGAAGGCCCTGGGGTCTGAGTGGACCCCAAGCTGACCGTGACTCAGCTGGTTGGAGGAAGAGGAGGATGAGCCTATAAGGCTATAAATAGAAGCTGTGCATAGTGGCCCTGTGAGGTCATTGCCAGCCTGCTCAGGCCCTGTTTAAAGCCTCACAGCCTCAGAGGGATGTAGGAAACCTGGAAGGGGCCCAGGAGGGCAGGGATCTGACCAAACTGGAGAGGCTGAACCAAAAAAGCCTATGAGGCAAGATGAAAGGAATGGGGATGAATCAGGAAGAAGAGAGAATGGAGTGATGGCACTGAGATCCCAACAGAGAATTCCAAGGAAGGGGTGCAACCCCTTTTCTTCATCTAGGTTGAAATATAAAAAAGAAAGAAGGGGCCCAGGTGCAGTGGCTCACGCCTGTAATCCCAGCACTTTGGGAGGCCGAGGCAGGTAGATCACTTGAGGTCAGGAGTTCCAGACCAGCCTGGCCAACATGGTGAAACCCTGTCTCCACTAAAATATAAAAATTAGCCGGGTGTGGTGAGGGGGCACCTGTAATCCCAGCTACTTGGGAGGCTGAGGCAAGAGAATCGCTTGAACCTGGGAGGTGGAGGTTGCAGTGAGCGGAGATTGCAACATTGAACTCCAGCCTGGGCAACAAGAGTGAAACTTTGTCTCAGGAAAAAAAGGGAAAAAAAAAAAAAGAAAACAGACCTCTTTCACCCCTCTCTTTGGGGTCAGAGTAGGGAGGTATGTCCAAGGATATTTCACTTTAAGCAAGGATAAACCCAGACCCAGAACGGGGAGGTGACCAGTCCAATGTCACACAGCTTGTCTCAGAGCTGGTCCAGGACAGGTCCCCAGTTCAGCCATGTGCTCCCAATGCATCCGGAAGCCTTCCCTGAGGTGTTTTCTTTTTTTTCTTTTAGAGACAGGATCTTTCTCTGTCACTCAGGCTGGAGAGCAGTGGCTCAGTCATAGCTCGCTGCAGCCTTGACCTTCTGGGCTCAGGCAATCCTCCTGCCTCAGCCTCCCTTGTGCAGTGGACTCCAGGTATGCAGCACCATACCTGGTTAATTGTTTTAAAAAAATTTGTAGAGACAAGGTCTCACTTTGTTGCCCAAGCTGATCTTGAACTCTTGGGCTCAAGCAATGTTTCTGCCTCAACCTCCCAAAGTGCTGGGATTACAGGCATGAGCCACTGTGCTGTCCTGGGACCTTTCTTAATGCTACCAAAGCCCCCTTCCCTTCCGTCCACCCTTCCGTCCCATCCTCTCCTCCCTGTCATCTCTTACTGGGTGAATAACACCTGAAGTTTACAGGGTACTGAGAGTCCACAAAGCCCTTTCATCTCCATCATCTCATGAGCTCTTCCCCCTTGAGGCCCAGCCTCCTTCTCCTCCTAGCCTCCTTCCTGGGCTGAGCTGTCCTATTTGGTGGGAGAAGTTGGGGGCTGGGGAGGAGGTGAGATTAGCCCCAGACTTGTCCTACTTTGGCAGAAAGTCCACAGCACTCTGTGTCTGTAAAAGGAGCGTGGGGCAGGAGGGGCAGGAGTCGGGGCTGTGGGGCCCTCCTTGGAGAAGGAGCAAGGTCGGGGTGTGGGGGTGACGAGGACGATGAAGGAGGGGTTGATGAGAATTGGGGTGGGGGTGCCAGTGAAGGAAGGGGCCCAGGAGAGGGTCTGGGGGCTGGAGGTGGAAAAAGTTAGGAGAGGGAAGATATGGCCCGAATGTCTTAAGCCAAAGAGATGTGGAGCGTGGCCGATGGGAGGGGGGTGGATTGCTGGCTGAGCCTGGGGAGGAGGCAGCGCAGCAGGAGAGGGATGAGTTTCAGGGAGAATCCTGACGCCATCCCGGCTGGGCCCCCAACTCTCCAGCCTCCCCCCGGGTGATATCAGGGAGAAACAGCCGCCTCTGGACATTCCTTCCCTTTTACAGTCACTCCAGCTCCTCAGCAGCCTGTGGAGGTCAAGCAGCTGCTCCAGCTGGGGGAAGGTGGATGGAGGGGATGGGGATGCATGGGAGGGGGCTGCTGGAGGGAGGGGCTCTGGACAGGGAGGCCAGGGGACATTAGACAGTGAGTCCCAGGAAAAAACTCAGCTGAGACCACCCCCTGCTGGGGCCCAGAGTCTCAGGCTGTCAGAAGTTGAGGGGACTCCAGAGGTGACTTGGCCTTGTCCCCTCACACTGGGATCACAACAGGGCCGAGGCCAGGGACTTGCCCAGGTAGCCCAGGTGGTCAGCTGGTGAATCCCCAGGGTGTCCACCTGTATCTTCGCCTCCAATTGACCACTCTACCCCCAACCCCTAAGCTTGTGCCTTTTGCCACCACCTTCTCACCCCCCTGTCAATGACCCAGTGCTACAGTTGATGATGAGGGCCTAGGTCCCCAGAGTTCATCCTTGCCATGCTGTTCCCAAGGCTCTCTCATGCAATGGCTGCCTCCTGGCCCAACCCAGCTCAGGGTGGAAGCATGAGGTCCCCAGCTGGAAAAAAAGAGAGAGAAGAGGGGCCCTGGAAGGAGTGGAAGGTGCCCCTGTGGGTGGGTATTAGTCCACGGAGGGAGGGTGCACCGCAGGAGGAATTAACACTGCCTCATACCTGGAATCCCAGGGCAAGTGAGGCTCTCTCAGACCGGGTAAAGGGCCAGTTCTCTCCTTTTTGAGTTCTTTCAGTTTTTCCTAATCCAAATGCCCTATGCTGGCCAAGCCACCTCAGCTATCCGCCCATACTAGCCACCTGTCCTCCATCCATGCCATTCATGAAATCTGGGGGCTCCTAGGTAGAGCCAGGGCCCTTATTTTCCAGAGAGCCCTCTGTGAGGTTCAGAGATCTGCCGGGGCATCCTGAAGCCCTCCAGACATTGCGCTCGGGGGACAGCAGGGAACAGCAAAGGCCAAGGTCTGGAGGCTGGAGAGAGCTGGGCAGCCTCACCCAACAGAAAGGAGGCTGAAGCAAGGGGAGTCTGAAGGAGAGGTGAGTGACCTGCAGTTGACGAGGTGGGCAGGGCCAGTCCTGTGGGGCCCTCAGAGGCCATGACAAGTTTGGGTCTTGCTGGTTCAATAGGTCAGGGAAAGGAGAGAAGCTGGGAGTGGCAAAACAGGCAACGTTCCAAAAGGCATGAACACTGCCCCCAAATGTTTGCAGGGTAGATCTGTGAAAGGGGGGTTCTTGCTCTGCTTGGCTCCCAGGTTAGAATATGTGGCATAGCAGAGACATGTCATCTGGCTTTGAGTATCAGGAAACGTTTTCTTTCTTTTCTTTTCTTTTCTTTTTTTTTTTTAATTTTGACACAGAGTTTTGCTGTTTAGCCCAGGATGGAGTGAAGTGGTGTGATCTCGGCTCTCTGCAACCTCCACCCGCCAGGTTCAAGTGATTCTCCTGCCTCAGCTTCTCAAGTAGCTGGGATTACAGGCCCGTGCCACTACACCTGGCTAATTTTTGTATTTTTAGTAGAGACGGGGTTTTGCCATGTTGGCCAGGCTGGTCTCAAACTCCTGACTTCAGGTGATCCGCCCTCCTCGGCCTCCCAAAGTGTCAGGTTTACAGGTGTGAGCCACCGCACCCGGCCAAGGAAAGGTTTTCTAACAGCAGAGCTGCGGTGCAGACATGTTAGGTACTCAGGGACTCTTCGGGAATGGAATGTGCTGCCCAGAGACAGTAAGTTCCCAGGGACTGGAGGGATTCAAGCTGATCAAGTGCTTGCTGGAGCCACAGTAAAGAAGACTTCGGACTTCAGTGAGAAGTGGGAGCATGAGACTGGTCAGCCTCATGACCTGCTGAGGTCCAACTGTAAGCTTCTAAAACTCTGAGGTTTGAATAATCTGGAAATATTTCTTTTTTGTTTTTTGGTTTTTTTTTTTGAGACGGAGTCTCGCTCTGTCACCCAGACTGGAGTGCAGTGGCGCAATCTCGGCTCACTGCAAGCTCAGCCTCGCGGGTTCATGCCATTCTCCTGTCTCAGCCTCGCGAGTAGCTGGGACTACAGGTGCCCACCACCATGTCTGGCTAATTTTTTTATTTTTAGTAGACACGGGGATTCACTGTGTTAGCCAGGATGGTCTTGAGCTCCTGACCTCGTGATCCGCCTGCCTCGGCCTCCCAAAGTGCTGGGATTACAGGCGTGAGCCACCACGCCCGGCTTAATCTGGAAATATTTCAAACGGAGAGCAGGACTAACTTATTTCCTTAATTCATTTAACAAAAGTTATTGTCAGTACCCACTGTGCAAGGCACCATCCCACATACACAAATTTATAAATTGTCCCCTTTTCTGGTAAATGCTGAATGAAATCATCTGTCCTGGTGGACCTTTCCATTTCCAATATCAATTAAGGAAGAGGCCTGACTACTAAATACTGTGACTTTTATGTTTTTTTTTTAAAAAAGTGGCCGGGCATGGTGGCTCACGCCTACAATCCCAGCACTTTGGGAGGCTGAGGCAGGTGGATCACCTGAGGTCGGGAGTTCAAGACCAGCCTGACCAACATGGAGAAACCCCATCTCTACTAAAAATACAAAATTAGCCGGGCGTGATGGCGCATGCCTGTATTCCCAGCTACTCAGGAGGCTGAGGCAGGAGAATCGCTTGAACCTGGGAGGCAGAGGTTGTGGTAAGCCGAGATCGCACATTACACTCCAGACTGGGCAACAAGAGCAAAACCCGTCTCAAAAAAAAAAAGTACCAAAATTTGTGTTCAAAGGTGTCCTGAAGATGTTCACAGCAGCATTGCTTATAATAGCAAAACACTGGAACAACATAAATGTCTATCAATAAGGAACTGGCCAAATAAATTATACCAAGTCTATACAGTGAAATACAAAGACACTAAGAAAAATGACTCAAAACCCCACAACAAAGAAAAGTGCAGGACCAGATGGCTTAACTGGTGAGTTCTAAGAAACAAAGAACTAACACCAGGCTGGGCATGGTGGCTCACACCTGTAATCCCAACAGTTTGAAAAGCCAAGGTGGGAGGATCACTTGAGCCCAAGAGTTTGAGATCAGCCTGGGGCAACATAGGGAGACTCCCTGTCTACAAAAAAATTACAAAGTTTGCCAGGTATGGTGGCACACGCCTCTGGTCCCAGCTACTAGGGAGGCTGAGGTGGGAGGGTGAGAGGGTTACTTGAGCCCCGGAGGTTGAGACTACAGTAAGCCATGATCACACCACTGCACTTCAGCCTGGGTGACAGAGTGAGACACTGTCTCAAAACAAACAAACAAACAAACAAAAAACCTAACACCAGTCCTCAAACTCTTCCAAAAATTAGAAGAGAAAGGAATACTTTCTAGCTCATTCTTTTTTTTTTTTTTTTGAGACAGAGTCTCGCCCTGTCGCCCAGGCTGGAATGCAGTGGTACGATCTCAGCTCACTGCAACCTCCGCCTCCCGGGTTCAAGTGATTCTCCTGCCCCAGTCTCCCAAGTAGCTGGGATTACAGGCGTGTGCCACTACACCCAGCTAATTTTTGTATTTTTAGTAGAGATGGGGTTTCACTATGTTGGTCAGGCTGGTCTCGAACTCTTGACCTCCTGATCTGCCTCCCTCGGCCTCCCAAAGTGCTGGGTTTACAGGCATGAGCTACTGTGCCCAGCCACTTTCTAGCTCATTCTATGAGGCCAACATTATCCTCATACCAAAGCCAAACAAAGACACTACAGGAAAACTACAGACCAATATCCCTTATAAATATTGATGTAAAACTCATAACAAAATACTAGCAAACCAAATTCAGCAGCAAATTTAAAGGATTACACACTATAATCAGGTGGGATTTATTCCTGGAATGCAAGGATAGTTCAATATATAAAAGTCAATCAGTGTCATACTTCACATTGACAGAATGAAGAAAAACCCCACATGATCATCTCAATGATAAATGAAAACAACTGCATTTATAATAGCATTAAAAATAATAAAATACTTAGCAATAAACATAAATAATGAGGCACAAGACTTGTACACTGAAAATTATAAAATATTATTGAAATAAATCAAAGAAGACAAAAATAAATGGAAAGACATCTCATGTTCATGAACTGGAACACTTAATATTGTTAAGAATACCATTACTACTCAAAGTGATCTATAGATTCAGTATAATGCCTATCAAAATCTCACCAACATTTTTGCAGAAATAGAAAAATCCATCCTAAAATTCATAAGGAATTTCAAGAGACCTCAAATAGCCACAAATTTTTGAAAAAGAACAAAGATGGAGAACTCACATTTTCTGAGCTCAAAATTTACTACAAAGGTACAGTTATCAAAACAGTGTGTGGTACCAGCATAAAGACAGACATACAGACCAACAGAATATAATAGAGAGCCCAGAAATAAACCCTCACACGTGGTTAAATTATTTTCATCCCAGGTGCCCAGACCATTCAGTGGGGGAAAGGGTAGTCTTTTCAACAAATGGTGCTGAGAAACTGGATATCCACATGCAAAAAAACAAAGCTGGACTCTTACCTTATACCATACATAGAAATTAACTCAAAATGGATAAAACAGCCAGGCCCACATTGGCTCATGCCTGTAATTTTGGCACTTTGGGAGACCGAGGTGGAAGGATCGCTTGATCCCAGGAGTTTGAGGTTGCAGTGAGCTATGATGGCACCACTGTAATCCAGCCTGGGTAACAGAGCAAGACCCTGTTTCAACAACAACAACAACAACAAACAGACATGATACCTAAACATAAGAGCTAAAATATAAAATTCTTAGAAGAAAACAAAGAGGAAAATCTTCATGACATTGGATTTGGCGATGATTTATTGAATATGACACCAAAAGCATAGGCAATAAAATAAAAAATAGATAAATAGGACTTGATCACAATTACAAACTTTTGTTCATCAAAGGACATTATCAACAGAGTGAAAAGGCAAACCACAGAATGGGAGAAAATATTTGCAAATCATATATCTGATAAGGGATTAATATCCAGAGTATATAAAGAACTCCTGCAACTCAACAACAAAAAATCCCCAAACAACCCAATTCAAAAATGGGCAAAGGATTTGAAGACATTTTGCCAAAGAAGATATACAGATTACCAGTAAGCGCATGAAAAGATGCTCAACATCACTGATCATTAGGGAAACGCAAATCAAAACCACAATGAGCAGCCAGGTGTGGTGGCTTGCTTCCATAATCCCAGCACTTTAGGAGACTGAGGCAGGAAGATCGCTTGAGACCAGGAGTTTAAGTCCTCAGTGAGGTATGATCATGCCATTGCACTCCAGCCTGGGCAACAGAGTGAGACCCTATCTTTAAAAAATGAAATAAGGCTGGGTGTGGAGGCTTACAACTATAATCCCAGCACTGTGAGAGGCTGAGGTGGAAACATCACTTGACCCCAGGAATTTGAGACCAGCCTGGGCAACATAGGTTTGGAGACCTCATCTCTATGGAAAAGTAAAAAAACTAGCCAGGTATGGTGGCTTGCACCTGTAGTCCTAGGTACTTGGGAGGCTGAGGCAGGAGGATCACTTCAGTCCAGGAATTTGAGGCTGCAGTGAGTGATGATCGTGCCATTGCACTCCAGCCTGCGTGACAGAGGCCCTGTCTCTAAAAAACAAAACAAAACAAACAAACCACAATGAGGTACCACCTCACATCCATTAGGAAGGCTACTATTAATATTATAAAACAAATAAACAAATAGAAAATAGCAAGTGTTAGCCAGGATGTGGAGAAATTGGAACCCATGTTCACTGCTGGTAGCAATGTAAAACAGTGCAGCTGCTGCGGAAAACAGCATGGCAGTTCCTCAAAAATTTAGACATAGCATTACCATATAACATAGCAGTTCCACTTCTGAGTATCTACAGAAAAGAACTGAACATAAGTATTTGAACAGATATTTGTACACCAAAGTTCATAGCGACATTATTCACAATAACCAAAAGTTGGAAACAACCCAAATATTCATCAACAGATAAACAAAGTGTGGTGTATACATACAATGGAATATTATTTAGCCTTAAAAAGAAAGGAAATTCTGACCCATGTCACAACATGGATGAACCTTGAAGACGTTATGCTAAGGGAAGTAAGCCAGTCACAAAAGGACAAATATGGTATGATTCCACTTGCATGAAGTACCTAGAGTCAAATTCGTAGAAACGGAAAGTAGAATGATGTTTACCAGGGGCTGGGAGGAGGGGAAGGTGGAGGGTTATTTTTAATACATATGGAGTTTCAGCTTGGGACAATGAAAAAGTTCTGCAGATGGATGGTGGGGATAGTTGTACAACAATGTGAATGTACTTGACGCCACTGAACTGTATACTTAAAAAATGGCTCAAATGGTGAATTTTATTTTATGTATATTTTATCACAATGTAAAAGTGACTCAGCTGTCAATGTACTAAAATGGAACCATCTCTAAGCTGTATGTCATTGAAAAAAGATTGATTCAGAAGTGGGGGCTCCACATAAGAAAATGTGGTTGTGTGTACATGAAGTATCTCTGAAAGGAACCGATAACAACCAAAACCTGGTTGTCTCTGAAGCAGTGTTTGGGGTGGCTGGGTGTCAAAGTGGGAAGGAGACTTACTTTTCATTTTATGCCTTTTTGCACATCTTGAATTTTGTACCATATACACTACCCATCCAAATAAATTGTCGGTATTTTTAGTGTGTCCCATCCTGAGTGGTCCTCTCGGGAGGCTGAACTCTCCCTCCAGCGGTGCTGCCCAGCTCACAGCATGTTTTGGAGTGCTCCTCTTTCACCTGCCTTCCAAGCCTCGGGGTGTTGATTTGCAGCCCTCCATGGTAGCAAATCCTCAGGGGTGGAACTGAATTTTGAAAACAGTCCCAAGTGGTTCGGGGCCAAGTCTGGTGGTTGTTGATTTTGACTAGAGAATAGATGGCATGATTTATTTGTCTTCTGCCTCTTTTCACCAAGGAACTGAGGACTTGGGCTGGTCCAAAGGCCAATTTCCTTATGTGGTCTGGAGATCATTCACAGAGAAGAGCTCCAGAAATGTTGTCCCAGTAGCATCATAGAAATAGGTGTAGAGTCCCCTTCAGGAAGATTAATCTGGTTCTTTGGGCTGTAAGTGATCAAAGCAATACCAAGTGCCTTAAATTAAAAAAAAAAAAAAAAAAAAAAACGGAAAGTTTGTTGGCCCAAGGCCAGGAAGGACAGTGTGGGAGCTCAACTCACAAAGTTGAGGGAAGCACTGCAGGAACCAAGGGGCTGGCCTGCTCCTCCTCTCCAGCCTCCTCTGCTTCTTACATATTGACCTCTCTTTCTTCCTACTCCCCCAGGGGGCAGGAAACATGGCTTCCACAGGTTCCAGTTGAAGAATCCCAGTTCCGTCTATAAATTCCAGGGAAGGTCTCTGATTGGCCCTGCTCATTCCCAGGCCCATTCCTTGACCCAGTCACTGAAGTCAGGGAGATGCAGTAATAAGACTGGCTGGAATCAGGGTCTTTAGGGGTGGAGGGATGGGGAGGAGGCACAGCATGTCATCAAAATAAGGAAATTGCAAAAGAAAGCTTGCAGGCTACTTTGAATGACAATGAGAAAGACGGTGCTGCCTGAGTGTGTTAAGGATCCACATGGTCTCCAAAATCCTCCAGGAGCATACAGTCTAGTCTGGGAGATGAGACACAAAAATAACCAGAACACAACAGCTTGCACTGACTCGAGGGCTGGATAAGAATATCTGGAACTCCCCCATCTATTTCAGAAGCTTGTCTCTTGGATGAAAATTAGACACTTAATGGGAAAGGGCTTTGAAAAGAGTGCAGTAACAAAGCCCCCTTTACAATTTACCCGGCACATTCACACCCATCCTGAGGCCAAAGCCACAGGCTGTGAGGTCTCACTGTCTCAGCTTCCTGAGCTATAAAATGGGAATGATGCTAGTGTCTACCTCCTAGGGTTGGAGAATTGGGGGTCATGGGTGTGAAGTGCTCAGCAGCTTGGCCCACACTAGGTGGTCAGTACATGTAAGGTATTATTGTTGCTACATACATTAGTAGGGCCTGGGCCTCTTTAAACCTTTATAGGGTAGCATGGCAAGGCTAACCATCCTCACTTTATATCTGACAAGCTGGGGCTCAGAGAGGACGTGCCTGAGCTGGGGCTCAGACAAGGACACACCTACTAGTAACCCCTCCAGCTGGTGATGGCAGGTCTAGGGTAGGACCAGTGACTGGCTCCTAATCGAGCACTCTATTTTCAGGGTTTGCATTCCAAAAGGGTCAGGTCCAAGAGGGACCTGGAGTGCCAAGTGGAGGTGTAGAGGCACGGCCAGTACCCATGGAGAATGGTGGATGTCCTTAGGGGTTAGCAAGTGCCGTGTGCTAAGGAGGGGGCTTTGGAGGTTGGGCAGGCCCTCTGTGGGGCTCCATTTTTGTGGGGGTGGGGGCTGGAGCATTATAGGGGGTGGGAAGTGATTGGGGCTGTCACCCTAGCCTTCCTTATCTGACGCCCACCCATGCCTCCTCAGGTACCCCCTGCCCCCCACAGCTCCTCTCCTGTGCCTTGTTTCCCAGCCATGCGTTCTCCTCTATAAATACCCGCTCTGGTATTTGGGGTTGGCAGCTGTTGCTGCCAGGGAGATGGTTGGGTTGACATGCGGCTCCTGACAAAACACAAACCCCTGGTGTGTGTGGGCGTGGGTGGTGTGAGTAGGGGGATGAATCAGGGAGGGGGCGGGGGACCCAGGGGGCAGGAGCCACACAAAGTCTGTGCGGGGGTGGGAGCGCACATAGCAATTGGAAACTGAAAGCTTATCAGACCCTTTCTGGAAATCAGCCCACTGTTTATAAACTTGAGGCCCCACCCTCGACAGTACCGGGGAGGAAGAGGGCCTGCACTAGTCCAGAGGGAAACTGAGGCTCAGGGCTAGCTCGCCCATAGACATACATGGCAGGCAGGCTTTGGCCAGGATCCCTCCGCCTGCCAGGCGTCTCCCTGCCCTCCCTTCCTGCCTAGAGACCCCCACCCTCAAGCCTGGCTGGTCTTTGCCTGAGACCCAAACCTCTTCGACTTCAAGAGAATATTTAGGAACAAGGTGGTTTAGGGCCTTTCCTGGGAACAGGCCTTGACCCTTTAAGAAATGACCCAAAGTCTCTCCTTGACCAAAAAGGGGACCCTCAAACTAAAGGGAAGCCTCTCTTCTGCTGTCTCCCCTGACCCCACTCCCCCCCACCCCAGGACGAGGAGATAACCAGGGCTGAAAGAGGCCCGCCTGGGGGCTGCAGACATGCTTGCTGCCTGCCCTGGCGAAGGATTGGCAGGCTTGCCCGTCACAGGACCCCCGCTGGCTGACTCAGGGGCGCAGGCCTCTTGCGGGGGAGCTGGCCTCCCCGCCCCCACGGCCACGGGCCGCCCTTTCCTGGCAGGACAGCGGGATCTTGCAGCTGTCAGGGGAGGGGAGGCGGGGGCTGATGTCAGGAGGGATACAAATAGTGCCGACGGCTGGGGGCCCTGTCTCCCCTCGCCGCATCCACTCTCCGGCCGGCCGCCTGCCCGCCGCCTCCTCCGTGCGCCCGCCAGCCTCGCCCGCGCCGTCACCATGAGCCAGGCCTACTCGTCCAGCCAGCGCGTGTCCTCCTACCGCCGCACCTTCGGCGGGGCCCCGGGCTTCCCACTCGGCTCCCCGCTGAGTTCGCCCGTGTTCCCGCGGGCGGGTTTCGGCTCTAAGGGCTCCTCCAGCTCGGTGACGTCCCGCGTGTACCAGGTGTCGCGCACGTCGGGCGGGGCCGGGGGCCTGGGGTCGCTGCGGGCCAGCCGGCTGGGGACCACCCGCACGCCCTCCTCCTACGGCGCAGGCGAGCTGCTGGACTTCTCACTGGCCGACGCGGTGAACCAGGAGTTTCTGACCACGCGCACCAACGAGAAGGTGGAGCTGCAGGAGCTCAATGACCGCTTCGCCAACTACATCGAGAAGGTGCGCTTCCTGGAGCAGCAGAACGCGGCGCTCGCCGCCGAAGTGAACCGGCTCAAGGGCCGCGAGCCGACGCGAGTGGCCGAGCTCTACGAGGAGGAGCTGCGGGAGCTGCGGCGCCAGGTGGAGGTGCTCACTAACCAGCGCGCGCGCGTCGACGTCGAGCGCGACAACCTGCTCGACGACCTGCAGCGGCTCAAGGCCAAGTGAGGGCCCGGCACCCCAGACTCCTCTTTCTGCGGGCAGGGCACAGGAGGCTAGGCCTGGGGTCTGGGGTCCCGCTGTCAGCACCTGCCTTCTCCCGGGGCCCGGGACCCTCTCCTGCCCCATGTGGAGAAAGGGTCCTCCACCTGTGTGTTTCAAGGGGCCGTGACCTCCAGGTCTCTCCCCCTGCGATCCCATCTTGCACAGGAGTTTTCTTGGGGACATAGATCAGGGGGTGGATATGGGAGAATTTAGGGGACCCGGTGCCCTGTGGACAGCCCCGTTAAAAAGCATTTTAAGATGCTGGGGCGATATTTATGGGGTCAGGTAGTTGATGGGCAGAGGAAGGGCTGCAGGAGGCCCAGAGGGCAGTGTAGCCAGAGGGAGAAGGGAGGCTGATAGGAGACAGGGAAAGCAGGGCAAGGGCCCAGAGTCCAAGCAACAGCTCTCAGCTCAGCTGTGATGAGGCCCTGGGGGAGGTGGGGGGAGGGGGGAGCTTGGCCCTGGGGCCTTGCCGAGACTGTGTCTTTTTACAAGGTGAATGGACAGGCTGGAGAAAAAGGGAGTAGGTGGGGGTCACAGCTCTCAGAGAGCTTGGGAGGACCTGACTGTAGACTTCACCAGGCTCCAAGAACGAAAAGGGCAGCAAGTGTAGCATATTTGTTGGTCCCACTTCTGACAGGCCAAGTGAGCACAGTCACCCTCCTGCCACCAAAGTCATAAATATTAATTGAGCAGCTATATTGGCCAGGCTGGAGCTGGGAACCAGAAACACAGAGGTGGATAAAATAGACACAGTTTCTAACCCCAGGGAGGTCACACAGTCTGGTGGGGACATAGACTTCAAGGGTGTGGCTCCTGGGCAGAGATTGGGCCACTTCCTGTGCCCTCCCTGGGTGGGTGGGGCCTCTCCACTCCCTGTCTCTCCTGCCTCTACCCAGCAGCCAGGCCCTCCCGCTCTGTCCTGGACCCACCCCCTGGTCAGCCCCCGGCCAGTCGTTTCCACTGCCAGCTTTATCACCCGCAACTGTCTGTCTTTCTGTCTGTCCCACCCAGGCTGCAGGAGGAGATTCAGTTGAAGGAAGAAGCAGAGAACAATTTGGCTGCCTTCCGAGCGGTGAGTGCCCTTCTTTTCCCCTTGCATGGCCTCTGGCCTTGCTCTGCCCCACCTGGGTGGCGGTGACCATGTCCTTCTCGCTTGGCCTCTCCCAGGACGTGGATGCAGCTACTCTAGCTCGCATTGACCTGGAGCGCAGAATTGAATCTCTCAACGAGGAGATCGCGTTCCTTAAGAAAGTGCATGAAGAGGTATACCTTGGCCCCTCTTCCTGGGGTCACTGGGCCATGGGGAAAGCAGCCGGAAAGTGGGGTTGGGGTGAGGCTCTGGCTGGGAATAGGGGTGTGAGGGTGCTGTGTGGGCCCTGAGAGGGGACTGAAGCCCAGTCATGCCCTACAGGAGATCCGTGAGTTGCAGGCTCAGCTTCAGGAACAGCAGGTCCAGGTGGAGATGGACATGTCTAAGCCAGACCTCACTGCCGCCCTCAGGGACATCCGGGCTCAGTATGAGACCATCGCGGCTAAGAACATTTCTGAAGCTGAGGAGTGGTACAAGTCGAAGGTGGGTGGCCTCGCCCGGGGACTGGCATCTCCGTCCCCCTGAATCCCAGCTTGGATGTGCTGCCTGTGGTACCATCCATGGGAGGAGAGCCCAGAGGCTTCATGCTCCCTTGCTCATCCCTACCCGTGCCCTGCATCCTTCTCATTTTTGGGCCCCTTTCTCTGCCCTTAGGTGTCAGACCTGACCCAGGCAGCCAACAAGAACAACGACGCCCTGCGCCAGGCCAAGCAGGAGATGATGGAATACCGACACCAGATCCAGTCCTACACCTGCGAGATTGACGCCCTGAAGGGCACTGTGAGTCCCTGCCCACCTGGCCAGGCCCTGCCCCTTCCTGTCTGCAGTTCACACCCTCACTTTGTGACCTTGGGCCCATCATAGATCCTCTCTGGGCCTTCATCTACTTAAATCTACAATAGGGGTAAAACCAGACAAGTGGATTCCAGTTGGATGCTAAGGAATCAGGGGTTCCTGGGCATCTACCTATGTGGGGACTGTGAGGCTGAATGCAATGTTCCTTTGTATCTATTTTATTCTGAGTGTTCACATATAGACTTAATTTGAGTTCAGGGTTCAACATGGCCTGGACCTGACCATCTGGAGTTGCCTGCCAGCCCCAAAGCTTTCTTTGGGCTGCTAGTGTCCTCTTCCCTTCCTTGACCTGGGTTCCCCCTCTCCTGCAGAACGATTCCCTGATGAGGCAGATGCGGGAATTGGAGGACCGATTTGCCAGTGAGGCCAGTGGCTACCAGGACAACATTGCGCGCCTGGAGGAGGAAATCCGGCACCTCAAGGATGAGATGGCCCGCCATCTGCGCGAGTACCAGGACCTGCTCAACGTGAAGATGGCCCTGGATGTGGAGATTGCCACCTACCGGAAGCTGCTGGAGGGAGAGGAGAGCCGGTGAGGGGCCAGGCAGGAGCCCGAGTGGGAGGTGCGGGGTGCTGGGTGGTCCATTTCTGTCCCCAGGAGGCTCGAGATTACTGATTACCTCAACAAGACCTGGAAACAATTTTTTTTTTTTTTGAGATGGAGTTTCGCTCTTGTCGCCCAGTCTGGAGTGCAATGGCACCATCTTGGCTCACTGCAACCTCCGCCTCCTGGGTTCAAGCAATTCTCCTGCCTCAGCTTCCCGAGCAGCTGGGATTACAGGCGCCTACCACCACGCCTGGCTAATTTTTGTATTTTTAGTAGAGACGGGGTTTCACTATGTTGGGCAGCTGGTCTCGAACTCCTGACCTCAGGTGATCTGCCTACCTCAGCCTCCCAAAGTACTGGGATTACAGGCGTGAGCCACCGCACCCGGCGTGGAAACAATTTTATACAAGAGGCCACTGCTCTATTAATTGCAGAGAATTAACCAAGGCCACCTGGGTAAAAAGCAATTTAATTAACAGCATTTATAAAAAGAGAAATATAAGTATTCCCTTATCCACCTTCAGAATTAAGAACCAGCAGCAAAAAAAACCATATTCAGCAACCAATAATAAAATATTACTGCCAGTCAAGGGAGAGATGAAAGCAGAATGGGGAGTGATGAGGAGGGAAACGGAGGGAGCAGATAGAGGCAAATAGAGAGAGGGAGGGAGAGAAGCCTTGCACAGGGATAGGCTAAGAGAAGGTAAAGAGATGCATACAGAAGGCATGAGTTTGCACACACATGCACACATGTCAGCATATGCACATGTTCGGAGGAAAAGACACAGACGTCATGCTCAGAGCAACCCACCTCTAGACACAGAAAACAACATACAACTGGAAAGGGACACCAGGGAACCTTGTGGGATAACAGAAATGTTCTATATCTTTTTTTTTTTTTTTTTTTGAGACAGAGTCTTGCTCTGTCACCCAGGCTGGAGTGCAGTGGTGTGATCTCAGCTCACTGCAACCTCTGCCTCCCAGGCTCAAGCGGTTCTCCTGTCTCAGCCTCCCTAGTAGCTGGGATTACAGGCGTGTGCCAACACACTCAGCTGATTTTTTGTATTTTTAGTAGAGATGAGGTTTCACCATGTTGGTCAGGCTGGACTCTAACTCCTGACCTCAAGTAATTCGCCTGCCTCAGCCTCCCAAAGTGCTGGGATTATAGGCATGAGCCACTGTGCCTGGCCTAGAAATGTTCTATATCTTGATTTGGACTGGTAGTTACACAGACGTGGACATTGATCAAAACTCATTGAATTGTACATTAAAGATCTGTGCATTTCACTGTATGTAAATTTAACCTCAATTTAAAACAGATCAGTTACTCCAAAAACTGGTACCCCTTGATACTCATAAAAATAATATCTGAAATTTTTAAAAAGGAGCAGACATGTTTAGATACAGGTACAAACATAAAGAGAAACTTCAGATTTTGTAAAATCACGTCTACATATGATGGCCTTTGAAGGTAGCTAAAGGCATGTTGCATTTTCCCAGCATTAGGCCTAAATAGTAAGCTCTCAGAACTGGCCTGGCTGGAGGGTGGGCATGAGCAATGGATATCACCCACAGCTGCTACTAGTACCAACTTCAGTGCCAGGAGCAAGAAGGAAATCCTGGTGCTCTGGAGGGCGCGGTGGGGTTGCACATCCTAGTGTCGTGCCAGCAGTTCACAGTTGAAATAATGATCCTTCCAGAAGAGACTATTCCTGGGACAGCTCTAGCTGGCCTTCGACCCCATTCCTTGAGCAGTATGGGTGGTGGGAGTGCTGGGGTCCGTGGGACTGGGACAGCTGAGGATGGTGTTTAGAAAGGACCAGGGTGAGCCTTGATGGGCGGTCTCAGGGAAAGATGGGAGGGTTCTTTTTTTTTTTTTTTTGAGACAGGGTCTTGTTCTGTCCCCCAGGCTGGAGTGCAGTGGTGCAATCTCCGCTCACTGCAAGCTCCACCTCCTGGGTTCGCACCATTCTCCTGCCTCACCCTCCTGAGTATCTGGAACTACAGGTGCCCGCCACCATGCCCGGCTAATTTTTTGTATTTTTAGTAGAGACGGGGTTTCACTGTGTTAGCCAGGATGGTCTCGATCTCCTGACCTGGTGATCCGCCCGCCTCGGCCTTTCAAAGTGCTGGGATTACAGCTGGGCCCGGCCGATGGGAGGGTTCTTAACTCTTAGGAGGTTTTGTCTCTTCCCTTTTAGGATCAATCTCCCCATCCAGACCTACTCTGCCCTCAACTTCCGAGGTGAGTGTCTGCTGGCAGGCGGAGGCTGGAGTTGCAGGGGCCAGGAGTCCAGCATGGGCACTGCCCAAGGCCAGCCAGGAGGGAGGATGGGACCCTGGGGCTAGGGACAGACCTGGAGTCTGGGGAAGAAAAAGGGGACCACTGCGGGTAGGTGGGGGAGTTTAGGTAGAGGTGGATGAGGCAACTTATGACAGAGAGAGCTTTTTATGTGATTATATTGTATTGTATTTACCATGTCCCCTGCACCTTCTTGGAGTATTGGGCCTCAGGAAGCAGCCTCTGTTCTGAATCCCAAACTCTGAAAGCAGGAGTGTCCTTGGGGACCTGGCTTCAGGAGCATCTCATACCACCTGCCCTCTAAGACACCCACAGCCCATTGTCTGTTTGGCACATTGCCAAGCCCCACCTTGGCTGCTTGTCGAACACCTCCAGTTTGCTGGAGCAAGATGTTGGATGCACGTTTGGAAAAAAATGCCAAATCTTAGCAAAGCCAAACAATGAAAAGAACGAGCTCTTAGGGCACTCTGCCATTTTGACATTAGTAATACGCAGATCGGGTGGCTTTCCAACCCCAGAGAGCAGAGAAACACACGATAATGATGCATTAGGAAAGCAAGTCGGAGTCCTTGGCAGCTTCTCCTTTCCTAGATCAAACCTTTTCTATCTTCGATGTACATTTCCATCAGGAAAAAAAACACGCTGCGCTCCAGCGAGTCACAACATTCATCACAGGCTGGTTGCTAGCTAAGGAAATTCGTAAGCACCAAACTCATAATACCAAGGACCTCCATTTGACCTTTCCTACACAACTCAGAGCCTCTCTTTTCAGTTAGTTGTTTATACAGACACCAAGTATGAGTCTTGCATTTAAAACTTCATAGTACAAAAAACTCCACCCACATTGCACAGTGCTTTTCCAAATCAATAGCTTTGTGGCCATGATAAGGTTGGTACCACTTCACTCCGTGTCCTCAGTGAGGAAACTGAGGCACAGAATGGCAAGTGACTGAGCATCAGCACAATGAGTCAGTGCCTTATTCCTGCTCTGTCTCACTTTAAGACATCAAGTTGCTCATCTGAATTTTTTTTTTCTTTTGAAACGGAGTCTCGCTCTGTCGCCCAGGCTGGAGTGCAGTGGTGCAATCTCGGCTCACCGCAACCTCCGCCTCCCAGGTTCAAGCAATTCTCCTGCCTCAGCCTCCTGAGTAGCTGGGATTACAGGCATGTGCCACCACGCCCCCCTAATTTTTGTATTTTTAGTAGAGACGGGGTTTCACCATGTTGGTCAGGGTGGTCTGGAACTCCTGGCCTCATGATCCACCTGCCTCGGTCTCCCAAACTACTGGGATTACAGATGTGAGCCACCGCACCTGGCCCTGAAATCTTAAAGGGAGATAGGTACTGTAAGGTCCTCTAAAGAGTGTCTTGAGACTGGGCTTTGGGGTTCTATCTTGAAGAAGGGGAGTCCCAGGAGACAAATGTGTGCAGGGCTCTCCTGGGGCCTGGGGGTGGAGAGGAACTAGGAGGGATGGGGAATGTCAGTGCTGTGCAGCCTGGGCCTCAGGTGTCCCCTACCCTCCTGCACCATCCTGCACATGGAGCAAATCTGTTGGCTCCTGAGACCATCTAAACTATGGGACAGGCGCTGGGGACTGCAGAACCACCTGCTGGGTGCTGGGCTGAAGGAAAGGTGTTAAAGTCTTGAAGAAGTAACAAGCCTGTCTTGAGGGGGGTTGGGGTCTGCTAGGGCTCTGCCCAATGTGGCCCCAGATGGACTCCCAGCCCCTGGTATAGCCCAGCCTGGACTTGGTCAGGCTGAGTGTGCGATGGACCCTGTTACAGAAACCAGCCCTGAGCAAAGGGGTTCTGAGGTCCATACCAAGAAGACGGTGATGATCAAGACCATCGAGACACGGGATGGGGAGGTAAGTGGTCTGTCTGGGCTCCTTACCCTTGGTGGGGGCTATGGATGTGTCTGGGGGGACTGTCTTCCACCCAGCTGTGCTGGTCTAGGTCCCTGGCTAGTGGGGCAAGAGAGATCCTGCGGCCCTGGGGTGGGGATGGCTCAGGGCTGAGGCTCCATTCTCTGGCTAGCACATGGTTGGACTGGGCTTCTCTTCCTCCCCAGGTCGTCAGTGAGGCCACACAGCAGCAGCATGAAGTGCTCTAAAGACAGAGACCCTCTGCCACCAGAGACCGTCCTCACCCCTGTCCTCACTGCTCCCTGAAGCCAGCCTTCTTCCATCCCAGGACACCACACCCAGCCTCAGTCCTCCCCTCACAGCCTCTGACCCCTCCTCACTGGCCATCCCTCGTGGTCCCCAACAGCGACATAGCCCATCCCTGCCTGGTCACAGGGCATGCCCCGGCCACCTCTGCGGACCCCAGCTGTGAGCCTTGGCTGTTGGCAGTGAGTGAGCCTGGCTCTTGTGCTGGATGGAGCCCAGGCGGGAGCGGTGGCCCTGTCCCTCCCACCTCTGTGACCTCAGGCACTAGCCTTTGGCTCTGGAGACAGCCCCAGAGCAGGGTGTTGGGATACTGCAGGGCCAGGACTGAGCCCCGCAGACCTCCCCAGCCCCTAGCCCAGGAGAGAGAAAGCCAGGCAGGTAGCCAGGGGGACTAGCCCCTGTGGAGACTGGGGGGCTTGAAATTGTCCCCGTGGTCTCTTACTTTCCTTTCCCCAGCCCAGGGTGGACTTAGAAAGCAGGGGCTACAAGAGGGAATCCCCGAAGGTGCTGGAGGTGGGAGCAGGAGATTGAGAAGGAGAGAAAGTGGGTGAGATGCTGGAGAAGAGAGGAGAGGAGAGAGGCAGAGAGCGGTCTCAGGCTGGTGGGAGGGGCGCCCACCTCCCCACGCCCTCCCCTCCCCTGCTGCAGGGGCTCTGGAGAGAAACAATAAAGAGATTCACACACAAGCCAAGCTGGCCCCTGTTGTCTTGACTGCCAGGTCTCCTGTGGGGCCCCTGGGGCCCTGTGATACAACCTGTCACCCTGAGATGGACTATACTGACCTTCTACCCAGCCAGACTTTCCCCAGGGCCTCGCGCCCACTTCTGTTCCCAGAGCCACCTGGCCTTGATGTCTGTATGCAGTGTATGGGGCAGGGAGGGCTGGACAGGGCTTTTGTTGGGGAACCACAAATACCTCTCGTTAGGCCCCAGTTCCAGGACTGCACCCCTTGTGCTCTCTACTACACCTTCAGGTCAGCCAGGCTGGGGGACACCACCTGCTATTCCTTTTGAAGGATGTAGCTGCTCCCCACTGACTGGCTCTGAAGTAGGGCTCCCCCAGTCCCTTCTTCAAAGATGCCAACAGCCCCTTTTTTTTCTCTCTCTCTTTTTTTCTTTTTGAGATGGAGTCTTGCTGTGTCACCCAGGCTGGAGTGCAGCAGTGTGATCACGGCTTACTGCAGCCTGGACTTCCTGAGCTCAAGCGATCCTCCCACCTCAGCCTCCCAAGTAGCTGGGACCACAGGTTCACACCACCATGCCTGGCTAGCTTTTTATTTTTTGTAGAGACAAGGTCTTTCTGTGTTGCTGAGGCTGGTCTTGAATTTCTGGGCTCAATTGCTCCTCCTGCTACCTCAGCCTCCCAAAGTGTTGGGATTACAGATGTGAGCCAATGGCCTCTTTCTATTAACTCCTTCCAATACTATTTTTATACACAGGAGCCAATTCAGGAAAAATAATGTTTGGAAAAATGGAAAGATCTGTTCTGTGCTTCGATAAGAAGGTTCAATACTCTGAAGAGAAGTCAATTCATTTTCCATTCATCTATAATTTCAATGCCATGCAATCTCAATTAAAATACCAAATAAAAATTTTAAGAGAATTGGAGAAGATGGGAGGGGAGTGTAAGACGTATGAAAAAAATTAGGAGGCTGGGCACAGTGACTCCACCTGTAATCCCAGCACTTTTGGAGGCTGAGGTGGGAGGATCTCTTGAGCCCAGGAGTTTGAGACCAGCTTGGGCAATGTAACGAGACCCTGACTCTACAAAAAATAAAAAATTAGCCTGGCATGGTGGTATGAGCCTGTAGTTCCAGCTACTTGGGAGGCTGTGGTGGGAGGATAGCTTGAGCCCAGGAGGTCGAGGCTTCAGTGAGCTGAGATTGTACCACTAACTCCAGCCTGGGTGACAGAGTGAGACTCTGTCTCAAAAAAAGAAAAAGGAAAAAAATTAGGAAATCATAGAAAGAACATCAAAATATATTAGAAGGCTATGATAATTAACAGATTTGTTAATGAAGAGGAAATATACAAATATTAATGAACAAAATAGTGTGTTTAGAACAAGACTCACATACAGGAGACATACACATGTTAAAGGAGGCATTTTGAATTTGTGGGGAAAACTTAATGATTCAGTATAGGGTTTGGAGCACTTTGATAGCTAAGAGGTGGGGTAGGGGGCAGAGTGAAGGCTGTCTCTCTTTTACTCCTTCTAAAAATATTCCAGTGGATCAAAGATGTAGGAAACGATGGATCCATGTAGGCCTCAGCCTTCAAGTTTCTCCTCTGAGATTTCAGGGATTATCCTTTAAAGGAGTCAGGAAGAGGGTAGAGATCACAAAGATAATAAGCTCAGACAGTTTGTATGTTAAATAAACCTCAGGAGGTTTTAGTCTTAAGGTCCTTAATCTGACCTTCCAAACTGACTTTTCCAGAAACTTCCAAAAGCCTCTCTGGTGTCTCTTTCTTCCCCTCCTTTAATGTGGCCCTGGCTCACAAGTCACCCCTCTCTCTAAGAAGTCCCCTTCTCTGTTTTATTCTTCAGCTTTGCCCCAGGAGGACCTGGGGTGTAGCCCCATGTCCCCTCCCTCTGCCACTGGTGACTCATGGTCATTTCATTCCCCTCAGTCCTCAAATAGGGTGAACCCTACAGGCCCCAGAACTACCCCAGTCAACCTGTAGAGAAACTCCACAATGACCCTCACAGGAAATGAAATTGAAAGTCCCATTTCCAATGTCTTTGTACTGGGATGGAGGAGGAGGGATGGGTAAGGGGCTTCTTATCCTTGAGTCTGTTGGGGGCCCTGGAGTCTGAGCCAGCTTCTCTGTGTTGGAAACACCTGGACAGGGCTGGGCTCAGGTGGATTAGAGGGGGTGTGTATATCTGTGAGTAGTTTCTGGAATCCTTCTTTCCCCTGAATGAGTTATGTGCACTTATCTGTCCCACAAAGGATAAAGGGACACATGGGTTAGGGGAGGTTTTGGAGGCAGTTCCCCTCCCACCCCCCAGCCCACCAAATGCTTAGGTATAGACTAGTCACTAAGGTGGAAGGAATGTAGGAATCTCAGGCTCTCAGAGTCAGACCTCAGAAGGCTCCCAGGCAATGATCCTTGAGGTGCAGAAACCCCCTTCTCAGCCCTGCCCCACATCCTTCATGAGCATTCCTCAAACTCTGCCTGAATGTCTCCAGAGCCCGAGAACTCACCGCTTCTTTGGTGGCCCCTTCCAGCTGGGGACAGTTCTGAAATAAAGCTCTTCCTTCTCAGCACACCTGTCTCCTGTGACTGCTACCCACTTGTCCCCAGAGAAGAAAGAAGGCCCAGAGCCACCCTCTATCCCCCAGGTGGGGAAGGATTCTTTGAGCACAGCCTGCCTGGAACTAGAAATTCTGGTTCTAATCTTTGCCTCTCTTCATAAGAGCTGAGCTGTGACCAAGGGAACCCAGAGAATGGGCAAATACAAACCAAAACAGATTTGGGTTTCCACCGGCTGCAGTGGCTCACATCTATAATCCCAGCACTTTGGGAGGCCAAGGTGGGAGGATCACTTGAGCCCAGGAGTTTGAGACCAGCCTGGGAAACTGCAAGACCCGATCTCTACAAAACAAAACAAAAACCCAACAACAGGGGCGGGGCACGGTGGCTCACACCTGTAATCCCAGCACTTTGGGAGGCTGAGGCGTGTGGATCACAAGGTCAGGAGTTCAAGACCAGCCTGGCTAACACAGTGAAACCCCTCTCTACTG
Organism: Homo sapiens; assembly: GCF_000001405.40. NCBI lineage: Eukaryota > Metazoa > Chordata > Mammalia > Primates > Hominidae > Homo > Homo sapiens. The sequence continues at coordinate 219,429,797 of NC_000002.12, forward strand.
AAAATACAAAAAAAAAAAAAAAAAAAAATTAGCCGGGCGTGGTGGTGGGTGCCTGTAGTCCCAGCTACTCAGGAGGCTGAGGCAGGAGAATGGCATGAACCCGGGAGGCGGAGCTTGCAGTGAGCCGAGATCGCGCCACTGCACTCCAGCCTGGGCAACAGAGGGAGACTCTGTCTCAAAAAAAAAAAAAAAAAAAACACCTCCACGGCAAAGCCTCTTCCTGCTCCTTGGGCTCTGGGGTCTTAACCTTCAAGACTCTGAACATCAAGAAGTAACAGGGCTCATAGAATGCTGATCGGCTTCCCACCGGACCCAAAGGATCAGGCCCAGACCAGCTCTGACCCCAGCAGACAGGGTGTAATGGAAGGGATCATGGAGGCAGGCACCATATGCCAGGACTGATGGATCAGCAGACATTTTCCTGCCTGTCTGTCCACTCCAGGTATATTTTCACCCCCGTCCCTTGAGGCCCCTGTCCTATTCTACTCATTCACCCCCTCCCTCCTTCCTCTCACCACAAGCTCACCCAAGGCACATCTGCAAATGCTTCAATAACCTTCGATTTAACACCTAAAACGTCAGCTACCTAAGGGTAGAATTTTAATCCATTTTATTCACTATTGTATCCCAAGTGCCCAGAAGAATGCCTGGAAGAATAGTAGGTACTCATTAAATATTTAAATACTTAATGAATGAATACCTACTGCGCACTTTTACTTACTTTTCTCTAAATTAAATATTCACCAGGAAGGGCTGATGGCCCCCACTTTATTCACTGATTCAATGAACACTTACTGAGATTTTTCCCATGTGCCAGGCATGTGGTACATCATTATGGCTTAAGAAGTGCCCAGTGGCACCTCCAGAGAGGTAGGGTGACCTGCAAAGGTCACACAGCAGTCTGTAGCAAAGGAGGACTGGGCTCCAGGCTCCCTGGCCTCTGGAGCTCAGATCTCTTTCCATGACACCAGAGGCTTGTGATCGCAAGACAGGGCAGACTGGCAGCACACACACCCAGCTAGGCGCCAGGCTGCAGGGCACTGTGGGGCCCATGCTGAGGGACAGACGAGTGACTTGCAGCCAGCTGTCCCAAGTGCCTGGCCTGGCCTGGCCAGAGCCTGACGGCTTCCAGCTGTCACAGCTAGTGTGGGCTCCTCCCAGAAGAGGGCACCAGTGACTTGCATGGACTTGTGCCCTCCCTACCCAGGCCCACAGACTCCTGCACGCAAATCAACGAATGCCCCAATTATGGATCTAGGAAGGCAGAAGGCAAGTCATGTTCCAGGCTCTGTGCCAGGCCCTTTTAAATAGTTAATCTTCATTTGAATATTTAATATAATAATTTAATGTCATTACTACAACGTAAGTCAGATCATGTAATTCTTCTGCTCAAAGCCCTAAGATGACTTCTCATTTCACCAGGAACAAAAGCGCCATGGCCTGCAAAATTCTAGGCCATCTGGCTTCTGCTGCCTGTCTGACCCATTTCCTTCCACTCTCCCCTTGCTCCCTCCATCCTCTCTGGCCTTCGTCTTGGAGCCCACCAGGCATATTCCCACCTCTGCCAGAAGCAGCCCTCCCCAGACATTTGCATCATTTGCTTTCTTACTCAAGATTGGCTCAAATGTTCCCAGTGGGGCCAACTCCAGCCACACCCTATTTGAAAGTGCAATCTCCCACCACACTCACATTTGCCTTAAGCTTTGTCCACAGTGCTTACCTCCTTGTAACAATCTTTACAGGTTCTTTCTTTTCCTTCCTTCCTTCCTTCCTTCCTTCCTTCCTTCCTTCCTTCCTTCCTTCCTTCCTTCCTTTCTCTTTCTTATCTTTCTTTCTTATTGAGATGGAGTCTCACTCTGTTGCCCAGGTTGGAGTGCAGTGGTGCCATCTCGGCTCACTGCAACCTCTGCCACCCGGGTTCAAGCAATTCTCCTGCTTTAGCCTCCCAAGTAGCTGAGATTACAGGTGTGTGCCACCAGGCCTGGCTAATTTTTGTATTTTTAGTAGAGATGAGGTTTCACCATGTTGGCCAGGCTGGTCTTGAACTTCTGACCTCAGGTGATCCTCCTGCCTCAGCCTCCCAAAGTGCTGGGATTACAGGCGTGAGCCACCGTGCGCAGCCTATTTCTTTGTATTTGTTGTTCATCTCTCTTCTCAAGTAAAAGCAGCATGGGAGCAGAAATCTTTGTCTGTTCACTGCTATATCCCTAGTCCCTAGCACAGTGCCAGTACATAGTAGAAACTCAAAAATATTTGTGGATGAATAAATAAAAAAATTATGGATGAATAAATAATTAAAACCCTGAGTTGTGCTACCTCCATTCTATAGATGAGGAAACCGAGGCTTAGAGATGCTAGGTAACTTGCTTGAGATCGCATCGTTCATTTATTCAACCAACTTACTAACCAGCCAACATTTACAGTCTACCCACTGCATTCCACACACATTTAGAGGCACAGTGTTGGGTGGCTTTGGGTTATTTGTTTTTCGAAATACTCTCTATTCCTTTTTTCTTGATGTACCATCTGTTTGCAATGACTTCCCCCATATTGTCACCTTCTAGAATTCAATTTACACTTTAGAATTCGATTCATCATCAGTGGTTGCCAGAGGTTGGTGGAGGGGGTCTATGGTAGAGTCTATGACTCCGAAGGGGGTACATGAGCTAGTATTTGGGGTGATGGAATTGTTTGCTCTGTATGGTCCTGGAGTGGCAGATACATGATTCTATGCATTTGTCAAAACCCAGAGAACTGCACCTCATAAAAAAATAAACTTTAGGCCAGGCACGGTGGCTCACACCTGTAATCCCAGTGCTTTAGGAGGCTGAGGCAGGCAGATCACCTGAGGTCGGGAGTTCGAGACCAGCCCGACCAAAATGGAGAAACCCCGTCTCTACTAAAAATACAAAATTAGCTGGGTGTGGTGGTGCATGCCTGTAATCCCAGCTACTCGGGAGGCTGAGGCAGGAGAATTGCTCGAACCCGGGAGGAGGAGGTTGTGGTGAGCCGAGATCACACCATTGCACTCCGGCCTGGGCAACAAGAGTGAAACTCCGTCTCAAAAAAAAAAAAAACTTTAATGTATGCAAACTGTAAAAAAAATTATTCCTCAAGGTTCTTAACCTCTATGGATGTAATTCAGTGTTTAAATGGTTCCTCCTATACCTTTTACACACTGTCTCTCGCGCTCTCTCTCTTTCTCTTTGACTTCAGTATCCCAGAATGAGGATGGGGAAGAGGAGGCAAGGGTAAGAGTAACATTCTCTGCCTCTGAATACTCATGGCTCCTCTCAGCCCTTCCTGGGTTTCATCCCTCAGGGCTCAAGGTCAGGCCTGGGTCTCCTACTTGGACTTCTTAAAAAATTTTTTACTTTATGATAACTGTAGATTCACAGGCAATTATAAGAAATAATGCAGAGAGATCCTGAATTACCTTCACTTGGTTTCCTCCTAGGGTAACATCTTGTATGACTATAGTACAGCATCACAACCAGGAAAGGGGCATTGGTATAATCCACCTACCTTCTGCAAGTTTTACCAGTGTTACATGTACTGTTAGTGTTGCGTACAAGTGCAAATGCACATTTAGTTCTATGCAACTTTATCACTTGTGTAGATCCACATAACCACCACCATTACCACTGTCAAGATACAGAACTGTTCTGTTTTTGTTTTGTTTTGTTTTTTGAGACAGAGTCTCACTCTGTTGCCCAGGCTGCAGTGCAGTGGTGCCATCTAGGCTCACTGCAACCTCCACCTCCCAGGTTCAAGCGATTCTCCTGCCTCAGCCTCCTGAGTAGCTGGGACTACAGGCATGAGCCACTACACCTGGCTAATTTTTTGTATTTTTAGTAGAGACAGGTTTCACCATGTTGGCCAGGCTGGTGTTGAATTCCTGAGTTCAAGTGATCCACCCACCTCGGCCTCCCAAAGTGCTGGAATTACAGGTGTTAGCCACCGCGCCCAGCCAAGATACAGAACTGTTCTATCACAAAGGTCTCATCTGGACTCTTGATGTTTCTCAACGTGCAACACTTAGGCACATCAGAATCAGTTGAGTCATTTGTTAAATGTGCAGATTCCTCCCAGCTCAGCTGCTGAACCAGTGTGGGGCAAGGAGGCTGGGAATCTGGCCTTTACTTGAACTGGCCGTCATTTCTATCCATCCTCCACTTTGTGGCCGCCAAGAGGATCCTCCTAAGACACAGCTCCCACCGTGTTTTTTCTGCCGCTTAAAGCTGTGTAGTGGCGCCCCCTGCTTTCAGGGTAGAGAAACCAAAGCCTTAGCAAACAAAGCCTTCTCCAGGCCCCACCTCCCTTCTTCCACTCACCCCACCCACTACGCTTCAATCCCTCCAAACCTCTCTAATTCCCAGGACGCCTTTGTTTTCATCAGGCTCATTTTGTTCATGCCGTTCCCTCTGCCTGGAATGTCCTGCCCACTCTTTTCTGCCTATTGCAACCCTATTCCACCACCCATTCTTACAGATGAGGACTTGGAGGTTGAGAGAGGTTTGGTGTCACCCAGCAAGTAAGGGCAGGGCGCAGTGGAGGCCCCAATCCACCTGACTCCCAGGCTCCTGGTCTTACTGTTCGCCAGCTGTAATGGAGGCGCTGGGGGAGGCCATGGTCCCTCTTCGGAGCTGTCTGCTCACCTCCACTTGGGCCTGCCTCCCCATCCACCTCTCAGGCATCTCACCAGGACCGTTCCTCTTCTTCCCCTCCCAGCGAAGCCGGGCAGGGATGAGGGGTCTGAGATGAGGGAGGAAGGGAAATGGGATTGAGCCCAGGGGTAACCTGACTCCCTGCAGTGGGTCGTGTGGGGGCCAGGCACACTACGGAGGGGAAAGCCTGGAACAAATACCGAGGGACTCCCTTAAGCCGGGCCGGCGATGGGGGCTCCTGGAGGGAGAGAAGGAGCCAAGTGGAGTCAAGTCCCTCCCCTGCTGCCCCCTCCCTCCACGGCTCCCTCGCAACCCGAGCCGGGGGGCCTAAAAATAGCCCCCAGGCGCAATCGCCGGCCGCCCCGGTGACCTTCTGGGTAGCACAGGCCGAAGGCGGGCGGGCAGCAGGAAGGCAGGCCGCCGGCCCCCCAGACTTGTCTCCTAGGGCACCGTCCCGCGGGTGCCCCCGTGGCCGCCCAGTTCCGGCGTCCCCCCAGCCCAGCTCTCAGTGGCCATGCAGAAAGCCCGGGGCACGCGAGGCGAGGATGCGGGCACGAGGGCACCCCCCAGCCCCGGAGTGCCCCCGAAAAGGGCCAAGGTGGGGGCCGGCGGCGGGGCTCCTGTGGCCGTGGCCGGGGCGCCAGTCTTCCTGCGGCCCCTGAAGAACGCGGCGGTGTGCGCGGGCAGCGACGTGCGGCTGCGGGTGGTGGTGAGCGGGACGCCCCAGCCCAGCCTCCGCTGGTTCCGGGATGGGCAGCTCCTGCCCGCGCCGGCCCCCGAGCCCAGCTGCCTGTGGCTGCGGCGCTGCGGGGCGCAGGACGCCGGCGTGTACAGCTGCATGGCCCAGAACGAGCGGGGCCGGGCCTCCTGCGAGGCGGTGCTCACAGTGCTGGAGGTCGGAGGTAAAGGGCAGGTGGGGGCCGCGCCCGGCAGGGGCGGGGTGCTCAGAGGTAGAAAAGGGCTGCCCAGGCCACGCGGGTAAGGTACTGGATACTGGTTCCGCCGCCTTCTTCCCAGGTGCCCTGGCTTCTCGGCTGCCCGGCCCCAGAAGTGAGACGAAGAGCCAAGTGCAGGGAATGGGGTGTCAAGGTAGAGAGGCTCCCCACAGGAAGGTCAGAGGTCAAGGGGCAGCAAGCGGTTGATAAGCCAAGCCTGAGACCCACTCCCACCTCTCAGGGAATTCTGGGGTGGAAGTTCTTCTCCTCCTGTGGAGAAAAGCCTCCTGGGGGAAAGGGTGTCCTTCAGTTCCATGATTTAAACTTGAGATTGACACTCCGATCAGCTCCTTAACAGGGGAGTCCATGTCCGAAGGAGGGGGCCAGCTCCTCTGGTCCAGGCTGCACTGTTGAAGGGATGGCTCAGAGCTCCCTGCAGGCCATTGCCGTGGCAGGGTTGATGTGGTCAGCTCTAGGTGGGGTGTGGAAGAGGCCTATGGTTGGCCACGTGTGAACAGGGTCCAGGGTAGGAGGAGGTGGAGCCCGAGCCAGGGCCCCATGGGCATGAATGGAGGTGAGTGCTTGAGAATCCACATGCAGGTGTGTGCCTGCATGGGTGCTGTGGAGGGCCCTGGATTCTGTGTGGTGGTGCAAACAGGTGAGGTATGGGCACGTGGAGCTGGAATGGGAAGCTCCTGGACCATGTCTACCTGAGCTTCCAGAGTGGATGTTTCCAGAGCATGGAAGGGGGATGCTATGGACCAGTGCTTGTCCCCCGCCCATAGATTTCCAGGTGCAGTGTGAAGAAAAGGCTGAGGGTCTGAGGCAGAAGGGGAGGGCAAGAGGCTGGGCCCAGTGCTCATGGTCCAGCTGGGGCTACCATGGAGGCCAGGCCAGGGCCGTTAGCCTTGGATCCATTTGGGGGCTTCCTTTTTGATTTCCTCAGTCCTTGAGTAAGCCAAGTGGTACTTCTCTAGCCAAAGGCAGAGCCTTGGGCAGGCTGCGCCTTGAGAAACAGAATTCTGAGGAAGTAGGCTACAGCTGGGAGAGATGGCAAGGAGCTGGGGGTTCACTCCCTTGGACGTTTCTAAGAGGGACATGTCACTCCCCTGGGTGCTGCTGTGTAGGGGTAAATCCTTGGAGGCTGGGGAGGAGGCACAGGGAGGAAAGCCCTCAGCAGCAGGTGGGCAAGAAGTCTCTAGGACACAGCCAAGTCAGGAGAGGGAGCCGGGCTGGCCTCCCTCCATCGGCATCTCCTCCCCCCAGCCCTGCTCTGCCCACCTTCCTGGAGTCTCTGTGGCCAGGCCTGGGCCAGAGAGGGCCAAGGCTGGCGTCTCCTGGTTGGCCTAGCACCTGGACAAGTACAGGCCTCCCGAGCCTGGGATCAGGGGATGGGGTGCATTCTAGCAGACTTCGGAGCTGGGGAAGGTGTGGACTCCTTGGGGATCTCAGCTCTGGTCCCCCCAGGGGCAAAGAGGGCTGAAAATAGAACATAGATCAAAGGGTAAGATAGATGAGTTGATGAGAATATGACTGGGGGAGAGATTAGGGAAGGGAACGAAAGAGCTGACAAGGAGAGTAACAGTCATAATATAAGTTAAGGTTGGAAAGGACCACAGAGAACTGCAGCTCCAAACACATCCTTTCACAGGCAAGGACACTGTGGGCCAAAGATCAGGGAGCTCTGCCTAAGACGTACTAGTCTAGTTAGAGACATAGCTAGTTATGGCCATCCCAGAACTAAGAACCCAGTCCTCCTGGTTTTGGTTCTGGGGGCCTTGTACTCCTCAAGAAGTTCTGGAGAGAGAGGAAAGAGCGAGAGAGGGAGGGAGAGTACTGGGAAAGTAGCTGTCACATGATTGGCCCAGGCCTGGCATTTCTCAAGATGGATGTCTCCTGGCCTGCCTTGGTCCCTCAAAGTGGTAAGTGGTGATGAGGTGTGAGAGCCCCCAGCAGGGCTGTTTGCTCAGCCTCTCTGCAGTCTTGGTGGTGTGGTCAGCAGCGCTGAGCCTGGCTGGGCGTACCTAGACAGAGGCCAGGCTGACAGTGTGCAGGCTGGGCTGCTCTGGTGGAACAGCAGGCTTGAGAGGCTTGGGGTAAGAAAAGGGCCCTGGGTGTTGTGGGGCTGGATCAGGGGCCCTTTGACATTCATATGAGAATAGGAAGAGGACTGGGCTGCAGCAAATAACCTTTGAGAACATGTCCTGATTGTGTAGATAGAAGGTGGCAGAACAGGTGGAGGCCTCAGTCTGTCCCACTGCAAAGAACCATGTGTGTAACTATTACACCTATCCCACATGCTTTGGAGGAGGGAGGGGCTTTGCTTTGGTGATGCTGGGGGACTGACTGGGTGAATCTGGCTTCCTATCCCTTCTGTTGCCCACCCCCACCAGCCCCTGCCCAGTGATAGCTCCTGCTCCAGGGCAGCCGGGCAAGCAGCTCGGCATTGCTCAGACTTACTCATGGAAAACTTTCTTGGTTGGAAACAACAGCAGGAGGACTTCAGGGTACTCGAGGAAGCCAAGCAAGGACCTGGCTGCAGACGGAAGGACATGCTTTCCTGGCTGGGATTGCTGGCTCAATAAGACAAAGTGATGCTAGGTTCCTGGCACTCCTGAAGCCGGATATGTTAGCTCAAGGATGGAAGGATTTGGGCATGGCTCTGGAAAGTTGGGGTCATGAGAAGGCAAGTGGGCTACAGCCTGGAAAATTTGGAGGATGGGAAACTGGGGGTGGTGGTGCTGAGATTTGGGGGATGTAGAAATGAGGGAAGAATCGGAAACAAAGGAGGTGAAGATAGCAGAAATGCAGGATACTTGTAGAATCCTTAACATGCGTAAGTACCCTGTCTCATTTAATTATTTAATCTTCCAAACCCTAGGTTACTGTTATGACCATTATTCATATAGAAAAACTGGGGTTCAAAGAGGAAATTTACCTAAGTTCCCATGGCTAGTGAGGTGCCAGAGCCAGGTCTGAAAGCCAGGTATCTGAGTCTGGGTCCATACTGCTTGTCCACAGAAAGAGAAGTGTGGGAAGACTGTCAAGGATTTGTCATCGTCACCATCTTTCTCCGTCAATATCTCCAAATCCATCTCTGGCCTAGTCTCCAAGATAGGCAGGCATTCTTCTTTTTCAAAATATCAGGCTCCCACTTGCACAGGCTGAGGAGCCACATGCAAATCCAGAGACCACAGCAAGTGCTACCCTCAAAGCTGTGGGTGTGCGTGTGTGGCTGAAGAGCAGACCTGCACTAAAGGGCAGAGGGGAAGCAGGAGAAGGCACAGCCGAGAGAAGAGGTGAGCTGATGATGCTCACATGGTGTGTTAGTTGGAGCTTCATAGCTAGGGTCTGGAAGATTCTGGTGTTAATCAGAAGGGCCAAAGATCAAAACATGGTAATGAACCATCCTGGGGACTCAAAGGCTTGGAGAGGAGAGCTTAGAGATAGGGAGAGAGGGCCAACTTAGGCAAGGAAAGGGTAGAGGAATGTACCAGAACCTGTGTTGAGGAATATTCTGCAGTTATTCTTTTTCACCTGGAATTTAGAATGTCTGGCTAGAGAAGCCAGGTGGAAAGTAGTATGGAGCTGGGAATGGGTATGGGGAGTGTCAACATGCATGCATGCCAAGTGCTGACCAGTGAGCGGAGGAGAGGCCAGAGTGGGAGCAGAGAGGAGCTCTGGGACCCTCTCCAGGGGAATCCTGAGTGGAATGAGAGATGGTCACTTTTCTGGCTAAAGACCTCTGGGGACAGAATATGGGTTAGGACAGAGAAGGGGGAAGGCTGGATGAGTGGAAGCCGTTGCAGGAAGATTTACTGTCCCCGTTCCCATCACTGCTTACCCTCTCCACCTGCAGCTCTGCCACCCCCTCCCATATTTATTGAGTGCCTACTATGTGCTTTTGATACACGAGTCAGGGGGTTGAGGGAGACCAAAATTTATGTCCTCCAGGGGATAACTTTCTAGTGAGGGGAGACAGACAATACACAATAAACATAGTAAATAGGTAAATTACACAGTATGTCAGAAATACAGAGCAGGGTCGTAAATGAGAGAAGGGAGAAACTGAACTGAGGCAGGAAAGAGGAGACAAAAGGGAGGTGGGGTGGGAGCTTGTGGCATAGGATGGAGATTTGGATTTTCTCTGGTTGGAGGGAAATGCTGGCAGTGCAGAAATTGGAAGTCTGGGTTTGGGGGAGTGGCAGGGAGACACAGCTGCCCAGCTATGGGAGAAAAATGGGGCAATCTGGGGCCAGCTGGGGAGGCCCACCCAGAGAGCATGTTCCAGGCCAGCCCTTCAGGAGTGAGCAGTGCCGACCCAGAGCAGGAACACAGAATCCTGCCGGCCCCTCCTGGGCCCAGCTGTCCCGTCACTCACGCCCGCTGCCCATTGGTTATTTTTGCTACGGAATGTGCCAGCCCCTTGGATTCTCCTGGGGAACAGGGGCTCAAGTTACCCCCTCTCATCACTCAGCTCCCCATCTGTGAGTGGGTGTGTTTAGGGGTGTACATGGAAAGTGCCCATGGGTGTCCAGGGTCCTCTGGCTGGAACGAGTGTGGACACACATATGTGCCCTCTCAGCACACGTCCCTGTGCATGTGTCTGTACTTGTAATTTGCTTTGATGCTCTAGGAAACAAGAACACCTGTATGCACCCAGAATGTACAAGACATGACCTAAACTTTAGAATAAAAGAGCAGCCAGGTGCGGTGGCTCATGCCTATCATCCCAGCATTTTGGAATGCCGAGGCAGGAGAATAGCTTGAGCCCAGGAGTTCGAGACCAGCTTGTGTAAGATAATAAGACTTCATCTCTACTTAATATTTTTTTAAAAATTAGCTGGGCATGATGGCATGCACCTGTAGTCTCAGGTACAAGGGGGGCTGAGGTGGGGGGAATCTCTTGAGCCCAGGTGGTCAAGGTTGCAGTGAGCCATGATGGCACCGCTGCACTCTAGCCTGGACAACAGAGTGAGACCTAGTCTCTAAAACAATAAAGAAATCTAAAATAAGATAAAGGGGCCACAGACTCAAATAACTGCAGGGGTCAAGTAGAAACTGAAAATGAGGGAGGTGCGCTGAGCTCAGGCATGATTGCTCCAGCCCAAACATTGTGCAGGCTGAACAAAACTCATCAGTCTGTCCCTGTATTTATTTTATTTTATTTATTTATTTATTTATTTATTTATTTATTTATTTATTTAAAGCAGAGTCTTGCTCTGTCACCCAGGTTGGAGTACAGTGGTGCGATCTCTGCTCACTACAACCTCGCCTCCTGGGCATAAGTGATTCTCATGCATCTGCCTAGGTTGGAATTCTGGCTCCCTCAATTTATTGGCCATGTGACCTTGGGCAAGTAACCTCTCTGTGTCTCAGTCTTCCTCTTGTCGTGAGGATTAAATGAGCTCATTCACATAGAGTGCTTAGCACAATGCCTGGTACATACCAAACACGCAATAACTGTTAATAGTTACTTAGTAGTCACAGCTCAGAAATCAGGATTGGCACTACCTGTGCTCACTGGGATGATAATTCCCATCTCCAGGACACATGGAGTCCTAGAACCTGTATGGCTTTGACTAAGTGATAGGACTTCTCTGAGACTCAGTCACTTGTCAGTTAAATGGGTATAGGATTATTCATAAGGGTTTCCAGCTCATGGGGTTATTGTAAATGAGGTAACATTTGTAAAGTGCCTGGCACTTAGTAACTGCTAAACAAACATAGCTATAATGGTCATGGGGAGGATAGAATTTTGTGTATGCAAAGTGTGCATAGTGCTGAATAGGGCAGGGATCGGGTGGAACACACAAAATATTTGGTGAGTGTGCTTCCCTGTGATTGAGAACACTGGCCAACTTTGTGAATAATGGGGGTACCTCTGTGCACCTTTGCTTGTGTGTGTGAATGTACGGGGGTAGGGGGCCGCGCATGGGACAATCGCGAGGTAAGGCAAGATAAAGCCCTCTCTGGCTTTCTTGAGAAGCCTTAGGGTTTTCACAGTCTGAGTCCATGTTAACACGCAGTCCACACCCGCCAGGACCCTTGCCCTGCGTTTGACCTAGGCGCCCCCACCCGGCGCTGTGCCCTTCGGCGAGTTCGGTTCTGCCTGGCACAGTGTGTGTGCGCGCATGTTTGTGGAATGAGCAAGTCGAGATGCTGCTGACCTTCCAGAGAGGCCCCGCGGGAGGAGGTGAGGGTGGGAGGAGGCTGCGCTGGGCTGCCAGAAAGTGGCCTGAGCTAGAGGCCATTGCACCCCTTTCTGTGCCTCAGTTTCCTCATGTGCCTAGGGCTCCGGAGGCAGATGCAGGGTGGGGGTCCGTGGCTCTCGGCGTTAGGAGGTGACCGGTGGTCGTGTAGGGAGGCAGGTGAGGGCCTCCCCGGGGGAAGTAGGGGGACAGGACAAGGAAGGGGCCCCAGGTGGGGTGCAGGCTGGCGAGGGAGGGGCGGACTCCAGCGCCGCCGCCGCCGCTGCTGCCGCCGCCGTCGCCGCCTTACCCCCACCCGGCTCCCGAGGCCCCAGGCTCCTTCCGCCACCCGCGCCGGCTCCCGCCCGCTCCCCAGCTCGCCCCCGGCCCCGCCTCCGACTCCGCCCCGCCCCCGCCCGTCCCCTCCTCGCCCGGCCGCCGGCCCGGCCCCCTCCCCCGCCATGAAGAAGCTGTGGGTGAAGAAGCGTTTCCAGGTGAGGGCTCCGGGGGCGGGCGGCGCCGGGAGGGGGCAGGGAGGCCTGGGCGCCCCGGAGGGAGGGCGGGTCACCGCAGCTGGGCCCGGTGGAGGGGGCGCTGGATCGGCGCCTGCCCCACCCGAGCCCCGCCGAGGGCGGCGGGCCGGGCGCGATCTAGGGGCGCCCGGGTCTGTGTCCTGAGCGCGCAGGCCCCTCCCCGCGCTGAAGGGCAGATCCCCCGCTCCCCGATCGCCCGCAATCCCCGCGACCACCGGGGAAGGCCCCCGCTGCAGCGTTCGGCGTGGAGCGCCCACTTGCTTCTTTGCCACATCTTCTCTCTCCTCTGTCCAACCTCAACCCCGGGCCCCGGCCCCCCGCCCGGCCTGCCCCAGCCCCCCACTCTGAAGCTTTCCATCTTCCGGAGCTCCTGAAAGCAACGCACACGGATCCGCGCTGAGCTCAATACATTCCCCAAGCCCTGCCCTGTCCTCCGCGCACCTGGGCCTCCTGCATTCGTGAGGCTCTGGCCCTCTGCCCCCATCATCCCTCCCCCACCCCCTTGACACCTACCCAGGTTTCTGTCCTCCCCCCAGCAGGAATCTGTGCCCTCGTTCCTCCATCTCCCAGTCACTCAAGCACCCCGCCCCCCGCATCCCCATCTTCTCCTTCTCCTCACTGAGCCTGACTACCTCGTCTTCTATCCTCTTTCTCTCGGGCTGTTGCCCTGGTCCCGGGCTGTTGCCCTGGTCCCGGGCTGTGAGCCTCTGTCCAGTGGGATGTTCCAGCTTCCACCTGCAGCCTGCAGTTCTCTCCTTCCTCCCCTGCTCCTCCCAAGAGCCCAGCTGGGTACCCTGGAAGAAGGCAGGGGAGTCATTCCCTACAGGGGAAGCTGGTCACTCTGGGTCTCTGCCCACCTCCCCTCTCACACACACACTGGCCAGGGAATGAGTTTCTGCTTGATGTTGCAGGTCTGGATGGGAGGCACAGGGACCTTAGGAACAAGCCTCCCCCTCAACTACTCATTCTGGCTTTTCTCTTTCAGAAAACCGGCCATTCCCGCCGGGCCTTTGGCCGACTCACCCATGGTGCGTGGACCGTGGGCGTCCTTGCTCTAGCCCATGCCTACTCCTCCTCTTGGTCCCTGTCCCTCTGTGAGGCATCGAGTTCCTGAAGACAGCCCATGAGATGTGGAACCCTCCCACTCACCCCCACACTTATCTACCACCCACCCGACCAGGCCCCCTGTGCCCTACAGCTGAGAGAGGACCCAGCAGAAGGGAGGGCGGCTCACTAGCACACCCCTGCATGGACTGGGTGCCCTGTTCTCCATGTGAGGCCTAATGGGAAGGAGTTCATTGCCATGCTTTGGCAACCAGTACGTGGCTCCTGCTTGTCATGGCAGCCAGAGGGAAACTGAGGCACAGAACCTGCTAGAATCTGGGAAAGTTGAAAATACTCCCAGGAACCTTTTCTCCTAACCTAACCACTGGGCATTTTTGAGGACGATTCAACAGTAGAAGGGAGGGACCTTGAGGAAGGTGCCTGTCACATCATGATGCAGACAGATAAGGGGTTGGTTTGCAAAGAGGGGTCAAAGCACAATGCAAATATTGTAATAGAGGGTGGGCCTGACTCCTAATGGGAGGCCCAGGTCTGCGGCTGGACTGGACACAAGCAGGTGTGTGTGTGTGTGTGTGCATGTGTGTGTGTGGCCAGTGGCAGCACCAGTAAGTGCCAAGGATACCAGAACCACTGGGGCAGCTGGAATAACAAGCCCAAGTATGGGGGTCCCCAGTGCTGGGCACATCCCAGGTATCTCCCTCCCCACCCATTGCCACAGGACACCTCTGGGGACTGGGTGCCTCACGCCCCTTCTGTCTTGACTGCCCTCCATGCCCTGCCCCACAAACGCTCTGATAACAGTCTGTCCCTGTCTCTCTCCTGCTGCTCCTATGGAAGCGAAGTTTTCCGCTCCTGCAGAAAGCAAAGTTACGGTAGGAAACTGGCTCCTGCTCTAGCCCCCCGCATCCCCCCCTTTCCCACCCGGCCCCGGCCTCTCCTCACCCTGCCTCAGCTGCACCCGATGCCTTGCAGCTGGTTTGGGGTAGAGGACAGGCTGGCCCCGCGGTTGGTCGAGTGCCCTGGCAGTACGACTCTGAGGTGACTCCTCTTTGTTCCTGGGGTACTGGAACCCAGACTTTAGAGCCTTGGAACCTAGGACCTGATGATTTTGGGGCTGCACAGGGGCTTAAGCTTTCACTGACAAGGGGAGGAGGGAGAAGGGAGGAGGCTCTGATAATCCATTAAGATATTGGCAGGCGGGGAGGGGGTGGCAGTTTGGAGGGCCCTACGGAGGTAAACGTGAGTAACCAGGGGCCCAGAGATGGAGCCAGGGCACTGGCATGGGAGGGGTTATCCTGAGCAGCCCAGGCTGGGCAGGGGATGTGGGGAGCAAAAGAGAGGAGGTGCTGGCAGCCCTGCCAGTGATAAGATGGAGCCTGCTGTTGGCAGGGAGGCAGAAGGCAATAGGGAAGAGTTGGAGGCAGAGGGAGGAGGGCCCTGCCCACACAGACCCCTTCTTCTCCAGACTCAGAGACGGCTGAGGATGACATCAGCGATGTGCAGGGAACCCAGCGCCTGGAGCTTCGGGATGACGGGGCCTTCAGCACCCCCACGGGTGAGCTCCTGGGGTGTACAAAGAGCAGGCAGGCGGGTTTTCCATAAGGGGTGCCTCAGTCTCACGGTGCTCCTTTCTCTAGGGGGTTCTGACACCCTGGTGGGCACCTCCCTGGACACACCCCCGACCTCCGTGACAGGCACCTCAGAGGAGCAAGTGAGCTGGTGGGGCAGCGGGCAGACGGTCCTGGAGCAGGAAGCGGGCAGTGGGGGTGGCACCCGCCGCCTCCCGGGCAGCCCAAGGCAAGCACAGGCAACCGGGGCCGGGCCACGGCACCTGGGGGTGGAGCCGCTGGTGCGGGCATCTCGAGCTAATCTGGTGGGCGCAAGCTGGGGGTCAGAGGATAGCCTTTCCGTGGCCAGTGACCTGTACGGCAGCGCATTCAGCCTGTACAGAGGACGGGCGCTCTCTATCCACGTGTAAGTAACGGCCTTACCTGGGCCTGAACTGCCCCATCTCACCACGCTGTCCTGCGCTGCCCTCACTGCTCAGTCAGCCTCCACCCATCACCCTGCCCCATCCATCTCTCTGTGCATTTCTTCACCCCCTGCTGCCACTCCATCTTCCCACACTGCTCCCTCCTCCTCCTGAGCCATCACCGCCCACATCCCCCTGCTCCCACCTGTCCTGGCTCACCATGCCATCTCCATGGTCTCCTGGACCCTGCTGTCCCTTCCTTGTCTCCTCCAAGATCTCCAGTTTCTCAGGGGCCCTCTTTTGCCTCACCCATTTGGGCTCCAGTTGTCCCCAGGATCCCTCCCCCGACCCGGGGGCCCCCTTGGTGCCTGCTGTCTCAGCAGCTGCTGCCTTTTCATCTCTCTGCACATTCCTGTTCCCATGTGGGCCTTTTTCTGGGAGGAACAGAACCTTTCCACACGGCAGCTCCCGGGAGAGCAGGAGAGAGCAGGGGAACAAGCCAGCAAGCAGGAGAGAGAAGAGAGTGAGGTGGCCAGGGGCAGATGGGGCAAGGGGCCTGTGAAAGCAGGAGGCCATGGGCTGGGGGTGGCAGGGGGCTGGGAAAGGGAGGGGCTGGAAATGGGGCCAGGCCAGAGGGAGAGGGCGGGAGTGATGGTGGCAGGGGGCTTGCAATGATTTCTCTCATGGGAAACCCCTAAGTCCCTGAGGGTGGGATTCAAGGTTGTCCCAGGAGGGGGTGTGAGGAGCGGAGGTGTTGGAGGCACTGGAGCCATTTTTGGAGATTTGGGGCTCGCAGATACAGGAGGGAGTGCTATAGTGGAAGAGGGGAGTGGCTGAGAATAGAGGGACTAGGGCATTTGGGGAGCTGAGGGGGGCCTGGTTTGTGATGGGTATGGGTGTGGGGGCAGCTACCACCGTGCAGGAGAAAGAAGGGGCCTGGTGGGGGAGGCTGCTTTGAGGGTGGTTAGAGCAGGGCTAGCGGTGGGCAGGGGAGAGGGCCAGGGCTGGGCCACGGCCAGGGGGAGGCTCCCTTGGCTTATCTTCTTGGCCTTACCCGGTGTTCCTGTGCCCTGGACTTGCCTTTCCCTTCCTGCCTTTCTTTACCAGGCCCCAGCCAGAGCCTGGAGTTGCTATGGCAACTTCGGAGGAACCCATTTCCTTAGTGATGTCTATGGTACAGAGACTGGCCTGGAGCTCAGAGCTGCCGGCAAGAGGCCTCCTCTGCTGTCCTCAATTTCTCTCCAGGCCTCACCCACTTCCCAGAGGCTCTTCCCTGGGGACTCTGCGGCCCTTCCCCCAGAGAAGACACTTCCTCCCTGCAGGTGGCTGGCTGGGGTTTCTGTCTCTCAGGCCACTCTGCATTGCCACCACCCCTTTTAGCCCCAGTCAGAGGTGGGTCTGTCATGTGGGTGGCTGACTCAGGTAGGCTAAAACATCCTTAACTCGGGACCCCTAGAACTGCTCATGGCTGGCACCCTACTACTTGTCCTCCCTTCTGTGCCCCTGGAAACCCAGACACTTTGGAGGAAATAAGGGCTCAGGATTCTGACTGCCTGGGTTTCAATCCTAGCACCAATCATTTCCCAGCTGTGTCACCTTGGTAAGGCATTTAATCTTTTTTATGCCTCAGTTTCTTCATCTGTAAATGGGGGTGATCACAGTTCTTACCTCACAGGGCTGTTGTGAGTATTAAATGACTCAATGCATTTTAAGCACTTGGTACAAGCCTGGCACTCAGGAAATATTCAATGAGCCATTTTACAGATTTTTATTAAGCTCTCTCTGATGTGTCAGGTATGATAATACATTTAATTCCTTTTTTTTTTTTTTTTGCTTATCTTTATGTGTGATGTGCCCCCTCACCCACCCCCTCCTCCCCGCAAGGGTCCAGATGGGGAAAACTGAGACCCAGCTCTTGGGCACCAAAGCTCTGTTAAGTGAAAGGGATACTCTGGGGTGACCGGCTCCTTCCCTCCTCCTTTTCTCCCACACTCCCTATTCAGGCCCACTTAGTAGCTATTTCTGAGCTGAGTTATTTCAGAGCATATCCCTGTGGGGGGGGGCCTTCTGTACTTCTCAGGGGGGATTTCTAAGGACTCAAGGTAGCTTTGCCAGGGGAAGCACAAGTCAAAGGCCTATCGGGGGGCAGACTGAGCAAGGAGAGTAGGAGCCTGGGCATCCCGTTGCCACCTGCTGTGTCCCATCAGTGCTCGGGGTGGCGGCAGGTATAGGCTCAGGTCTACACAGCAGCTAGGGAATCCTAGGGATGGGGCACTGCCCCCCAAAAGGCTTGTGCCTGGTCCAGGAGGCTGTTGCTTGGCTTCCAGGGACCACTAGGAAGGGGTGTGCCCTGCTGATGATGGGCAGGGGTGTGGGGGCCAGCTGGGGGCTGGAATGAGTGGGTGGCTGCATTCCTGAGAACGCCCCTCCCCACCCCACCCTCTTGTCTTCCCTCCCCACTTCATCCTTTGGGTCCTAAGCCTCATTCTTTTCTCTCCCTCATGCTCAGTTCTGTTTCCGCTGTTTCTCGGCTTCCAGGGCTGGGGGGAGGAGGCTGGCCCGAGTCCTGGGGCTGAGTCTGTACCAAGACCCAGCCATTAGCCCAATCTTGTGGTTCCAGAGCCGCCGGCCTCTCCCCAGCACCTGCTCTGGCTGTGCGCTCCTCGTGGGGGTGGGGGTGGGGGGCAGGAGGATCTGGCCCATGTCACCCCCAAGCCTGCCCAGCATGCCCACCACCCAATTCCTGTCACAAGCTAAGGGTCTAGGAGAGGAGGCCCCCTGAATCCTCTACCCTTCTCCATCTTGGTTCTGCAGCAGCGTCCCTCAGAGCGGGTTGCGCAGGGAGGAGCCCGACCTTCAGCCTCAACTGGCCAGCGAAGCCCCACGCCGCCCTGCCCAGCCGCCTCCTTCCAAATCCGCGCTGCTCCCCCCACCGTCCCCTCGGGTCGGGAAGCGGTCCCCGCCGGGACCCCCGGCCCAGCCCGCGGCCACCCCCACGTCGCCCCACCGTCGCACTCAGGAGCCTGTGCTGCCCGAGGACACCACCACCGAAGAGAAGCGAGGGAAGAAGTCCAAGTCGTCCGGGCCCTCCCTGGCGGGCACCGCGGAATCCCGACCCCAGACGCCACTGAGCGAGGCCTCAGGCCGCCTGTCGGCGTTGGGCCGATCGCCTAGGCTGGTGCGCGCCGGCTCCCGCATCCTGGACAAGCTGCAGTTCTTCGAGGAGCGACGGCGCAGCCTGGAGCGCAGCGACTCGCCGCCGGCGCCCCTGCGGCCCTGGGTGCCCCTGCGCAAGGCCCGCTCTCTGGAGCAGCCCAAGTCGGAGCGCGGCGCACCGTGGGGCACCCCCGGGGCCTCGCAGGAAGAACTGCGGGCGCCAGGCAGCGTGGCCGAGCGGCGCCGCCTGTTCCAGCAGAAAGCGGCCTCGCTGGACGAGCGCACGCGTCAGCGCAGCCCGGCCTCAGACCTCGAGCTGCGCTTCGCCCAGGAGCTGGGCCGCATCCGCCGCTCCACGTCGCGGGAGGAGCTGGTGCGCTCGCACGAGTCCCTGCGCGCCACGCTGCAGCGTGCCCCATCCCCTCGAGAGCCCGGCGAGCCCCCGCTCTTCTCTCGGCCCTCCACCCCCAAGACATCGCGGGCCGTGAGCCCCGCCGCCGCCCAGCCGCCCTCTCCGAGCAGCGCGGAGAAGCCGGGGGACGAGCCTGGGAGGCCCAGGAGCCGCGGGCCGGCGGGCAGGACAGAGCCGGGGGAAGGCCCGCAGCAGGAGGTTAGGCGTCGGGACCAATTCCCGCTGACCCGGAGCAGAGCCATCCAGGAGTGCAGGAGCCCTGTGCCGCCCCCCGCCGCCGATCCCCCAGAGGCCAGGACGAAAGCACCCCCCGGTCGGAAGCGGGAGCCCCCGGCGCAGGCCGTGCGCTTCCTGCCCTGGGCCACGCCGGGCCTGGAGGGCGCTGCTGTACCCCAGACCTTGGAGAAGAACAGGGCGGGGCCTGAGGCAGAGAAGAGGCTTCGCAGAGGGCCGGAGGAGGACGGTCCCTGGGGGCCCTGGGACCGCCGAGGGGCCCGCAGCCAGGGCAAAGGTCGCCGGGCCCGGCCCACCTCCCCTGAGCTCGGTAAGGCCTCAGGGAGGGCTGACAAGGTGCCTGAACCCCCGTCGGGGGGCGTTTGTGGAGAGCAAGACTGCTCAGCAGGAGCCGGGGGGTCGGGGGTTTCGCCTGGGGCTGCTAGCCAGCTGCAAGGGTGGGTTTGCCAAAGAAGGCACAGACACAGGCTCGACTTTGAGTGAAGGATTGTCAAAGTCCTTGTGCTAGGACTGCTACTGGTGAGGCAGAGCGTGAGTGTTGTGATGGAGGCTAGGTGAGGCTGAGATGTGAGCTAAGACTGGTGCCCAGATGCCCGCCATAGCTCCCCTGGGTCCAGTGGCCTGCTAGGCTGTTGGATCAAGAACCACTACTGGGGGGATGCACTGGTGGGAACCTAAGGACCCCCCTCCATACCCCCAATCCCTCTGTTGGGGAGAGATGGTAGATGGTCTGAAATAATTTTCAAATCCCTGTTACAGACACGCTTTGTGCCAGATAACTCTTTACTCTGCCTCTCCCACCCGGGCACCATCCCCTGACCCATGTGTGGCCACCCAGCCTGCCCTTCTAGCCTCCTCACCTCAGGCTTACACCCCGCATGGCTGAGCTCACTGTGGTCCCTACACAATGCCTGCCTGTGTGTTGTCTCCCAACCTTCCCATGGATGATGACCAACACCACCAACAGGAGAATGGCTCTGCACCCCACCCCTCATCCTGCACATCAACTCGAGGCCCACTCCTGGAGAGAGGCAGAGGAAGGCGTCCTTGACCCACTTCCACTGCTCCTCCAGAATAGATGCCTCTACCTGCTGCTCCTGGGAGACCCTGCCAGGATCTCTTTCATTGCACTTACCATACTGTATTTTTCTTCATCAAAATTATTTTGCATTTAAGTATTACCACCTTAGAATCTTTAGAGATAATTAGGCCCCTGTCCATCATCCTCCTGGACACCATTATTGCAAACACACAACTATGTGCCAGCATTGTGTTAACTAGGCCCTTACAGATGTTATTTCATTTCAGCCTATATGTCAGTTTCAGAGGGTCTTTTCCCCTCCATCTTACAGATAACAAAACTGAGGCTCAGAGAGGCTAATTTGCCCAAGGTTTTGTAGCTAGGAAACAGCAGAATTGGGATTTTCACTGCTTTTTTGGCTATGTACATTGTCCTTTATCTAGCTTATGGAATGTCAGAGTTGGAGAATGCCCAGAGACCCATGACAGTGGAGTTTGTCATCTCTCTGTATGTATGAGCTTCCTGTAAGCAGGGACCACTGGTCCTTCCTCTAGTGTTCTTGGTACCCATACAGTACTCAGTATGCCGGGAGTACAGGGTCACTATTTGGTGAACGGATGAAATCAAATCTGATCTTCGTAGGCCTCTCAGACTGCCTACCATTCACTCTTTTGAATCTGACGGCTTCACACATTTGACAATTCACCTCGTGTTGCTCTGTGACACCGCTGTTATTGCTTAAGTCTTGGGTTGCTTTTAGCTTGTTCTTTGTCTGTTTGAAAGCTTGTGCCCCTCCAGGTGCCTTGCATGGGGCCTGGTACGCCATACATGATGGCTGACGTGTTAAAGACATACACAGTGCAGTCCTGTCTTTCTCCAGAAGCCAACGCTCTAATTGTGGATGAAGTTGAGGAACGGCCACACTAACATGGAGTCAAGGCTGCCCTGACCTGTTTCGAGAATGCTCCTTCTGACTTCCTTTTTTCCCTAAGGACATTCAGGAGGCAGACCCTCTTCTCCCCAAGTCCCTGCTTTCTAGAAGCCCCTCTGTCTGGGTTTGGCTTTCTAGGATGCAGGCCACCAGGACTCTCTCTCCCGCTGTCATCCCTGCAGGGATCATGGCCCCTTACCCCGTTATTCCTGTGTCCGGCAGAGTCTTCGGATGACTCCTACGTGTCCGCTGGAGAAGAGCCCCTAGAGGCCCCTGTGTTTGAGATCCCCCTGCAGAATGTGGTGGTGGCACCAGGGGCAGATGTGCTGCTCAAGTGTATCATCACTGCCAACCCCCCGCCCCAAGGTGAGCTCCAGCACTGGGCCAAGGTGCGGTCGAGGTTGGGAGGGGGTGTGTGAGAAGGGAAGGGGAGGTTCCCCCGGACTCCTCCAAGGGAGGGGTGGGAAAGAGGGGAATTATCCCCTCCACGGGGGCTGCCCTGACTTGGGTGTGTGTTCAGGGACATTTCTCAGGACCCCCGAGAGAAGGGAGGGCAACCTGAGCTTCCCAAAATGAGGGCGGACTCTTCCAGATTCCCTGGGGTGCTGAGAGGAGAGGTTTGGTCTCCTGTGTGGTGTGTGGGGTAGGAGTAGAGATTCTCAGTGGGCGCCTGTGGGCCGTGGCGAGCCGGGTCCCTGTGCCTCCCCACAGTGTCCTGGCACAAGGATGGGTCAGCGCTGCGCAGCGAGGGCCGCCTCCTCCTCCGGGCTGAGGGTGAGCGGCACACCCTGCTGCTCAGGGAGGCCAGGGCAGCAGATGCCGGGAGCTATATGGCCACCGCCACCAACGAGCTGGGCCAGGCCACCTGTGCCGCCTCACTGACCGTGAGACCCGGTAGGGAGCCCATCAACCCTGGGGCTGGGTGGGGGCAAGCCGTGACTCTCCCCTGGCCCAGGCCCCAGTCCACCTCCCTTCCCACTCTCAGCCTTGAGCTTGGGCACCCCGCCAGCATACTTAGTCCATGCAGTCCCTTCTGGGTGTCGGCAGCTTTGGTGAAAGCGTTTTAAATGGCCCTGGCCTCAGGGCAGGGGCCAAATCCCCAAGGCGCACAGAAGGCTGGCCAATTCATGAAGTCAGTGAAATTTGTGTTTAGCCATCCTCTAAATGCCATCCTCCCATGGCATTTCCCTGAACAGGGTCCTGTGGGGAAAGCAAATTGTCCTTGAGTTTCCGAGAAGAAGAATCTCTCCGCTCACAGGGTTTAAGAGCCACCACAAGCCTTCTGAAGTCATTTCCCCTGTAAGACAGTCCCCCCTCCCAGTAAAAAGAGATGCTTTCGAGTGCCACAAGCCACTTCCCCCCTACTTTTCTTGAACCCAAAGTTGTAAAAAGGGTACAGCCAAGAGCACTTCTTGGGCTGGCAGTGCCGAGGCTGCCTTGTTTTCTATTTTTGTGAAAGCCCTTACTTGGTGTCAGACTACTTTCTTTGGGATTCAGCCCAGTTTCTTTCTGGTTCAGCTGGATCAGTGTCGGTGTACATGGCCAGTTCAGCTCATTCAGCTTGCGGGGCCTGACAATGCACTGACCCCGGGCCTGGGGTTCGGGGAGGTGAGGATGGTCAGGGGGTATTACAGAAGGAAAACACACTCAACCCTCAAGGGGGTTCCCACTGGGTGACCAGACCTGGATCAGAGGACCTAGGTTGGGGGACAGTGCGGAGCAGATGGATCTAGTGCCGAGGACATCCGAGCCGTTGCTTAGTGTTCTGGGATGCCTGCGCTGAGAGACGTTGGTGCCCTGAAGGAGGCTGGGATTTTAGACCGGCACGGGGAAGGCGGGACATGCCAAGAGGGGGAACAGCACATGGTGTTCTGTCCCTTCCTTCCATGAAGTGCTGCAGGAGACAAGATGGCAGAGCCTGTGTGCCCATCCCAGGGCCTCAGCACCTGAGCAGTGAGGGAGTTCTTGATGCATCTGATCATAGTCTCGTGCTCCAGTAGAGCCTTTGGTTGCACGGTCTGGCTTGTGCCACTGCAGGTCTTCATCCTCCTTAGCTGCATATCCCTCCCGGGGCCCATTTTCCAGGCTTTCTCCTCCTCCTACCCCTCCTACCCCGCTGAATCATGCCCGTCCCTCCACCACATGCTTCTGTCCTTCCATCACCTCCGGGATCTGGCTTCTGACTCAGCTCCCAGCTCCCCTGAGGGGGCCCAGGCCTGGCTCCAGGACCCCAGTCAATACCTGGCTTGGGCTGAAATTTGGCGAGGGGTGGGATGGGGGTGCCCCGATACTGGCTCAGGGCCATTTGGGAGCCTTTTATGGTTGGAAAGGCAGCTTGGGGCGAGGCAGTTGTCAGCCCTTGACTGAGAGTTCTGTATTTGCGGCATAGAACCTCCTGAGCTTCAGTTTCCTCATTTGTAAACCGGAGATAATGACACCGTCCTCACGGATGAAAGCGAATGTGTGAACGAGCTTTATGAACTGTAAAGCTGTAGACAAATGTTAGTTGTTAGCGTTATTAACGGGTGCTGTTGTGTAGAAGAGCTCAGGTTTCTACAAGGATCTGGGAAGTGCCTTATCCTTCTCTGTCCCTTTCTTCAGCCCATCTGTGCCTTAGGGACTCCACCTCTCCCCTTGGAAGGCCCATATCCTGCAGACCCTCTGTATTTCCCAGCCCCTGTGTCCTCAGCTCATCACAGCATCTCGGCACCTCTGCCCTGGGGAGCCAGAAAGCCTTCATTGCATTAGTCTGTTGCATCAGGCATTACAGCAAGACAGCCACCTCCTTAAGTCAGGCTGGCTCGGGGGCCCCAGGGCCTGGGGGGCAGGCATGTGGGTCCAGACTTGGCTCTGGCTGTTGTGGAGCAAGCTGACTTTCTTACCCTACAAGGCACTGTTTAGTCCAGAGTGGCTGGATGGGGGCCAGTGGACTTGAGAGCAGCAAAAGTGGGTGGAACCTGGGGATGGCA
This sequence comes from Homo sapiens, assembly GCF_000001405.40. Classification (NCBI taxonomy): domain Eukaryota; kingdom Metazoa; phylum Chordata; class Mammalia; order Primates; family Hominidae; genus Homo; species Homo sapiens. The sequence goes on from NC_000002.12 coordinate 219,453,883, forward strand.
CAGACATCTGGCAAGGGGTGGTCCCAGGCCTGGAGTCTGCAGGCAGTGAGGGGTGGGGCCAGGGGAGGGAGTCCAGCAGTTTGCCCGTAGGCCTGGTGGGGAGCAGGTAGAGGGAGGCAGTGGGCAGTGTATTGTGGGAAGAGGCCTGCGTGCAGCCACCGCCCTCTCTTGCTCCTTCCCCTCCCCCTCTTGCTCTTCATGCTGCCCCTGCCCAGTGCTATGGTAACCAGGGCTGGCTGCCCAGTTCCCTCTTGGGGTCCACCCCAACAGGGCCTGCTTTTGAGGACCCACAGATCTCAATTCCTGGTTGGGAGCCATGGTAACCAGGGAATGGATAACTAGAGAATGCGGCCCCATGGACCATGGTTTAGGGGCAGGGTCTGTGCGGAAAGGAGCTGGTCCTCACCAGCTCCCCTGGTCCCTCCCACCCTTTCCACCCCACTGAATCATTCTGTTGAGACCACAGCCATTCTCCCAAAGCGGATGTGTGGATGGGGGCAGGTGGCTTGGGAGTGTGAGAAGTGTGCTTAACCAAAGCATTCCCCACCGCTGCCCACATCCATCACACAAGTATTTATTGAGTGCCAACCAGGTGCCAAGTGCTACAGCTCTCTAAACAGTTTCTTCTGTTTGGACAGTGTCATAGACTTTCCCAAGCCCTTTCACGTCTCTTCCCTGGCGATAACATTGTGCCATACATATCCCTTGGAGGGACGTGTGGCAGGTGGGGACATTCCCATTTTATGGATGAGAAGACAAAAATGTGAATTGAAAAGTGAGGTAGAGCTAGCACCAGGCCAGCAGCCTTTATTTAGCACTTGCCATCTGCCTAGGGATGTTTTCAGCAACAACTGATTTAGGGTGATGGAAATAACTGCCCATGAAGCAAATAAACTTAGTGTGGGGTGCAAATAAAAGTAACATGACTGGGCTGAGTGTGGTGAATCACACTTGTAATCCCAGCACTTTGGGAGGCTGAGGTGGGTGGATCACCTGAGGTCAGGAGTTCGAGACCAGCCTGGCCAACATGGCAAAACCTTGTCTCTACTAAAAATACAAAAATTAGCCAGGCGTGGTGGCATATGCCTATAATCCCAGCTACTCTGGGGGCTGAAACAGGAGAATCACTTGAACCCAGGAGGCCGAGGTTGCAGTAAGCCGAGATCGTGCCACTGCACTCCAGCCTGGGTGATAAAGTGAGACTCTGTCTCAAAATAAATAAATAAATAAATAAATAAAAAATACATGACCAGGTAGCACTTATTGAGTGCTTCATATATACCAGGCCCTGTGTTGATTGGATTATTTTGTTTAATCCAGCCTTATGAGGTAGGTTCTATTATTATGCCTATGTTACGAATGAGGAAACTGAGACTTGGAAAACTTTAGCCAATTGCTCTCTGGACACAGTGGCTGACACCTGTAATCCCAGCAGTTTTGTCTGGAGCAGCATTGATCAATAGACATTTCTGTGATGATGGAGATGCTCTATATGTGTGTGGTCCAGTATGGTAGCCCTAGCTACATGTGGTTAGTGAGCACTTGAAATGCAGCTGCGGTGACTGAGGAACTGCATTTTAAATTTAATTTCATTTTAATAACTGCTTTTAAATAGTCTCAGGTGGCTAGTGGCTGCCTTCTTGGGATGGTCAGCTCTAGGAGCTTAGGGCCAGCTGGAGGCTGGAGCTATGATTTGAAACCCTGTCTCGGTCTCTCAAGCCTACACTCCTAACCATGACACTATCCCACCCCCCTTTCCTGTTGCTCTGAAGAAGTTCGAGGTTGAGGTAGAACTGAGCTCATGAGCTCACTGGGAGGGCACTGGTGATGCCCTCTGTGGGTGGGTCCGACTGGGGGCTTTCTCTTCTTCCTCTATTGACTCCCCACCTCCAGCACAGCTGTGGTCCTTCTGTTTCCTTGCATGCCTGATGTGAGCACACCCAGCTTCCCCACCGTGCGCCCCGAGAGGAGGCCCTCTGGGTGCTGGGCAGGAGGAAGTGGGAGTATGGGAGGCCCCATGGGCCTGGGCCTCATCCTCCCCACCTCCAGTCCTTCCCTCAACTACAGGTCTCCTATATTTGAGCCCAGGATTCTTGCATTTTCCAGCCAAGACCTTGGCCTCTTCATTGTACCTTAGCTGGTCATGGTTTTCTTGGCTGTAAAGTGAGGATCTTCACACCAGCCAGGCCACCTACTTGGTGAGATTCCTGAGGGTCTGTGAGGAGGGCAAGTTGGACACTTGGGACAGAGGATATATAGCTCATCGAAGCCCATTCTGGTCCCACTCATAGAATCAACATGACCACAGCAGAAAATAGGTTGTTTATTGGGGGCCATGAAAACAAAAACAAGGAAGAAAACCTTAGCATCCATGTCAGTCCCTGTCTTCTCTTGCCCCTGGTCTCTGGCCACCTGTGGCATAGTTGCAGATTCTCCCTTGTGATGGCAGTGGCTGCCGTTGGGGAGGATGCCACATGGCCCCCATCGTCAGTCCTCGATGGGGGTTTGGACAACACCAGACAAAGCAGTGTGGCATGGTCCCCTTGCCCAAACTCAGCCCTTCCTCTACCCTCCTGTCTGCCAGAAACAGGCCTGCCTGACAGGTGGCCTCCCCGAAGCTGGTACCTAGAACGGGGGCCATCACTCACAGCCTGTCAGAAGAATTGAGAGCTCATTTACTGTTGTTGCAGCCACTTTTCCTCACCTGGAGCAAACTAACATAGTCATATATAAGAAATTCATCATGACCGGGTGCGGTGGCTCACGCCTGTAATCCCAGCACTTTGGGAGGCCAAGCAGGGTGGATCATGAGGTCAGGAGTATGAGACCAGCCTGACCAACATAGTGAAACCCTGTCTCTACCAAAAATACAAAAAATTAGCCGGGTGTGGTGATGGACGTCTCTAATTCCAGCTACTTGGGAGGCTGAGACAGGAGAATCACTTGAATCTGGGAGGCAGAGGTCTCAGTGAGCTGAGATCATAACATTGCACTCCGGCCTGGGCGACAGTGCGAGACTCTGTCTCAAAAAAAAAAAAAAAAGAAAAGAAAAAGAAAAAAAAGAAAAGAAAAAAGAAAAATTAATCACTTCTGGGGCTAGGTCAGGCTGACCATGTGAAATGATCTGTTGGCTTGTACATTTTGAACTAAGCCTGAAACATTCTCAGTCCAAGGGGAAACATTCATGTCAGCACCCTGTGGAAATGCCCACCTCCTGGCCAGCCGTGTCCTCCCTTTCCCTGACTTTTCCGCAGTGGGGTTACCACAGCAGACATTTCAAGAACTGCCTGTGGAGGACCTACTGAAACAGCACATGTGGAGGGCCAGCTGGGAAGGGCCAAGCCACAGGCAAATGCTTGCTAACCTGCAGCCTATCACTCCCTTCCTCAAGAATCATAAGGAGGAAAAACCGTTTATGGACTGGGTGCCGTGGCTCACACCTGTAATCCTAGCACTTTGGGAGGCCAAGGCAGGTGGAACACTTGAGACCAGGAGTTTGAGACCAGCCTGGCCAACATAATGAAACCCCGTCTCTACTAAGAATACAAAAATTAGCCAGGTGTGGTTGTGGGAGCCTGTAATCCCAGCTACTGAGGGAGGCCGAGCCAGGAGAATCGCTTGAACTTCGGAGGTGGAGGTTGCAGTGAGCTGAGATTACACCAGTGCTTTCCAGCCTGGATGACAGACTGAGACTGTCTCAAAACAAAAGCAAAAACAAACAAACAAAAGAATTGTAAAGAGTCCGCCTTGCCTACAGAGTAAAGGCTGCACACCTTTGTGTGGCCTCTACCATCTGCACCCATAGGGCAAAAGGAGCCAGAGGCCTGAGGCTGGCCCTCGGGTGGCAGTGGGAGGCACCTGCTTGAACAGTGGATGCTCCACTCCTTACTTCTTTACCCAGTTTATAGACAGACAGTTGAGCTATAGTCCTCTGCACACATGGCTTTTGCTTCAAACTTTTCCGCATGCACTTTCCTCTGCCTGGAATACTTTTCCCTTTTTCCTGCAAACTGCAATTCCAATACTGCCTCTTCCTTCAGTTCTCTCTTTTTCCCTGGGCCAAAAGTCATCTCCCGCCTTCTATACTCCCACGCCCCTTACCTGCTGCTCTCTTGCTACCTCATACTTCCTGCTTGCTCTTGTAGTCACTTGTGTATCTGGTTTGTCTTCCCCACCACCCAGAAGGCTCCTGAGGACATGACCATGTCTTTGCCACTCCTTAGCACTGGCAGCTGTGCCTGGGGGCCCTCCTGGACAGTTAGGGGCTGTGTGGACTGCAGAGCTGTATGTGAGGTGGCAGTGAGTAGGCAGAGAGCCCCATGACTTTTCAAGCCCTTGAGCAACGTGGGTGACACACAGAGGTGAGGCTAGGCATGACACCCAGCCACAAGGGTCATGAGGCTCTGCCTATGAGGGGAGCTTGGCAAAGAGACCATGGAGCGGTGGTCCTCAGAGTGAGGCCCCCAGACCAGCAGCATCAGCATCACCTGAGTATGTGTTAGAAATGCAGTTTCTTTTTTTTTTTTTCCCAATAAGCGTTTTGCACTCTTAAGAAATGCAGATTATTGGCCCCAGCCCCGACCTACTGAATCGGAAATTCCGTGGGTGGGGCCCAGCACTCTATGGTCTAAGGAGCCCTCCAGGTGATTCCGATGCACAGAAAACCTTGAGAACCACTGCCATAGAGTTAGAGATTGTGCCCAAGATGGGAGACCAGGTCATGCCAGGGGAAGCACATGGGCTGTGTAGCCAAACCTCCTAGGTTCAAAGCTCTGCTCTGAGGTTGAATGGCCCAGTGAAGGGGGCTTAGTGATACCACCTCTTAGGGCTGTCCTCCTCCCATAAAGATCAGCAGTGGTCCCTAAGCTTTCATGTGCCTAAGAGTCATCTGGGGTGCTTTTTAAAATGCAGTTTCCTGACATCTCATTTCAGAAAATCTAATTCTGCAGGCTGGAGTAAGGTTGAGGAATCTATATTTTAAATAAGCCCGAGGTGGTCCTGATGTGAGTAGGTCAAGTAACATTCTGAGAAGCCCTGAAGCAAAGGGCTGTGTGCGACACCTTTTATGTACTAGATAATTCGCAGTGGTGGCTGCAACTCTGTCTATTGTGAGAACACATCAGGGGACGCTGAAACAGTTGGGGTCGGTGGATGTGCTGGTCTGAGGAGAGGGAGTTCCCTGTGTGCTTCCTAACGCCAGTATTTTCATCAAATGAGTTTGACCTGAGAGTGATGTTGAAAGGGCAGACATGAGCATGGGGTCAGCGTGGGGGATTGGGAGCCAGTGTGAAGGGGCGGTACTTCCGTGGTGGGTTGTTCGGGGCCATTGAGTGTATGTGCCTATTAGGTTTAGGGGGGCACCTGCCCCCTCCTTCCTGGCTGGTGTAACTGTGTTTGCCACAGTGAGAGTTGGGCTTGTGGGTGCAGCAGGGCTGGGATGTCAGGGACTGGTTCCAAAGATGGTTTTTGCTATGTGGCCAGGGAAAAAACTAGGTGGCACCGGATTCTGGTATGGAGCCTCAGGAATCCTCGATCAGCTTCCTTGGTCACTCACTTTTGGAGGTATGGAGGGGCAGAGGCTACTGCCTTGTCTGGAAGAGGCCTGGGCTGCTCTGACAGTCTGTCTCTCCAAGGGGCTTGAGGATGGGGGTCTGCTTCATGGCTAGATGCCCTCCAGCATGCTGTTCCCCTGGGCACCACCAGGGGTCTCTGAGGCTCCCTGCAAACCTTGACCATCTGGCCTTCAGCTCTGCTTCCGTTCCCAGTCCCTGGGCCCGTGAGCCTCCTCAGTACTGTCCAGCCTGGAGGTGACCCTGGGGCAGGACTCCAGGCTCCATAGAGGGGTAGGACCGCCCACCTGCGGAGCCATGCCTGTGATCTCAGCATCAAATGCCTTAAGCACCAAATGCCATTCTGACTTCCCTCCCCAACCCTACCTCAAGACAGCCAGCCTGAACCGTGGGCCCCTCCTCTGCCCGGCCCCCAGCCCTCCTTCCTTACTGGCCATGCTGGGAAACACAGGTCATGGCTTGGGAATGTGGCCCCGGGTTGCGGGGTGAGGTGATAGGAAGAGGGAGAAGGACATGTGACCCCTGCTCAACAGCCCCCTTCTCTCAGGTTCTGTGTCCAAACCCTTTCCCCATCCCAGATACAAATGGGTTCTCATGATAAGGGGCCATTTGGGGGAGGCAGCCCCCGCTGTCCTCTTTAGCGGGGCTAAGGTGGGTGGCGGGCAAGTTGCCAACAGGTGCCCTGGCGGTTTGGGTAGGAAGGCTGGATGTGGGCTTAGGCCCTGTGGTGGCTGCTGGCCAGACCTTCCATGGCAGGGATGAGGGGGCAGAGGTGGGATTCTGGGCCCCCTCAGATTCTTCCCCCACCTCTGTGAAGGAGGGCAAAGATCTTGACAGTTCTCCGATTTTCGGGGCCAAAGAAAACAGGTATGCCCTGGCTCTGTAGTATTTGAGGCTCGTTAGCGCATTCCCCGGTCAGGGATCTTGGTGGTTCCGTCAGAGCAAGGGGCAACACAGGGAACATTTCCCACGGGCACCTTCTTTGGTGGACGTGTCAGAACAAATGGGTCAGGGCAAGTGTCCCTATTGGCACAGCGCAGTGCCACCCCTCCCCTGTCTTGCTCGGGGACGGAGGCCCCACACCTTGAGTCAAGGCACCGCAGAGCGGGCTTTGCTCTTGTCAGGGTCTGAAGCTGTAAGGAGAAGAAAGGCAGATCCCGCGGCTTGGGAGTGAGCAGAGTGGCTAAATCCAGACGGCCGCGCTCCGCCCTCCCTCCCCTCTCCCCTCTCCTCCCCCTCCACACCAGGGCCCAGGCTGCCTGTGGTCTCGGCAGGCACCACCTTCCTAGCCAGCTGCCTGCCGGCCTGCCATCCAACCTCCTCCTTCCCCTCCTCAGGCGCCTTCCCCTCCCCCAGGGCCTTCTCCGTGCAGGGCCTCAGCTGGGTCAGCCGAGTGAGTGGGGCTGGGCAGGCTGGACAGGCTGGGCTCCTGCTCCCTGGGGAGCCACGCTGGGGTGGGCAGTGGGCAGGCAGCAGGAGGGCCTGGTGCCAGGGCAGAGCCTTCAGGACAGGCACAGGCTGGGGTCTGTGTGCAGAGCCTCGGGGTGAGTTGGGGTACAGCCCTGCTGGGGGCTTGGGGTGGGGGGACCCTGGGGAGAACCTAGGGGGCTGTGGCAGTTTCATGTCTGTATTTGGCAGTCGGATAGGAGCCAGCTCAGCGAGACTGGGACCCTGGCCAGTTGCAGGGGAGGGCGTCAGGGCCCTGGGGACACCCCTCCCCCAAGGCTGACTCTGGTGCCCCCCTCCTCTTCCCCCAGGCTGAGCTGCCCTTTTTGGTGGATGACTCCAGCTCTGCTTTCCTATCCCTCGAGCGTTTGGGGGTGCAAGCTGTAGGGCTGTGGCCAACAGGTGCCCCTGGGGTTTGCACGGCAGGAAGCTGAGAAGGGAAAGGGGGAGGGGCAGGCTAGATAGTGCCGCCTCATTGGCCCTGGACCGAGGTCGGGATGTGACTTGTCTGCGGTGTGTGTTCCTCTGCACCAGGCCCAGCTCACCCAAGAAATGGGCGTCCTAGCCATGCTGCTCCAGGGTTCCATAGACCTGCTTCCCCTGCTTTTGGAGCCTGCAGTTGGTAGTTTAGGTCTCTAGTCCATGTCAGGAATGTGGGTGCCCTGCTCCAGTGGAATTCTCCCACCAGGCCCAGGAGTGGCCCCTCTGCTGCCCGAACCCTTTGCCCCAGGCCTTTCCCTATGGTGTCCCCTCCTGGGAGGATCAGCAGGGTCGGTGTTGGCAGAGCCAGTGGCAGAGGAGGTTCCAGGGGCTCAGGGAGGGGAAGAAGCTGGGCGAGGTCGCAGGAGCCTGGGGGTGAAGTCAGGGCAGGGCCGGCCTGCGGGGAGCTGCCGCAACTCCTGGGCTCTGGGCGACATTCCAGCCAGCTCTCCCAGGCTCTCTGCTCGCCTTCCTCCCTGGTAGCTATCTCTGTCTCTCTCCAGGTGGGTCTACATCCCCTTTCAGCAGCCCCATCACCTCCGACGAGGAATACCTGAGCCCCCCAGAGGAGTTCCCAGAGCCTGGGGAGACCTGGCCGCGAACCCCCACCATGAAGCCCAGTCCCAGCCAGAACCGCCGTTCTTCTGACACTGGCTCCAAGGCACCCCCCACCTTCAAGGTCAGACCCCTGAGGCTGGGGCCTAGCCTCCTGTGTGCCCCCGTTCCTTTGGGTGCCCCCTTGTTCTTGGGGCCATGCCTAGGCAACATCAAGACCTGGAACTTTGCTCCCATTCAAACCCTCTTACCCAGAGCCAGTCTCAGCCTGGCTGTGGAAGAGTCCTCCGTCTCAGATTCCACAGCCCCCAGGACCCAAGGCTCTGCCCTGTCTTCCCCTGACACTTTGGGGTACCCCCTTCAGGTCTCACTTATGGACCAGTCAGTAAGAGAAGGCCAAGATGTCATCATGAGCATCCGCGTGCAGGGGGAGCCCAAGCCTGTGGTCTCCTGGTGAGTAGCCGCACTTTCCACCACCCACCAGCGACTCTATGCCAGGCCTGGCTCTGGGAGGTCTGGCTTTGGGTGGAAGGAAATGGAATCTTGGTGGGCTTCCCCATGATCTGCCTCAGGGGCCTCATCTCAGGGACAGCAGTGTACTCCCCCCGGCACCCTGTCCCTTGCCCCATGTTCCAGGCTTATTTAGGGCTTCCCCTTCTGGGGAGGGGTTTGGGTCTCATGTCTGTCCATTTGGGATAAATGACTGGGTGCGGTGGCTCACGCCTGTAATCCCAGCATTTTGAGAGGTGAGGCGAATGGATCACTTGAGGCCAGGAGTTTGAGACCAGCCTGGCCAGCATGGCGAAGCCCTGTCTCTACTAAAAATACAAAAAAATTAGCCAGATGTGGTGGTGCATGCTTGTAATCCCAGCTACTTGGGAGGCTGAGGCAAGAAGATTACTTGACCCTGGGAGGTGGAAGCTGTAGTGAGCTGAGATCACACCATTGCACTCCAGCCTGGGTGACAGAGTGAGACCCTGTCTCAAAAATAAAAATACCCCCTTCCCAAAATTAGCAAGGAGCAAGACATTTCAGAGGCCAAGGAAGGAGGATTGCTTGAGCCAAGGAGTTGAAGACCAGCTTGGGCAACATAGTGAGACTCTGTCTCTACAAAAACTTTTTTTAAATTAGCTGGACGTGGTAGTACATGCCTGTAGACCCAGCTACTTATGAGGGTGAGGAGGAGGATCACTGGAGCCCAGGAGTTTGAGGTTGCAGTGAGCTATGATCATACCACTGCACTCCAGCCTGGACAATATAGCAAGACCCTATTGCTGAAAAAAAAAAGACATGCAACAATTTGTTTCTGAGCTGCCAGCAGCCCCGAGTTAAATGTGGGTCTAAGCAGAGGGGCCTCGCTCATCCCAGGTGCCTGGAAGATGGATTACTCAGCTTGCTAATTTTTTATGGTTTGAATTCTGTTTTTCATTTTTAATTGATTGTCTGGTCCCCACTGTGATTTTTTTTTTTTTTTTTTTTTTTTTTTTTTTTTTTTTTAGCTGGAGTTTCACTCTTTGTCGCCCAGGCTGGAGTGCAGTGGTGCGATCTGGGCTCACTGCAACCTCCGCCTCCTGGGTTCAAGGGATTCTCCTGCCTCAGCCTCCTGAGTAGCTGGGATTACAGGCATGTGCCACCACACCCAGCTAATTTTGTATTTTTTGTAGAGGCAGGGTTTCTGGTCAGGCTGGTCTCGAACTCCTGACCTCAGGTGATCCACCCACCTCGGCCTCCCAAAGTGCTGGGATTACAGGCATGAACCACCGTGCCCAGCCCCCACTGTGATTTTTTTTTTTAACATTGTAAGTTTTTTCATATCCCTTTTGGGAAGTGGGAAAGCTATCTGTCCATTATAAATAAATAAAAATAAGACATGGGGAAGTTTAAGAATTATTAAGAGCTAAATAGGGTCAGGCATGAGGGCTCAATGTCTGTAATCCCAGCACTTTGGGAAGCCAAGAGAGGAGGATCATTTGAGCCCAGAAGTTCAAGACCAGCGTGGACAACATGGTGAAACCCTGTATCTACAAAAAATACAAAAATTAGCTGGGCATGGTGGCGTGTGCCTGTAGTCCCAGCTACTCAGGAGGCTGAGATGGGGAGATCGCTTGAGCCTGGGGAGGTAGAAGCTGCAGTGAGCTGTGATTGTGCCACTGCACTCCAGCCTGGGTGACAGAGGGAAACCCTGTTTAAAAAAAAAAAAAAAAGACAAGAAAAAAGAGCTAAATAGCACGGCTCCACTCTGAATGCAGCAGGGTTCCGAGAAGGGAGAGCTGCAGGCAGTTAGAAGTGACCTGGAAGCTCCTAGAGGTGGGTGGGATGGCAGAGTGGGGGTAAAAACCTAGCCCTGGAAACCAGGGATGCCCACGGTCAGTGGGACAGATCTGGGGACTGGGCAAACTGCACAGGGAAGGAGAGGCCTGCACAGTGCTGCAGCCCCAGTTCCTGTGCACGCACATCAGGCCCCTGGGCCCTGGGACTGAGTTCTTGCCCCTCTGACAGGCTGAGAAACCGCCAGCCCGTGCGCCCAGACCAGCGGCGCTTTGCGGAGGAGGCTGAGGGTGGGCTGTGCCGGCTGCGGATCCTGGCTGCAGAGCGTGGCGATGCTGGTTTCTACACTTGCAAAGCGGTCAATGAGTATGGTGCTCGGCAGTGCGAGGCCCGCTTGGAGGTCCGAGGTGAGTACCTGATTTCTCCATGAATGCCCACCTGGCCCTGGCCCCTTCCTTCCCCCACTGTCTGCTCTCACACAGCCTCAGTTAGAGGATGCCACCACTGAAAGGGCCTTAAGGGGCCCCTAGTCCAGCTGCTTATATTATTGTTGAGTGAACCAAAGCCCAGAGACAGGAAGTGACCTGCCCAAAGCTGCACAGCACATTGTTCCGTGCTCAGCTTACTACACAACACCACCTTCCCTGTTGCTCCATCACGGAGCCCTGGCGGCAGCCAGAGACCCTGCACCTGCCACTGGCCAAGCTCTCTCTACACTCTTCTGAGCCTTTGTCACCCTGCTCTGCCCAGGACCCTCCCTCATCCCCCTCCCCCTCTCCTCTCGCCCCTTTGCCCACCCTCCCATCCCATTGCTGTGCAGAAGCTACTGTGAGGTAGCGGTGGGGAGAGTCTGGTGGCTGGACCCGTTCGGAGGGGCCCTTGGGGTGGCTTAGGCTTGGAGCATCACAGGGACCCTAGGGTGCCAGGGTGAGCACAGCTGTGACGTGTGAAGAGGCCTGGGCCCCCAGAGCCTGGGGCATATGTGCAGGGGCCCTCTCAGGCAGCAGAAATGCCAGGCCCTGGCTAGGGGGCCCTCGAGGGCCATGGGTTTTCCTCCCCAAAGGCCACAACCGTTTATCTTGCCTTCCACCTCACCCTTCGCCTCAATGGCTCCTCGCTTCCTCTCCTCGCTTCTCACTCAGCCCCCAGCCCCTGACCTTCCCCAAGGCTCAGAGCTCAGACCCTGACAGTCATGGTCCCTCTGCTGGCCCCCCTGCCTCAGTTCCCCTCCTCTGTGCCTGCCGTTCCTGTAGTTGCCACTTCCTTGGTCTCCAGATTCTTCAGCCCTCCTCCCCGGCCTGCTTTCTCTCCAGGGCCTGGCTCTGCCTCGCTTCTCTGTATTAACCCATGTCTTGGTGCTTCTTTCTCTTGGGGATTCCTTCCGACACCCCCAGGCTTTGGGGTGCTCCTGATCCCATGAATGCCTGGTTGCCCGGGGTCTCTGCCTGCCCAGGAACCCCGAGGAACCAGTCTCTGGCTAGCTGCCGGCCCTCGCAGCCCAGAGCTGTCCTTGGGGGAGCCAAGAGTGGCAGTGCTGCCCTGACGGTGTGAGAGGCAGCCCTCTATGCAGAAGGGCCCTAGCCAGGTCTGCGTGCCTGTGCGTGCATGTGTGCGTGTGCGTGCGCATGCGTGCGTGTATGTGCATGCATGTGTGTGCATGTGTGTGCGTGTGTGCGTGCGTGTGCATGTGTGCGTATGGGTGTGTGCATGCGTGTGTGTGTGCGCGCGTGTGCGTGCACGTGTGCGTGCATGTGTGCGTGTGCATGCGTGTGTGTGCATGTGTGTGTGTGCGCGTGCGTGCGCGTATGCTGCACTAACCTGCCGCTTGCTGACTGAGGTTTTTGTCTGTACACAGGCGAGTGAGCTCAGGGGGCCACCTGTGCTCCCCCCGCTACCCTCCGAGCCGCGCCCCTGTCTCAGGCACCTCTCGGACCTCGCTGTGTTTCACTGCCTCCTGCCCACAGACCCAGGCCTGCCGGCCCGGACCCGTCCCAGCCTCCCCTCCCCACCCCATGCAGCCCCCAGGGGGATAGCCCATGGGCCCCTGTGGACCCTCCCTCCCCAAGTGGACACATGGCTGTGCAGGCCAGGAGGCCCACAGATGGACTGAGTGCTGGGAAGGGGCGGCTGCGAGGGGTATCAACCCCCCGAGTCTCTCCCTGAAGGGGAGCACCGGGCGAGTGCATGTGCTACTGCTGCTACAGGCCTGTCTATCTGTTTGTCTGTCTGTGTGTCTGTGACAGTCAGGGAAGGATGCCTCGGAGCTGAGGTGGGGTGAGACAGAGTGGGAGAGATTACGGCATGGCATGGAGGGGCCCAAGGAGCAGGGGCTGTTGACAAAGGCCTTACCAGGAAGGGTTAGGACACTGACCATTCTAGAAATGGGTTTCGAATGGCACAACACTTTCTATTTCACAAAAGACCAAAAGCCAGAGGCCCCAGGCTCTGTGCTGATGAACAGCCTGGCTGAGCCCTGGCCCTGGCAGGTTTAGGGCCCATTTGGGGCCCCCTCCTTCTCTGTCAGGGCTGGGGTGCTCTGTCTGGGAATGAGGGAGTTAACCAAGTTTGGTGCAGGAGCAGGGGCAGGGGGCCACTGTAGTGAGCGTGGAGAAATTTGGAAACACCTATTTCTTAACTCAAATAAAGTCCAGTTTGTACCTATCTGGTGTGTTGTGTTTTTTTTTCCCCCGCCGATGTCTCTGCCACCACGTGGCCCTCTCAGTTTCCCCTCCCTCAGTTCCCTCTTGCCTCCATGAATCACCCTCCCTGGCCCAGCTTGGATTGCCATCTCAAAGCCAGGTCTGGGCATGCCTTGCTGTCCTGGCCAGGTGGGTGGGCTTTCCCCATCTCCAGAGAACAAAATGCATCTCTCTCTCTGTGTCTGTCTGTCTCTCTGTGCGTGCGTATGTGTGTCTCCCTCACCCTGTGTGTCTCTGCTCTGTGCGTGGCCCCCGTGGCTGCTTTCCCCTCAGCACACCCTGAAAGCCGGTCCCTGGCCGTGCTGGCCCCCCTGCAGGACGTGGACGTGGGGGCCGGGGAGATGGCGCTGTTTGAGTGCCTGGTGGCGGGGCCCACTGACGTGGAGGTGGATTGGCTGTGCCGTGGCCGCCTGCTGCAGCCTGCACTGCTCAAATGCAAGATGCATTTCGATGGCCGCAAATGCAAGCTGCTACTTACATCTGTACATGAGGACGACAGTGGCGTCTACACCTGCAAGCTCAGCACGGCCAAAGGTAACTCCCCACTCAGGCATTGGGCTGCCGTGGGTGCCCAAGAGCTGGAGGGAGGGGACTGGGGGTGTACAGTAAGATGCCTGGGAAACAGAGCTCCAACCCCGAGGGGAAGCGGGGGAGGGTGGGAGCTAGTACATTGCCTTGGCCTCAATAAAATAAGCACTTAGAATAGTGCATAGCACAAAGGAAAGGCCGCAACAGGGTTAACTGTTCCTAGGAGGGAGTGCATCTGCTGAGGTGAACGTGGGTTCCCACGCCTGCCCTGCAAGTCACCAGCCATATAACTTTGAACAAGTCACTTCATCTCTCTGAGCTTTAGCCTGTTCATCTGTAGAACAGGGATGGTGATCATTCCTCCTCTGTAGAGGGATTGGCAGGATTAATGAGATAGTTTATGTGAAGAACAAAGCACAGGGCCTGTCAAAGGGCCTTTCCAGGAGAGGGTAGGGCACTGAGCATTCCAGAAATGGGTTTCAAATGGCACACCTGCCTAATAAATGCCAGCCATTGTTACCACTGATGCTATCTCTGACCTGGGCCTGCCCACATGGAAGGGCAGAGATTATGGCACCTGCCTTGCTACGTTGTGGGTGATGAAGACCTAAGCGGAAGCTGGAGGGGCTTTAGAAGCAGGAGGGTGCATCGGGTCAACATAAGGGACCCTTATCTCCTCCAGAAGCTTCTTTGAGGGTTGGTAGGTGGGGCCAAGGGGCATCTGCTCTGGGTCTGGGGAAGGTGGCTAGGAGCATGGGCATGACCCCAGCACAGAGGAGAATTCTGAGAAGTAGATGGAGGAGGGGTGGGCTTGGCTTCTAGGACCCTATCAGAGCTGGGCTGTGCTTCATCCAGGGTGGGCAGGGTGAGGGGAGGAGGGGGGAGCTGGGGCCAGGCCCTGGGCTCAGGCCCTGGGCTCCTATGGAGTCCCCAGCCCACCATGGCAGTCTGCACCCACCCTTGCTGACCTCCACCCTCTCGAGGTCTAGTCTCTGGATCTGTGCCCACTTCCTCCCCTGAGTACCCAGAGCCTTTGCTGGGCTCTGCCCAGGCTCCAGCTTCCTGCTCAGCCTTAGGTCAGGAGTGGTGGGTTGGGATGCCTGGGCCTCCTTAGCCTTCCCTATCTCTGAGCTGCCCCCTGCCCCACAGATGAGCTGACCTGCAGTGCCCGGCTGACCGTGCGGCCCTCGTTGGCACCCCTGTTCACACGGCTGCTGGAAGATGTGGAGGTGTTGGAGGGCCGAGCTGCCCGTTTCGACTGCAAGATCAGTGGCACCCCGCCCCCTGTTGTTACCTGGACTCATTTTGGTACGGCCCCTGTGCTGCAGGTGTTGAGGGCCCCCCCAAGGGCCCAGGCGGCGATGGGGTGCACCCAGAGGGCAGGGCCCCTCACTGTGCCTGCTCTGCATTCCCACCCCTCCTTTCTGCAGGCTGCCCCATGGAGGAGAGTGAGAACTTGCGGCTGCGGCAGGACGGGGGTCTGCACTCACTGCACATTGCCCATGTGGGCAGCGAGGACGAGGGGCTCTATGCGGTCAGTGCTGTTAACACCCATGGCCAGGCCCACTGCTCAGCCCAGCTGTATGTAGAAGAGCCCCGGACAGCCGCCTCAGGCCCCAGGTACCACCGGGGCCCCAAATGATGCTGGGGCTGCCTGTGAGGGGCCAGCCCAGCCCTGGGGTGGGAGGCACGGCCCTGGGCCTGTGGGCAGCTGTGTGGTCTTGCAGCTCGAAGCTGGAGAAGATGCCATCCATTCCCGAGGAGCCAGAGCAGGGTGAGCTGGAGCGGCTGTCCATTCCTGACTTCCTGCGGCCACTGCAGGACCTGGAGGTGGGACTGGCCAAGGAGGCCATGCTAGAGTGCCAGGTGACCGGCCTGCCCTACCCCACCATCAGCTGGTTCCACAATGGCCACCGCATCCAGAGCAGCGACGACCGGCGCATGACACAGTGTACGTGTCTGGGAAGTTCCCCGGGAGTGTCCCCTGCAGCACCCACTTGGCTTGCAATGCCCTGCCCCTCTCCCCAGCTCTCCCCAGGCCTTTCCTCTGTAGCCTGACCAGGGACAGGGTGCCTGGGGGAAGGGAACCCGGAGGGACTGTGAGGTCATTGCCTCCCCTGCAAGCCCACACAGCACTCATCTGCTGAGTCACCCCTCAGTGCCCGTTAGCACTGACTGGGCAGGCAGTACTGCCTGCTACTAACCCGCATCGGGCCCATGAGCAAGTTACAGAAGCCCTCTGTGCCTCAGTTTCTCATCTGTAATTGGGTTGTTACGAGACTAAATCAGTTAATGCATATAAGCCCCAGAGCAGGGCCTGGCACCTGGCAAGCAGCTGGGAGGTGTGAAGTCTCAGTATTCTTGTTTTAGTAGCCATTATCATCAGCGGTGGTACTTCCTGGAGACATTGCAATGAAAAAGCAGGTGTGGGCAGTGTCTGGCATGGAAGGGATGCTCTGTCCAGGGTTGCTAACAAATAGCAAATAACGAAGAAGGGGCCAGGGGAGACACAGAGGAACGTATTTGGGTTGGTGTCCTCTTAGCCTGGGATACTTTCTTATGGGAGCATCTCAGTTCCATCCTTGAAGGAATCTGAGTCTTGTGTGAGAAGGTCTGCCCCCCTCCCATAAGACAGTGCCCACTCTTTGACCCACGATGATTTCCTCTTATGGCTGCAACATGACAAAGATCACTTTCATTAAGTGCTTTCTAAGTGCCAGGTCCTGAGAGCTAAAGGTATGACAAGGACCATCTTACCTTGCCACAGGCCTATAAGGCGGATACTATTAGCCCCATTTACAGATGGGGAAACTGAGGCTTAGAGAGATACAGGAAGCTGCCAAGAGGCAAGAAAGGACTGTCTGACCCTGGTGCCCAGCTCTTAACCAGGATGTCCCTGTCACCCATGCTGCATCCTCCCTGCCCACCCGCCTGCCCATCTCCAGTGATGCCACCCCGGCTCCAACCCCTGCCCACAGCCTCCCATGACTGTCATTCTCAGCAGCAGGCCTCCCTGTCTCCCAGTCTGCTCTGAGGCCCTGGGTGAGTGTCTGTCTCAGGATCTAAGCTGGCGTCTCCGCTTCTGCCTGTATCTGGGGTCACTGGCAGCCCTTGGCTTCTCTTCTCTTATAAATAGTGTCAGCAGAGATAAATGAATGGGTGACTGTTCTATGCAGAGATAACTGCAAAGAGAAGGGAAGGGTGTCTAGGGACAGCCCTGACATGAAGGAGGACAGTGCAGGCCTCCTCTCTGTGTCTTCGCCAGAGACAGCCTCCTTATCATCCAGGGAGCAGGGAGTAGGGAAAGAGCTTTGGAATCACATGGTACCAAGGTCAAACTATCATTTATTAGCCGTGGGACCTTGAACAAGTCAATATCTCTGACCTCATTGGTAAAATGGGGATAATTTTGTAGAGTTGTTGCAAGGATTCACGAGGGGGAAAGCATGTCAGGTACCTGGTATAGGCTGGGCACAGAGCAGGCAACTCTTGTAATATATCATAGAATGTATTTGGTACTTACTGTGTGTGAGGTTCTGGGTCTGGTGGGACAAGCAGATCTGACAACGTCAGCCCTCTCTTTAAGGAGCTTGCAGACCAGGTCAGGAGCTATGACTGATGCAAGAGGAAGAGCCCCCGCCCATGAAAAGCAGCGTGGGCCAGTGCCCATCGATGTGCAGGCGAGAGGGTTGGGGTCCTGGGAGGAGTCAGAGGATGAGGGGTAGAGAGCGGGCCAGGGGCAGGGGGGCTTCATGGGCTGTACCCACTTAAACTATGTCTTGAAGGACAAGGAAGCCTTAGGTAAGAGGAGAGCATTCCCCAAGGGAGGAATGTTGTGAGCAATGACCTGCAGATGGAACTCGGTGTCTCGTTCAGGGGCCTGATAGTTAGCCAGCATCAAGATGCAGAGGAGCAACAGAGACGTGGCTGGCAGGGAGTTTGGGTTGAGGGCTTTGCTGTCCTCCTGGAGGGCTTCCCTGCAGCTGTGCTGGAGACAGAATGGCAGTGGCCTTGGGGATGGAGAAGAAGGGCTTAGGGGAGGGGCCTTGGGAACAAAGCTTTGTTCGAGTTTTGACATAGAGGTTGTGACCATGCAGAGGTGGGAAGACGAGGGGCCAGTCAACAGAGGCAGGGACCCCAGAGGGTGGCCCAGTGTAGGAGGAAGAGAAGATGATAAGTTGCCTGGCCTGACACACTGGAGGGACAGACCAGAGGGGCCAGGGCAGATGTAGACTTGGAAGCCAGCCCGGGCCCAGACCCAGACTTTGCTGCACCATGGATGCACTTCTTGCTGCCTGCCCCATCCTTGCCCCATCCTTGCCCACTCGCCTCCTCCCTGCAGTGGATGGGGGTGAGGGACCAGGCCCGGGATGGCATGGGCCTACCCCTCAAGGTATCCTCCGGGCTCAGGCCCAGTGTCACTGTCCCTCCCCTCCCAGACAGGGATGTCCATCGCTTGGTGTTCCCTGCCGTGGGGCCTCAGCACGCCGGTGTCTACAAGAGCGTCATTGCCAACAAGCTGGGCAAAGCTGCCTGCTATGCCCACCTGTATGTCACAGGTGAGGCAGGCACCCTCGTGGTCAGCTGCACGCACAGCCTGGCCTCTGGCACTACGTGGGGGCTCAGGGAAAGGGGCCTCCACCCAGCTCCCTTCCCCTCCATCCCCTGGGGACCCTCTTGCCTTGCCCCTGCCCCTGCGGCTGAGCCCCCAGGCCCTAGCCTCCTGCCCTGAGGCTCGGTGATCCTGTGGGGCTGTTGGGCCCTTGGACCCAGCAGACATTCGAACTGCGGCTTTCAGATGTGGTCCCAGGCCCTCCAGATGGCGCCCCGCAGGTGGTGGCTGTGACGGGGAGGATGGTCACACTCACATGGAACCCCCCCAGGAGTCTGGACATGGCCATCGGTGGGTCAGGGCTGCACAGGGCCATGGGTGGGGAAGGGGTGTGGAGAAGGCAGGCTCAGGCAGGACACCATGGGGGCCAGGCCCCAGAAGCGGATGGGCAGGGGCAGGAGCTGATGGAATGCTGGTGGGACCAGCTTTGCCCGTCTTCTCTCCACGTTGCATGGGGCTCTTGCTCTGGGTGAGGAGAGGAGGCACGGGGCACTGCCACATTCCCTTCCCATCCTCAGAGTGGGTGCCTGGGTCAGGACTTGCAAATGCCCTCTCCTCGTCTTGTCCAGGATCTCCTCCCGCTCTGCCTCAGTTTCCCTACCTCAGGTATCAAGGAATTAGAGTTCAATTCCAGCCCCATCTGTGCCTGTACTGGTACCTTGTTGGCTCTTAACCTCCCAGGGAAGTGGCTGGGCAAGAGCAGATGGGGGGACAGGCAGGAAGCAACAGCAGAGACTGAGGCACGTCATCAGAGCAGACTAATGATGAGTTCCAGGGTCCCGGGCCAGCTGGATGGGGAGGGGTTACTGCTCCTGCAACAGCAGCCTCTAGTAGCTCCTCTCCCGCCAGACCCGGACTCCCTGACGTACACAGTGCAGCACCAGGTGCTGGGCTCGGACCAGTGGACGGCACTGGTCACAGGCCTGCGGGAGCCAGGGTGGGCAGCCACAGGGCTGCGTAAGGGGGTCCAGCACATCTTCCGGGTCCTCAGCACCACTGTCAAGAGCAGCAGCAAGCCCTCACCCCCTTCTGAGCCTGTGCAGCTGCTGGAGCACGGTGAGCCTGGGTGCTCCTGTCGGGTGGGGGTGGGAGCTGCTGGGATGGGGAATGGGGGCCCTGTGGTGGAGGCTCAAGGGATGGCCTGGACATGGTAACTGGCAGGAGCAGCCTAGCCGGGCGGGACCTTGGCCCATCTGTACACTTCCTTCTCCCTCCTGAAAGCAGCAGGGCACGGTGGCTGAAGCTCAGGCTTTGGGATCGGGCCTGCTGGGGTCCAACCCCACAACCTCAGCTTTGCTGCTCTCTGGCTGTGTTCCCCTGACAAATCGCTAAACCTCTCTGAGCTTCAGCTTTCCCATCTGTAAAAACGGAACTCAAGTGTTGATGAGGGGTGTTAGAGGAGTGGTGGGTGCTGAGGACCTGATGTCAAGCCCAGCACAGAGCCTGCGCTCTCCTCCTCCCAGGCCCAACCCTGGAGGAGGCCCCTGCCATGCTGGACAAACCAGACATCGTGTATGTGGTGGAGGGACAGCCTGCCAGCGTCACCGTCACATTCAACCATGTGGAGGCCCAGGTCGTCTGGAGGAGGTGGGCCCCTTTCCCACATGTGGCAGCCCAGGTCTGGCCCAGCCTGGCCGGAATGCCCTGGGGCAAGATCTGGGTGACCTCCCTGTCATGTGTCCCCTAGCTGCCGAGGGGCCCTCCTAGAGGCACGGGCCGGTGTGTACGAGCTGAGCCAGCCAGATGATGACCAGTACTGTCTTCGGATCTGCCGGGTGAGCCGCCGGGACATGGGGGCCCTCACCTGCACCGCCCGAAACCGTCACGGCACACAGACCTGCTCGGTCACATTGGAGCTGGCAGGTGGGTGACAGCGGGCCTTCTTCCTAGCCTCCCTCCAAGGCCCAAAGCTCTCTACTCACACCCCCAGGTACACAACCTGCCTGACACTGCTGCAGATCCAAACCCATGTCCTCTGGTCAGGCCTGTCCATGTCATGGCTATACAAATACCATATTAGTAATAATGACAACAATCATACTAACAAGATTTATTGGCCAGACGCGGTGGCTCACACCTGTAATCTCAGCACTTTGGGAGGCCGACACAGGTGGATTACCTGAGGTCAGGAGTTCGTGACCAGCCTCGCCAACATGGTGAAACCCCATCTCTACTAAAAATACAAAAATTAGCTGGGTGTGGCGGCAGGTGCCTGTAGTCCCAGCTACTTGGGAGGCTGAGGCAGGAGAATCACTTGAACCTGGGAGGCAGAGGTTGCAGTGAGCCGAGATTGCTCCATTGCACGCTAGCCTGGGCAACAAGAGCAAAACTCTGTCTCAAAAAAAAAAAAAAAAAAAGATGTATTGAGCCTAGTATGTGCCAGTCTCAGTACTAAGCACTTTACATGTATTGCCTCATTTAATGTTTACATCAGCCTTGTGAGTTGGGGTTGGTTATTATCCCCATTTTACAGATGAGGAGACTGAGGCCGAGGCTAAGAGTAACTGGCCCAAGTTCACAGAACCTAATAAGTACAGGAGCTGGGTTCAAGTGTGGCTGCCTGACTCCTAGCTCCTGTGTTAAACATAATAGGAAATAGTATCTCAGATATAACAAACATGGGAAGACCAAGTTGGTTTTTAAAGAAACCCATGGGCACATCTTATCACCGAACTGCCAGCCCTGAGAATCCTGGCCGCCCTTCGGCACAAGCCTGTTTGACAGAGCCTCCCAATGTTTGCAGCAGCAAGGATTCTTTTTTTTTTTTTTTTTTTTGAGACAGTCATCTCACTCTGTCACCCACACCATCTCGGCTCACTGCAACCTCCACCTCCCAGGTTCGAGTGATTCTTGTGCCTCAGGCTGCCAAGTAGCTGGGACTACAGGCTTGCACAACCACGCCCAGCAAATTTTTTGTATTTTTTAGTAGAGATGGGGTTTTGCTATGTTGGCCAGGCTGGTCTGGAACTCCTGGCCTCAAGTAATCCGTCCACCTCGGCTTCCCAAAGTGCTGAGATTATAGATGTGAGCCACCGCCTCGGGCCTTAGGATTCTTTTTATAATTTTTCCTTTAAAGATGTAGTTTCTCAAACTAGTTACTACCTAATGCATTAGGTAGTAACTGTTTGGTTTTCTAATTTGTTAATTAACTCTAGACATATGTAACCGCCACTCAGAACTCCTGATCAACATGGGCTAAACAGGGTTACCTGCTGAGTAAATACAATTCCAACCAAAAGCAAAGAAAGTGACATTTTACTTAGCACAGGCAATCTTATCATGGGTAAATGGACATTTTCTGGTGCTTTCAAAAAACCATTGAAGCTCACTTGAAACTTTCCGGTGCTTTGACCTTCATAGACTGCCCCCACCACCTCCCAGCCCATGGGGGACAGGATTCCTAGAGGCGAGGGGAGGCGTCTGTGAAGTGGAAGATAAGTGGCAATAGGGTGTGTAACAAAGAGACAGGGAACGCTTCTGGCCGTGCTGTGAAGATGGTGGGGGTGCTGGGCGCTCTTTTAAGTGTCTCCCTCCTTGCCTGCCCTGTCCCTAGCACTCTCCACTCAGTCACCACTTTACTCCTTGACAGTCCATCTTCAGGACTCACCTTTCTTCCCAGATATAGGAGGAGCCCTGAAGTTTGGGGAGCCCCTGGCCCTGAGAGCCCTGCAGCACAGCCTAGCTGGAACAGTGACCGATGGAGCCCCATTTGAGCCCAGCCAGTCAGGGCTCTGATGGGGCTGGGGCTTGCACTGACACCCCTATTCCACTAGACCCCACCCAGCCACACCCAGACAGGGCAAGTGGAGTGGTGGCCCCCCTTCCTCCACGTCAACCTCACTGCAGTGTCTTCCCCACCCCCGGGATGGCCTCCCCCGTTGTCTGTGTGCCTGTGAAGGGTGGGGGTCCACACCCGGCCGCCCTGCCTTCCCAAGTGCCTGACTCATCCTACTTCTCCTCAGTCTGAGATGCTCAAACACGCTGGGGTGGGGGGTGGGGGCTGGCGGGGGACACCTGGAAGTCACAGGCTCCTTTGCAAAGCACATTGCAATGTGTATTTAATTCCATCATGAGAATTAGAAGCTGCTTTACCAGGAAATCATATGACCATGTGATATGTATGGAGAATGAAATCACAACCACATGTGGGAGATACTGAGAGTCCATTTCTAGATGGTTTGGTTAGTATTTGGGGGTTGTTTGTTCATCTTGCCATCTCCCAGATGCTATTAATAGAAGCCCCTCTAAACATTTTTCAAAGATTCAGTGAAAAAACTTCAAGGTAGAGGCAATGCCATCCATGAGCTTAATTCAGGGTCACAGGCTGAGCCACCTGCAGGGGCCAAGTTCAGGTAGTCAGAAGCCAGCGGGTGGCCCTGTGAAGAAGGGCGGCCACCCACAGGGGGCAGCATTGGGCCACTCCTCTCCCGCGGATTCATGCAGCGAGGGGAGCGACTCAGGATGGCCAGTCCTGATTTTTCAAGAGAGGCAGGAAATCCAGATTTCTTTTGTGTGTGAAAATCTCCTAATTTCAAAGCTGCCAAATTAATACAGAAGGTCAAACAAAGCAAGCCTGCACCTTGTGCCAGGTTTCCTCAGATTTGGAGAACATCACGTTTGGATTTACGGGGCGGGGCGGGGCTTGGTCCAGGCAGGGAACTCTGTTGTCCCAGTTGGTGGGGGTGGGGGGTGGTGGCTTGCAGGGAGGCGGGGGTCTAGCGTTCTGACTGAGCCAGTCACTGATGGGGGATCTTGGGAGGGGCTGAGGAGGCAGGGTAAAGCCAGCCCCTAGCCCCTTCTCTTCCCACCCCTATCCCCATGTGTTTCAGAGGCCCCTCGGTTTGAGTCCATCATGGAGGACGTGGAGGTGGGGGCTGGGGAAACTGCTCGCTTTGCGGTGGTGGTCGAGGGAAAACCACTGCCGGACATCATGTGGTACAAGGTCAGAGTGTGCTGCTGGCTGAGCCTGGGGGAGGGAGGAGGGGCTCCCTGGGGGCGTGGGAGGGTCCTGGAAGGCCTTAGGAGGGCGGAGCCCGGGCAGAGGCGTGGTTAGGAGGAGGAAAGGGGCTGCAGAGGACTGACTAGCTGAGGGGTGCAGGGCTTTCTGTGGGAGATAAGGGAGGAGCTGACTCTGGGTCCTGGTGAGAGATGCGCTGCCCAGAGTAGGAGATGAGGCCCTGGCCCCAAGGTAGAGATGAGGCCAGGCCCAGGCTGAAGGTGAGACCCCACTCTGCAGGACGAGGTGCTGCTGACCGAGAGCAGCCATGTGAGCTTCGTGTACGAGGAGAATGAGTGCTCCCTGGTGGTGCTCAGCACGGGGGCCCAGGATGGAGGCGTCTACACCTGCACCGCCCAGAACCTGGCGGGTGAGGTCTCCTGCAAAGCAGAGTTGGCTGTGCATTCAGGTAGGCAGGAGTTCCGGAGAAAGGTAAAGCGCACACCCCCTGGAATCTGATGTGACCCTCCATGCTCTGCCCAGGAAGCAGCCAGCCCTGGACTCGAGCCACCACACCCCCAGCCCAGCACCCCGCCTTGAGCCCCCAACATTCTTGCACCTCTTCTCTCTTCTTCTTCTGTCCACCTGTCCCAGTCTCTGGCCTGCTTGCTTTCTTCCCCTCCCACCTAACACCATGACATCTCTGCCCCAGCTCAGACAGCTATGGAGGTCGAGGGGGTCGGGGAGGATGAGGACCATCGAGGAAGGAGACTCAGCGACTTTTATGACATCCACCAGGAGATCGGCAGGTGTGGGGCTAGGAGGGAAGCCAGTGGGGGCCGAGAGAGGCTGCTGGGTCTGAGGGTTGGGAGGGGTGGAGAGGGCCACAGTGATGGCTGATCTCTGACCCCCTCCCTGTGTCAACCAGGGGTGCTTTCTCCTACTTGCGGCGCATAGTGGAGCGTAGCTCCGGCCTGGAGTTTGCGGCCAAGTTCATCCCCAGCCAGGCCAAGCCAAAGGCATCAGCGCGTCGGGAGGCCCGGCTGCTGGCCAGGCTCCAGCACGACTGTGTCCTCTACTTCCATGAGGCCTTCGAGAGGCGCCGGGGACTGGTCATTGTCACCGAGCTGTATCCTGGGACAGGCTGGGGGCTAGGGGGATCCATGCCTAAATGACTGGTCCTTGTAACATCCAATAGGCAACATGTTTTACAGTTTACAAAGTAGTCCCAATTGACAATTGGGAGGGATACATCTGGAGACTTCTATGAAAACCAACAGTTTTAAGCCCATTGTTAGCTTAAATTTTCATAGCATTTAATGTGTGTGCCTGGCAGTGTTCTAAGAGTTTTACAAATATTAACCTATTTAATCCCATATATTCCTATCTCCTGGAATTTTATTATTAACTTGTATTATCCCCATTTTACAGATGAAGAGACAGGCATGGAGAGGTTAAATAACTTGCCCAAGGTCACAGAGCTAGCACATGGCCTATGCTTTTCATCATGAAATGCAGTACAATGCATCTGCATATTTGTAGTGACCCCATTTCAGATCAATACTTGGCTTTATTTAGAGGCTGTTTTCATAAGGAACAGATTTTACCCTTTCATGAAGGCTGTGGTTAAGCAAAGGCACATTGAGGTAAGGATGCTGGGTGATTGGCTCATCACCCCAGTAGCAGGGTGACCGTAACCTGCACATGAGCCTCCTGCCTGCACTGTTTGAATTCAAACCTCAGCAAAATGACAAATTATTCCATGTCATGGATCTTCTAGGTCATTCTCAAATAGAGTCAAGAAGTTCCATCCACAGTCAACAAAATTCTGCTGTAATTTGATCCCTATAAATGCTTTACAGGGTGGGCAGGAAAGGAAATGTTATTCCCATATTACTCCTGGGAGAACCTAGGCTCAGAGAAGTGAAGTGACTTGTCTGAGATCCCATAGAAAGTGGGAGTTCAAGCAGGGATGACCCACCTGTGCCCTCAGAGGACAGGAGGTGGGGAGGGGGTACACGTGGAGGAGCGGAGAGGCAGTCTCTGGCTAGTATCAAGCATTCTGTAAGGGGAAGGAGAACCCCGTGCTGAGCTGGGACCTGCCCTGAGCGCTGGGCTGGGCCGGGCAGTTGGCACTGGGCACTGTTCTCCTTGATCTGGGATGTAGCTGCACAGAGGAGCTGCTGGAGCGAATCGCCAGGAAACCCACCGTGTGTGAGTCTGAGGTGAGGGCAGTGGGTGGCAGGGGCCAGGTTGGGCACCAGCCTTCACCCACCTGAGCTTTGAGAACCAACAAATGGGTCCTGAGTGTGCCATCTGTGCCCACAGGAAGCCAGGGGTGGAGGTGGAGAGCACTGTTAGGTAGGCAGCAGAGTCCCCACCCAATGATACCAGACCCCCATCTATCTGAGACTTGTGCTATTCTCTCTAAATCTCAGCAAACCCACCCCAGCTCCTAACTGTTGTTTCCCACTCTTCATCACATAAACATCCCCCAAACATTTCTCCTGGAAGGAGCCCCACCTAGATTTTATTGATCTCACTGCAGTCCTGCCACGTCAGGCTGTACATGTTGTGCACTGCACAATTCTACTTATTACCACGCAATGGCTCCTCCCTATAATTGTGCTGTACCCTCCGGTGCATATGGTAGCCTTGGATCTTTGCAACCCCAAACCTGTTTCAGCCCCTTCCACGAGCCATCTGAAGGCTACTCCACAGGCACAGCCGGACCGCTTGCCGCCCTGGAGGTGTTCAGACATACACCACCCTTCCCCCTCAGACTCTGGGCCCACTATTTCCACAGATCCGGGCCTATATGCGGCAGGTGCTAGAGGGAATACACTACCTGCACCAGAGCCACGTGCTGCACCTCGATGTCAAGGTGAGGTGGGGACTGGAGAGCAGACAGCCCCTGTGGGAGCCAGGAGGTGAAGCATCCTTCCTTGTTCATTTGGCCCGCACACCTCGCCTTGTGTCTTCCAGCCTGAGAACCTGCTGGTGTGGGATGGTGCTGCGGGCGAGCAGCAGGTGCGGATCTGTGACTTTGGGAATGCCCAGGAGCTGACTCCAGGAGAGCCCCAGTACTGCCAGTATGGCACACCTGAGTTTGTAGCACCCGAGATTGTCAATCAGAGCCCCGTGTCTGGAGTCACTGACATCTGGTAAGGCTGGCATGCTGGGCTGGGCCGACCAGGGCAGCTGCCCTTGGGGCTGTGCTGGGGACGCGCTCACTGGCAGGGAGATTTACCGAGCCTGAATTCCTCCTGAAGGTGGGCTGGAGGCATTGTTTGCAGGGTCTCCTGCCCATGTTACTCCTTGCCCCTTGTGAGTCAGGGCTGCCCCATTCTCTCAAGGCCTCAGCCCTGTTAGTCCTTGACTCCTTGTCTCCCCTGGAAGCCGGGCCTTCCCCTCAGCATTCAGCCTGCCTCCTCCAGTAAGGCAGGCATGGTCCCATTGGTTCCCAGGCTTCCCTGGGCTTCCTGGGCCAGCCCTGCCATGACCCTGGACTTCTCCAGGCATATCTGGACCTGTAGGTTCAGGGTCCTCCCTGAAGAAGCCACTCCTGTGCCCATTGTCCATGGCAGTGTTCCCAGGGAGGTAACAGCTCACTCAGGTCAGCAGTAGCAAAGAACTGCTCCCTTCCAGTCAGAGAGGGGCGGTCCTCTTACCTATCACTCTCCTTTTCCCACAGGCCTGTGGGTGTTGTTGCCTTCCTCTGGTAAGGACCCCTCTGCAATGTCCCAGCAGTCTCCTGGCAGGTCTACCCCTAACCTTTGCAGGGCTGCAGCCCACCCCCTTCTCTTCCGCACCCCCCACTCCTTCTTGCACTGCAAGGAGCCTCATGTGCATGAAGGTGGACACCCCTGTCTGCATGCCCACACTCTGCCTGTCCCCACACCCCTCCATAAGAGGTGGGCACCCTAGATGGAGAGAGCCCAGCGCAGGCTCAGGGCCATGGAGGCAGGGAACTCCTTGGCTCTGAGTGTCCAAAACTTGGACTAGATGGGAGTGGAGCTCAGGGTGGGCACATCCCCTTGGCACAGACTCTTCACTCATGGAGAGGCCACACTGGAGGAGGGATGGAACAGGTCCTCTAAAGCACAGGCCACTAGGCCCCAAGGCAGCACCACCTCCCTGCCCATCAGGGGGGCTGGGGAGGGGACAGGGCAGGAGAGAGTCCGCAGCCTCACCTCTTACCCACATTTGCCCAGCCTCTGTCATCCTCACAACCCCAGAGCCTCCATCTGTCCCCAGCCCTGTGCCCCCACTGACATTCCCCTTTGTCCCCGCCTGCCCCTCATGACAGCCCTCTTCACCCCTGCAGTCTGA
Organism: Homo sapiens; assembly: GCF_000001405.40. NCBI lineage: Eukaryota > Metazoa > Chordata > Mammalia > Primates > Hominidae > Homo > Homo sapiens. The sequence continues at coordinate 219,481,309 of NC_000002.12, forward strand.
CAGGAATCTCCCCGTTTGTTGGGGAAAATGACCGGACAACATTGATGAACATCCGAAACTACAACGTGGCCTTCGAGGAGACCACATTCCTGAGCCTGAGCAGGGAGGCCCGGGGCTTCCTCATCAAAGTGTTGGTGCAGGACCGGCTGTGAGTACAAGGCCCTGGGAGCCCCCACCTGCAGGGTCACCCTCATACCACCTGCCTGCTACTCCCAAACTCCTGCCCCTCGACATGCAAGCCCCCAACTCCTTAGGAGCCCTGTTTGCTCAGTTATTGACTCACTGATGACTGAACGATAAATCCCTTCTTAATCCTCATTCATTCACAGGAGACCTACCGCAGAAGAGACCCTAGAACATCCTTGGTTCAAAGTGAGTCTAGTCTGCAAAGTGGTGGCACAAAAGGTGGAGGGAGAGAGAATGTTACTAACAGCTCTATTTATTGAGTACCTACTGTGTGCAGTAACCACGTTAGGCATTGTATGTACATATGACGTATTAGCCTCACAATAGCTTTGCAAAGGAAGGCATTATTAGTCCCATTTTGTTGACAAGGAAACAGGCTCTAATCAGTGATGGAGTTGGGGGTATACATACTGGACTCCAGGGCATACGTCTGGACCTCTCCATCCTGGGCGTCCTCAGTGGAGTTCTCCCCCATGCTTGAGACCAGACCCTGGTCTTCCTGACTTCTGTCTGTCCATCTCTGTCCTGCACTGGTCCCACACAATAGCGTTGGGGGTGACCAGGCAGTCTCAGCCCCTTGGTTATGAGCTTCATGTGAGCAGGTTCTCGGTTCTCACTCATTCATCTTCAAACCCCAGTGCCTCAGGGCACAGTGCCAGGCATTGATGGGGTCTTGGGGATTTGGGAGGGGGGGTTCAGCAAATGAGTCTGGAAAGAGCGCCTGAATAAACTGTTCATGGAGGGTTGTGCCAGGTCACTTGAAGGCTGAGGTCATTCGGGTATCAGGAGTTGAATTAAGAGCCTTCTTTCTCAGACCGGAAATGAGCTCCAGAAGAGAGAGCCTGGGTGGGTAGCTGAGGGAAGCATCCGTCTTGGTCTGGACCACCAAGGCTCCAGATGTCTGGGGTGTTGGCCCTACATGGAGACAGAGGGGAGCTGGGGAGCCAGGACCCGGGTAAAGGGCCTAAGATCACAGGCCTCCCAGGGCAGCTGGTTTACCAGGACAGGGCCATGAGCCCTGGTGGAAGCTCAGAAGCCTACCTAGGGGAGCCACCAGTTTCCTGCCTCTCCCCTGGGGGGTTCAGGGGATTTGTCTTTAGGTGTGCATCTTGGCTGTAGGCATTGTCCTGACAGACCCAGGGGGAAGGGGACCCCCAGGAGCCCAGACTCAGTGCTGCTCGATCCACTCTCTCCTGCCACCCCGCCCCATGGACTTTGTCTCTCTGTTGCCAAACCTGGAGGGTCTAGGTTGACAGCTTTCCCTCAAGCCCTCTTTCCTGGGTTTGCAGACTCAGGCAAAGGGCGCAGAGGTGAGCACGGATCACCTGAAGCTATTCCTCTCCCGGCGGAGGTGGCAGGTAAGTGTGGCAGGCCAGCCTCTGTGCTTTCCACCTTCTCCTTTTCTCTAGCACTGCCTTCCCCCTCCCGTGGGCCTTCATCTCCTGCTCCTGTCTTCTCGCTTTCACTGGCTCCATGCCTAGCTTCCTGCCTGTTCCCTGACCCTCTGCATGCTCAGGCCTCTTCCCCAGGGCTGAGGTGGGCCTGGGGGGGACAATCCTGCCCCAGGGGTCCCTCAGGTCTGACTCCAGTACCCTGTCTCCAGCGCTCCCAGATCAGCTACAAATGCCACCTGGTGCTGCGCCCCATCCCCGAGCTGCTGCGGGCCCCCCCAGAGCGGGTGTGGGTGACCATGCCCAGAAGGCCACCCCCCAGTGGGGGGCTCTCATCCTCCTCGGATTCTGAAGAGGAAGAGCTGGAAGAGCTGCCCTCAGTGCCCCGCCCACTGCAGCCCGAGTTCTCTGGCTCCCGGGTGTCCCTCACAGACATTCCCACTGAGGATGAGGCCCTGGGGACCCCAGAGACTGGGGCTGCCACCCCCATGGACTGGCAGGAGCAGGGAAGGGCTCCCTCTCAGGACCAGGAGGCTCCCAGCCCAGAGGCCCTCCCCTCCCCAGGCCAGGAGCCCGCAGCTGGGGCTAGCCCCAGGCGGGGAGAGCTCCGCAGGGGCAGCTCGGCTGAGAGCGCCCTGCCCCGGGCCGGGCCGCGGGAGCTGGGCCGGGGCCTGCACAAGGCGGCGTCTGTGGAGCTGCCGCAGCGCCGGAGCCCCAGCCCGGGAGCCACCCGCCTGGCCCGGGGAGGCCTGGGTGAGGGCGAGTATGCCCAGAGGCTGCAGGCCCTGCGCCAGCGGCTGCTGCGGGGAGGCCCCGAGGATGGCAAGGTCAGCGGCCTCAGGGGTCCCCTGCTGGAGAGCCTGGGGGGCCGTGCTCGGGACCCCCGGATGGCACGAGCTGCCTCCAGCGAGGCAGCGCCCCACCACCAGCCCCCACTCGAGAACCGGGGCCTGCAAAAGAGCAGCAGCTTCTCCCAGGGTGAGGCGGAGCCCCGGGGCCGGCACCGCCGAGCGGGGGCGCCCCTCGAGATCCCCGTGGCCAGGCTTGGGGCCCGTAGGCTACAGGAGTCTCCTTCCCTGTCTGCCCTCAGCGAGGCCCAGCCATCCAGCCCTGCACGGCCCAGCGCCCCCAAACCCAGTACCCCTAAGTCTGCAGAACCTTCTGCCACCACACCTAGTGATGCTCCGCAGCCCCCCGCACCCCAGCCTGCCCAAGACAAGGCTCCAGAGCCCAGGCCAGAACCAGTCCGAGCCTCCAAGCCTGCACCACCCCCCCAGGCCCTGCAAACCCTAGCGCTGCCCCTCACACCCTATGCTCAGATCATTCAGTCCCTCCAGCTGTCAGGCCACGCCCAGGGCCCCTCGCAGGGCCCTGCCGCGCCGCCTTCAGAGCCCAAGCCCCACGCTGCTGTCTTTGCCAGGGTGGCCTCCCCACCTCCGGGAGCCCCCGAGAAGCGCGTGCCCTCAGCCGGGGGTCCCCCGGTGCTAGCCGAGAAAGCCCGAGTTCCCACGGTGCCCCCCAGGCCAGGCAGCAGTCTCAGTAGCAGCATCGAAAACTTGGAGTCGGAGGCCGTGTTCGAGGCCAAGTTCAAGCGCAGCCGCGAGTCGCCCCTGTCGCTGGGGCTGCGGCTGCTGAGCCGTTCGCGCTCGGAGGAGCGCGGCCCCTTCCGTGGGGCCGAGGAGGAGGATGGCATATACCGGCCCAGCCCGGCGGGGACCCCGCTGGAGCTGGTGCGACGGCCTGAGCGCTCACGCTCGGTGCAGGACCTCAGGGCTGTCGGAGAGCCTGGCCTCGTCCGCCGCCTCTCGCTGTCACTGTCCCAGCGGCTGCGGCGGACCCCTCCCGCGCAGCGCCACCCGGCCTGGGAGGCCCGCGGCGGGGACGGAGAGAGCTCGGAGGGCGGGAGCTCGGCGCGGGGCTCCCCGGTGCTGGCGATGCGCAGGCGGCTGAGCTTCACCCTGGAGCGGCTGTCCAGCCGATTGCAGCGCAGTGGCAGCAGCGAGGACTCGGGGGGCGCGTCGGGCCGCAGCACGCCGCTGTTCGGACGGCTTCGCAGGGCCACGTCCGAGGGCGAGAGTCTGCGGCGCCTTGGCCTTCCGCACAACCAGTTGGCCGCCCAGGCCGGCGCCACCACGCCTTCCGCCGAGTCCCTGGGCTCCGAGGCCAGCGCCACGTCGGGCTCCTCAGGTGAGGAGGGGCAGGGGTAGGGCAGCAGGTGCAGAGGAGGGTGGGGTGCGCTGGAGAGAGGCTGTGGGAGGAGCAGAGGGCTGGGGACACCCACCAGGGGCAGGCTGAGGCCCCGAGGGTGGAATCAGCAGGGCTGGAGGGGAGGAAAGCAGGAATGGCGGCAGGGCTGGGTGGGCTAGGGGTTCCTTCTGGTTCTCTGGGCTGAGGGCTGCAGAGAGGTGGGAACTTGCTGGTACTGACTGAACAAATACTCACGGGCCTGAGTCTTCACAGCCCCAGGGGAAAGCCGAAGCCGGCTCCGCTGGGGCTTCTCTCGGCCGCGGAAGGACAAGGGGTTATCGCCACCAAACCTCTCTGCCAGCGTCCAGGAGGAGTTGGGTCACCAGTACGTGCGCAGTGAGTCAGGTAATAAGAGGCCTGCTGGGTGAGGACCCTCCTCCCCTCCTGCCCTCCCCTACCCCCATCAGGGAGCAGTCATGGCTGGTGAGAGGTGGGCCACCTTGACAAACCTAGTGGAAGGGGTCTGCTCAGACAACTATAACAATAGCAGTAGCTGACATTCATTAGATAAGCTGAGTGTTCTATTAAACACTTTACAAGCACTGCCTCATTCAATCCTGCAGCACTGTTTGGGAAATATTAGTATCATTGTCTCTACTGTACAGGTGAGGAAACGGGCTTAGTGATGCTAAGGATCTGTCCAAGTCACAGGGCTAGTAAGTGGAGCAGCTGAAGTTGGACTGTGTGACCTTCTGCAGCCAGGTCCCTGAAACGGCTTCAGGACACCACTTACGTCTGTCGGGCTGGCCTCCTCTCTCCTGGGAGACCCTAGAATGTTTCTGTAACTGGCTGTACTTTTCAAGGAGCTCAAGATATAGGGCCCTCCTGCCTCCACAGTCCCCCTTTAGATGTGTGTGTGCTTGGGTGTGTACCCAAAGACACTCACTTTCTCTCCAGCCTAGAGGACCACGACCTGGATTGTGCCCCCTAAGTCTCCATTGCTCTGCAGCTCCGAACACCTGACTGCCCCTCCCTGACCCTTCTGCACAGAAAAGCAGCCTTTGGAGCTCTTTGCTAGCTCTTTGCCCTCTTCTGTTTCTCTGCCTGAGTGTCCTGGAGCTCCAGATAGGGAGGCATTCCCCATGTGGGGTCACCCCATCCCCCCTGAAAAAGGGGCATTACTCAAGGACGACAAGCAAAGGCTTCGGGAGGTTGGGTTTTCCAGGCCAGCATGCAGGAAGGGAGCGAGTCCATGAAGCCAGGCTGTGTGCAGGATCTTGACGAGCCACCAGTCCTGTTCTTCCCCCATTTCCTGGTAAAACTCAGAATAGAGTGGCTGTCGAGTCTTGCCTCAGCTGGGCTTATAGGGATTGTGTCCAGCCTTGGCCAGGGCAAAGGGGGCTGCAGTGAGAGAAAAGGATGGAGGGAAGGGCTGCTGGTGGGGAGGGGAGGGTGGAGAGTGAGGGGGAAAGAAAGCGATCAGCCAGCAGAGAGGCCTGGGGACAGCTGATCCCTTCCCACCTGGGGCCTCCCTCCCGGCCCAGTTTTGCTTATGCAGCTGATTTCCTGCTGAGGCAGTGTCCCCTTACCTCATCCGCTCCCCGTTCCCTGCAGAAACAAGGCTGTCCCAGGCTACTTTAACAACCAGGGCTGGCACCTAGGAATGGGGGTGGGGCTGGCGGGGCTGGCAGGGCTGGGCCCGGGTCACTTTCACCTCTGAGAGAGGTGGCCTCTCTCTCTCTCTCCCTGCTACCCAGTACCCTCACTTGGCCTGGAGGCAGCCATTGAGAAACTGTGTTCACATTGCCTTGTTGGAACCTCAGTGTGGGACCCCTCCTTGGGGAGCAGTGGGGTACAGCGGGAAGGGGGCACACTGCCATCCTGATCACCACACCTGCTGAGTACTCCTCTTCTGCCTGGCTCATCCCCACTCCCAGTCCCCCACAATTCTTCAGACAGGCAGCAGCTGGGGCTCACAAGGCTCCTCAGCTTTCTCTTCCCAGGTGAATAAAATCCACCCCCAAGTCCTCCCCTATCCCCACCCTTCACCCACCACCCCCATGGCCCAGCTGGGATTCTTCTAAAGGGACATTCCCAGGGATCATGCACTCAAATCCTCAGGGCACTAAAGAGGCACAGGCTGGCTACATTGGAGGAAGGAAAACTGGTCGCATCCCTAGCCCTGCATGTGCACAGCCACCAGCTAGCTGTGAAGGCAGCTTCTCTGCTTTGCTGGAACAGCCTTTCTCTGGGGGTCTGTCTGCTCCAGGCTTCTCTGCTGGCCATATTATTGAGAAAATGATAACAACAAGAGAAGTTAGTATTTATGATCAGTTACTCTATGGCAGACACTTTACATGCCTCGTAATTGTCACAGCAAGCATCCTGTGGGCGTGGGATTATTTTCCTTGATTTACAGATTAGAAATGGAGCTTCTGAGAGAGTAAATGACTTGCCCAAGGTCAGGCAGATACTGTCTCTTGCCCCTTCAAAAGCTCTCACCACTTAATTGACCTGAAGGAGTATACAGAAGACCTACGACCCTGTCCCCCGATGGCAGGTGGGAAGAGGGGCCAGGAAGCCGACACGCTTCCAGGGTCTGCCCACAGTTTTCCTAGACTGCAGCTCTTTTGAGACTGCACATTCTGATAGAACATTCCTCATTTGGTCCCATCTCAGCTCGGGTCACTAACTCATCTCAATTCTCTTCTCACTTGCCCTGTGGTGCCCCAGAGAGGGTAGGTCTTGCAGGATCTTAACCATTATAGTTTTTCAGTATTTGTTTGCTTTTATTTTATTTAACAAATGCTTATAGACCACTTACTTAGTGCCAGGCCCTGCTCTAAGTGATTTACAAACCCATGACATAAGTAGCATTGTCAGCAGTCAGTGCAAGGAAAAAGCAGTTCTGCACACAGTGAGGGCCTGGGGAAAGTGATGCTTGCCCCAAAGAAAATTATCGAAGGCATGGCGTGGGGTTCCACTTTCCACATCTGCCTGGGAAGAGACAAAGTTTCATGCTGCTTCCTGATGGCTGTTTGCAGGCCTTCTCCACCCCTCCCTCAGCAGTAAGTGGGCCAGGGTCCCTACAGATAGATGGCTGTCTCTGCTTTTCCTCCAGACTTCCCCCCAGTCTTCCACATCAAACTCAAGGACCAGGTGCTGCTGGAGGGGGAGGCAGCCACCCTGCTCTGCCTGCCAGCGGCCTGCCCTGCACCGCACATCTCCTGGATGAAAGGTAAGGAGACTCTGTCTCCCACAGAGAGGGAGGCCAGCAAGTGGCCCTGAGCCCAGGGGATGGGAGGGGCTAGGCCGGAGTGGGGACTGAGCACGGTTAGGGGGGATGCTGGAGTGGGGAGTGAGTGAGGGGGCCTGGACATGTGCTGCCTCACTCAGCAGCAACTCCTGCTCCTCCCTGTCCCCAGACAAGAAGTCCTTGAGGTCAGAGCCCTCAGTGATCATCGTGTCCTGCAAAGATGGGCGGCAGCTGCTCAGCATCCCCCGGGCGGGCAAGCGGCACGCCGGTCTCTATGAGTGCTCGGCCACCAACGTACTGGGCAGCATCACCAGCTCCTGTACCGTGGCTGTGGCCCGTGAGCCTGGGGCAGGGCCCCAGGGGGGTAGTGATGGGGATGGTGGGACAGGGCTTGAGGGGTTCTTAGCTAGGGTATAGGGGCTCACTGGGACTCTTCTTTCTCTTGCCAGGAGTCCCAGGAAAGCTAGCTCCTCCAGAGGTACCCCAGACCTACCAGGACACGGCGCTGGTGCTGTGGAAGCCGGGAGACAGCCGGGCACCTTGCACGTATACGCTGGAGCGGCGAGTGGATGGTGAGGATGGGGCAGCTGGAGGGTTGGGGGAGCGGCAGGGGGAGGGTAGAGGAGTCTGGTAAGGCCAGTGCCCTCCCAGGCTCCACAGATAGCACCGTGGGAGCTGGGGCCACCGCTTCTGTGACCTCAGCCCCTCCCCCATACTGCCTATAGGGGAGTCTGTGTGGCACCCTGTGAGCTCAGGCATCCCCGACTGTTACTACAACGTGACCCACCTGCCAGTTGGCGTGACTGTGAGGTTCCGTGTGGCCTGTGCCAACCGTGCTGGGCAGGGGCCCTTCAGCAACTCTTCTGAGAAGGTCTTTGTCAGGGGTACTCAAGGTCAGTGCAATGGTATGGGGTGGGAGGAGGAAGGGGGCTCTGAGCCTAGGGTTCTTGTGGAGCACCATGGCCTTGCCCCAAGGCACCACGGTGATGATTTTCTCTCTCTCTTAGATTCTTCAGCTGTGCCATCTGCTGCCCACCAAGAGGCCCCTGTCACCTCAAGGCCAGCCAGGGCCCGGCCTCCTGACTCTCCTACCTCACTGGCCCCACCCCTAGCTCCTGCTGCCCCCACACCCCCGTCAGTCACTGTCAGCCCCTCATCTCCCCCCACACCTCCTAGCCAGGCCTTGTCCTCGCTCAAGGCTGTGGGTCCACCACCCCAAACCCCTCCACGAAGACACAGGGGCCTGCAGGCTGCCCGGCCAGCGGAGCCCACCCTACCCAGTACCCACGTCACCCCAAGTGAGCCCAAGCCTTTCGTCCTTGACACTGGGACCCCGATCCCAGCCTCCACTCCTCAAGGGGTTAAACCAGTGTCTTCCTCTACTCCTGTGTATGTGGTGACTTCCTTTGTGTCTGCACCACCAGCCCCTGAGCCCCCAGCCCCTGAGCCCCCTCCTGAGCCTACCAAGGTGACTGTGCAGAGCCTCAGCCCGGCCAAGGAGGTGGTCAGCTCCCCTGGGAGCAGTCCCCGAAGCTCTCCCAGGCCTGAGGGTACCACTCTTCGACAGGGTCCCCCTCAGAAACCCTACACCTTCCTGGAGGAGAAAGCCAGGCAAGCAGGGCTGGGGAAGGGAAGAGGACAGAGGGGAGTGGGCCAAATGTCTGGAGCACATGGCTTCGGAGAGAAGACCAGACTGTCCTGGCTGGGGTGGGGGGAGGTGCTGAGACCTGGGTTATTAGAATGATTGCGTTCAAATGTGCCAGACACTGCACTGCGTGCTTTAGCCATATGATCTCATCAAATCTTCACAACTCTGAGAGACACTGCGCTATTAGCATCACCCATTTCACAGGTGGCAAAGCTGAGGTTAGAGAAGCTATGGGATTTACCTAAGGTACAGAGCCAGTGAGTGGCGAAGGTGGGACTCGAACCCTGGTTTCTAGGATTGAACTCTGGAGCCCACACTGGAACCACTGCATTCTTGCCCCTAGGGGTCCCTGCTCTCCTCCGTTAGCCCTCACTATGGAAGTGTCCCCCTCCTCTCCTCTGAGCCGGTGGTGTCCCTCCCCCCGACACACAGGGGCCGCTTTGGTGTTGTGCGAGCGTGCCGGGAGAATGCCACGGGGCGAACGTTCGTGGCCAAGATCGTGCCCTATGCTGCCGAGGGCAAGCGGCGGGTCCTGCAGGAGTACGAGGTGCTGCGGACCCTGCACCACGAGCGGATCATGTCCCTGCACGAGGCCTACATCACCCCTCGGTACCTCGTGCTCATTGCTGAGAGCTGTGGCAACCGGGAACTCCTCTGTGGGCTCAGTGACAGGTAGCTGGGAATTCTAGGGGAGTAGGGAGGAAGAGGTAGGGGAGGCTGGGCCGGGTATCATCTGCTCCATCCCTGCCCTCCCAGGTTCCGGTATTCTGAGGATGACGTGGCCACTTACATGGTGCAGCTGCTACAAGGCCTGGACTACCTCCACGGCCACCACGTGCTCCACCTAGACATCAAGCCAGACAACCTGCTGCTGGCCCCTGACAATGCCCTCAAGATTGTGGACTTTGGCAGTGCCCAGCCCTACAACCCCCAGGCCCTTAGGCCCCTTGGCCACCGCACGGGCACGCTGGAGTTCATGGGTGAGGGGACCAGCTGCCAGCCAGGGTGGGGACAGGGCCCTGCCAGAGAGGCAGCAGCCAGGGCTCACCCCACTTCACTTACATATGTGCCACTTATTGAGTGATTACTGTATTCAAGCAATGAACGAAGTATGTGGATTGATCTTTACAATAACCCTGGAGTGTGGCATAATATTAGCCCCCTTTTACAGATGAGGAAACTGAGGGGTACTGATGTTAGGGATTTGTGCAATCAGACAATTATAAATGCTAGAGGCAGGATTCACTACAGCCAAAAAGACAGGAGAATCAATTATTATTTTATTTAAATAAGGAGAACCAGCTACCATCGAGCACCCTGCTAAATGCTTGACGTTCATGATCTCTCTTCCTTGGTGTGGTTCTACAGGCCACACTTTACGGATGAGGCTGTGGAGAGCCAGGCAGGTTTAGTAAATCGCCCAGGGTCCCATAGCTAGAAGGGGCAGGTCTGGGATTAGAGCCAGCCAGGCTGATTTTGAAGGCTTTTAATCTTGGTGTCAGCCACACTCTTTGTGAATGGGAGCCATACCTTGGAGCCGATCCAAGGGAGCTTGTCACCCTGCTTCTCAGCCCCTCTGGAGTTCTGGGGACCCCGCCATTTTGTGCCTGGGTTAATTCCTCAGGTGACCCATATGTCTCTTGGGGTATGCCACCACCTCTGTCCTGCCTACTGGCCTTCAGGGCCTGCCACTCTGGACATTCCCATGGTCTGGTGACCAGGACATTGTCCTGCTGCTCAAGCACCCAGGGACCTCCCCCGCCCCCACTTCCCTGCCACCAGGAAGCTGGGTCAGCTTGGCCTCTGTCTCCTGTCAGCTCCGGAGATGGTGAAGGGAGAACCCATCGGCTCTGCCACGGACATCTGGGGAGCGGGTGTGCTCACTTACATTATGTGAGTGTCCCCTACCCCACCGCAGCCCTCTCTGCCCATACAGTGAGCTCCCGGACTCACCTTCTGCCAACACCCTCTCCCCCGTGCCCCACCTCCCCTGTACACACATCCACACTGCACACTCACACTCAGGTGCACAGTAGCATGGCCCTGAGCACTGTGCACCTGACACTAATGTCCTTCTGGGTCTGGGTGTTGGCCTCCGGTCTGCATACGTCAATCAAGCTATCTTCCCCAACAGGCTCAGTGGACGCTCCCCGTTCTATGAGCCAGACCCCCAGGAAACGGAGGCTCGGATTGTGGGGGGCCGCTTTGATGCCTTCCAGCTGTACCCCAATACATCCCAGAGCGCCACCCTCTTCTTGCGAAAGGTTCTCTCTGTACATCCCTGGTGAGTGAGCCCCACACCTGCTATCCCCCAGTGTTACCTGCCCCTGGCCTGGCCTGTGCCAGAGATCTCCCAGCTCCTCCCCTGCTCCTAGGAAGAAGTCTGCTGCTTCTACTAAATGGTCATACTACCCACCATTTAAAGCCTGAGGCAGCCCCGTGCAAGGCAGACTCACTGTCCCCATTCCGGAGACTGGGGAACTGAGCTCTTGAGCTGCCCAAGATCACACATGTAGGGGTGGGATCCAGGACTGGGACATGGGTCTGCGGGAGGACAGAGCCCCGGCAGCTCCCAGAGCTTCCTTCCAGGTTCATCATCCCTGGCTCTGCCTGGCAGGAGCCGGCCCTCCCTGCAGGACTGCCTGGCCCACCCATGGTTGCAGGACGCCTACCTGATGAAGCTGCGCCGCCAGACGCTCACCTTCACCACCAACCGGCTCAAGGAGTTCCTGGGCGAGCAGCGGCGGCGCCGGGCTGAGGCTGCCACCCGCCACAAGGTGCTGCTGCGCTCCTACCCTGGCGGCCCCTAGAGGCACGGACCACAGCCAGGCCTCGGGCTTCAACTGGGGTTCCCACCAATGCCACGGGACATTCCAGGGCCCACGCTGAGCCAGGCGGGCCTGGGGCTTCGGTTACCACCAGCAGCAACATCTGGCTGGGCTCTTACCTCATAGACCTTCAAGGACAGAGACCCCAGGGCCTGGACCTGATGCCACCCCAGGCCAAAGCCAGAGTGGGAGACCCATTGGTCAGGCTCAGCAGGGTGGGAACAGGCAGAGGGACAAGAGGGGAATGGAGAAGTGGAGAGGAAAAGGAATCGAGGGACAGGAAGGGGGAGGCTCTAGGAAGGTTCTGGGTTGGGGGTCAGTGCATCTCAGGGAGAACCAAGGAAGGTGGGCATGGCTGGAGAGGAGGAAAAGGAAGGAGCCCCAGGTGTCAGGGCAGTAGGCTGGGAGTCAGTGTGGCAAAGCGGGGGCAGGACACAGATACAGTGGCAGGGGCCCAGGGCTGGGACATGAGAGAAGGCAGCGAGGCGGCAGAGGGAGAAGAGAGGACTCAGGTGGAGGTGGGGTGGGTCAGCTGTCAGCATCCCTCAGAGGAGAAATGTGGAGAGCTGGAGGCCAGCAGTCACTCACACTCGCTCTGTCCTCCTGTCCAGTGGATACAGCCCTGGGCGCTCTGCTGGCCCAAGGATGTCCCCACTGCCCCTCCATGGCCTCTGGCCTTCTTCCCATTCATATTTATTTATTTATTGACTTTTATGAAGTTTCCCCTTCCATCCGATCCCTACTGCCCATGTTGTCCTGACCATCCCTCCCAGCCATCCAGCTGTCTGTCTGTCTGCCACAAGGAAATAAAAATGGCAAGCAGCATAACCTGTGTGTCTATTGGGAGGGATGGCTGGAGGGGAAGATGGCTGGTGAGGGGTGAGTCCGGGACAGGGGCATTTAGCCCTCTCTGGGTATTCCCCAACACACACATTCAGGAATATACCAGCTAGCACTTTGGGTCCTTCCAACCCCCTCCCGTGACCCTCCTGGCCCCTCACCTCTCCTTATTCCTGGAGGGAGGGGAGACTGTGGTCTGCTTCTCCCCTTGCAGTTTCCGGAATGTTGGCAGATCCACTGAACCCCTGCAACCAGGCTCTAGTAGCCCCCACCTCTTGTCACGTGTTCCCTCATCACAATGTGGGGGATGCTGGGCTCTGAAATAGGCCAGCCCTCACCCCAATCCTGGCTCAGCCTTGTTCACTCTCCCCAGAAGACAGGCAGGAGCTCTGGTCCTGACCCCTGGAGCAGAGTGGGTTTCATCCTGATGGTTGGTGAGAGTAGGTAGTGTGAGGAGCTGCAGAAGAAACCAGGACAGGGAGGCTAAGGTGGCTGGATCACCTGAGGTCAGGAGTTCAAGACCAGCCTAGCCAACATGATGAAACCCCGTCTCTACTAAAAATACAAAAATTAGCCAGGCGTGGTGGTGCACACCTGTGATCTCAGCTACTCAGGAGGCTGAGGCAGGAGAATCGCTTAAACCTGGGAGGTGAAGGTTGCAATGAGCCAAGATTGCACCACTGCGCTCCAGCCTGGATGACAGAGTGAGACTCCATCTCAAAAAGAAACACTAGGACAGGCTCACACCCCTTGCCCTCCATGTCACAGCACATATCAGAGCACATGGAGAGCACCAGCTGGGAGTGCTCTAGTCTGCTGTGTCCAGCATTTTCCTAGGGCTGAGGGACACACCAGCCTGGACCTTCTTGTCCACATGGCAAGTTAGGAGGTCTGCTGGGTGCTAAAGCACCTCAATTCTAGCCACACCCGTGCCATAGAATGGTCACTGGGACCTAGGACTGAGCTGCTCTGCCCTGAGGTTGGGGACGAGGGATTGGGGGGTTGGCAGGGACCCAGACCTCCTTGTCTCCAGAGGAAATGTTTCCCTCATCCCCACCTTCAAAATTCTGTTCTTGGCAAAGTAAAAGGAACAAAGCCTCTGACCAGGGTAGACAGAGTTGTCACTGCTGTGTTGCTGATGGAGGTTGAGGGCCCCTTGGCTCCAGCCCAGACAACCCTTTTGCCCAGCCCAGCCCAGCCTCTCTAGCTTCTCAGGACCCCAGGGAAGAGGCAAGCCCCATCATCATAAAATAACAGGATGTTAAAGCCAGCTGGAAGGGACCAGAACGACACCTTGCCTACCTGTCATTTTAGCGATGAAGATATACAGTTTGCCTGTAAGAATCTCCAATCCCCTACACACTGCAAGTGTTTTGTATAAAAATGAGGTGCCTGAACTCATATCTTGATAAATGGTAAAATTCCTCTCCCGTCCCCGCTCTGATCTTGAGCTCCCTTCCCATCTCCATTGGAAATGGCATGTGAACTGCTTGTTCCAAACCCGGAGGAGCAAAGGTAATTTATGTCAGCAGAGCTATGTCAAAATTGCTCTGATCAAAACGTGACAGTGCCCCCACACTAGGGCGGGTAGTTCCAATGAATGGAAGCAATGCTTCTGCCCGGTGCCCGGCCTGGGCAGACTGGCCTCCAGGCAATCCCCAGAGGGGTTAACTGAACCCCTTCACCCCAGGTGGTCTGATGCCCCTATGCACCAATTTATGCCCCCAAAAAGGAATTGGGCAGACCTAGGGTTGGGGCCAGTAGTGGTGCTAATCTCCAAGGACAGTGCAGTCTAAACAGCCCCCACCATGTGACATCGAGGGGAGTGAGTGGGGATGGGGAAGGCATGGAGGGGCTGCTATTCTCAAAAATCTTTCCCGTCCCCTCCCGGTTTATCTCAGTTTACCGCCAGGGGGCACAGTGTGGAAGTGACAACCCTGGACTCCTGGGGTTGGGGGTAGGGGAAGAGTAAGGAGCTTCTGGATTGGTCTTGACAGCCACGTGGCCCTGTTGCCGTTAGCTGTAGGGGCCCTGAGGACCAAGTCCGATGCTACTCTGGCTGTATTCAGGGAAACCCCAGAAACACTCAAACCCCTTAACCAACAGGGTGTGTTGTCTGACTATCCAGAGCCCAACCTGATTGAAAAGCTGCCCCAGCAGGAAGCTGGATCTCTTGTCAGCTAGGGGCTGAATCTGGTCCTCCTGGGAGTGGGATGGATACCCCCTGCCCTGGGAGGGGACAGGGCAGCATCCAGCTGTCCAGCTGTCCAGGTGCTGACGCAAGGTGCACCTCAGAGCTGCTCGGGTTTCTCCCCACGGGCCTAGCCCAGCGGCTGAGCCAGCATCCCAGGCATCCACAGGCTAAATAAAGAGCCTGCCTGAGTCAGAGGGAGGCGGATGGGGCCCCGGGGGGCTTGGGGCAACCACGCCAAACAAGGCAAGGAGGGGAGCGATGTATAAAACCGGGCCCAGGGCTGAGCACCTGCCTGCACCCCTACTGTGCCATCCAGAAGGGCTCTGTGCTGCCTGCAATCCAGCCAGTCGACTCAAGTCCCTAGGTCAACCCCTCCACGGTGAGTCTGATCCTCAGAGAAGCCGCAGACACCCCCATTCCTCCATCTCCCTGAATGTTCTGACCAGGGAGGAAAAGGGCTGAAGGTGGGAGCCTCTGTCTCAACCTGGACCCCCATATTTGTCGCCCACTCCCCAGATGTCTAAAGCAGCTCCTGCCAAAAAGCCAGTGGCTGTGGCCCCAGCTCCTGGATGTACCCTGGACATCAATGACCCACAGGTCCAGAGTGCGGCCATTCGTATCCAGGCCTCTTACCGGGGCCACAGGTGAGAGGGAACCCCGGAGCCCTGTGGAGGAAGGGAGCTGCAGAGAGCGCACTCTTGAGTAGGGTTTGAGTAAGCGCTGAGCAGCGTCAGGAGCCTTTAGAATGAGTGGTCTCAGGGGAGGGTCGTTACTGAGGTATGGGGGAGTGGCCGGGAGGAATGCATCATCCTATCAGGGCAGCAGTTCAGGAGCAGTCCTCTTCCCTACCAAGCCACACGTTTAGGGGTCTGGCCGGTCCAGGGGGCAGGTAGGAGATGGTGCGCTCGCGGTAAGGGCTGTGGCCGGGCCTGTCTTAGGAACTCTGGGCCCTGACTCGGCCCGCGGGTAGGTCCCGGAAGGAGCTGCGCGAGAAGGGGCCGCCGCGGGTGCTGGAGCCGCTGAAGGACGTGGTGCTGATCGAAGGCAGCGCGGCCAAGCTCACTTGCCGCATTTCGGCTTTCCCGGACCCATTCATCCGCTGGAGTAAGGACGGCAAGGAGCTACGTGACGGTCCCAAGTACCGCTACGTCTTCGAGGACCCTGACGTGGTGGCACTGGTGGTGCGCGACGGCGAGCTGGCAGACCTGGGCCAGTACAGCATCAACGTCACCAACCCCTTCGGCCAGTGCTCCGACTCGGCGCGCATCCTCGTGGAAGGTACGCGCGCCCCGGGCGCAGCGCCAGGGCGCAGACCAGCACCACTCAGCCAGAGCCCGCAGCCCGGTCCAGCTGCGCGTGTTTACCTCTGGGCCTAGCTACAGGGTCCCCGCCAGCCCAGCTCTGGGCACGGCCTGGGGCGCATCGCCGCGCCAGCCAAGTGCGTCCTTCCCTACCTCGGGATCCAGCTCCACCCGGGCTGAGCAGTCAGCTGTGGACTTCCATCACGCGGCTCCGGGTCCCCAAGGTCACACAGCAAGCCAGAGGCAGAGCCAGGGTTGGACCCGGGTCTTCTGGCTCCCAACTCTGGCAATTTCCACTACCCGGAGCGGTCTCTGAGGCACCGCGAGATGTGTGAACATTCAGGGGCTTTCGCCCGCCTTATCTCTCTTGATCCTCTATTCGACCCCGAGAAGTAGGAGAGGCAGGGATAAGTCCCTTTAACAGCCAAGGAGATGAAACCAGAGAGGCTAATGATTTGCTCAACGTCACACTGCGAGTTTAAATGCATCTGTATTTAGTGCCGGGTATTAGCCGGTGAGGTGATGCCCTGCCTCATCTCCGGGTCCTTCACGGGGTTTCGCTCCCCTTTCCTTCCGCTAGTCCCGACGAAGATTCAAAAGGGACCCGACAACACTAAGGCGCGCAAAGGCACCACCGTGACGCTGACTGCGGAGATCCTGGGAGAGCCTGCGCCCGACGTAGGCTGGACCAAGGACGGGGAGGACATCGAGGAGGATGACAGGCGAGGGCCGGGACCTGCGGCACGGCCAGGGCCTGGGGCTGGAACCTGGGTGGGACTGAGCCCAGAAATCTGGCTGGAGTGACGGGGGCGGGGACTGGGCAGCGAGGAACAGAGCTGGCTAAGGAGCCCCGCCCAGTGCGCCCGTGTACTGACCACGGCTCCGCCCTCCTCCCCGCCGCCCTTCCGCAGGGTGTTCTTCGAGATCGGCAGCACCACCACGACGCTGACCATTCGCCGGGCCACGCCTCAGGACAGCGGCAAGTACGAGGTGTACGTGGAGAACAGCCTGGGCATGGACCAGAGCTTCGCTCGCGTCGACGTGGCCTGAACGGCACCCCCGGACCTTCCGCCCTGGCGCCGAGCCCGGGGGTGGTGGGACCCACAGCCCTCCACCAGCTTGCTTAATAAAGCTGCTCTCTGACCCTCCGCGTCTGTCCTGCTCTTCCGCGTCGCCATTCCCTCTCCCCCGCACCAGCGCCCACACGTATTCCAGACCCCCACGCCAAGGTCACAGCCTGTTGGAGTCACAGGGAGGTCTGGAGAGCGCCTAGCGCCGTGCTGCATTTCAGACAGTCAAACTGATAAGAGTTGCCCTCGCCGTCCAAGGCGCCCTCACTTCCCAGCGGTACCGCCGGCTGGGCCTGGGACTCCGCCTTCTCCGCTTTTGAGCGCCTCCAGCCCCAGCCCCTTGTGGCTGTTTGCCCCTGGCCCCGCCCCTTCCAGGGCTGGCCACACACCCCTGCTGTCCTTAGTCCCGTTTTCCTGTGGGACCCAGTTCCTCACTTCGGCTGCTGCCCCGAGGCCGATTCCCCAACAGCTCGGGTCCCAGTCTTAAGTTCCAGGCTGGGCTTCTCAGGCCCCACCCTTCTTCGCATTTAACCCCGCCCCGCGATCCCTTGGTCACACCCCTGGACTTCAGCACCTCTTTCCTCTCCCATAAAGTTAGAAAGCGGGTAAAGGGTCAGACTACAATTCCCGGCAGACCCTGCGAATGAGTTCTCGCGACTTGCGAGAAGACACGTGCGCGGAAGGAGCTTGCAGTAGCGGGCGGCAGAGCTGGAGTGAAGGGAGCTAGTGGTAAAGGGAGCTGGTGGAGGGGTGGCGGCAGGGGTAAGGGGCAGGGGACACCCTCTAGACGGAGAGCGGGCTCCGAGGTCCTGGCTGGCCCTCGGTGCGCCCGCCCCTGTGTTGGTCCCACAATCCCTGGCAATGAGAGGCCAGGGTTTATTGGACAGAGTCAGTTGTGGGGTTCAGAGGGTCAGCAATCAATCAATCCTCCGAATCCAGAGATTTAGACCCAGTCGTCCGTATTAGGACTGGAGGGGGGTCAATAGGTTCAGTGTTTGAGATGCCAAGGGAACCTGTCTTTTGATTTGGGGTTCAACATACAGAGGTTAGTTTTAGGATTCATGTTTAGCATATAGAGGATTTTTGCTGGGATTAGGGGTTCTTCAAATTCAGATCAGTGTTAGTTCAGTACTTGGGGATTACGTTCAGGATTTAAGTTAAATATCTGAGGCTCACTCAGGGTTTGCTGTCCAATATTCAGGGTTCACTATTGGGGTTCAGGGCTTAATATCTAGAATGAAGACGCAACACTTTGGGAATTTGAGGCTTCAGTATTTTGAGGTTTGGGTCTGAGAAGGGAGTCTCTGCCAGGTTTCTGAATTTGCAGAATTTGTTCATGGCCAGAGGGAAGTCTTTTAGAGATCAAATTGTGGGGTGTGAATTTCAGAATTTGGGAGGAATCACTGTGAGGTTTGAAGGCCGACTGGAATCTGGGTTGGGATTTGAGATGTGTGGGATTTGTGAGGTTCTGTCCAGGCAGGGACTATATTGAGCTTTGGGTTTACATCTTGGGGGAGGGCTAAGTGCTGCTATTTGGGGTTTGGGGTTTGGTTGGGGTGTGAGATCTGAGCTTGATTTCTCTGCTGGGATTTGAGATGTGTGGGATTTGTGAGGTGTTGGGTCCAGGCAGAGACTATATTGAGCTTTGGGTTTACATCTTGGGAGAGGGCTAAGTGTTGCTATTTGGGTTTTGGGGCTTGGTTGGGGTAGGAGATCTGAGCTTGATTTCTCTGTTGGAATTTGAAGTTTAGGTAGCAGTCACCATTATGCTCAAAGCGGTGATCCTGATTGGAGGCCCTCAAAAGGGTGAGGTGCCAGGGGAATGGGGGGAGGAGGTTGGGCTGGAGTGGTAGGCGGGATGGGGGCAGAGGAAGGCAGGAGGCCGAAATGTTCTCCTCTCTCCTCTCCCAGGAACTCGCTTCAGACCTTTGTCTTTTGAGGTGCCCAAACCATTGTTTCCTGTGGCAGGGGTCCCTATGATCCAACACCATATTGAAGCCTGTGCCCAGGTAACCTCAGGGGCTCCCCTCTCTCACCTCACTTCCTGCTTATCTTCATGCTGTTTCCCCCTTTCCCAACCATGAACTCTTCCCACCAGGCATAACTCCAAGGACCATCATTCACAGATGACAATGTGAATGGCGCCCCCTCAAGTTATGCTGTGCAGCTGCCCTGCTGTCTTCCCCTAATCTAGTTTCTCATCTGGCCTCTTCCTGCTCAGATTTCACTCCTATTTTTAAAGTGTGGAATGTGAGATCAGGCAAGGATCTTGGAGACAATGTAAAGCCGTAGCATGGAGACTCTTAATGATAACCAAGCACAAATTCATATCCTTGATCACATTGTTGCTCATTTCTTTATTGCTTTTCGTATTGAGCCAGGCAAGGTTTTGGTTTGAATTCAGTCTCTGCCTGCTGTGAGGTCTGCAACAAATAACACACCCTCTCTGACACTCAGTTTCCTTATGTGTAAAATGGGGGTGATTAGACCTACCTTGTTGGGTGGTGAAGCTTAGAAATGATATTTGTAAAATGCCTAGTACAACGCAGACCCTTGATAAATGGTACCCTTACCTCATGCTGATCTCAAGCTTAGGCTGACAGATAATAAAAATGGCCGGGGGGGAGGGGGCGGGGTGGAAATGGATTAATGCAGCTTGGTAGGCAAAGTCTTTCTTAGAGTGAGTCCCAGTTCAGGTTGGTGGGGGTAATAATTGATTGAAAGATCAGGCCTGGCATGGTAGCTCATGTCTGTAATCCCAACGCTTTTTGAGGCCGAGTCAGGAGGATCGCTTGAGGCCAGGAGTTCTAGCCTAGCTTTGGCAACATCAAGAGACCCCTTCTCTACAAAAAGTTTAAAAATTAGCTAGATGTGATGGCCTGGCTGTAGTCCTAGCTGCTCTAGAGGCTGAGGCAGGTGGTGACATGGCTGTAGTCTTCAATACTCAGGAGGCTGAGGTGGGAGGATCGCTTGAGCCCAGGACGTGGAGGCTGCAGTGAGCCAAAATCATGCCACTGCACTCCAGCCTGGGCAACAGAGCGAGACCCTTTTTCACAAAAATAAAACAAAACGAAAAAAGATCAGGCCTCCGACTTCCTCCAAATTCCTCATTGTCCAGAGGAGAAAATAGCCCAGAGTGGTGAGTGCCCTGGGGCCCCACAGCTGAGACTGAAACTGGTTTCTGGACTTTGGGCCAGCACCAAGGATTTCCCCAACATCCCCTCCTATTAGATATTCTTCATCCCAGCCTCTTCCCTTGTCCTCAGGTCCCTGGAATGCAGGAGATTCTGCTCATTGGCTTCTACCAACCTGATGAGCCCCTCACCCAGTTCCTAGAAGCCGCCCAGCAGGAGTTTAACCTTCCAGTCAGGTGTTTGTGCACACACTCGTATATGGGGGGGTGGGGATGCCCTAGGCCTCTGAGTTCTTGGAAGTGGGTTGAGTCAGCATTTGCTGGAGTTCATCCTCGCCTACTAGAAGGATTCTTGTTTGGACATCAATGAATCTCTGAGTATATAGAGTTTCTCTGTGGGCCTTGGGCAGGAGTAGTCCTGGGAGCAAGCGGTGGCGGTCAGGTGCCCTGGCTCATGGTATCTGTTTCCTAAGATCCACTGAGCTGGCTCTCGGGTCCCTGGGGACAGGTACCTGCAGGAATTTGCCCCCCTAGGCACAGGGGGTGGTCTTTACCATTTTCGAGACCAGATCCTGGCTGGGAGCCCCGAGGCATTCTTCGTGCTCAATGCTGATGTCTGCTCCGACTTCCCCTTGAGTGCTATGTTGGAAGCCCACCGACGCCAGCGTCACCCTTTCTTACTCCTTGGCACTACGGTGAGGGGGTCAGGAGGGCTGGAGGGTGTAGAGGAGGTGATCCCAAGAGCTTCCCGGAATTCAGGGTGTTGGGGAGGCAGGGGCGCCCCGGGAGTTGGTGTGGGAGCTGGCGTCAGGAGGGAGATGCGCTGCTCTGGCAGCATGGAGGTGTTAGTGGAGACCCCGAGCCCTCTGGCTGTTCAGAAGTAGGGAGGGGGAGGGCAGCTGTCAGTTTCCACCCTTGCTGAAGGCCTGTCAGTGGCAGAGCTGCATGCCAGGTGCTGTAGCGGAGGGAAAGAAAGAAAAAACAGACGTGGCTGCCCTGGAGCAGGCGGGTCACTGTCTCGGGTGTGTCTGTCTTTCAGGCTAACAGGACGCAATCCCTCAACTACGGCTGCATCGTTGAGAATCCACAGACACACGAGGTGAGAGCAGAGTGGGGGCTGGGTGGGTGCCTACTCTGTGTCATCATCCCCTCTACCTCAGGCCTCTAGAGAATGCTGGCACAGTATGGGGTGGGCTCTAGTCTTGTCAGACAGGTGAGACACTCCCGATTAATCATCTTATATCCCTTTAAGAGAGATTGACCAGGGGGAGGGGGGGAATGGTTAATTTCCCTGGGGGTGGTGCTGTAATAAATGTATGCACAGTGCATGATGGGAACACCAAGGGGGCCCCAACCCAGCCTTGCTGGGGTGGGAGTAGAGAGGGCTTCCTGGAGGAAGCAAGGTCTGAGCAGAGTCCCATTTGTCTAGATGACAAAGGAGACAGGAAGGTACTACAGGCAGAGGGAATGGCAGGTATAAAGGCCTGGAGGCAGGAAGTAACATACCAGAAGCAGGAGCATGATAGGCAGGGCAGCAGGGCTCTGTCCTGTTTTGTGAAACTCCCTTCTCCTAAGCCCCTTGACTTTCACATAACCCTCCCTCCTTTATTTATTTATGTATGTATGTGTTTATTTATTTATTTTGAGACAGAGTCTCACTTTGTCTTCCAGGCTGGAGTGCAGTGGCATGATCTTGGGTCACTGCATCCTCGACCTCCCAGGTTTAAGCCATCCTCCCACTTCAGCCCCTCAAGTAGCTGGGACTATAGGCATGAGCCACCATGCCCAGCTGATTTTTTTTTTTTTTTGAGACAGAGTCTCACTCTGTTGCCCAGGCTGGAGTGCAGTGGTGCGATCTTGGCTCACTGCAGCCTCTGCCTCCTGGGTTCATGCCGTTCTCCTGCCTCAGCCTCCTGAGTAGCTGGGATTACAGGCAGGTGCCAGGCTAATTTTTGTATTTTTAGTAGAGACAGGCTTTCGTCATACTGCCCAGGCTGGTCTCGAACTCCGGAGCTCAAGTGATCCACCTACTTCAGCCTTCCAAAGTGCTAGGATTATAGGCATGAGCCACCACCATACCTGGCGTCACATACTCCTTTTATTTGTTCGTGCTTTAATATAAAACATACATATAAACACGCACACACACATGCATGTACACACCTACACACATATAGTTTTGTGCTCAGCACCAGGTAGCTGTGAGAGAAACAGAGCCAAATGGGTGCAGTCCCTGCCTCTTGGTTACTGTGAGTCTAATAGGAGTGACAGAATCAAAAGGCAACCTTTGCAAATGATACAATGCCATGGGTGAGGCGTGGCCAGAGTTCAGGAGTGCCCAGGCATGAACAGCTAACTCGGGCCAGCAAGAGAGGACGCACAGAGAGAGTGACAGTGTCAACTGGGTTTGGAAAGGTGGGCTTTCCAGATGAAGAGATGAGAAAGGCCATTCCAGGCACAGGCATGCAGTCGGGTGGAAATGCGTCTGAGAGGTAGGTGGTGGGGAGGATCAGGCAGGGAAAGCCATGGACTTTGGATTTATCTGAAGCTGAATCAGGTGAAGGGCAGTCATCTCAGGGTTTAAAGCCAGGCAGCAGTAGGATGCGGATGCGCACTGCATTTTAGCCAGGCCACCCTGGCAGCAGGGAGGAGAGGCAAGAAGGGCCTAGAAATCAGAGGGTCTTAGGGGACTGTGGCGGTAGTCCCTTCTTCTACTGAACCCAGCCTGCTCTGTCCTCAGGTATTGCACTATGTGGAGAAACCCAGCACATTTATCAGTGACATCATCAACTGCGGCATCTACCTCTTTTCTCCTGAAGCCTTGAAGCCTCTTCGGGATGTCTTCCAGCGTAATCAGCAGGATGGGCAATTGTGAGGCAGGCCCCATAGCCCTGTGACCCCAAGTACCCCCAGTCACGGACCCCAACACATACCAGTCTCTGCAGGCTCCATCTCAACTTGCTCACCTTCCTCCTCCCCTCTCCCTTCTCCACTTGCCATCTCCAGCAGAGCCTCCTGAGTCCCTCCCCTTCTAACCTCATTCTGTCCCTCTTCCTTATCCATCCCAGTTCCTCCTCTGTCACTGCCTGCCCACTCCCCTTCTGGTCCATTTCTCCTAAGCCCTGAGTGTCCCAGAGACGTCTTTCAGAACAGACAGCAACACACAGTTGGGCGCACACATGCTCGGGTGCAGACGTGTGCACGTGCACACACAGACAGACATGCATACTCTCAGGCTGAGGCTCCCCTTGGAACATAGCACCAGAGCCCTGCTCACCAGTCCCAGGGTCTTCCCTCCTGGGGCTAGAAGCTGTTCCCTTCTAGGGATCCTTGCCTTAACCCCCCACCGCCCCATCTAAGGCCTCCTCTGCTCATAGCCATTTCTCACTCCCACCCGTGTCTCTGCTTCCCTCTCCATCTCTCCTGGCCTCTCTGTCTCTGTCTCTGCTGAGCTGGCATCTCTACCATCTCTCTCTCCCTTTCTTTCTGTGACTGTCTCTGCCCTCACCAGCTGCCTTGCTCTGGGGTGAGTCTGTCTGTGTTTCATTCCATCCAATGAGGGGGAGGGTAACTTGGAGGGGGTAAAGGGCTGAATGGGGATGAGAATGTGAAAATGGGGGGAACTCCTTATGGAAATGGGGCAGGGATGGGAAGCAGGCCTCTGCCTGGGGCTCCCTTGTGATAGCACCCACCCAAGTGGGGGCTGGGTGGGAGAGGTTCCTGGGATGTGAGCAGCCACATCCCAGAGAGGGCCGAACCAGACCTGGAGAGAGGGGCTTAGAGAGGTGGTGGGAATCCTCCTACTCCTGTCCCTGGGAGACTGTGTTAGCCCCACAGTCGGGGCTCAGCTGGGGGACTAATGTCAGCATTCTTCCTCTCTGCCAGGGAGGACTCACCAGGCTTGTGGCCAGGGGCAGGTACCATCCGCCTAGAGCAGGATGTGTTTTCAGCCCTGGCAGGGCAGGGCCAGATATACGTGCATCTCACTGATGGTATCTGGAGTCAGATCAAGTCCGCAGGGTATGGAAGGCTGGGTCCCCTGGGGATTGAAATTTTGGGGTGGTGGGCACAGGCCCTGCTGACCCCTGAGCCCCTGTCCCCCTTGCGGTCCCCAGTTCAGCCCTCTACGCCTCCCGCCTCTACCTGAGCCGATACCAGGACACTCACCCAGAACGGCTGGCCAAGCACACCCCAGGGGGCCCATGGATCCGAGGTACCCAGCCTGCCCCAATTCCTAACCTTTGGCTTCCACCCCAGCCCTCTGAACCAGGATTCTTGACCTCGAGTCCAGAGTTAAAGCCTCAATCCCTGCCCCTTCCTGATCAAATTCGGTTTGGGATATTTGCCCCCAGGGCCTCTCTTCTGCTTCTAGGGAATGTGTACATCCACCCGACCGCCAAGGTGGCCCCCTCGGCTGTGGTGAGCACTGGTCCCAGCCCCAGGGAGGGAAGGGTGGTGGTCGGATGGATGGAGGGTGCCCACGCTGCCTGAGTTCTGGGTGCCGGTTTCTTCACTTTGTCACAGCCTATTGTGTGTCCTCGAGCAGGTCACTTATGCCTTATCTGTTCTAGAAGGGAGTTGGGTTTGGGGATCCTCCAAGTCCCTCCAGGGCTTATGGTGTGTGCTTCTCTCCACAGCTGGGCCCCAACGTCTCCATCGGGAAGGGGGTGACCGTGGGTGAGGGTGTGCGGCTCCGGGAGAGCATCGTCCTCCATGGAGCCACTTTGCAGGTAGGTACCAGCATACACAGCAGCATGTGACACCCCAAGAGGCTGCGGGGAGGGCCCAGGCATCCCCCCAAGAACAGAGAAGGGTGAACGCCGTGGGCTCTGCATCTGGCCACACCTCACACCCTCCGGTTCCTGCTGCCTCCTGCCTCTTCCCCTTACCTTTCACTGTCCTCTTTGGCAGGAGCACACGTGTGTTCTGCATAGCATCGTGGGCTGGGGGAGCACCGTGGGACGCTGGGCCCGCGTGGAGGGTACCCCCAGTGACCCTAACCCCAACGATCCCCGAGCCCGCATGGACAGTGAGAGCCTCTTCAAGGACGGGAAGCTGCTGCCTGCTATCACCATCCTGGGTATGGCTTCCTGGGGGCCAGGGCTGGGGGAACCCCTCAGCTGATGGCCAGTGGCCCCGGGGAGCATTCGTTCCTCTGTGTGCACGCGTGTTTCTTCTTTTAGCAAACAGTTACCAAGGGCCTGCTGTGTGCCAGGCCCTGTGTGAGTCACCGGGGGCATGAGACCAGGGGCACAGATGGGCAGGAGGGCTCCCTCCCTGCTGGCAGTGGCCCCCAGCTCCCTGCCCCTGTCTCCCCTCCCATGACCTCCCCTGGTGCCCTCATCCATGCTGCAGGCTGCCGAGTCCGGATCCCTGCCGAGGTGCTCATCCTGAACTCGATTGTTCTGCCACACAAGGAGCTGAGCCGAAGCTTCACCAACCAGATCATCCTCTGAGTAGGGCTGCCAGAAGGCCCCCAGCTCCTACCCACTCCCCTTGAGGCTGCTGCCTGCTTGGCCAGCCTCTGTCCAGAAAGGACCAGAGAAAGCCAGGCTGGATCGTCACATGCCGGGGAGCAATGTGGATGGCCTGGGGACTCCTGGGTTTTCTCCCTCCCGACTCCCTAATAAACCCCGTGAACCTTGGAGCCAGCACAGACTGTACTTATGTCTGGGCTGGGGGTGGGGGCGGAAGCGGGGCAGCTGAGTCAGGCCCCCCCACATTAGCATTTAAATTGGAGTCGTTGCTGTGGGCTCATGAATAATGAATCTGGAGCCCTGGTAAATCTCCCCCTCCCACTGCCTCAGCCTCGTGCTGCTCGGGAGGAAGGCCCTCTAGGCTCCCCTGCCAGCCTGGTCCCCCCCTTCACCCCTGCCTCCCTGCCTCCCTGTTCCTCCTCACCGGGCCTGGCTCAGGCCCCCATGTGCAAGGATTCCGAAGGGAAGGGTGAAGGATTTTGGTTGGGCAGCAGGCAGAGGAACTGGGGCCACAGGCCTAGAGGCTGATCCCCACAGCCCGCTCTGCTCGGTTCCCGCTGAGCCCAGCCCTGGCCGGTTTTCCGCTTTGCCAGCTCCATCTGCTCCCAGCTTGGCTTTTGGCAGGGTGGGGGTTTTGCCTCTGCCCGAGGCCTCATGTCTCTGTCTTCTACTCCCCTGGCAGGCTGGGTGGGCCTGAGCTGGTGCCATTCTCTTCGGAAGCACAGTGGGAGGTACCCTGTTCTGGGAAGGCCCTCACCACCTCCTGTCCCCCTGGCCCTGCCCTTTGGTAGGTCTCAGCCCTCCTCTCCCAGCCATCTCTCATGTTTGCCCATGACCCCCATGTGCCCCTCTTGGTGCCCCCCTTCCCCAGCTGTGGGTGTGGAGCTGTGTTGCCAGATGAGCTGGTAATGATCGTAATCTGCTAATTGAGAGGAATCTAATTACCCGAAGAGAATGGGGGGTGCAGGGCATGGGTGGGAGAAAGGAGGGGGTCCTGGCAGCAGGCAGGGGTGGCAGGCAGCAGGGTGCTGGGGCCTTGTTATCAGCACCAGGCTCTGGGACAGAGCCCAGGGTTTCATAGCTTCATAGCCTGGCAGTTAGGAAGCTGCGCCTTCTCAGGAGCTGGACTGAGGTTGACTTGGGGATTGGGCCAAATGTGACCTCCCAGGCCCCTCAGGTCCCGTGGGCTGTGTGCCAGCATGTAGGGAACGATCTACACAGTGTGGGGTTTAGCAGTCCTGACCTATAAGCTGTCCCTAGTTCCTCAGTTCCTCCTGTCCTGGCCTCCAGCCCAGACCTTCATTATCTCTCTTCATGGGAGTGGGAGGGGGCTGCAGGTCCCCACTCTGGGCTGGGGTCATCACCCCAAGGAAGGGGCTGGGAGAGGGTGGGCCATAGGACCAGGGGCTAGGTCCCTTCCCTCTCCTCCCCCCTAGTCCTGACCCTTCTGTTCCGAGTGGTTGGCAGAGGCCATGGCAGCTCCATCATAAATATGATAATTTAATTATTTTCTCAGCAAAACACCGTGAAATCCAATAAGTCTGTGTCAGGCCCTGGCCCCCGGGATCCCCCTCCTAGACCCAGTGGGGGTGGGGACATGGTGGGGAGAGGCAGTGGAAGGGGAAAGGGTCAGTGTTTGAAGGGGGGTGCCGCTAGCAAAGCTGAGGTCTTTGTAACATGCCCCCCAGAGGTCTTTGTAACATGCCCCCGAGATTGAAGGAGTCACCATTGTTGGGGGGGGTCTAAGAAGGACATGCCCCCCCCACTCCTCCCCAACCCACTTCTGTGCTGGGAGGGACCTAAAGTCCCATCCATCTCTGAGAGACCCAAGATGGAGCACCTGCCCCTGGACGGGGTGCAGGGGGCCCCTTTGTCCACCGCTGCTGGGACCCTGTGCCCAACCATCATTGGCTGTTTAGGGGTAGGAGGGCGCCAGCCCGGGGAGGGTCTGGGAAGGGAGAAACAAGAGGGAACTGGGGTGGGAAGTGGGGGATGAGCGGGGGAGGGATGCGGGGGAGGGGTGCGCTCCTGCCATTAGTGCTTTTTTCAGTTTCCATAAAAAGATTATTCTGTAAAATCAGCGAGGGGGAGCAAGCTGGGGGCCGGGGAGGGGGGTGGGTCCCTGGCACCAAGCTGGATAGGGCGACAGGGGAGGAGAGCCGGGGACAGGGACCGAGTGTGGAGAGAAATTTGGATGGGCTTCAGGAGCCAGCCGAGGGGGAAAGGCTGAGCCAAGAACACAGACTTGGGGGAGGCTGGCCAGGACAGGGTGGGGTGGGGGCAGAGCCCTCATCTCCCTCCAGTCCCCTAGGCCAGGCTGCCAGGGGGCCCAGTCCCACCTCCATCTCAATCCCCTCCCCCTGGCACTTAGCAGCCATTATCGGGGGAGCAGATTGCAGCCCCCTCCCCCTCTCTGGGAAGCAGGCACAGCTGGGGCCCCACCACATCTGCTGCATCCGCACGGAGCACAGCTGGGTGTGCCCAGAGCTGCACTCCCCAAAACACAAAGGGGGTGGAAAGGGGTGGGTGGGGGCCAAGGAGAGCCCAGACCCCTGAGACAGACACACTGACACCTCTGCCAACAGACACATACTCTTTGAGGCGAAGCTACACCCACTGACACACGCTCCCTCGTGTGCAGAGACGGGAGAACTGGCAAACATGCAATTACCCGGCCCCGCCTGCCACCCCCGCTCCCCTTCCCCAGCCCCTCCTGCTCCCCTTCCTTCCCTGAGGCTCCCCTCTGCCGCCATGGCCACCTCTGAACTGCCCTGGGCTCTGGTGTGGAGGGAGTGGGGGACCTCACACACCCCAAGTACATCCTGGGAGGCTCAGAGAGCAGGAGGGCAGGGGGTGGTGAGGGGTGTCTGAGTTCAAGGGGTGATCTCTGGGAAGCCATCTGCCCTCCTTCCAAGCCCACACCCCTCCCCATGAAGAAGCCCCCTCTGAAATTGATCTTTGCCACAGCCTGGGCACTACAAGGTCTCGGTGCCAGCGCTGATCGCTGCGGCACCCTTGTGCTCCACTGGCCACCTCAAGGGGGTGCTGTGTGTTCTCAGTCTAGCCTTCAGCTCAGCTGCTAGGGTTGGCCCCTGCCACTGCCCCCACCCCCAAATCCGCCCGTTCTCGATCCTCGGTAGTGCGTCCCTCTGCTGCCCCTGACATGCATGGGGTGTGGGGGGCGGGGGCTCTGTCAATGGCAGAAAAGTCCCCCTCTCCTAGGACAGAGGAGAGAAGGATCAGGAATTCCTTCTCTCCTCTCCCCGTCGATGACCACCTCTTGGCCCCTGATGAAACCCTGCCGTCTTCACAGCCCTCACTTTTCCCACTTATCTCCTTGGCCCTAGTGTCTTGCCCTCAACCTTCTCCTCCCTGCCCCACCCCCCAATTCCCACACCGCTCCCCACATGCCCCTCGGAGCTCTAATCCCTCCTGCTGCTGTGCCGCCTTATCTGCTCCCAGCAGCTTTCGCTGCTGCAAAGCCCTCTCCCCCTCCTTCCTCAGCTCTCTCCGCTCTCTGACCAGCACCCCCTCCCGGCCAGCCTGTCTCTGCCACTCAGGCCCCCGCTGTGGCTACTGGCTGACACCGCCTCTGTACCCCATGCCCTTTGCCCTCTGCAGCCTCAGCTCCGAGGTTGTCGGCTGCACACCCACTCCCACGATGGCTGCGTCCATCCCAGCCCTCCCCCGCAGGCCCCACAGACTTTGTTAGTTTCTGGCCAGCCAGGATTTTTCATCTTCCTGCCCTCCCTTTCCTGGTGTCTTCCCCACTTCCTCCTGATGCCCCCATCCCATCTTGGACCTGGTGTCCTTATAGTCCCAGGGACCCGTTGCCTTGGCTTGGGAGTACCCGAAAGGAGATGGGAAGTGTTGGTATGAAACTCGGGAGAAGGTGCTGGGCTGGGTTGGCCCTAGAAAGATGGGGTGGGGGTGCAAGGAGTACTGGCGGACAGTGGGGGCAGGGCCTGGCGGTGGGACGCTAACCCTCTTCAGTCGCCTCAGATCACGTTCGGGACTCCCCACCCCCCTTCTCTGGGACTCTCATTAACCGCTTCTCCTGCCTCGTCCGCGGCATAAATAACCCAGATAAATCAGCCGCCGTCCGCCCCCCGCCCCTCGGCCCCTGCACAGCCCGTTTGTCACCGCTGTGTGCTCACCAGCCAGGCCTGGACCAGCCCAGCCCCAGCCCCCCCATCCTTGTCCCTTACCGCCCACATCTGTCCCACACTGGCTCATCACTTGGTCCGCACCAGGGCCAGGTGTCTGGGCTGGGGAGGGTGTCCTCTGGGTGCAGGGGGAGGGAGGCTGGGCATCTTTTGGAGAATGCTGTCTAGGAGTTCAGGGGGTCACAGCATTTTTGAATGGGGCCAGCCAGGCAAGGAATCTGGGCATCAGCTTGGGGGTTCCTGTGCTTTGAGAAAGCACCCTTGGAACCCCCCAGGTTGGATCCTGGGAGGTCTCTGGGTCTGCCTTTGGGGCACTTTGCCCAAACAAAATCTCCATGCCTCCTCCCAGGAACCTTGAGCCAGAAACCCACTGCTCTCCCTGTCTCTCCCCCCGACTGCATGCACTGCCCCCCCCCCACATTCTGCCCTGTTACCAAACCTCGTCCCAGTCCATCTACCACTCATTCTCACTGTCAGGAAGCTCATCCCCTGGGGGGCGGAGGCAGGTGAATTGGACTGGGAATAAATCTGAGGAATGGGGACAACCAGAGAGCAAAGGAACCTGGGATGAGGCTTCACATTCTGACCCCGCAACACCCAGCTCCCCGGCACTCCCAGTCCAGGGTCCCTAACAGCCCTGCCCCCTTTGCTCACACCCAGCTCAGGGCCTGGCCAGCCACACTTGTCCCTGATGCCTCACTGCAAGGGGCAGCTGGTCCCCCGGGAGTGGGTGGGGGAAGCAGGGAGGGGTGGGGGAGCTTGGGCGCAGGGCCGGGGTGGGGGTGGGGAAGAAGCTGGGCCGGGCCCCAGGGACCAGCTGGGCAATGAGCCGGGGAAGCAGCCGGGAGGCTAAATGAGGGAGATTATCACCCAACTGCAGCCGGGCAGAGAGGGAGGCAGGCAGGGAAGCGGGGAGAGGGAGGAGAGAGGGGACGGGGCCAGAGGCAAAGGGGGTATAGAGAGACAGGGAGGGGGCCAGAGGGCCTGGTGAGAAGCGGAGGGAAAGGTCAAGAGATGAGCTGGAAGTATGGGGGCACTCCCTCAGAACATCACCAGATTCCTGGAGATCTGGGAGACTGGAGGCTGGGGGCTTGGGGACAATTGGAGACAGCTGGCTGTGGGGCAGTGGTGGGGGTGTGCATGCAGCTAATTGCTGCTCCACTTCCTGGCAGCCTGGAGCTCCCCTCACAGCACCCCCCGCATGCCCCTTATACCCAGTTACCACCCGATTTCTTTCCTTATAGAGGTTGAAGGCATCCTGCCTACCCTCAGGAGGAAAGAGGATGTGATTTGTCTCATGATGGAGGCCAGTATGTTGTCGGGGAAGTGTGACCCCAAGATCTCAATAGATGGTGGGTGAATTTAGAGATATGTATGCACTCCAGGGTAGCAACGAGTGCTGCGGAGAGTTTGGGGGGCAGTTTCCCGCTTTCTTGGCAAAGCCCCAGACTAAAGTAACCTTAAAAAGCAATTAAATCACCTTTTAAAAAAAACAGTAAAGAAAAATCAATATTAGGAGAAAGGAGAAGAGAGAGAAGGATGGGGAGGAACAGTGGGGGGAGTTCTGGAAAGGTTTGGAAGTCTACCAGGGAGGGGAGAGCATAGGAGGCGGCTGCCTGGGCATGGGACAGAGAGAGGGGGCTGTCTGTGGTCACTTGGCCACTTTCAGTGCTAACTCAGCGGCTTTGTCCAATGCCAATCCCACTTTCCCTTCTGGGACACTATGTCCCAGCCAGATGCATCACCCTGCCCCAGGGGTCTTATCTTCCCAGCTTGGGGAACCAGCTGACCCAGACTCATTGGAGGCTTGTGGGGAAGCCCAGCTGTGGGGTCCCTGGGGAAGCCACTTTGCCTAAAGGCTAGGGACAACCTAAGCAGGGCACCACGCATGGTCAGGGCTGGGTGTGTGGGCAGGCTCCATGCTGGGGTGACCCTGATGGGGCCTGACCTGGCCTTGCAGCCAGGGTGGGCAAAGTGGCTTCCAGCTGCTAAGGGAGCCATCCCTAGGCCCCTCCCCTGGGGCCAGGCAGAGGCTGCGGGGCCAGGCCTGACGCAGGGGGCGGGGTGGCCGTTGGGCAGCGGGTGGACCTCGGGCTCTAATCCCCAGCAGCTGCCGTTTCCCTCAGATCGATTCCTTTCTCACTTTTTTTCTCAGCTGCTGGTTCTGCGGCTTGGATCGATGGAGCCACCTCCCCCCGCCCGTCCACGCTTCCTCTCCCTGCTGCTCATTAGCGCCCCGATTAATCAGCCCCCCTTTCCTCCCGGGGACAAGGGCTTCCTCCCCCGTGAGGGCACATGCTGTCGGATGGGGCCCCAGAGCACAAGCACTGATTCTTGCCACCCCCACCCTGGGGGCATGGATGCATCCCCTCCTGGCCAGTCAACTGAGGCTCCCACCCCCACCTATGATGATGGCCCACATGCCTGTTCCCCTCCACGAGAACACAGCAGACCCCTTAGGGCTCTCCTGCCCCACTCTGCCAGGCACCCCTCAAACCCCTTTCTTTAGGAGAGCATTCGCTCCCATTGACGCCCAGCACATCTTCCTGCTCCCTTCCACGCCCCCACTGGGGCTCTTCCTCTCCCTCCATTGCATGCCCTGTCCCCCTACATATAGAGCACCCCGGAAGCACACCTCCCCTTTGCTCCCTGGCTTGCTTACCCAACAGCCCTCCCCCGAAGCCTGGTTGTGGCAAGGGATTTGGGGAACATTTGGGGAAGCAAAGTGGCCACAGATATGCAAGCTGGCCAGGGTGCTGTCTGTCCCAGACATATGAATGACTGAGATTGGGGTTGGGGGCAAAATGAGGGTGAGGGCAGCCAGCCTCCCAGAGGGGGCAGGGGCATGGTGGGTGTTGAAGTCTGGAGCAAAGCTCCAGGGAAGCTGAGAATCTTGAAGTCACAGTTGTCCCCTGGTCTGTCTAGCCTGCCCTCCTCTGCCCCCCTCCCTCCGTCATTCAAACAAGTGGCTCTCTCAAGGAGTTTCTGGAAGCTGCTGTGAGTCGGGTAGTGGGATCAGGTGGTGGCTGGGTGCTGGAGTCAGGAGTCTCAGAGGCCAGGAGGTGGGGGGATAGAGTTGGCTGACCCTTCATGGGGTGTGGGCCAGGAAAGTGGCAAAGAATGAGCTGAGGACCCTGGGCACGGCACCCTTCCCTGGGTGGCCAGGAAGTGGGGAGATCTGGGGACCCAGTGAGCGGCTAGGGTGCAGCAGGAGTTTGGGGGATAGCCCCAGTCTTGGGATCTCTGTCCTGGGCTGGGGACTGCCCCCTCCCCTGGCCTGGCTCCTGACGCCCGTGCTGCCGGTGAAACGCTGTTGACATGTCCTGAATTATTAAGCGTGGGGAGGGCTCCGGAGCACATGCTGAGCGGAGCGGCTGGGGCTGCGCGGCGTGGCGGAGCAGCGCTCGCTCCCTCGCTCACTCGCTCGCTCGCAGGGACACACGCAGGGGCTGACAGCTGTGCTGGTGCTGATAAGGGAAGCCACAAGGAGACGATCGAGGAGAGAGACAAGCGGCAGCAGAGGCAGCAGCGGCAGAGGCAGCACCAGGGCTGCGGAGCTGCTGGGAGTGGGAGTGACTCCCCCACCTCGGGCCCCCACCCTGTCCCTGTCCTCTTCCCGCTTGCCCTGAGTTTAGAAGAGCAGCCGCTGCCACCACTGCCACTCGGGAGGGCACCAGGGCTGCTGGCTAGGGAGGGACAGGGCAGGGAGGCTCTGGCCAGTCCCAGCAGCCGGGGACAGATGCCGATCGAGATTGTGTGCAAAATCAAATTTGCTGAGGAGGATGCGAAACCCAAGGAGAAGGAGGCAGGGGATGAGCAGAGCCTCCTCGGGGCTGTTGCCCCTGGAGCAGCCCCCCGAGACCTGGCCACCTTTGCCAGCACCAGCACCCTGCATGGACTGGGCCGGGCCTGTGGCCCAGGCCCCCACGGACTGCGCAGAACCCTGTGGGCACTGGCCCTACTCACCTCGCTGGCTGCCTTCCTGTACCAGGCGGCTGGCCTGGCCCGGGGCTACCTGACCCGGCCTCACCTGGTGGCAATGGACCCCGCTGCCCCAGCCCCAGTGGCGGGCTTCCCGGCTGTCACCCTCTGCAATATCAACCGCTTCCGGCATTCGGCACTCAGCGATGCCGACATCTTCCACCTGGCCAATCTGACAGGGCTGCCCCCCAAAGACCGGGATGGGCACCGTGCGGCTGGCCTGCGCTACCCAGAGCCTGACATGGTAGACATCCTCAACCGCACTGGCCACCAGCTCGCCGACATGCTTAAGAGCTGCAACTTCAGTGGGCATCACTGCTCCGCCAGCAACTTCTCTGTGGTGAGTTCTGCCAGCTGGGCTGCCTGGCCTTGGATGGCCGGAGGCTGGGGAGTGGGGAGGAGTGGTGGCAGTGGTGTACAGGGGCATCCTCAACAGGGCTTCCCTTCATTCCACCACCAGAGGCTGGCCTCGTGTTTCCCCAAGCCTGGCGTCTCCCTCTGGCTTCCCAGCCATGGAGCAGTGGCCGCTCATAGGGGCTTACCCTGGGGCGCCTGCTGCTCCTCTTCTTGGTTTTGCTGCTGCTGCAGTGCCCAGGTCTGGGAGTTGGGGTGGGGGTTCCTAGGCATGGGCCCAGGTGTCCTGGAGCTGGCTGGCTTGCAGGGAACGCACGCACCATCCCAAGGCCAGACCAACTGACTCTCACTTTTCTCTTGCTCCCTTTTTCTTCTGAGGCTACTGGATTCTTCCCACCAAACGAAGGAGATAGGGAGGGGAGGTTTGGGGGGCTCCATCTAGGGAAGGACCCCGGGTGGCCTCCTGGGGAGCTGGCCTGGTGGGCAGGCTGGAGAGACCCGGTCTTCAGGACACTGGGTGCCAGTGTCTCTTCTGGATCTCTGTGTGTCTCTCACATGCCTGCCTCACAGACTCCCTCACACATCCCTCTTTCATTCTGCCCTCCAGCCCTCCTGGGGTCCAGTCCCCCTCTGTCTCCTGTTCTAGCGGCTCCCATGCCCAGCTCTGGCTCTTACACTGGGAATCACTGGTTCACTCTTATGTGCATAACTCACCCTCACTGCTGCCCCAGCACGGGTGCATGCACACATGCACACGCACACACGCACACGCACTGCTGGGGGACACAGTTTCCTGCACACTCCCTCTCTCACTCACTGTCCCTGTCACTACACTCACATGCACACCTGCACACCCACACCCAGAGAGCTACTCATCTCCATGTCTAGCTCCCAGCTCTCGCTTAGCTGCCAAGGACAGGGTCCCACTGTGGATGCCATCCCTTCTCATGACACCCCCACCCCCATCTATCCCAACCGCTGCTCCCCATTTGGAGACTGCTGGCGCCATCTGTCACCTACGTGTGAGCACAAACACAAGCACCCTCTCCGGGAGAGGGGTGTGAGCTTGGGCTGCTCTGCCATGCACGCCTCCCACAGTCAGGTATGTGAGGGGGTGGGCGTGTCTTGTACACTGCCTGTCTGTCAGGGCTCCATTCACCCATAGTCACAGGGTATCTAGTATTCATGGCGCTCGAGATGCTTGTCCCTAGTCCACAGTTTGCTCCCAGCATTGTGTGTGCATGCGTGTATGTTTCATCCTCGTTGCCACTGCCCAGTGCATATGCAAATGTTTGGCGTCAACATGGTGCCCACTCCAGCCCAGCCTCCAGCAGCCAGCCCCAGTGATAGGGACCCCCGCCAGGTTCTCACTCACCCGCTGCCTCAGGATCACCAGGAAACATGCTCCAGCCAACGAGGTTCCTGGCCCCCACCATGCCTGCAGTGTCTGGGGCCTCCCGCCATTGGGCAGGGGAGTTAGGTAGAAATAGAGGGACAGGAGCAGGAGCATTGTGCAGGGAGAAGAGTCGGGGGCATTGGCCTGTTGTCCGGCTGTACACCCCCTTTCCTAGGGAAAAGCACTGCTCCCCAAAGCAAGGGTTGGTAGAGTCCCCGAGGAGGAGGTGGGATATGGAGGGTGAGTGTGGCCTTTGGGATCCATAGGGCTCTGCTGTCCTCAATCCTCACCACTCCGTATTGGGAGCTGGGCAGAGCTCAGTCTTAGCAGGTGCTGTTGGGACAGAAATCAATGGGATCTTTGTGTCCCCGAGCGGGAGTTGGGGGTGGGCAGGAAAGGGGAAGGGTGATGAGACCTCAGTGAGAGGAAAGGAGAGGAAGAGCTGGAGGGGGTGAGGAAGTAAGGGGAGGGAGGCAGAGGGTTCTGCTTGGTCTCCAGGCTAGGAGGCGGTGCCTGGAGGATACAGGAACGGGGATCCTCTGATCAAGGCTGGTGAGTCCCCGGAATCCTGGGGATGGCCTGGAGGAGTGTGGGTGGATTTCCCACAGGCCCTCTGGTACCCTGGGGCTGGAGAAAGGAGGATGGTAGAAGTCCGTGGGCTGAGGTTCTG
Source organism: Homo sapiens (assembly GCF_000001405.40). Classification (NCBI taxonomy): domain Eukaryota; kingdom Metazoa; phylum Chordata; class Mammalia; order Primates; family Hominidae; genus Homo; species Homo sapiens. The sequence continues at coordinate 219,517,387 of NC_000002.12, forward strand.
GCCCTGGTGCAGGACAGTGGGGGTAGAGGGCATAGCTAGCATTGGGGGACAGGAATTCCCCTTTGGGATTTCCATTTCCCCTGTCTCCAGCCCAGCCTCCTACTCTTCTGCACATACTGCATCCCCCGTCTGCTGAGTGTAACTCTGTCTTGGGTCTGGCATTCAAGGGCTGAGTCTGCTGCAGATTCACCAGGGTCTGGAATTACAGATTGGGCTGGGGGCCCATGATCCATGGTAGTGGGGAAGATGGGGTGTATTACAGGGGAAAGACTGGAGAATGGGCATGGAGATGAAGATATGGGGTCTCCAAAAAGGACGTGAGGTCCATAATCAGCTCTGTGGTGAGGACCTGGAGTCAATGATGGGGATTTGGGGTCTATGGTGGGGAGATGGGTATGTGAGCTGGTTGGTGGGGAGCCTGCCGGGGTATGGGTGGTGAGATGGTCAGAGACAGGGACAGGCTTCACCAAGGGGCTGTTATGTGTTTTCTGTTGCTTTCCCTGTTTCCTCCTTCCCACTCCCCACTCTGCTGTGACCTTTCCTCTGGAATCCAAGTTAATAAATGTCACATTTTCCAGCCTATTTTTACTCCGGGTAATGTGCCCTCCCCCAGTCCCCTCTGCTGCTGCTCTTGCTTCTGTTACCACTGCAATCGCTCTCCCCCCACGCTCCCTAATATCCCTTCATGCACTCCCAATCAGTCAGTCAATCAATCAACATGGAGTTCTGGGTGCCTACTATGTGTTGGGCTCCCTGCTCAGAGCTGTGGAGGACAGCAAAGATGGGAAGCCCTGTCCCCAGTCCCTGTCCTCAAGCAGCCTATAGTCTCGTAGAGTGGGGACAGGGACACTCAGAAGTTTAAGCAACCATGCAAGAGTTAATCAGCCATGCAAGTGGTGTCATAAGGTGCCAGGATCAATTGCCAGACGAGGTGCATGGGTAGTAAGAGGTCGAGTTCAGAGAAGGAGAGGCCATTCTGGGTGGAGGAGAGCTGGGAGGGCCTAGGGGATGAGGCAGGCTGGGCAGTTTGGAGAAGAGGGAAGAGAGGAAAGAGGAGAGGGCCCTGGGAGGTGGGCCCCGTATGTTTGCTCTGCATGGTGGCTAGCTCCAGCTAGTTTACCTCTGCTCCTCTCTTCTCCCTCCCCTCTTCACTCAGTCTCATACCATCTCACTCCCGCCCATTCTACCACCTGTATGTCCCCCACCCCCAGCCTTGTAGACAGCTCTCCCTTCCTCCCTGATTCCTGCCGCCATCTGCTACCCACACCCCCTTCCTCCAAGCCCCAGTTCTACCTTCCCCACTGCGGCCTGCTCTCAGCCTGCCCTCTTACTAAAAGGCAGAAATCACTCTTTCTCCCTAGGCTTCATTTCTTGAGCTGTAAAATGCAAGGGTGGCTCTAAAATTCAGCATCTCCTCTCACCTGGGGACCACCAGGATTCGAACCTCGGCTCTACGCATTAAGCTGTGTGGCCGTGGGGAAGCCAAAAAGCTTCTGTGAGCATCGGTTTGTGTATTCTTTTTTTTGTTTGTTTTTTTGAGACAGAGTCTCGTTGTTGCCCAGGCTGGAGTGCAGCGGCGCGATCTCGGCTCACTACAGGCTCCGCCCCCCGGGGTTCATGCCATTCTCTTGCCTCAGCCTCCTGAGTAGCTGGGACTACAGGTGCCCGCCACCTCGCCCGGCTAATTTTTTGTAATTTTAGTACAGATGGGGTTTCACTGTGTTAGCCAGGATGGTCTCGATCTCCTGACCTCGTGATCCGCCCGCCTTGGCCTCCCAAAGTGCTGGGTGTATTCTTTAAATAGGATATTAGAACCTAAAAATTGGGGGTTGTTGTGAGGATTAAAGAGATGCTCCTAAAGAGCTTAGCACACTACCTGGCACACACATCGTATACTCTGTGTAAGCGTCAGCTGTTATAAATGCCGCCACCCCAACTGCTGGCTATCTTTAACCTGACTGTTGTCAGCACCACCTACTGGTTTCCGACCCATGTGCTGGCATCTTCATTACTCTCCATTACCTAGTCATCGCCCCGCTTTTGACCCTCTGGCCCACACCCTCCTCTGCCCTGTACTAGCATTTCCATTCTATCCAGCCCTCCAAAATATGCATGCACGTGTGCATAGGTGCAGGAGTGCGCACACACTGTCTAGATCAGTGCTGCCAATAGAACATTCTGTGGTGATGGACACGCTCTGCACCTGTGCTTGTCCAACTTGGTAGTCACTAGCCACATGTGGCTGTTGAGCACTTGAAATGCGATTAGTGCGACAGAGAAAATGAATTTTACATTCAAATAGCCATACGTGGCTATAGGCTGCCGTGTTGGACAGCGCAGCTCTGGATGGCCCTAGGAATGAGATTGTCTGGGTAGGGCAGGGCTGGGATTACAACTGGGACCACAGGATATAAAGGGTAGCTGCGGGCTGTGACTGGAAGTCGGGCCATCTACTCTGTGGGCTGTGATCTCAGGTGGAGCTGAGGATAGGGCCTGTGTCTGGGGGCTGGGGGCTGGGGGCAGTGGGGTGTCTGGAGACACCACGTGAGCAAAGGTGCTTTCTTCCCAGGTGCAGGACATGACCTTGGTCTTTTCCACGCTACTGTCTGGAAAATTGAGGCTGGGGGAGGCGAAGAAACCCTGAGGAGGCATGGGTAGGAGCCAGCCCCACTCCTCAGGGTCCTCAAGGGTCCAGGCAGCCCCGGGGGGCCAGGAGCCTGGGGCCCTGTGGGCGCCTCACTATCTCCATCCCCTATGGGCTCTCCGGTCTCCCTCCCCCTCCCGACCCTCCTTCTCCACATGCTGGTGACTGCCATGACTATTAATCACTCGCCCTGTTCTCTTCCTCTCTACTAATCAGGCACAATTAGACAAGGCCTCTTCCAGCTGGGCAGTCCCTCCCCTGCCCTCCTCTCTCCTCTCCCTGCCCCACCCAGCCGCCAGCCAGGACAGCTCTGAGGCACAGAAAGCATGCAAGCCCTCTCTCTCTCTGGCTGTCCCAGGACCCAGTTTCGGGCTCCTTAGCACCCACTCCTTCTGTCCCAGCGACCTCCTTAGCTCCTTCTCTTCCCAGTGTGTGGTCAGGCCACTACTGACAGTCTCTGCCCTCCACCCCCTACACTTGGCCCTGGGAGGAGCTACTCCACACTCCATCCCAACTCTACATCTTTGCCACTGGGTTGGAGGTTCCAAGGGCTGCCCCTTGCCCCGTTGGCTGTGGAAGGGAGAGGGTGCCCACTGAGGTGGGTTCAAGCCTCTTATCTACCGCACAGGCTTGCCTCTGACTCCCCCTGCCTGTCCAGCCCTCTGTTCCCTGTGGTCCCAGCTTCTCCTGAGGCATGAGCCTTAAGCACATTTAGTTCAACATCTGGTTCAGGGCTGATCCTGCCCTCAGGAGCCAGGCAGGTCAGGTTGGGGTGGGGGGATACAGTAGGGAAGGGTGGGGTCTGAGGAGAACTGAAGACCACTTAGTCTTGAAGGACGCAGCTGCTTCTCAGCCCTAGCTAACTGTTGCCCTGTGTGAGGAGCCCAGCATGGCTGGGTCTTCCAGTCTGTCAAAAGCAGCTCCAAATCGTGATTATTTTAATAGAACAGTAACTGATTTAAAAAATACTGAGGGCTGCCAACCCCTCAGATTGCAGAACCAGGTGCACCCACCCTCCCCACCTTCCACCCCACACCAGCTGCGGCTCAGACCCTCCTGGAGGGGTGCTGTCAGCCTGCCTGCTTGGGCAGTGGAGTGGGTGGAGGGGATGTAAGTGGTGTGGCCTGGCAGGGAAGGGCAGTGACTGTTACTGTCTCAGAGGGCTGGTCTTCAAGGGCAGTGGGAGGGCCATGAGGGACATGCCCCACCCAGCCCCACTCAGCAGCCCCGTGGCCTCTTCATTAATCAGGAATCAGCCCCGAGCTGGGCTCATTATCAGCTCAGCTTCTCAGACACTGCCGGAAGATGCTGATTAGCGTTTGAAGAAATGGCCCCACGTCCTGTCCCCCTCTGATCCTCCCTCTGTCTCCCCTGCCCGCACTCCTTCCTGGACCCCCACCCCTGCCCTTCTGCTTCTTGGGAGGAATCTGCTCCCTCTTGTGGCTGGCGGCAGGGCTGCCTCTGCTAGGTCCAGGCAGGGGGCAGGAAGGATCAGGAATGGAGAGGCAGGGGCACCCAGGAAGCACTACAGGGAGCATTGGAATGCCAAGACCCAAGCTACTCAGTCCCCGAGTCGTCAGTGGGTCCCATGGGCAGGCAGGAGGGAGTGAAGGGGGTGGAGCCTGAGGTGGTCCAGGAGAGATGGACAGCCACCCTGCAGGAGGGGACAGAGGCCGGCCTCAGGCTGCCTCTGAGTTATAAGTTATAAGTATTCCTGAGTTATAAGTATTCCTTGCCCTTCCAGGCTGGCCCTGCAGCCCACCTCCTTTGAGCAGCTGGGAAGAGGAGGTGGGAACGGCCAGCACTGGGGGCAGGAGGCCCGAGGGGAGAAGATCTGCCACGTTTGTTTGTTTTTTAATTTTTTTGCAAATCATGGTGGAAACTTAGGGTCTTCAGAAGGATGAGTGAGGATGGGAAGGCAGGAGGAGGACAGAGGGGCAGAGATCCTGAGAGTGGAGATGGGAAGGTTCAGTGGTGTGTTTTCTAGGAAGAGGTGGGCAGGGGTCTGCACTTCTTCCCCTGGCTCCTAGGCTGGGGCTGGCAGCGCTGGAAATCCAACCCACCCCTCAAATGCTCACCATGCCCTTGGGACACCCGTGGGTGTTGGGTTGGAGGGGGAGCAGTTCCAGAGAGATAGGCACGGGCTGCAGCAGCCGAGGCGGCAGCAAGAGTTCAGAGAGGAGCCACGGGATGATTAAGGGGAAATGGAGGATTGATTTAGGAGGAAAGATTAAAGGAGCTAAATCCGTGGCGCTTGGCTCAGCGGTGACTAAGCGTGGACAGGATAATAGCTTACAAATGTGTGGAAGGTGTAAATACCAAACGGGGGGAGGGGAGGCGGCTCGGCGGGCCCGGAGGGTGGGGTGGGGGCTGGGCAGGTCCCCGGGGAGGGCTGGGAACCCCTGGGCGACTGCCCGGTGGGGTCGGCCCCTCCCCAGTGGGGGCTCACGGGGGAAGGAAACGGGACGTTGGGGAGCCCCAGGTTCCCAGTAGGGGTTCCGTTTCTGGTCGCAGCCTCCCGGGCCTCGTGCTGATCATGTCTCACTCCCGCCTGGCTGGGGATCTGAGGTCGCGGGTTCAAATCCCACCCGAGCACCCAAGTCCCTCAGTGCCCCCGGCCCCGGGCCTTTTGGCCGCTTCAGGCCCGCCAGCCAGGCCCAGCTCCGCATCCATCTCCTCGGGACCCCCGCCCCCGTCGCCCCCTCCCCGGCCGCCGCGGGGGCGGGCGGCGGTGTTTCCCTCCGCGGTGGAAGCCTCTGGCGCTGCTGTGTGCGGAGGTCACTTTGCCGAGGAGCCGGGAGCCGGGGGAATGCAAATGAGGCAGACCCAGGGAGGAGAGCGGAGGAGCCCGCAGGAGATGGGAGGGAGGGCGCTCGGGAGCCGTGATGGATGCCTGGCCCGCGGGAGGGAGCGGAGGGCGGCGAGGCGCGCGAGCCGGTGGGTGCGGCCCTCTGGGTGCGGGTGGGCCAGGCCTGGGCGGCCAGGCTGTGTGTGCGGGAGAGGGCGGGGGGCCAGGGATCCTGGCAGGCGCACACCCACCCACCCACCGTCCCCGCCGCCTCTTTCTGTCTTGTCTCCTGAACTCCCGCCTGGCTGTGGGAGTGTGCTCCACTGTATAAGCAAAACTCTTGACGAGGAACTTTGCATCGAGGGGCGGGAATGTCAGGGAAGGACTTACTTACCAATTCACCAATTAAAAACTGACTTTCTAGGGTGTAAGGCCTAAGCGGTCGCTGCCTGGGGAATGGTTTTGACCGTTTACCTGGGTCCCGGAGGCCTTCATCCTCCCGTTCTCCTCTCCCGTGGAAGCGCGGCGCCCGCCGGGGACCACAGCCTTCTTCCACGGCCCCCAGCCCTCCCTGGCTCCTAGGGCTCCCCTGTCCCTTCCACCACAGCTCACACATTTACATTTGAACAAACACCTCAGCCATTGCCTCCTAGATCCACTGTAGGGAGGAAGTGGCCCTGAAAAGCTCATGGGTGGCGGTGGAGGTGGGGGGTCCCTGTATGCACGTGTAGAACTAAGCCTGCTGAGGGCGCTGTGTCTTCCTCTTTCTTGAGTGTGGCATTGTCTGATGCCCCTCCTGGGTGAGCCAGGTGGCTTGTTTAGAGAAGTTTTTCCTGACCCTGCAAGCCAAATTGAGCTCCTGTTCCACCGTGGTGACCTTGGCTAGGTCACCCCATCACTACAAGGATCACAACTAGTAACAATTTATCCATTTGTGTGACTGGTGGATTTGTGAACATGCCTGGTGCAGTTCAAAGTGTTTATGTTGTAAGTGCCCCATAAGCACTTTTTTTTTTTTTTGAGACAGGGTCACGCTCTGTTGCCCAGGCTGGAGTGCAGTGGTGCCATCACGGTGGCTCCCTGCAGCCTCAACCTCCCAGACTCAAGAGATCCTCCCACCTCAGCCTCCTGAGTAGCTGGGACTACATGTGTGAGCCACCATGCCTGGCTAATTTATTATTATTTGTAGAGACGAGGTCTCGCTATGTTGCCTAGATTGGTCTCAAATTCTTGGGCTCAATCGATCCTCCTACCTTGGCCTCCTAAAGTGCCGGGATTACAAGTGTGAGCCACCGTGCCTAGCCCATAAGTACTTTGAATGAATGAATGTCTCTGCAGCCAGACAGCAAGCTCCTTGAGGGCAGAGGCTGTCTGTTTTGTTCTCTGTTGCATGTCCAGCACCAAGCACACAGTGCCTGACACTGTTGAGCACAGGCTCAATGAATAGTGTTGGACAAAGTAAGTGTTGTTTGAACATTCACCAGTTCTTGAGCGCCTACTATTTGTAGGTACTGTGTGCCAAGTGTATGTCACACAGTGGCTATGGGTGGACTCCAGGGCCAGACTGCCTGGTCCCCTGTCAGCTTCCTTATCCTCTCTGTACCTCCGTTACCCTGTCTGTAAAATGAAAACGATAGGACTACTGCCATATAGGAGTTTTGTGAGGGTTAAGGGGTTAATCTATATAAAGTGCTTAGAACTGTGCCTGGCACAGAGGTAAGCACTAAGTAAATATTAGTGGTTGCTATGATTTACGTACATTCTGTCTTTCCTCATAACACCTTTGAAGGGCGCCTGTTGTTACTGCCATTTTACAGATGAAAAATGGAGGATCAGAGAGGTTAATTGATTGAATCTGAATCCCACAGACTTAACTAAGGGCAAGGCCCAGATGTAAACTAGGTTGGGCTTTCCATCTGGTAGGAGAGCCATATCTCAGAGCCTGGGGGTTTCGCTGTGACAGAGCTCCATCCTCTAAGCCGCTCCCAAATTGCAGAGAGAGCCTGCAAGGTGCTTGATGCCCTGTGAGGTTGCGCCCAGTGGGGATCCAAGATCAAAATGGCTGCACTGTCCTGGCAGGAAGCTCCATTCCCCAAAGGGCCTCACCCCTCCCTTGAGCACCTGCCAGGAATCACTGAATTGATCTCTAATCCTCTCATGTAACTTTAGGAGGAGGAATTACCATTCCCCTTTTACAGATGAGCAAACCGAGGCTCAGAGAGGTTTAATCACACATCTGAGGTTGTTTGTCCAAAGTTGGTGGGAGAGGCTGGATTTGAACCCTGTTCTGTCAGCCTACAAAATATATGCCCCTTTCCCCATGTTATGAGCCTCCTGTGTATCCATTTCCAGCACCACATAGTGATCAATCTCTGCCCTAGCTTGGTTCATGCTGGTCTCTACAAAACCTTTATTACTGGTGCACGTATATGACTGCACTTTGCAAATGCCTTTCACATACTTCCTCTCTTTTGAGATGTACAACTAATCTGTGAAATAAGCAGGGATTTCTGTCTCTACTTGACACATGAAGAAACTGAGGCCCAGAGAAGTTGATAAATCACTTTACTAACCTAAGTCACACAGGCTATCTGTGATGGAGCTGGAGCTGAAACCAGGGCCTGCTGACTCCCAGGGAGGTGATGTTGGCCCGTGAACCTGGGGTCCACTTCTGAATCTGCACCTGTTTTCTGCATGCCCTTGGATCTGAACCTTGCCGTCTCTAGGCTTGTTTCTGCCTTTGTACAATGAGTGATTGGACTGAGTGACCTCGAAGTTCTGAGCAGCGCAGACACCTCAGGCATTTTGGTTGGTGCCATCTTCCTTCCTCTGCACCTGGAAAGGATAGGGAAGGAAGAGGCTTTGAACCTGGATACTGGGCCACCCCTGAATAAAGCTAGGCCCTGGGAGCTGTTCCACCCCAGGGTGCTGGTCACAGTCCAGGGCAGATGAAGATGCACCCCATTCCACTGGCCCTCTCTGGACCTAGGGGCAGAAGAATTCATTCCAGGGGTACCTAAGAGAGAGGCATGGGGGTGGACCCCATCAAGGGGAGAGCTGATAGAATTTGGGGGAAGGGATACCATGGAAGAATGTCAGGGGAAGTGCCGGGACCAGAGGCAGGGTGCCCAGAAGGCAGTGGAGATAAAGCCCAGGCCGAAGATTAGCTCTGGGATTAGCCTGGCCTCAGCATCTCCTGGCTGCTTCTTATCTCCTGGAGGCCCAGGGCCCTCCCCCTGCCACAGCTCTGAGCCCTGGCCCCGCTAATTGCCTGTTAACCCTGTGGGCTCTGCGAGGGAGGGAGGATGCAAGCAAGCCAGCCAGGGAGAGAGCTTTCTGGAGAAACGGAAGCTGTGAATAGATAGAGTTCCGAGGGCTGAGAGAAGCCACTGCTCTCAGGAGGAGCAAGCTCTGGACAACTCTCTCCCAACCCCTCATCACTGTCTCAGGCAGACCCTGAGAGAGAGGGGCCAGGGAGAAGGAGGTGGAGGGCACCTGGAGAGGGGTTCCTGGCATGTTGGGTCAGGGTGGGGAGCCTCAGGCCCAGGGAAAAGTCTAGGAGGAAGACAAGAGGCTGAGACTCGACAGCCAGACTAAGGGATGGATAGAGAAGAAAGCAAATAGGATAGAGAGTGCAGTGGGCAAGGGACAAAAAGGTCAGGGGGCATCCAGGACAATGGGAGAGAAAGAGGCCAAGGGGATGGACAGGTCAACAGAGGGCAGGGGCAGAGAAACAGAGTCCAAGTGGATAACTGATCAGGGGCAGGGACAGACGGGTCAGGCGGATAGAGAAGGACTCGAGAGACAGACTGAGATCAGGAAACAGAGGCTAGCGAGGCAGACAGACCCAGGCTGGGGTTCAGGCCAACACTAAAGGGGAGGTGATCAGAGAAGGACAGGCAGGTGCTGGCCAGAAGGAAGGTGGGGGAGGGGACCTGAGTGTCAGTGTACAGCACAGACATAGTCCTGTCTAGGAGCTGTCAGCCAAGGCCGGGAGGGGCTTTGGGAGGACACATGCCCCAGCTAGGGCCAGGAGCGTGGACCTGGAGCTAAGGCAGAGAGAGAGGGAGGGCCAGACCAAAGGAGGACATGGGGGTCTGAGATGGGGACACGGCCCAGAGGCTGAGAGCTGGTGATCTGGAGATAGCCCCTCTGCCATCAGGACACTCCCTGGCCCACGACCTTCCCCTTTCCGTGACCGGACCCTGGACTCTCAACTCCTTTGCATACTGCCCCCTCTTCCTGGGCCAGTCCATGGGGAGGGAGCAGTGGACAACCTGTGGGACCTTGTGGCAGAGCTGCCGTGCCGTCTCCATGGAAGAAGCTGTGGGCTGTGCTGCCACCAGAGTTCTGCCACTTAGGAGCTGATGGCTCCACCCACCCCTGCCTGCCTGGCCCAGGGACTGTCTCCTGGGCAACGCTGTGCTCTGACCAGCAGTCAGGACTGACCCGGGCTGTGCAGGTGGCCTCCTCCTGCCAGTCTGGCCAGTCCGTTCCCTGCAGAGTATCCCTGAGACCCAGACAACTTCCACCCATCTCCCTTTGTCACCCCGACTCTGCACAGCCACCTTGAGGGTTTGTGTGCCAAGGAACCACCACCCTCGCCAGCTGGGCATTCGTTCTGCCCTGTGTAGGGTGGGCTCGGTTCCATGTAGCATGTGTCTGTGTGTGTCTGTTGGAGGTACCAGGTAGGGACGCTGCCCCAGCCCCTCCGAGAGTCAGGAGCCTCCAAGAGCCATTCATTCACTGAACACCCACCAGGTGTTCTATAAGCACCTACTGTGCTTTGACCTGGGGTTCAGTTCTGTTTGAATCTCGGCTGTCATTTATTTGCTGTGTGCCCTTAGCCAAGTCACTTTCCTTCTCTGAGCTTCAGGTACCTAATCATTAAATGGGGGCAAAAATACTTAGCTCATATGGGTTTCTTGGAGACTCAAAGGAGAAAATAGATCAAAAGCACCTATCACAGGACTTGGTACAAAGTCGGGATGTTTGATAGTGTTTGCTTTCCTTCCTCCCACCTCATACCTCCTTCTGCAAATCTCGCTGGGCTCTGGGGATGCCAAGAGGGAAACAGGACTCCTGGTCACATGGAGTTCATGGTCCCATGGGTGAGGCTGAGCTTCAGAGACACCACAACGGTGCCTGGCAGTCAGGGCTCCGCCGAGGTGGTGCTGAATGCTGAGGGACATGAGTGAGGAGCTCATAACGTGGGTACCCCACGTCGCCCATGCCTTCTTTAGCCTTTCAACTGGAGCATATACGCAAAACTGGCTGTGTCAGCAAGAGCTGATTCTAGCATCTTCTTGGTTTGAAATAGGAAGAGGTTGAGTACTTTCAGATTTCTACAAATACTAATATATGCCTCCCATCAGCATTTCCCACACCACCAGGACCCAGGAATTTTGTTTTTCTGTTTTTTTGAGACAGAGTCCTGCTCTGTCACCCAGGCTGGAGTGCAGTGGCGTGATCTCAGCTCACTGCAACCTCTGCCTCCTGGGTTCAAGCGATTCTCCTATCTCAGCCCCCTGAGTAGCTGGAACTACAGGAGCCCGCCACCACACCCAGCTTATTTTTGTATTTTTAGTAGAGACGGGAGTTTCACCATATTGGCCAGGCTGGTCTCAAACTCCTGACCTTGTGATCTGCCCTCCTCAGCCTCCCAAGTGTTAGTGTTGGGATTACATGCGTGAGTCCTGGGGTCTGGACTTTTTGTTGTTGTTGTTGTTGTTGTTTTTTGAGATGGAGTCTCACTCTGTTGCCCAGGCTGGAGTGCGGTGGTGTGATCTCAGCTCACTGCAACCTCCACCTCCTGAGTTGAAGCGATTCTCCTACCTCAGCCTCCTGAGTAGCTGGGATTACAGGTGCCCACCATGACACCCAGCTAATTTTTGTATTTTTAGTAGAGATGTGGTTTCACCATGTTGGTCAGGCTGGTCTTGAACTCCTGACCTCAAGTGTTCTGCCCTCCTTGGTCTCCCAAAGTGCTGGGATTACAGGTGTGAGCCACTGCACCTGGATGGGATAGAGGAATCTTGCACCAGGCCCATTTCAGAGTTCCTCCACCTCCAGTGACTTGCGATAAGAGCACAGGTCTAGAGTCGGGCTGTCTTGCTGGGTTCTCCTCCTTTACCTAGTGCCTTTCTACTCACAGTGTGGCCCATGGACTCTCAGCCTTGTCCAGCTCCCTCCCCACATCTGTTCTACCAGACTCTGCACTTTAAAAAGATCCCCCTGATTTGTGTGCACAATAGTGTTTAAGCCCTGGGCTTGAAAATCTTGGGAAACCAGTTGAATTCTCTGAGCCTCCATTTCTTTCTCTGTAGAATGGGGAGATAATAGTACCCACCTCACAGGGTAGTTGTGAGGATTCATCCAGATAGAACATGTGAAGCGTTTAGCACAGTGCATGGGGCATACTGAGTGCTCCTGAGCTGTCCATGACACCCACTCCTGCCCCACAGATGGATACATAGCAGGGAGGAGGGCAGGGGTGATACCTGTGGGGTCAAGGACTTGAATCTGGGAGCTGGTAAAGGTGTGTGGGGGATGTTGAGGGAAGGAGAGGACTTGGGGGACAGGAAAGGAATTGAAGAGAAGCCGATATGGAGAAGAAAGGGTGAGGAAGGTACAGAGGAACGATGCAGGAGGGAACGAGGAATGGGAGAAGAGAAAGGGACGGGACTGGGGCCCATTCCTGTCTCATCTACCTGGATGGGGCTGGGGCAGGAGCTGGATCCCGAGGTAGGCTAGGCTTGGAGTGGGGGGTGCCAGCAATGGTTTGCAGGAGCAGCTGGAGCCTCGCCCCTCGATGAGGTGCACCTCTCCTTCTTCCCAGCTGTGTGACTTTGGACGTCACTTCACTTCTCTGAGCTGTGATGTCCTCATCTGAAGTAGTTGGGATAACTACACCTAGCTGGTACTGAGGGGATGTGTGCAACGGTAGACGGCACTGTGTTCTGTAAACTCAGGGTGCTTTGTTTGTGGTGCACACGTTTTTGTTTCGGGAACGGGAGGCAGGGTGGTTGGGTGGTAGAAGAACTGTGGGAGAGGGGAGGATCAGGGCTGCGACTCCCAGAGCACTGCAGCAGGGTGGTCTACTTCTCAGGCATGGGGACTTCACCCTGCCCCCTAGGAGGTCTCAGGAGGACTCTCAGTTGGTTCGCTGCCCTCCACCCAGCCTCTCTCCCTTCTGCACTCCCCCTGTGTAGCCAGGCATTCAGGATCTCTTTTTCCTTCCACACCGCTTCCTGCCATTTCTTCCAGCTTTTACCAGTGGGAAATGTTCCCAAGGAGAGGGGAGGGGGAGCGGGAGAGAGTGATTGAGTGCGCCGACCCCTTGCCCTCAGGGAAGGTGCTGCCTGTGATGGGTTTGACCCAGGGGCTCGGCTCTGTTAGGGAAGCCTGGCAGGGGGGAACTAGAACCCGCCTCTCCCTCAGCCTGTTCTCCACCCCTGCCGCTGCGCAGCTCCTGGTGGCAGCTAAATCCCCAGCGGGAGCCTGGGCTTCCATCTCCGGGGCGCCAGCGCCATCTGCTGTCCATGCAGGAGAACTCTCCGCAGAGGAAAAGGGAGCCGGGCTTCTGTGCGGCAGAGACTGCTCATTCAAGTGTCCCTTGTGCCCTGCACTGGGCCAGAGGCTGGGGACACCAGACAGGCTCCTGCTCCTGTGCGGCATACATGCTCATTGAGGGAGATGGACAATGGACAGGAGACAAGTAGATGAACAAGATCATCTCAGGTCTTGATAAGTACCTTGAGCAAACCAACAGACATGTGGATGCATGGACGGTGACACTGAATGTGGCCGTGTGATGTAGGAGTGTGACATGCTGAGGCTTCAGTGATGGGCAGCTAGCCATACCATGAGTGTGTGTGCGGGGGCATTCCAGGAGAGGGGACAACAACAACAAAAGCCCGAGGAGAAAAGGAGTCCAGGTGTCTGAACTTGTCACAGACATGTGGGGGAGGTGGTGGGAGAGGCAGGCAAGGGCCACATCACATGGGCACTTTTGGGTTAGGGAAGGAGCATGACTTCATTATGTGGGAAATGGGAAGCTATTGTTGGGTAAGTCAGTTAGTGGTTTCATTGGATCTGAGCACTGTGGACTGGGCACCATGGCTTCCGGTAGGGAGGGGCAAGGGTGGACCAAGGTGGGAGAGCAGTTAGGAGGAGATGGCAAAATGAGGGTTGCTGGAGAAGGAAGGAAAGTGGATGGATTCTAAATGTATTTCAGAAGTGGGCTGGAGGCTGGATGTGGTGGCTCATGCTTGTAATCCCAGCACTTTGGGAAGCCAAAGCAGAAGGATTGCTTGGGCCCAAGAGTTCAAGACCAGCCTGGGCAACATAGAAAGACCCTGTCTCTACAAAAATAAAATAAAAAGTAAAAAAAAAAAAATTAGCTGGGCTTGGTGGCATATGCTTGTAATCCCAGCTGCTTGTCAGGCTGAAGCAGGAGGATGGCTTGAGTCTGGAAGGTTGAGGCTGCTGTGAGCCGAGATCGTGCCACTGCACACCAGCCTGGGCAACAGAGCAAGACCATATCTCAAAAAAAAAAGAAGAGAAAGAAGTGTCCCAGGACTAGCTGTTGGCTTGGATGCAGGAGTGATGGAAGGGGAGATTTCAGAAATTCCGACTTGAGAAACTGGGTGGATATAGTGGGGTGGTTTACTAGGGTGGAGGAAAACGGTGGGGGGAAGGCAGGGTTTGGGAAGGTGTTGATGTGCTGTTGGGTTGGAGATGCTTTCTAATCATCTAAGGGAGGCCATCAGTAGAAAAGTTGGCGCTGATTGGAGAGGCTGGGCTGTACATTGCTTGCTAGGATACGGGACTGGAGTGTCCAAGCAGATCTGGTGGCCCTCAGCAGGGAGCAGGGAACTTCGGAGTTGCCTTGGCCACTCCTTTCATCTCCCCTCCTGCTCTCTCACCCCACCTCCCAGGTCTATACTCGCTATGGGAAGTGTTACACCTTCAACGCGGACCCGCGGAGCTCGCTGCCCAGCCGGGCAGGGGGCATGGGCAGTGGCCTGGAGATCATGCTGGACATCCAGCAGGAGGAGTACCTGCCCATCTGGAGGGAGACAAGTACGCAGGCCGGAAAGGGACAAGGGCCACCTTGGGGACTGGGGCCTGGGCCCTCTGCCTGGGATGGGTTTCCAAAGGTCCCCATCTCTGCTGTGCAGATGAGACGTCGTTTGAGGCAGGTATTCGGGTGCAGATCCACAGCCAGGAGGAGCCGCCCTACATCCACCAGCTGGGGTTCGGGGTGTCCCCAGGCTTCCAGACCTTTGTGTCCTGCCAGGAACAGCGGGTGAGCATCTCCTGCTAGGCCCTGGATTGGGCACAGGGCTCGCCTTTGGGCTCAGAGGGGATGTGGAGCAAACCTGCCCTCTAGAAGCTCAGAGCCTGCCAGCTGTGTTGACTTTGCTGGGGCTGTGGGCACTGGAGGACTGGGTGGGATTCCTGAGCATGACCTCATCATGCCCCACCTCTGCAGCTGACCTACCTGCCCCAGCCCTGGGGCAACTGCCGCGCAGAGAGTGAGCTCAGGGAGCCTGAGCTTCAGGGCTACTCGGCCTACAGTGTGTCTGCCTGCCGGCTGCGCTGTGAAAAGGAGGCCGTGCTTCAGCGCTGCCACTGCCGGATGGTGCACATGCCAGGTGGGCACCCCACCCCCAGCCAGCCCTCCATGCCACCCTGCTAGGCTCCAGAGCCTCCCGGGGCAAGGCACTGCTCATGTGCACAGGCAGGTGCATGTATACAACATGTGTATGTGTCTGTACCCGTGTGAGTGTGAGTGTTTGGGATTTTTAAACATGGTTTCACATATGCATGTGGGAATGCCGGCATGCAGATGCCTGTGTGCATGTTAATATGTATTTGTGTACGTGCATGCTCATTTATATCCGTGGTTGCGTATTTGTGGGGGTTGTGTGTGTGGTGTTCAAGCACATTTATGCAAATGTGTGCATATGTGTGTGCATGCATGTATGTGCTTACATTTGGGCGTGTGGGGGACAGGGGAAGTGATCGTAGATTCCAGGAATAATCTTCTCTCCTTTCAGGCAATGAGACCATCTGCCCACCAAATATCTACATCGAGTGTGCAGACCACACACTGGGTCCGTGCTGCCTACCCTTTCCTACCTCTCCATCAGCCTCTTCATGTCTCTGTCCACTCTTCTCCTCACTGTCTTGGATCCTCCCCTCCCAATCTCTTCCTGGAGGGTTCTTCCTGGGGGTTGAGCCTTAGCCCATACTTCAGTGGGGTTGGGGAGAGGTCTGCGGACCTCTGCAGGTACAGACACTTGGGTAAGTGGAGGCAGCAGGGTGGGGGGTTGCAGAGAAGCCAGGACTGGGAGTGAAGGTCTGGGCTTCTCATCTTGGTTCAGCCAATGAGCTCACCCACTTTGAGAAAGTGAAATGACTTCTCTCTTGGTCTCAGGAAAAATGCATTGCTGGCTATCGGTGTGGGTAAGGCAAACCCCATCTGTCCACAGATCTTGCCTGATCTGCAGTTCATCCATCTATCCATCCATTCATCGATTCGCGCATTCTCCAGACCTTTACAGCCTGTGCTGGGTACTGGAGGTGAGAGTGGGGGCGACAGCCCTGCCCTTGGAGAGCTTACACCCCGGCAGGGCTGTGGACAGCCATTCCCACACAGCCCGTCAACTCCTGGAGAGGGGAGCCTCGGGTGTGCTGCAAGGCCCCAAGGAGGGGTGTGCAGCCCTAGCCTGGGAAGGTAGGGAGGATTCCTAGAGGAAGGGACACATTAGCTGAGGCTTGATGGGTGTATAAGAGTCAGGTGCAAAGGGGGACATACACTGAAGACCTGTGGCCAGAAAGAGCATGCTGTGTCCGGGGCACTGAAAGGTCTGTGTGGCTGCAGGGCAGAGAACAGGGGAGGGAGTAGAAAGAGTAGAGGAGGGAGGCCAGGCACGGTGGCTCACAAGTGTAGACCCAGCACTTTGGGAGGCCAGGGTCTGTGGATCACTTGAGCCCAGTAGTTCAAGACCAGCCTGGGCAACATGGTGAGACCCTGTCTCTGCAAAAAATAAAAAAGTGAACTGGGTGTGGTGGTGCACATCTATAGTCCCACCTATTCGGGAGGCTGAGGCAAGAGGATAGGCTTGAGCCTGGGAGGTTGAGGCTGCGGTGAGCTGGGATCACACCATTGCACTCTAGTCTGAGCTACAGAGTTACCCTGTCTCAAAAAAAAAAAAAAAAAAAAAAAAAAAGAGGAGGGAGGCTCTAGGAAGCCAACAAAGGCCTGTGGCAAGGCAGGAATGCCAGGTGAGTCCAATGAGATAGGAGGGGAGGAGACTCAAAGCCAGGGACTGGCGAAGCTGGCTGCAGTAATCCAGACACCTGGGGCCTTGGGGCTGGGTTTGAGACACTGGGCAGCCACACACATCCAGCCCTTCTCTGTCCCCCACACCACCTGCATCTGTCACAGGGGTGATTGGAGATGTTTAGTGAAGGAACAGATATGTGATCAGGAGTAAGGTGCCTGCAAGGCACAGCGGTAGACCACAGAGCTAGCAACATGGGGAGCCTTCATTCCCACCAGGCCTGCAGGAGGAGAGAGAGACCTGTGGCTGTCCGAGAGGGCTGACTGACAGCAGCATGGCTGGAGGAGCACAGCCTCTGCCACCTACGGCCTGGCAGTGAGAAAGCCAGGCGGGAGAAATACCCTGGCATCTCTTCCCTCTCACCTTCTGTTTCTGCTGGGGCCTCCTGTTGGCCAAACTGAACCCAAAGCCAGAGGACAAGGGAGTTTAGTTGATGCATTTGGGGGAGATCAGCCTCATAGGGTGCAGAGCAAGGTTGAAGAGTGGAGAGTGGATCTGAAGGGGCAGGCAGAGAAAGCCCAGCACATTGATCCTGGGAAGCTTGTCGGTCTATTTGTTCTTCTGTTCGCCCATCCGTCGATCTGGCCATCTGCCATCCATCCATCCATCCATCCATCCATCCATCCATCCATCCATCCATGCATGCATCCCAGCATCCTCTCCACACCTCCTTGTGTGTCTGAGGCCTCACATAGTTGATTAGCTCTGGTGGATGGGCTGTGTTCTCCCTCTGGGCCACGAGGACCCCCCCCCAGTCCCAGGGGGTTGGGAGGGTGCTGGGGGGTTCTGCTTATATCTGCTCTCTGGAGCAGTCTGAAGCTGGTTCAGGCGGGGACCTGCAGCCAGTCCCCTCTAGGAAGCACTGGGGCTGGCCAGTAAAGGCCCTCAGTGTGGGTGTGCCTGCCTCAGGACGGCCCCTGGGCCTCCTCTCTGCAGCTGGTGGGCCACTGGACCACCCTTCTCCAACTCCCACTGTAGCTGCTACCTCTGTGTTGCAGACTCCCTGGGTGGGGGCCCTGAGGGCCCGTGCTTCTGCCCCACCCCCTGCAACCTGACACGCTATGGGAAAGAGATCTCCATGGTCAGGATCCCCAACAGGGGCTCAGCCCGGTACCTGGCGAGGAAGTACAACCGCAACGAGACCTACATACGGTATGTGTGTGTGTGTGTGGGGGGTGGCTGTGTGACTCTGTGTGTACGTGTGTGTGGGGGGTGGCTGTGTGACTCTGTGTGTACGTGTGTGTGAGTGTATGTGTGTATGTGTTTGTGTGTATGTGGGTGTGGGTGTGTATGTGTGTGGGGTGTATGTGGGTGTGTACATGCATGTGTGTGTGTGTCTGTGTGGGGGGCATGTATGTGTGTCTTGTGGGTGTGTGAGTGTGTGATGTGTGTGTGCATGCACACTTATGAGTGTATGTATCTGTGAATGGGTATGTGTGTGAGAGAATGTGTCTATGTCTGTGTGGGTCTGTGTGCGTGTGTGTGTGTGGTGGAGGCTGCCCTCAACAGGCGCTGGGCATGGTGGAGGCAGGGAGTGGGCCGCATCTCTATGATGAGTCTTCTACCGGGAATGCCCTTCATAGCTCTATTCTTCTCCTTCTTTTTTTTTTTTTTTTTTGAGACAGAGTCTTGCTCTGTCGCCCAGGCTGGAGTGCAGTGGCACAATCTTGGCTCACTGCAACCTCGACCTCCCAGGTTCAAGCGATTCTTCTCCCTCAGCCTCCCAAATAGCTGGGATTATAGGCACCCACAGCCATACCCAGCTAATTTTTGTCTTTTTAGTAGAGATGGGGTTTCACCATGTTGGCCAGGCTGGTCTTAAACTCCTGACCTCAAGTGATCTGCCGTCCTTGGTCTCCCAAAGTGCTGGGATTACAGGTGTGAGCCACCTTGCCTGGCCACAGCCCTTCTCTTCTAAGTAGCCCCACTCATTGCTCAAGTCACGTTCAGTGTCTCCACCTCCAGGGAAGTGCTTCCAGGTCCAAACACCTTTCATCTGAGTTCCCAGCACCCGTACAGATCTCTGTCATTACACATATGCCACATTTCAGAGTGCTTTGCTTATGCATCTTTCTTCCCTGCACGGAGGGAGAGGGACAGGATGAGACAGGAGAGGAACACAGTACCCTGCAGGGGGAGGCAGGAGGGACCGCCCTGAGGCTTGGGTCTGGTCCCCTCC
Source organism: Homo sapiens (assembly GCF_000001405.40). Taxonomy (NCBI): domain Eukaryota; kingdom Metazoa; phylum Chordata; class Mammalia; order Primates; family Hominidae; genus Homo; species Homo sapiens. The sequence continues at coordinate 219,536,352 of NC_000002.12, forward strand.
AGCCAGTCTACACTTGTGGAGCGTGGTCTGGGTGCCAGGCTCAGTGCTGGGTTCTGTGGGGACAGATGATTATGACACAAAACTCATGCCACAATTTGTCAATGAGCCCACGTTTGATCATGTAGGACTGATTCTCAGGCCCCAGTCGGGGAGTGAAGCTGGGGAGGCGTGAGCCGGCCTCTGAGGGCCCTGGGTTTGGGGTCTGAGAGAGGAGGCAATGGGGAGGCGTCCAGTGACAGGACGTGGGGCGGTGGGGTGGTGTGGCGGGGAGCCTGAGCCATAGGCAGCTGTGTGGAGGAAGCAGAAAAGACGGCGGCTGGGGAGGAAGGTGCCGGGGACAGGCCACCGGCTGCCCAGGACACCGAGAAGGGGCATTGTGGAGTGGACTGACGGGCAACAGGGGTCACTGAAGGGTCCGCAGAGGCGTAAGGAGGAGGCAAAGGCAACACCACTGGCTGCTTTAGAGGAGGGAGGAGTGTTTCCTTCAGGTCCAGGAGTTGTGTTTTGCTCTCCCAGGCCCTTTGCTACCCCTCAAAAGATGAAGCTAACACACATCCGGGACTGCCTCCCCTCACAGCCTTGGGGAGTCCGGGGGGTAGTCACTGACTTCCCCATGTAGTGATCTCTGATCAGGATCTGCTGGATCCAGGATGCCCCTGCCAGCCTTCTCAGGAAGAGAGGCCCACACGGATACCCTGCTTCCTGTCTCCACAGGGAGAACTTCCTGGTCCTAGATGTCTTCTTTGAGGCCCTGACCTCTGAAGCCATGGAGCAGCGAGCAGCCTATGGCCTGTCAGCCCTGCTGGGTGAGACTGGTGTCCCTGCCCCCAGCTTGTGTGGGGGTGGATCGGCCCGGCCGCTCCCTCTGACACTGCTCTCCTGCTTCCCAGGAGACCTCGGGGGACAGATGGGCCTGTTCATTGGGGCCAGCATCCTCACGTTGCTGGAGATCCTCGACTACATCTATGAGGCAAGGGCCCTGGAGAAGGCAGGGTGGGAGTGGGGGCCGTGGGCAAAGCAGAAGGGGGCAGTGCGGGGTGCCTGGTGGAGCTGGCCTGGCTGGAAAGTCAGGTTCAGGGTTCTCTGCCAGGGTCCCCTGACTGGCTGGCAGGCCTGAGGGCTCAGAGTCAGGAGAAGGGGATGGGTGAGGAGGAGGAGGGTGTCCTACTGGGAGTTTGCTGTGGCAGTAAGTCCTGTGGGCAGCTGGGCATGGTAAGGCTCACGCTTCTCCTCAACCAAATTTCCTGAGCCCACTGCTGTCCCCGACCCTGAACCCCAAGGTGTCCTGGGATCGACTGAAGCGGGTATGGAGGCGTCCCAAGACCCCCCTGCGGACCTCCACTGGGGGCATCTCCACTTTGGGGCTTCAGGAGCTGAAGGAACAGGTGAGGACAAGCTCTAAATGCCTGCAGCATGCAGCCACACCTCCCCAGGACTGAATACATCCATTGTTTCTGAACCAGCCTGTGGAGGGGGCCCTGGAGCCTCTGCCCGAGGTGACAAGGAAAGGCTGGCGGTGTGAGCCCTGGGGGCACCACTTGAGCTCTCCCGGTCCCACTCTCTCTTTTCTTTCTCCTGCAGAGTCCCTGCCCGAGCCGGGGCCGAGTGGAGGGTGGGGGGGTCAGCAGTCTGCTCCCCAATCACCACCACCCCCACGGTCCCCCAGGAGGTCTCTTTGAAGATTTTGCTTGCTAGGACGGTGCTGTGACTGAAAGGACCCAGGAGTCTGGGACCCCTCCTGGGATCCCCAGCACATTCTCCTGCTCCTGGGAGAGGCCTGGGGGCGGTGCTCACTGGGAGGGCCAGGACTCAGTTCCTGCTCTCATCCTCCCCTGCCCTGATGTCAGCTGCTTTGCACAAAGGTCCTTCTTGTCCACACCCCTTATCCCCAGGCTGGTGCCCCGGGAGGGCTGGAGACCAGGCCATGGGCCCTCACGGAGAGGAAGGGAAGGAAGGAGAGGGAGGGGGAGGATAGAGCCCATCCCAGCCGGGGAGGGGGAGCCCTCTGTACATTTGTAAATATTTAGGGAAAGCCGGGTGGGGGGAGGGGATACAGATGTAGAAGGTGGGTAGGGCTACAGGGGTGGGTGATTTAGGGACAGCCAGGGTCCCAGCCCCAATGTCAGCAGGATAGGGAGAGCCCCAGGACTCAGGAGTGCTGGGCTGGTCCTACTTCCTGCCCCTCTCCAGGCCCAGCTCCCCTCTTGGCAGGGGGAGAGGATGGCCCAGCAGGCCTGGCCCAGCTCCCAGTTCCCCCTGCACCAGCCCCACCCCTAGAGTCCCTTCTATAGGGAGGGGGCAGGAGACCTTCCAGACTTCGGCTGAGCTTGGAGGGTGGGAAGGGAGCCTTCTCAGTCCTCTCTCCCTCCAGTCTGATTTTATAAAGTGCTGACGAGATTGGGAATAAAGAGGCATAAAGAATTCTCTGTGTGTATGTGTGACCAAGCACGCACTGGGGGCCGGGGTGAGGCTGGGCACATGCATGACTTGGTCCCGGGTGAAAGGAAAGGCAGGCCCCAGCAGGGGCAGGGGAGCCTGTGGTGCTCAGCCAGTCCTCCCTCCCCCACGCCTGCCTACCTTTTCAAAACCTCTGAATCACAAGTCCACACTTGGCCAGTTTATTAAAGGCAGGGAGCTTCGGCAGGGTCCAAAAGGGAGAAGTTGGGAGATGCCCCCTCCTCAGCTCCCTCCTTCCCCAACAACTCTTCTACAGCCCAGCCCCCAGGGCCCAGAGGCAGGGCTGGCGTCAGGCAGACTGTACTGCATAAATACGTGGAGGCCACAGCCCGAATCAGCAGCGTCAGGGGGCAGGGAAACTGGGTTTGGGATGAGAAGTGGGTGGCTCTGGGGGCACGTCCCCCAGTGCTTGTCCAGAGCCCAGGGACCCACAGAGCCAGAGAGGGGACCAGTGGGCCAGCTTGGGGTCTGGCTACGGCCAGCCCTGCCCAGCGAGGCTGGCAGGTGGCTCTGGTTTTGGGGGAGAAGTGGGGTGGGGTGTGGCCATGCCACGGCCCACGGGGACAGGGTGGGGTCAGGTGCTGTTGCCCTGCTCCTGTTCAAAGAGTAGCATGGCCAGCTGGGTTCGGGAGCCGAGGCCCTCAAGCACGCTCTGGAGGCAGCGGTGGTACAGGTCCTCACTGAGCCTCGCGCTGCACGTCTGGGCCCGGTAGCGCTGCAGCAGCGCCGGCTCCACCGCCCGCAGCACATGCAGACTGGAGAAGTGGAGGAACAGCTCGTACACATCCAGGCTCTCCAGCAGCTCCTCTTCTTGTTCTGAGGCTGCCGCCAGGCGCCCACGGGCTGCCACATAGTCGGAGTTGTAGAAGCAGGCCTCGCTGGCTGCCTGGCGATCAAAGCGGCCAGTGTCACGGCCCAGCTCTGGGGGCCCAGGCCCTTGTGGTGGGGCCACAGCTGGGTGGAAGGCTTGGAAATGCATGGGAAAGAAGGCCTGCCAGCCGGAGATGGCATGCATGCGGCAGCGGTTCAGGAAGTCAGGCGTGAGCACCGTGTCTGGCCCGGCCAGCAGGAACAGTGTGTCCAGCGGGTGCTTCTTGGAGAGTAGATCCATGAGGCGCAGTGGTGAGGGTGCGGCTGTCTGCACACTGAGCCATGGCACCCGGGCACCGGGGAAACGCCGCTCCAGCTCTGCCACGTGGGCCTTGACAGGTGCGAAGACATCTGCATGGGCCACGCGCTGGGCCTGGCGCGGCTCATACAGTAGCAGCAGGGTCAGGGCTGCCGCAGCATCACCAGGCTCCAGTGCTGCAGTGGCAAAGGCCTCCAAGAAGCCAGGGGCCAGGTCACGCTCAGCCGCAGCTAGAGGCAGCAGCACAGTGAGACGTGAGGCCTCAGTGACATAGGGCACAGGCAAGATCTCCACGCGGCTCAGCGGCCGGAGCAGCTGCACTCGGCGAGTGAGGGGCCGGCGGCCTCCCTGGGGGGTCAGTGCCTCCAGCTGCAAGTCCAGCGTGTATTCCATACCCCGGGCCGGATCAAAGCGTCGGTAGCCATTCACCAGCTGCTGCTTCTGGAGCCGCAAGGCCGGGTGGTAGCGGCGGTTCAGCTCCTCTAGAGCTGTCCCCAGAACATCGGCCACATCAGCCCGGTCAGCCCCACGCAGTGGGCAGCGGGGTGAGCCATCGGCGCAGGAGAAAGCGTGCTGCTCCGTGAAGTAGTCCCAGCGCAGCACCTCAAAGCGGGAGGCCGGGCGGGATGGTGCTGGAATACCCACGGGCCAAGCAGCTGCCTGGTCCCCATCAACGGCCAGATGGCTGGTATTCTGGATCTCCCACTGGATCAGAGAAACAGGCCATCAGCAAGGGACAGATTACAGGGAGCAGCACACAGCTGGGGGACTGGGTAGGCAGTAGGTGCCACTCAGGATGGGCCCCTCATCCCCTGCCAACCTCTGCCCATACCTATCATTTCCCCAGCATAGACAGCCAAGAGGCTCATCAGAGAATGTAGAAACAGGCAGGGGCTGGGAAGTAGTTTTGTTCTGTGATTCTAGTGCTAACTTGTCATTTCTCTGGGCTCTCTGTGACTTCTCAGATCCTGTCCCCGTCACTCTGCCACCCCCAGACCTAGACCATACCTGTAACTCCTGGATCTCCTGGTACGTGCGTTCCAGTTCAGCTCGGGCGAAAGCTTTGTGCAGCTGGTACATGTGCACAGGGTCACGCACAGGGTGGGCTGTCAGGGCACTTCGGAAATGAGGGTCCCCCTCCTGCACTGGCTCCCCAGGGCTCAGCTCCAGATGGCTATAGTGCACCCCCTGGGGAGAGGAAGGGAAGGGATCTGTGATGAGCTGGCATTGTCTTCCGTTGTCTCATAGTAAGTGTCTCATCTCCTCAGCCTATGACCTGTTGTGGACTTGCAGTCTGAGGGTTTAAGTCTACCTTGACCAGTTGTGAGTCTGTGTGACCTTCAGCATGCCTCCGCTAGCTCATCTGCGAAATGGGCATGCGTCCTGTCTCAGAGCTGTCCAAGGGCTAAAATAATAACTAACATCAAATGCCTATTATGTACAAGGCTCCCTGATTTTTTCTAATCCTTGTAACAACCCCGAGCAATAATTATTTCCATTGGCACAAAGGAAGATACTGAAGCCCAGGATATTTAGTAATTTACTGGGGGTCACAGAGATAGAAAATAAATGTCCGAATTGGCATGGAAAAGCAGACCTGTATCTCCAACATCCCTTTGCCTCTCAGAGGGATTTGAACATGACAAGGAGGTATCAGTGGGATAGCTTATCATCCCACCTCGTGGTCACCAGTGCAGCCCACCCCGGTGGCATCGAGAATGCAGCGACCCAGCCACTCGTCAGGGCGCGCACTGACGATGTCGTTGCGGCAGCCTTCCAGGTGGGGGCGCAGTTGTTGCAGCAGCATGCGCGACAGCAGCACCCCAAAGCCTCCGTGGCAGTAGCGGCCGGGGGTGGGCTCTCCGCCGATGAAGTCCTGGGGCCGGCCCAGGTACAGGTGGGCGGCGGAGGCCAGGCTGAGGTGGCCAGTTAGGCGTGCCAGGCCGTGCGCCTCGGTGTAGGTGGTGTCAGGCACCAGGAAGAACCAGTCAAAGTCGTCGCCGTGCTGCTCCAGCAGGTGGCGCAGCGCCAGGTGCAGGTGTCCAATGGGTCGCTCCTCGCCTAGCGTCACCACTGCCATGCCAGGTGGGGCCCGGCGGCCCCGTGCGCCCGTCAGGAACACCACACGCTCCAGCCGGTGCCCCAGCGTGCGGTTCACGGCCACGCCCAGCGTGGGCAGCGTGGTCTGAGAGGTCAGCACCGCCACCAGCAGCCTCTGCCTGATGCCCAGCTCCGTGCTGATGTAGCGGGTCCTAGGGGAGGAGATGGCACAAGCTTATCAAAAGGACAACGGGGCGGGGGGTGGGGGGGAGGTGGTCAGCACAGACCCTGGCAGGTCACGTCTTCTCTGTATCTGTTCTCTCACCTATGAATAGGTTAAAAATAAACCCTCTCTCCCAGGGGTCATGAGGATTTAAACGAAATGGTCTTAAACAGGTAGTGCTTTGCATTTGGGAGATGGCAATACCCACCCAGATAGGAGAGAGATATTGTGGGTCTGACTCCGGGGTTCGCTACTTAGTAGTTATGTCCTTGAGCATGTTATTTAACCTGAGCCATCTGTAAAATGGGACTGATTATATCTGTTTAAAGCACCCAGCCAAACGCTGGACACACCATGTATCTACTCATTTCTATATAAATATGCCATTATGCCACAAATGCCTCACATAAATGACATAAAGGAACGTTTGGCATAGGGGTGTACTGAGTGTTTTTGCGGGGAGGGGCAAACTGCACTCAGGGGCTCTAGGAACTTACCTTTTGGTAAGGCAGAAGGTAAATTGCAGAACCAGCATTTGAACCCAATGTTACTTAGAAGTTATTTCAACTCATCAGCAGAGACATTAATGAGATAGGTACATTCCTCCCTCCCCCATCTCACCCTGAGGTGGCCCTTGTAACCCACTCAGGAACAAGAGATCCAGGTAAATCCTAGTTCTCTCCTTTCTCTTCCCCTGTCTCTATACACTCACCCTATATATAAGTCATTTCTCTAACACCAGCAGCCCAGCCAGGGAGCTAGTAGGATCTCTGGGGCGCCATCGGGTCGAGCCGGTTTAGGACACAGTCCAGTAAGTTCAGCCCAGGCCGGGATAGGGCCCAGAGAAAGTCTCGGACTGGCCCCACGGCTCTCGGGAAGGCAGGGCCATCGGAAGTTATCGGGGCCCAAAGACTTCCTGGCTCGCCAGCCCCTTCCTTCCGGAGCCTGACCCGGGCCCGGGCGACCTCCCCGCGCGCTTCCCGGCCGCTGCCCAGGGGGTAGAGCGGGCGCAGCCGATCACTACCTGACGGCCTTTTTGGCGGCCTGGCCGGGCTGTGCAGGGTGGTAGGGCAAGACGCGCGGCTCCCAATTCTCCCCGGCGCCTTCGCCGGCCCCGGGCTTCTCGCGCTCCGCTCCGGGCTGCACCGAGTTGGGCCGGCGCGCCGCGTTGGTGTTGCCGCGCGGCGGCAGCTCAGAGTCTCCAGGTTGGGGCGGGCCTGGGCCGCACGGCTCCTCCACCCAGGTGACGCTGAGCAGGCTCAGGGTGAAGCCCAGGGAGATGCCCACGGCCACGGGCCCTGCGGGCCGCAGCACCGACAGCAGCAGCGATGCCCGCATGGCGCCCGGACCGCGGGTCCCCGGCCCCGGCGAACCCCCAGAGCAGCCAGAGGAGTCTCCGAGGGGGCGGGACCGGGGAGGGGGCGGATCCGGAGGGCTCGGGCCCCGCGGGCGGGCCCGCTCCCTCCCCGCAGAGCAGAGCCAGCGGCCCGAGCCGAATCCCCGGAGCCGCGCCTCGATTCCCCTCCAGCAGCTGCTCTGGGCTGCGCAGGGTTCTTGCGCTCGGCACTGGAGCCTCAGCCGCGGCCGCAGCTGTCCGACGTGTCACTGCAAGGGCCCCGCCCCCGGGGTGGGGTCTCGGGCTCTCGCTACCGGAGAGGGAGGAGAAGGGGGAGGTTAAAGGGGAAGGACCCCCGGAAGTGCCCCCTCCTCAGTGCGGGAGAGGGAGACGCCGGGGGCGGAGTCCCCTGCCTCCCGCGGCGTGGTTGGTGCGTCCCATGTGACGTCAGAAGCAGCCCGCCCCTGCCTGGATGGTGCGCCCTGAGTGACGTCAGGAGCAGAGGCCGGAGCTGTCCATCAGCACCAAAGGCCGCGGGCGGGCTCAGGGCATGGGGCCGCGGTTCTGGGGCGGCCCGAGCCCCGGCTCCTGCGCCTTCCCCTTCCTCAGGCCCAGCCCGAGTTCCCGGACGCCGCGGGACTGGAGTGCCAGCCGGTGTTGGACGTGGAGCGGCGCCGCCACCGCGCCGACACCATTCTCTCCGGCCCAGCAGCCCCCTTCCTCGCACGACGGACTTTCCCTGGACCCCAGTCAGTTGGAGCCTCTGGCGCCCCGCAACCCCGGCCCCTCGGGCCTCTGCACAGCCTCTTTCACTCAGAAGCTCAGGTCGCCTCCAGCCCAGGTAAATCTTGGACAATCCCATATTGAGCCGCCCACAGATGAATCTCTTGGCTGCCTCCTTCTCACTGGCAGCACGCTCCCTTCATCCCCCCGACTCCCGTCCCTCTTTTAACTTCATCCCAGCCTCCACTAGCCAGGCACTTTTGTTTCCCTTTGTCTTTGCTCCCCACTCCAGAGATGCTTCCGGAGCTGCACAAATGTGGATACTATTCCTTTGTCCACTGTCCTTGCTGAGTTCTCCCAATCCCTCTCCCACCCCCATCCTGGTGGGGACCCAGGACTCCTCCGTGACCCCAACTTTCCCTCTGTCAGGTTAACTTGGGAGGGTGACTCCCTTCTATTCCCAGCACTATGCCGGGGACTGTGGCAACACTGCGGTTCCAGCTGCTGCCCCCTGAGCCAGATGATGCCTTCTGGGGTGCACCTTGTGAACAGCCCCTGGAGCGCAGGTACCAGGCACTGCCGGCCCTCGTCTGCATCATGTGCTGTTTGTTTGGAGTCGTCTACTGCTTCTTCGGTGAGATCCCCATCTCATCCCTCACCTGGGCTCCCCAGTGTTTCCCCGAGTTCTTTTTCTGGGCCCCCAAGTCTTCTCTGAATCCCTCTACCATCATGAATAATTCTTCCTTTTCTTTCATCCCACACATTTATAGATTGTCTAGACTCTAGATTATAGGAAAAACAGGTTTTTGGATTAGGCACACCTGAGTGTGAATTTACTTAGCTTTGCAGTTACTAATTGTGATGTCTTGGGCACATTAATCTGTCTGAGCCTCAGTTTTCTCATCTGAACAATGATCACAATATTTGTCTCATGTAGTGTTGTAAGAATTAGTAAGCATTCAATAAATTGTAGCTATTGTGAGGATGTGTTTGGCTAACTGTGCTAGGTAGCCACTGAAAACACTTAGCAGGGTTATTACACATGGTCCCTTACCACAGGGCATATTGTCTGACAGGGAGGAGACTCCCTGGAGCATTTACACCTGGGATACATATTAGAGTGGGCTGGATGGTGGTCACACACATCCATCCAGCCTACAAGGCAGGCTCCGGTAATCAGAGCTGCTGTGAATACTTGTACAGGACGGGTACTAAATAAGGGAGCTCAGCTGAGTGGGCAAGTGGGGGCTAAAGTCCAGCTCATGCTCTGACAAACTCTGGGCCTTGGCACAAAGCTGCTTTGCCTAGAGAAAGGCACACCTTTTTCTAATATGCATAAAGGTGCCAGATGGGCTAGTGGCCCAGTATAATGGGAGTAAGTGACCAGTGGCTTTGCAGCAAGAGTTACAGAACTTCAGAGAGGAGAGTGAGCTCTATGGGCTGGGGGCCCAAAGAAAGCCTCCAGGAGAATTGTAGGTGAGTGGGACCAGTGGGGGCAAATGAGTCTTGGGGGCTGGGGTTCCAGGTTGAGCAGAGGTAGTGCAAGACTTGTGTTCTGCAGCCTCCCCCTGCAATGGGTGGGTAGACAGGGTTGGGAGCCAGATGGTCCCTCCCATTCCTCCCCCAAACTCTGGGCTGAACAACTGAAGAGTAGGCAGGAGGAAGTGCCCCCCGCAAGGGTTCAGGACACGTTCTGGGCCTCCAAGGATTCTGTATCACCTCACCCCCTCCATATCTGTACCCACTCCCTCTGCATGTTGCTCAATGCAGCCTCATATTCCCTCTCCTGGGCTTCCTGACATCCTACCCCTCTTGGATGTCACTACGCCCAGGCTCATGGACTCTGAGCCCTTGTCCACGCCCTACTCCTCTCTCTGATCACGAGCCTCCTGGACTCTCATACTTCCCCCCACTCCTGGAAGTGACTCTCCTCTGTTATCTTTCTTTTTGGCTCTCTCTGACTCCTTGACCCCCATCTCTGATTTCCATCTTTCCAACTATTCAGAATCTCCACTTCCCTCACCCTTTCAAGTATCTCTAATGGGCCTAATGGCCCTATAACCTCCTTATTTCTGAAACTCCACAAACACTGTTTCCTTCTCTTTGATTCTGTGTGACCTCATGTAAGCCTTAGTGACCTCCACCTCCTCTCACCTCCAGTTATGTCATTACCTTCCATCCCTCTGACCCCCTCTATTACTCCTAGTCTTGATCCCTGGTTACTCCTCTCTAATTCCCATAACCTCATTATCTGATCACCCCTCCCCATACTGTGATCCCAGTAATTCCTTGTTTTGGTCTCAGTGTTCCTCTCTCTTGGAAATCGTTTTATACTCTCGATGATTCTATTTCTGTCAATCTCCCTAACCTACAAATACCTCATTTTCTGGGACAACTCCCCAGTAATGCTGCTACTCTGTCCTCTTTGTAACCTTTCAGTGGTGCCATTATCTCTGAAGCCCTGTGACCCCCAAAGACTCATCTTTCTGAACCTGTGTGACCCTCACCTCTCAAGTTTCTTTTTTTTTTTTTTTTTGAGACAAGAGTCTCGCTCTGTCACCCAGGCTGGAATGCAATGGTGCGATCTTGGTGCACTGCAACCTCTGCCTCCTGGGTTCAAGCGATTCTCCTGCCTCAGCCTCCTGAGTAGCTGGGATTACAGGTGCGTGCCACCATGCCCGGCTAATTTTTCGTATTTTTAGTAGAGACGGGGTTTCACCGCGTTGGTCAGGCTGGTCTCAAACTCCTGACCTCATGATTCACCCGCCTTGGCCTCCCATAGTGCTGCCACCACGCCCGGCCCTCGAGTTTATTATGATTTCCAAATACCTCATCTCTGTGAGCAATCCCTTCTCAAAGACCCCAATGACTCTTTTTCTGATCCCCTTGGGACCCCAGTGACTTCTCTCTCTGACTCCTATGATCCCAAAGACACCAATGCACGAATTCACTCTTGACTCAAAAGATTTATCCTAACTCCTGTGATCCTCAAATACATCAACCCTCATGATCTCAATGGTTATGTTTGCCTTCCCATTGACCACCAACAGCCATATCTCTCTAACCTCCCCTGACCTCAATGGCCCCATCACTGATGCCGTCATGACTCCAGTGACCCTCAATTCTCTGATCTTAGTGTCTTTGTCTCTGGTTCCCCTGGGATCCCATGTCCTTGACCCCTTGGACCTGCTCCCTCCAGCCTGGTGCCCTCATCTTGGCCCCTCACTAGCCCCTGTTCCCCTCCAGGTTACCGCTGCTTCAAGGCAGTGCTCTTTCTCACTGGGTTGCTGTTTGGCTCGGTGGTCATCTTCCTCCTCTGCTACCGAGAGCGGGTGCTAGAGACACAGCTGAGTGCTGGGGCGAGCGCGGGCATCGCTCTGGGCATCGGGCTGCTCTGCGGGCTGGTGGCCATGCTAGTGCGCAGCGTGGGCCTCTTCCTGGTGGGGCTGCTGCTCGGCCTGCTGCTCGCAGCTGCTGCCCTGCTGGGCTCCGCACCCTACTACCAGCCAGGCTCCGTGTGGGGTCCACTGGGGCTGTTGCTGGGGGGCGGCCTGCTCTGTGCCCTGCTCACTCTGCGCTGGCCCCGCCCACTCACCACCCTGGCCACCGCCGTGACTGGTGCTGCGCTGATCGCCACTGCCGCTGACTACTTCGCCGAGCTGCTACTGCTGGGGCGCTACGTGGTGGAGCGACTCCGGGCTGCTCCTGTGCCCCCACTCTGCTGGCGAAGCTGGGCCCTGCTGGCACTCTGGCCCCTGCTCAGCCTGATGGGCGTTCTGGTGCAGTGGAGGGTGACAGCTGAGGGGGACTCCCACACGGAAGGTAAGGGGGCACAGGCCAAGGTGGACATGAGAGGAGTGGGTGGCCAGGGATGGGTTGGGGGCCAAGTGACTGGGGAGTGGGGGACAGCAGCAGAAGGCCTCGATGGCGGTAGAGAGCTGACTTGCTCAGGGTCTGGGAGGATAGCACCCAGGTGCCATCATTCATTCCACAACAACATATGGAGTGCTGGCTCCGCACCAACCCCATTCCAGGCACCAGGGATACAGCAGAGATAACACAGACAAGGTTCCTGTCCTTATGGATTCAAGGCAGGCAGGAGACAGATAACAGAGATGCAAACAAACATGATTCCAGTTGTGTAGAGTGATATGACAGAGACATTGTGCAGGATAATGTGAAAGAATGACCTATGGAAGCTATTAGAGTTAGGGTGGTCAGGGAAGGCTGCTTGAAGGAGGTGATATGTAAGCAGGCACTTGAAGGCTAAGGGGCCAGCCATGCAAAGAGCTAGAGAAGAGGGAACAGCAAGGGCGAGGGCCCTGAGAAGGAATGAGCTCAGCTTGCTTGAGGAAGTGGGGCAGGAGTATGGGAGGTGAGGTGTGGGAGCCAGAGTGATTGCGTGGACCCTCTGGGTCATAAGAAGCACTCCACATTTTATTAGAAGGGCAATAAGACTTTAAACCACTGGAGAGTTTAAAGTAGGGGAGGATAGAATCTAATTTAGCTTTTGGGATGCTCATTCTGCTGCCGAGTGTAGAAAGCATTGGAGGGAGCAAGTGTAGGGGGAAACCAGTGAAGAAGCAGCTGTGATTGTCCAGTGGAAAGATGATGATGGCTGGCCTAGGTGATTGGGAGAGGGATGACAGCCTGGAAGGGGGTACCTGGAAGCCTAGCAACCTTCCATAAAGACCTATGGAAGAAAAGAACAACAGCGGGAAGTCTCCTCTGAGAGGTAGGAGACCAGGAAAGGAAGTGACAGGGTGGGAGTAAGGGGTTATGGACAAGAGGAATCTGGAAGCCTAGAGCCACAGGTGGGATGAGAGAGGGAGGGCTCAAGGGAAACAAGGCGCACCGTCCTCTGAGCTCCTTCTCTACCCATCCCACCACAGTGGTCATCAGCCGGCAGCGCCGACGCGTGCAACTGATGCGGATTCGGCAGCAGGAAGATCGCAAGGAGAAAAGGCGGAAAAAGAGACCTCCTCGGGCTCCCCTCAGAGGTCCCCGGGCTCCTCCCAGGCCTGGGCCACCAGACCCTGCTTATCGGCGCAGGCCAGTGCCCATCAAACGCTTCAATGGAGACGTCCTCTCCCCGGTGAGCTCCCTGAGCCCATCCAGCCAGAATGAGAAGGAAGTGTGGAAACTCTTTCCAAACAGGACTGGGCTTTCCCCACGGGCTGGTTGCTATCTAGAAGGCCTGTTTGTCCATGAACTGTTTGTCCATGCATCGGAGCCCATGCACCAGGGGCTTGGCGGGTCCAGCTGGTGGGGGAATTGGGGGAAAGGTTCCTGAGTATGGGTTTTAAGTGGGATATGGTATGTGGTGGGGTCTCAGGGCTGTGGACTCTGGGTCTATGGCAGTCTATAGAAGTGTCAGGCTTGTGGGAATTCAGGAAGAGGTGGCTTTTAGGGCAGGATTCTGCGGTGGGACTCACACCTATGTTTGCTCCCCCACAGAGCTATATCCAGAGCTTCCGAGACCGGCAGACCGGGAGCTCCCTGAGCTCCTTCATGGCCTCACCCACAGATGCGGACTATGAGTATGGGTCCCGGGGACCTCTGACAGCCTGCTCAGGCCCCCCAGTGCGGGTATAGCCATATCTGTCTGTCTAGACTCTGCAGTCACCAGCTCTGCCAGCTCGAGGAGGCCTGCTAGGCTGCCACTCAGCCTCCTGGCTTTGGCTGTCCCTCTCCCCAGCCTGGAGAGGGCTGGCCTGGTCACTAGAAGGGAGGATTGTCTCAGGCGAGTCTTGGCCTGAGAGGAAAGCCCCCTCCCAAGCTCCCAAGAGGCTCCTGAGGAACTCGGGGTGTGAACCCCATTGGGGTGTGCTCAGGGTTGTGAGTGTGTTGCCCGTGTGTCTGTGTGTATGTGTGTGGGGGTGGGCAGGCTTGGAGGGGACGCTGGGACCCTTGCCTTAGATTTCTGACTGGTAGGGTTTCTCCAGGCTCAGCCCCACCTCTTCACTCCCTGCCAAGGTCCCATGGGCCACCTCCTGCATGTCTCCGCGGAGGGGCTACCTTCCTTCCCATCGCCCTGCCTCGCAGCCAGACTCATCTAAGGGTTCTTGTCCTTGTCTATGGGGCAAACTGTAGCATCCCTCACCCTGGTCCCCTGGCCTCTGTAAAGCCACCAGCCTGAGGGCAGTGGCAGGAGATGGGGGTGGGGGGGTGCTGCTCTGGGCTGGGTTGGGAAGGGAGTTGGGGAGGGGTTTAAATGCACGGTGCATGTCTGGTGTCTGTCATGCCAACCTAGACACCTCATGCTTCTGTCTCCCCCACCCCACTCTGTTTTACATCTTTTATAAATGTGCCAAACTGTGTGGCCTCTGCCAGGAATGGTGGTCTTTGGTGGCTGGCACTTTCATGGGCCAGGTACAAGCACTACAGCCCTCGGTCCCCAGTGTCGCTCACTGCACAGGGGCTCCAGGCAAGGTCTGCCCCCCCACATCACTCAGAGAGGCAAGGAAATGAGCTGTAGCACTTTTATTGTTCCTTGTCTCTCTACCCCTGCCCAGGGTAAGGGCAAACGCCTTCCAAGCTGTCCAAGGGCACCCGCCTGGCCTGGTTAGGTTCTCCTAGTTGCCTGCAGAGGAATGACTCCACATGGGGCTGGGGAGAGAAGGGGGTACCACCTTCCTCTCCCCTGGCAGAGCCTGGACACCAGTACACAAAGAGCTGGGCCCCCAGGTTCTGCCCTACCCTTTCTGGGCCTTGGTTAGGGCTGTCTTGGCGGCAGGAAGGTGGGGGTCAGCTAGGGGTGGGGCACAGCGCGGCACCTGAAGGGAATGCTGGGATTTGGGATAGAAGGTGGGATGTCTCTTATGGGGAAGAGGAAAGAAAGAGGCTTCTGCCAAGGCTGACATGGAACTTGCTGAGATGGGCAGAGGCAAGCTGGGCAGAGGGCAGGAAGGAGGAGGGACAGGCTGGAGGAAGGCAGTGTTGGTGAAGTGGGGAGGAAAGGAACTGGTAGAAACAGGGCTGTTCAAGAGAGACAAACATGGTCCAGTGGCAGGAGAGAGGAGAAGCCTGGCAAGAAGGGGCGTAGAAAGGTGGGAACAGCTGACCAGGAGCAGCTGATCTGAGCCAAGCAGTTCCAGGGCTTTCCAGCCCTGGGTGTGCTCTACCCCTCCCCTCCCCCATCCCCACCTCCTACGTATCCCAGGACCCGTTGCCACCCCAAGTTCTGGAAAGCCTCCCATAGGTGTGGCTTAACCCATCAGCTCCCAGGCGCCCTCACCCTCCTGCCGCTGCCCAGTTGGCTTTACTCACCCTCTACCAGCAGCCGTGTGTGGGTGCTGTCCTGGCCGGCCTGGCAGCAGTAAGTGCCTTGGTCCTCAGGTCGAACGTCATGGATGACCAGGCTGTGGGTGGGGCCGTGGCTGCGCATCTCATACTTATCTCCCGGGCACAGCTCGGCCCCCTCCCGCAGCCAGCACACGTGGCCCCCCGAGCGGGACACAGTCACCTCCAGCACCGCCCGGCGGCCCACCAGAACGGTCTTCTCGCGAGGGGGGTGGCGGCACATCTGGAGAGGCAATGCTGGGGGTAGGGGGCGGGGGCTTAAGTTAATAGGGACACGCATGGCCCCCAGGAGGAGAGATGCATCTTCCCTCCCTGAAGTCTCCACTCCTGGCCTTAGCCCTCTATGCCACCAGTCCGTTCCCTTGCACCTCAGACCCAAAGTCTCCTCTTGCCGGGGAAACGCGCTGCCCTCTGTGACCCGGCCCAGGAGAGCCCCTCGGGGGGAAGGGAAGAGAGAGGCAGCGTTCTTGGGGCCAGCCCCAAGTCCGTCAGTCCCATGGCAGGAGAGACAGGATGTACACTCTCTGTCGCTCCCACCCCAGGTGCTTACCCTCCACTTCCAGTAGAGCCAGGGACTGGGCGGGCCCCGCCTGGAAGCGGACTTCACCGGCGTCCTCGGCGCGCAGCTCGCTAAGCACCAGAATGTGTTTCTTCCCTGGGGGTGAGGGGGTCGCTAGCGAGGCCGGAGCCACCTCTGAGGAGCGTTGGGGACGAAGGTGGGGGCCCAGCAGGCCCCTGGGTCGGTTCGGACGCCGTTAGTGTATGCTAGGGTGGGCGGAACAGGGATGCGGAGCGGGAAGCCTAGAGGTCCGGGACTAGGGGCTGGGGGCGGGGGAAAGAACAGGGACGAGGCTCACAGGGCCGTGGGGCGGGGCCCGTCGGAGCCAGGGGCGGGGCTTGTCCCGGTGGGGCGGGATCTGTTCGAGCCTGGGCGGGGCAGCGAGGGGCCCGAAAGGGTAACCAGGCGGGCAGACCTTCCTGTCGGATGCGGACGCGGGCTCCGGGTCTCAGCGGGCGGCCTCCGAGCTCCCAGCGCCCCGTGGTCTCGACCTCCGACACGGTGCACTCGAACGTAGCGCCGTCGCCTTCGCGGGCGCTCACCGACCGCAGCTCGGAGAGTACCGCCACAGTACGCTCTGGGGCGGAGCCCGGGGCGTGAGCGGGGCGGGGCAGAGGGCAGTTACCGGTCACGCCCCCTCCACGCCCCCTTTCTAGAAGCACGCGCGGTCATCAGGGTCCGGGGAAGACAGCTCCGCAAGTCTCGCGCCCAAAGCAGTGCCCAGCCTCCACATCACCCCGTACCCACCGCGCACGGTCAGGCGGACCGGTCCGGCGCGGGCCGTCCCCACCGCGCAGCTGTAGGTCCCGGCGTCCGAGGGGCCGCAGCGTCGCAGCTGGAGAAGGCGGCGCGTGCCGAGGGCCTGGAGCCGGAGCCGCGGGCTAGGCGTAAGCGCGTTCCCGTCCTAGGGGCGGGAGTTGCAGAGGGTCGGGGCGAGCCCGGCTGGGCACAGGCGACCCCGGCCCTGGCAGGCGGCGCACCCTTTGTTGATGCCAAGCGGTCTCGAGGCGCGTTTATGCGTGTCTCGTGTTCCCAGGCTGGGGTCGGACTGTCCCCAAGCCTTTGGGGTCGTGCCAGGAGCCTCTTTGAAAAAGCGTCACCCTTTGGGGACCTTAGGGCCGCCAAGGCACTCGGGAAGCCCAGAGCCAGGTATCGATCACAGGGGACATGGGCACGGATTCTGGAGTTAGGCAAACCTGGATTCGAATATGGGCTCTACCTGTTGTCTGCCCTTGGGTAGGTAATTTTTCCCACTGAGCATCAGTTTCCTGATAGGTATTACAGTGACAAGACCTACCTCCTAGAGTTGTCCTTGGAGTAAGGGATTAAATATAATGCAAATCTTAGCACAGTGCCAGGCACATCCGCTCAAGGAATATTAGCTGTTTCTGTCTGGGGCATTATTATCGTTGGTGTTACACTGAAGTGGGCTTGGCTGGGGCTGGGATCTGACCTTCTCCCAGGTAACATCAGCCAAAGCTTGGGAAAGCTCGCACTCGAACGTAGCTGTGTCGCCCTCGGTCACCTCTAGGTCGTGTGGCCCCCGCACGATGGTCACTGGGACCTCTGGGGGTGGGAGAGGGAGGACAGTGCAGAGGGAGCAGGATGGGGACCCATCTTGCAGGGACAAGGAGGACATACACTTGGGCACAACAGGCAGTAGAGGACACTAGCGAGTGGGGTTCGAGCTGGGACAAGTGGTCCAAGAAGGATCTGTCAGTGGTGGGGGTGGGGGGGATGTAGGTGGGCAGGGCCACAGGGCCAATGGGTTAGGAGTGGCCAACTGGGAGTCACACTTTAAGGTGGTCAGTGGGGGAGAAGCTGGGGGCCAGAGGGCAATGGGGAAACAAGCAGAGATGCCAGTGGAGTGGTCAGTGGGAACATCCTGGGACTGGAAGTAAAAATGGGGGACACTCAAGCAGACTTGCTAGTGATGTCGCCCGTAGGCAGTCAGTGGATTCAAGGGACTGGAGTGGTCACGGGGCCCACACTTAGGCGGGCAGAGGGAGCCACGGCAGACAGTGTAGCCAGTAGGGTCACAGTTAGAGTGGTCAGTGGGGTGGTGTGCAGGCGGGCAGACAGCAGTGACCACAATGGCAAAGGCATGCTCTTGGTAGCAGAGTCAGTGGTTGGCTGAGCCTTGGGCAGTCAGGGGCCACACCCAGGCAGAGGACTCTGGGGCCACACAGGGCCTATGAGTCAGGGGGATCACACTCTGGCAGGGATGTCAATGAGGGCCACACTGAGACAGGCATGGTCAGTGGGGGTCACACGAGTTGGGGGTCAGTATTCATGCCTGGGGTAAGTAGGGCCACACAGGTCAGCAGGCAGGCTGTGGTCCTGGAGGCCACACCTCTCACAATGAGTCTGGCTGCGCAGCGCAGGGAATCCGCTGTGAAGGAGACACAGCCTGAGTCGGCCAGGCCCAGGCCATTGAGTACCAGTCGGTGACGGTGGCCGTCCGAGTGGATGTGACACTTGGGTCCTGGATACAGCTGTACTCCACCCCGGGCCCACTCCCCGGTCACACCTTCCTGGGACAGCTCCAGCTGGAAGGTGGCACTGCCCCCCTCACTGATGGTCACGTCCTCCAGAGGCCGCAGCACCCTCAGCTGCCTCGCTGGCCGGGGGAGATGGAGAGAGGGAGGATGAGGCCTCCAGCTCTGGGCAGGGGTTGCAGTCAATCCTCATCCCTTGGCCCTGCCTACACCCCTGAACACCCAACCTAAGGTCCTGACCAAAAAAGTTCGGAACCAGGGTGCAGGAAGAAAGGAGCACGGTGGACAGATTTGGCGGGGGGAGGGCTGTATCAGGGTTAGGAGATGAGGGCACAGGAAGGGGGAGAAGTGTGGTTAGGGGGTCGTGGAGTCTGGGTGAGGGGTGCTGTGACACTTGAAGGAGCACGGAATTTGGAGTCAGACACACTAGGAATGGAACCTCGCTCTACCACATAGTTTGTGTGCTATGTGATCTTTGGCAAATGGCCTGACCTCTCTGGACCCCAGTTGCCCCAGCTGTACAAGGTGAATAACATTGGGACACAGGTTTATTGTGATGATTTCTTGAATGAAATAAGTTAGAAGAGATGTGTCACAAATGACAACCATTCACCAAGCTCTGTGTAAGAATTTTCATGTTATCTCAGTTAATGTTCCCAGAGACACTTGAGACGGGGATCAACCCCATTTTTAAAATTTGAGACAGGGTCTTGCTGTCACCCAGGCTGGAATGCCGTGACATGATCATAGCTCACTATAGCCTCAACCTCCTGGGTTCAAGCAATCCTTCTGCCTCAGCCTCCCTAGTAACTACCATGCCCGGCTAATTTTTATTTTTTTTTGTGGAGATGGGTTCTTGCTATGTTGCCCAGGATGGCCTCGAACTCCTGGCCTCAAGGGATCCTCCTGCCTTGGCCTCCCAAAGTGTTAGGATTATAGGCGTGAGCCACTGCACCTGGTCTCAGCCCCATTTTTAAGGAGACTTGGCTCAAAGAGGTTAACTTGCATGAGGTCACATAGGAAACAGAGGGCTCCAGCTTTGGGTGGGAGGTGTGGGGTGCTGTTTGACAGCCATCCCTGCTACTTAAGTGGGTATGTGTATCCCTAGAATACATGCCTGAAGGATGCCCATGGCAAGTCTTTCTGGAGAATATTTGTGTTTATAGCAAAGCCGACTTGGAAATATGCAATGGAATGCAAAATCCACATGGACTTCTAAGGTAAATAAAAAATATTAGAAAAAGAAAAGTTTTGCTTTGGGCAAGCTGCTGCTGGGACGGCCATGGGTGACTTTTCTCAGCGATGAGGGGCACTTTGGTGGGGGCCTGAGGGACTCCAGGACAGCCAGAAAAGGCTGTGGTGTAGGGTGGGTAATGCATTAAGAGAGGACGGGGCACTCACGCCTCACGCTGAGCCTGGCCAGGGTGCGATCGTGGTGGCTCTCGCAGCCGTAGGTGCCCTGGTCGGCCAGTATGACACCATGGATGAAGAGGCGGTGGATGTGCCCATCCTGGGCCATGGACAGGCGAGAGTCGTGGGGCAGGGGCTGCCCACCTCGCACCCAGCGCACGGCCCCCGCTGCACCCACTCGGCCTGTCTCCACTTCGAGACACACATCCTGGCCTTCCTCTGCCCGCACATCCTGCAACCGCCGTAGGAACAGCAGCTCTGTCTCTGGTGGGGAAGAAGGAGGCCATGGAGTCTGGTGGGGTTGGAGGCTGGCCCCTTGCTCCATCCCACTGGTCTGTCCCTAGGTGGAGAGGCAAGGCTGCTGGAATCCTGGTTGGGAGTACAGGCACGGGACACAGAGTATCTCATCCTCATCAGGACCTAACCTCGAACATGGAGCCGGGCACTTGTGGCCGTGCTCCCTGCCCGCAAAGTCACGGTCCCTGCATCCCCCAGTTGGCAGCCTCGCAAGGTTAAGATGCGGCTTGAACCATTCTGGGCCATCTCCACCTGGGGCCCTGGAGTGACGACGGCCCCATTGCGCAGCCAGGTGACATCGGCATCTGGTGGGGAGACTTCACACCGGAACGTGGCATCATCGCCCTCGTGGACAGTGAGTGGTGTCAGCTCCGAGACCAGCTTCACCAGCAGTGGCTCTAAGGGGCACGGTAAGGCAGTGAGCTGGGCTGAGTCTTTTCTTCTCTCTCCTTTTCATCCCCTCCTCAGGATGCAGGCCCTCGTCCCCAGTCATTTAACAGACCTTCTGTGAGGACCTACTATGTATCGACCACACCGATGGCCCAAAGGACAAGATGCCAGCTCCCTGCCACTCCTTTTAGTCAGTTCCTCATAATCCTAGCCTAGCACCCCACCTTGGTGGCACCCTAATAATATCAATTACCAGGGACCCTATTTACAGCATTTACTTGTCACAACAGGCCTATAAGAAAAGCACTATCCCCTCTTTTCAGAGCCGGGGCTCAGACAGGTTGAACAACTTGGCCAATGTCACACAGCTACTGGGGCACAGAATCTAGGCTGGAACCTGGCTGGGTGGACTCTAGAGCCCCTGCTTTTAACCACTGGTTTATGCTGCTCTCAACATGAGGGTTTCTGGAAAGAGGAGCCCTGAGCCCCTATCCAAGTGATGGTCATGCACGCACTGGTTGGAGCCAGAAGCAGCAAAGCGGGGGTGGAGGAGTAAGGGGGCCCTAGAAAGTGGCAGATGGTCCTTGGGGTGCCACAGCCCACAGGGTGTGAGGGGTACACTGTTACCTTCCACGCTGACAAGGAAGATGCGGCTGTCCTGGGGCGCATCGCACAGGTACTCCCCAGCGTCCCCGCTCCGTGCCCCCTGCACCCGCAGCACCTGCCTGGCCCCGGCCTGCTCCAGCTGCACCCGCCCCTGGCTTGCCAGTCGCTCCCCGTCCTTGTACCAGCGTACAGGGCCCCCTGGCCCGGAGAGGTGCACCACCAGCTCTAGGTCCCCGCCTGGGGTGCTCCGAACCCTCGTCTGGGCTGCCTCGGGAGCTACCACCCGCACAGGGGGCTCTGTGGAGTCAGAGCTGGAGGTCACTGGGAGGGAGAGGCTCAGGGCTTTGAGGAGGGCACGGGGAGGCATGACGGGGAAGGTACTGAGAGAAGTGGGGCCAGGGATGGGCAAGGCATGCTGGAAAAGCAGGAATCCCGCAGAGTTTGGGGTGCCACTCTCAGGCTTGGTGCCACTCTCAGGCTTAATGCCCAGGCTGTACTCACCAGCCACCTGGACGGTGAAGCTGAGGCTTGGGGCTCCGGGGGCTGCTCCAGACTGGCAGGTGTAGAGCCCTGCATGGGCTGGGCCTGCAGCCTGGATGCAGAGGACTCGGCGGGGGCCCTCGGCATGGAGCTCTAGGCCCTCGCCCTCCTGCACGGGCCTCCCATTGTGGCTCCAGACCACGGGGGCGCCAGCCCGGGACAGTTCACAGCTCAGCACCACTGGCTCCCCAGGGGCCACACAGAGCGGGCTTGGAGTTGTCTCTAGAGCAAGGAACTGCACTGGAGGCTCTGGAGAAGAGAGGAAGGTGTCATCCCATGCTTGCCCTTGCCTCCCTGCCCTGGGTTGGCCAGGAGCACCCACCAGCCAGGATGACATTGAAGGTGATGGCCTCATGCCGGGTCTCACACACATACTCCCCGGCGTCCTCAGGCTGGGCGTGGGGCAGGGTCAGGGTGCGGGTGGGCCCCTCGGCACCCAGCTGCAGGGCATCTGATGCCTCCACTTCCAGCCCGTCCTTGTACCAGCGCACCTGAGACCCAGCTGGGGCCACCTCACAGCGCAGCTCCACGCGCCCTGGAGCCCCAAAATGCAGATCCAGGGAGCGGGCTGCCGGGTGCACAATCCTCTCTGGTGGGGCTGGTGGGTGGGCATGGAGAGGGGCACATAGGCTTGGCCAGCAGGCCTCTCCTGCCTCACCCGCCAGATCCTCAGCCCTCCCCACTGGCAGCACAGCTCTTGAGAACAGTGCCAGCTGCAGTCCATGGAGCAGCTGCTGTGTGCCAGGCACTGTCCTAAGAACCCTGTGTTTTTTCAATCAGTTACTCTGACCACCCTCAAGAGGTGCACAGCTGCTGGCTGCACTTCATGGCTGAGGACCTGAGGCCTCTTTAGAAGAAACTGACTTGCCTAAGGTCACACAGACAGAAAGAGGCAGATCTAGACTCACACCCAGATCTACACACCCCACTCCACACCCATCCCCACTTCCTATCCCCTTTCCCTGCCTTGCCTCTGATGCACTTGTTACCACCTGACAAACCATCTCTTTTATTTTTTGTCTGTCCACCCTCACCAGAGTTTAAACTCTGTGAAGACAAGAGGTTTAGTCTTATTGGTTCACTGCTGTATCCCCAGCATCTAAAACAGTGCCAAGCACATAGTAGTTGCTCAATGAGTATTGAACGAATGGATGAATGAACGAATGGTTCTAATTGCTGGGCACCCTCCCACCAGGCCTCTGGTCCTGACCTGATGTGGCTAAGCAGGATTCTGATGGCCAAACATGAGGAAGCTGGATAAGGGGAAGGCTGGGGATGGGGTGGGGGAGGTGGGGCTAGGTGGGTGTCTGTCCCTTAGCCCCCTACCTCTCTACCTCCTCTCTGTGCTGCAGAGACTGCCCACCTGTGACAGTGACAGTGAAGAAGGCCGAGTCATCTCCAGCATCACATACAAACTCGCCCCCGTCCTCGGGCTGAGCAGCAGGTAGCACCAGGCGGCAGCGTGGCCCATCCCTCTCCAGCACCAGGGCCTCGCTCTCCTCCACTTCCAGCCCATCCTTGTACCAGCGCACAGGGGCATCCTCCCGAGACAGTTCACACATCAGCACCACACACTCCAAGGTCACGGCGATCAAGGTCACCTCATCGCGAGGGTATATGATCCGCACTGGGGGTTCTGCAGGGTGGGGACAACCACAGCCTGTCACAAGCTCACCGTCAGCCTCTCTGGAGCCATTCGGCAGCATGAAGTCCCTATCACCCACATAATAATGAGAATAATAAGTAAAATAATAATAAGCAATAATAGGTCCACAGTTTGTTCTCTGAAATCCCTGGGGCCAGAGGGTGTTACAGAATCCAGAATGCTTTGGATTCCAGAAATGATGCGTTTCTCATCTATCACATACCTTCCTCAGCCCCCACGGGAGCCTCCCCCTTCATCGGTCACGTTAACATGTCTGTGGTATAACACATACTACATTCACCCTAAGCAGGATAGATTGAAAGATACAGAATCTTACAGATACAAGCATATATCTATAAGACACTCATATCTTATAGATATACAGCTATAGCTATATTCACCCTCAGCAGGATAATTAAAGCATAGAAATAGCTTCAGAGCAATCAAGCTCAGGTTTTCCTGAAATGACTTGGAATACAAAACTTACAAAAAGCCTTTTGATTTTGAGAGTTTTGGAATTTTGGAACCATGGATAAGGGATGGTGGATCTACAATAGCAAACATTGATATGACACTTCCTAAGGTCCAGGAACAGTCCCAAGCACTTGAAACATTTAACTCTCACGGCAATCCTAAGAGGAAGGTAGTGTTTTGTCCCCATTTTCCATATAAGGGACTGGGCACAGAGTGATTATACAACTTCCTTAAGGTCACAGCTGGCTACACCCACTCTGGGGCAGGAGGAGGAAATACCCTCTGTTAAAGGGAGGCTCAGACCCCACAGGTAGTGGCAGGAATTCCAAGCCAAGGCTTGCAGGAACTCAGTAATGCTTTTTGCATTCAACGTCTGTCTGAGAGTTCCCCAGGGGTGCTAAATGCTGATTCTGGGAGCTCATCTCCAAGTTCTGGTCACTCCTCTGCAGAAAGGGAACCATGTCAATATTAGAGGTGACCAGCGCATGGAGCCCAGGCCTGCCCACACCCCTGCTGCCCCCAGGTCCCCCCAGAATCTTCAAGTTTTGGGGCGACTACTGCTCCATTAGCCTCTGGCCCCCTGGTGGCTGGGCTGAGGAACTGCTAGCTTCCCAATCAGGGGCCAGGGTTGGGGGGGTGGGGGCTGGGGGTGGTTTATAGGGGCATGCATGGGCCGAGGTAACCACAAGCTCCCACTCAGCCCCCCAGCCTCCACGGAGACTCCTGCCTTGAGCCACACAACCCACCTCCCCCATGGGCTTGCTTGCTCTAAGGGTCTGGGGGATGCAGGCTGGTCCTCTGGGGCCGAGCAAGGCCAGGAGAGACCAGAATGCAGCTGCCTGAGGAGTGGGGAAGGTGATGAGGGCAGTGGGGTGAGGACAGGGTGCAGTGATGGGACCGGGTGGCTGCCCAGCCCCGGGACCTCAGCTTGGTGTCAGACTTGATTCGCTCTGGCCTAGAGCAGAGGTGGTGTTTGTGTGAACTTCCCTGTGAAGAGACTGGTGTTTGTGGGGAGCCTGAGCATGGGCTGGAGTTTGTGTGGCTGTGGCCATTCTGTCTGGCCATGGCTGGGTGGGAGAGGGTGAAGATGATTACGACAGGGCAGAATATGTGCAGAAGGCCTCTTAGGCATTGTGGGCTTGTGTGTGTAGAGTGCATTAGCTGGGGTGCAAGGAGCAGGGGGGCCCTAAACAGCTCTGCATGGGGCGTGACTTTCAGGGCAGGGCTGGGAGAGGACAGGACTGTGGCCGCAGTAGGATGGGGGCTCCAGTGCAGCCACTGGGGTTCTGTGCCCCCCAGAGCTGCCTAGCCCTATGGACCCCCAGCCCCAGACACACACTGGGCTGGGCGCTGTGAGCCGTCACCCCGAGGTCTCCGGCACTGAACCTCCGTCACTTCCACAGTTGTCCTGTGCTTCTCCCGCTTTGAATATTCCCCCACACCCCACCCCACTTAGCTCCAGTATCAGCTTTGAAAGCACTTCCTGTTGCCTGGCCAGGGTGGTGGCTCCCAGCCCCAGGGTCCCTAGACTGGCCCTCAACAACCCATGCTCTAAGATCCTGGAATGCGTCTGGCTTTCCTGCCAGGCTGTGCAGTCCTAGAGGGAAGCGGCCGTGTCTGCGTGCTGCTGGCTCCCGTGTGTGGAAGGGTGACTTTCTCCCAGGCCTCCCTGACCCTCCTGCTCTGTGCTCTTGAGCCCTCTGCCCTTGGCCCTCACAGTACTTATCACCAGGTGTCACTGTACATTTATTTGCATGTTTATTGGT
The DNA here is from genome assembly GCF_000001405.40 of Homo sapiens. Lineage (NCBI taxonomy): Eukaryota > Metazoa > Chordata > Mammalia > Primates > Hominidae > Homo > Homo sapiens. Next base: position 219,561,747 of record NC_000002.12, read on the forward strand.
TTAACACAGGGGTCGCAAACTCAAATGCCCACAGGGGCCAGGTTAGGTTAGCGGCTGAAGCAGTCTGGGGAGAGGCAAAAAGCAATGGCAGGGAGGTGGGACAGAGGAATGTGGGCCCCAAACTATGGGGGCAGCTGCTACTCAGTGCCAGCTGTTCGTCGCCATGGGGGGAAGCGGGACCAGAGCCGCCGGGTCTTCGGCTTTTTCAAGAGGACGCATAACTCCGGATTGTTATTTGAACTGTCCTGACTTTGGTAAGACTCTGCAGACCAAACAAAGCACATGTGTGGAATGCGCAGGGCCCCAGGACTACCCGTTTGCGACCCCTGGTTAACAGCTGCCTCCTCACCTAGCCTGGCAGCTCATTCAGAATAGGGACCGTATTTGCATTACTCACCTGCTACTCCCAGTGCCTGATTCAGGGAAAGTGCTCAGTAAATGAGCTGTGGAGCAGAGCTAGGCCTGGCCTTGGGCACCGGGGAGGGGCTTGTTTCCTTGAATAGGGGCCCTGGGCTCATCTCAGCAAGAACCCTGGCACATGCACCTGCAGCCCACACCTCCCTCCTCCCCGGGGTGCTAGCTGGGGCTATGTGGCCAGCTCCTCCAGGGCTCAGGGCTGTCTCTGTGACCCCGGGGAGCTGGGCTGGGCCCACACCTGTGACGGTGACAGTGAAGGAGGCCGACTCATCGTCAATTTCACACAAGTACTCGCCGGAGTCCTCGAGCTGGACAGCGGGCAGCACCAGGCGGCGGACAGTGTCTTCCTTCTGCAGGAGCAGCGCGGGGCTCTCCACCACCTCCTCTCCATCCTTGGTCCAGCGCACCTCTGCCCAGGGCCGGCATAGCTCACAGGTCAGCACCACACGCTCCAGGCGCACGGCTGCCACATACACCTTGCCGCTGGGATACACGATCCACGAGGAGACGTCTGGAGGACAGGGACAGCCACTGCCGGGCATGAGGGGTGTGCCCTGCCGTCCTCCCTGACCCCGTTGTGTTCCCTACCCCTGGAAAGTAGGCCATGTGTTGAAGAGGGACCTTCCTGAGACCAAATCTCACAGCAGCTGACAGTTACTCACAGCTAGAGACACACGAATACAGCTGTCACAAAAGCACAGCAGACTTTCTGCTGCGCAGGAGCTGCACAGAGGGGACCACGGGGTCAGCCTCGGCTGTAGAAACGCTCCACATTCTCTGGGTTGGGACAGGGACGGTATGAAGGGTGGAACTGATGAGAGGAGGGTTGGGGGGAGGAGCTGGGGGTCTCCTCCTCCAAGATGTTTTTGCCCCCCTAGTGCCTGAGACCACCAGCCCTAGACTCTGCCCTACCCTGCAATAGACTCACTGTCCCCAGAGATTTCCCTTGGTACAGGTTTTCAGGAGAATAGAGAAAGCCAGGCTTCCTTAGCCAAGACCAATGTGCTTATGATAACACGTTTCCTGAATGTGACTAGACCATAGCTTGAGGAGAAAGGGAGGAGGTCCGATCTGCCAGGGGGAGGGCAGTAGGGGCGGGGAACAGTGGCCTGGGAGTGAAGGTGTGGCAGCTGTTCCAGTGGGAGCAGGGGCACCTTCCCCTGTGCCTCCGAGGCCCACCTGGCCCCCCACCTGTGATGGTGACAGTGAAGTAGGCACACTCATCTCCAGCGACGCACTGAAACTCGCCCCCGTCTGAGGGCTGGGTGGCGGGCAGCACCAGGCGGCGATGGGGCCCCTCATTCTCCAGCACCACGAAGTCACTCTCCTCCACCTCCTGCCCGTCCTTGTACCAACGCACAGGGGCGTCCTCTCGGTCCACCTCACAGGCCAGCATGACACACTCGGAAGTTATGGCATGCACGAACACATGTTCTCGGGGGTCCACGATGTGCACGGGAGGATCTGGGTGGGAAGCAGAGATGGCATTGCACAGACACCCCCGCACAATGAGTCCAAACTAGCTGTGTGGCCAGGAGACACTGTTTCTGCACAAGAGGACACTGGAGGAGGGCTAAGGTCCTGCTGTGTAGGGACTCAGGGACAATGACAAGGAATGCTGAGGGCATGGCAGGTGAGGCATGGCAGGAGATCATGTGGCACCAGAGTGCTCTGTAGGTCCCCAAAGGATCAGAGGTGGCGGGGTGAGTACATAGAGAGAAGGAAGCACAGAGAGTTCACAGAGTGGCAGCCACCATTTGTCTAGGCTGAAGGGAGGTCACTGTCACAAGTCACATCAGGGCCATGCTTACTGCCTCTATTACGAGAAAGACCCCAGGGTGGGCAGGAGGTGAAGGATGATCCAACAAGTGGCAACAGTGAGACAGCCACTCTCCAGGTAGTGGGTTCCCTGTCACTGGGTGCATTCAGGCAGGGGCCACAGTGTGGAAAACAGGACTCCCACTCAGTGAGATGAGTGGGATCCATGGTTCCCAAGCTGCTCTCTCAGAGAGTCTGCACTTGTTAGGAAAGGATCTTCAGGCTCCACCCTGGATACTGGGGCTCTGGACAGTCCAGGGATTTATAACCAGCTTCCAGGAGCTTCCTAAAGCAGCCAGCCTACGGACTGCCTTGTGAGAACCACGGGGTGACTGCACTCGATGCTTCTGTTTGACTCTATCTGAGGCAGCAGGAACAGAACAATCCTGTGTGTGTCGCCAAGCTATGGTGTGACGGAGGTCACATAACCTCTTACAGCCTCCATTTCTTTGCCTGTGAACTGGAGATATATTGCCCCTCATCGAGTTGTGAAGATTAAATGAAAGAGTGTATATTGAAAATACTTAGCATAGTGCTTGGCTCAGAGTAAGTGTCCAAAAAGTGTTTGCTCCCATCTCTCCTCCCCTTAATTGCATTTTGTTCCCCCACCCAACCCAGCAGAGGCTATGTGGACAGCGAGACAGTGTTAGTGTATCAGGGGTTTAGGAGGCAAAGGCACGCTGTGCGTGGCACACACCTATAATCCCAGCTGCTCAGGAGGCTGAGGAAGGAGGATCGTTTGAGCACAGGAGTTCAAGGCCAGCCTGGGCAACAGTGAGACCCTCATCTTAAAAAAAGAAAGAAAGAAAGAAAGCCAGGCATGGTGGCTCATACCTATAATCCCAGCATTTTAGAAGGCTGAGGCGGGCAGATCATTTGAGGTCAGGGGTGACCTAACCAACATAGTGAAACCGTCTCTACCAAATAATAAAAAAATTAGCTGGGCGTGGTGGCGCGCACCTGTAGTCCCAGCTACTTGGGAGGCTGAGGTGAGAGAATCGCTTTAACCCAGGAGGCGGAGGTTGCAATGAGCTGAGATCACGCCACTGCCCTCCAGCCAGGGCAACAGAGTGAGAGCCTGTCTCCAAAAAAAACAAGAAACAAAAAAGCAAGTGCAGAGTTATCTGAAACATGTCCCCTGGGCCACTGGACTCTCCCTGTAAAGGACTCCCCCAAGTAGGCAGCAGACCAGAGGGCATGGCTTATGCGGCCCCACAATCAGCCTTGGCTGGAGGAGCCCAGGCTGGCATGCTTCCTGACCTTGGACAGTGACGCCGAAGAAGGCCGAGACCCCTTCTGTCCTGCACTCAAACTCGCCACTGTCCTGGACTTTGGCCTCAGGCAGGATCAGACGGTGTTTGCGCCCATCCATCTTCACCACCAGCAACTCGCTCTCCTCCACCTTCTGCCCATCCTTGTACCAGGTTGCCGGGAAGTCCACCCTTGAGAGCTCACAAGTCAGCACCACCCGCTCTGAGGTTGTGAAGGTCAACGACACCCTGTCCTGGGGGCTCAGGATGTGCACCGGGCTCTCTGTGTGGGGAGAAGTACAGATAAGCACCCCTCCCTCCGGTGCATGGGCTCAGTGTCGGATGCATCAGAGGGAACAACTGCTGTTGTTGGGGTTTTTAAAAATAGGCTTAGGCTTCCACACCAACCCTTAAGAGCAGTGCTTTGGCTGTGCATAAGAATTCCTAGGGAGCCTGCTAAAAATGCAGAATTCTTGGATTCCCAAGCACGCAGGGGCCAGGAAATCTGCATTATAAACCAGCCCTCCAGGTGGTTCTGATGTCAGTGAACTGGGATCCCATTTTGGAAATGCTGCTCTGGTTGCTGGTCAGGTCTCACCTGGCCCCTCTGCCTGCGATGCTGACAGTGAATCACCCCAAGACCCCGTGCATGGGTGCCGACAGATTCCTTGATTGGTCTTACAAACTCCAGCAATGGTGACATGGCAAATGCTAGCGTGATCCTTGAACTTTGAGCGCCCCACCTCCAGCTGTTCTCCTCAGGGATGCCTCATTCCCCTCCTTCCCCCTTTCAACAGGTGGCACAGTGTGATCAGGAGCCCGACTGCCTGGGTTCATAATTCAGCACCTGTGCTCATTAGCTCCGTACTTTGAGCAAGTCACTTAACGTATCTGCCTGTTTCCCCAGCTATAAAATGGGAATGTCAAAAGAACCTATCTTAAGTTTGAGATAAGCCTGGCCAACATGGCGAAGCCCCATCTCTACTAAAATACAAAAACAAGCCGGGCATGGTGATGCATGTCTGTAGTCCCAGCTACTCGGGAGGCTGAGGCAGGAGAATCTCTTGAACCCACAAGGTGGAGGTTGCAGTGAGCCGAGATCGCGCCATTGCACTCCAGCCTGGGCGACAGAGTGAGACTCTATCTCAAAAAAAAAAAAAGAACCTATCTTATAGGGCCATTGAGAAGATTGTGTTAATGTATGTAAGGTGATTAGGACTGCGCCTGGCACGTAGAAAGTTGCGATGACAATGTCAACAATTAGACAACATGGCAGGAGGCAGGCAGGGACTAGCAGCCAGGGTCTGTGTCTTTCAAATGAGATGACAAATCTGACAGGATTCTGTAAACCACAAAGCACTCCAGAGAATTGGGATATGATGCTGACATATATCAAGATAACAAGGGGTGCCCTGGATGTTGCATGTGGGTTGAAATTGGCCTTCCGGACCTCTGAGCCCTCAACCTCAGCCCATCATGGATGCTCCTTGCTCTCCTGGCCCAGATACAAGAAATAAAAACAGCATCTGCCTCGTTTTGCCAACAGGACTTCTGTGTCTTGACCCTTTCTGCCCACTCAGGTCCCCACTGGCACCAACCTTGGATTGTGAGGGCAGCTGAGTCCTGCACGCCGGGGCAGCTGAAGCCGACCAGGGCACCGCTGTCCTGGTGCTTGACGGCATGCAGGATGAGTCTGTGCTGCAGACCCTTCTGCTCTATACGGTACCGCAGGGCCCCAGGTTCCACCTGGCCCTCCGGCTCGTTACTCTTGAGCTCTTCCCCATTAAGGAACCAGGTACCCTGGATGATGGTGGAGAGATCGAGGGAGAAGACGGCATCTTCCCCGTCGTATACCTGCACATCCTCCAGACCTGCCACCAGGCGAGCTGTGGGCACTGAGGCAGGGACAGAGTGCAGCTGTCAGAACTAGAAGGTGTGGCAGAGGGCAGAGGCTGGCGGATGGCAAGCCTGTGAGAGGACCAGCACTGAGGGCTGGGGAAGGGAGGAGAAGTGATGGGTGGGTCTGGCAGGACCAACTCACCAAGGTGAGCAGAACCGTGGAACACCACGTGGGGACTACGGCCATGTCCGCTGACTGTGCAGATGCGGAAGCGGTAGTCACCCTCGGAGGGCACACAGTCGCCCGGCACCTCCACGGCTCCGGCTTTCTCGATGCTGAAGCACTGAATCCAGTCTTCAGAGCCCACTTCCTGCCGCTCCAGCCGGTAGATGAATGGGGTCTCGGGAGCTGGCTCGGGAGGCTTCCAGGTCAACAGGACCGTGTTCTTGTGGCCCTTGAACATCTCTGCCAATATGGGGGGTCCTGGGGGACTGTGCTTGACACCTGAGACCAAGGCAGGGATGTGTTCCGGCCTTGCTTGGGCCTCCACAGCCCTTCCACCTTAAATCTACTTCACCAACCCAGCTCCGGCATCTGGCCAACCTCCTGCCCTGCCTCGCCTGTCCAGAGGCCTTCCTGCCCTCACATTTTACTCTGAGAAGCGTAGTGGTACGGGAGTTGCCCAGGCTAAAGGTGACCTCGCCAGCATCCTCTCGGGTGACCCCTGGAAGGACCAGGGCATGCATGTGGCCTGAGCTGCTCTGGCAGATGACCGGCAGCTCCTCCCCATCACGGCTCCAGCGTCCCTCGACCCCGGCCTCTAGAGTTTCCACTAGCAGCACAGCATTCTCTCCTTCCAGGACGTCGAGCTTCCGGGGCAGGCGCTTCAGGATGGGCCCTGAGATGCGGACAGGAATCCATCAACCTGGAATCTGAGCACCTGCCTGCCTCCGCCTCAGCCTCTTCCCCACGGGCCAGCTGACCTTTGACTGTGACGTTGGCCACGGTGCGCACCCGGCCCCGCATCTCGCACAGGTAGATACCATCATCGTCTGCCTTCAGCCTGTGGATGATGAGGCGCCGGACAGTGCCCTCTTCGATCTGCTCGTACTTGCGGCAGGGCAGCAGCCGCTGGTCCTCACGGAACCAGGCCGTGGGGATGCGGGAGTTGGGTACTTTACATTCCAGCACGGCAATCCCGTGCTCACGGCCCTCCACGTCCTGCAGGGGCCGTGTGAACCGGAGGCGGGGCTCTGTGGAGAGGGGAGAGAGAGACAAGAGAGGGCTCTGGAGAAGGCCCAGACTAGGAGTAGGATACCTAGAAGCGCATTAGCTCATGCTGTGTGCTCTTCATGCAGAGCCAGCGGGCACTGTGGAATCACAGAAAACTACCAGAAGGGAAGTGGTGGTTCCTAAGATGACCTGAGTTCTCATCCAGCCCTGACACTAGCCACATCACCTTAAGCAAGTCCATTTCAATGCTTCTGGGCCTCAGTCTCCTTACTTGTAAAATGGGGAAAGGGAGAGAAGGGGTTGGACCAGATTGATGATTTCCAAACTGTTCCCTGGGGTCCTCCAGGCCCTAGATTGGTGATTTCCAAACTGTTCCCTGGCTCCCCCCGCCCCAGTCATTTCACATATTCTGCAAGGGTCTGAGTAGAATTTAAAATATTTTAACTCTTTTTTTTTTTGAGATGGAGTCTCGCTCTGTTGCCCAGGCTGGAGTGCAGTCGCGCAATCTCGGCTCACTGCAACCTCCACCTCCTGGGTTCAAGCAATTCTGGTGCCTCAGCCTCTCAAGTAGAGCTGGGATTACAGGCAGGCGCCACCACGCCTGGCTAATGATTTTGTATTTTTAGTAGAGATGGGGTTTTGCCATGTTGGCCAGGCTGTTCTCGAACTCCTGACCTCAAATGATCCGCCCACCTTAGTCTCCCAAAGTGCTGGGATTACAGGGTGAGCCACTGTGCCTAGCTATTTTAACCCTTTTCAAAAGTGTATTTCAAAAAAAAAAAAAGAAAAGAAAAGAAAACAGGATGTTGGAAATCAGAGGATTAACTAGGGCTGCTGGAGAAGCAAGTTTTTGTGTGCGTGTGTGTATGCAACTCGGGGAAGCTCCTCTAGCCTTCCCTCCGGGCTTTTCTTTCCTGATGGAGGTCCAGATCAGCACCAACCTGATGAATCTGTGAGCATTGAACTGTAACAGTGAGGCCACCACCGCAGCCTGGGGGCAACATGCTTGACTGCATGCTAGGAAGGACTCAGGAGAATTTACCAACTTTTTTTCCTCTAAGAGAAAAAACTGGACAATAACTAGTGAAGGTGTACTCTTTTGCGTTGTGATGAAATCCTATTATGGGGAGCGTTACCTTCTGGTGAGTTTGGGGTGTGCTTTTTTTTCCTTTGGAATTTTCTGTTTATGAGAATGTAACCATTTATTGGATATTGTTGGTGATTCAACTTTGAAATATAAACCTTCTCTCCTTCACCTTCCTCTTCTTGCAAACGTGGGGAGCAGTTTAATCAAAGAATAGTAAAAACACGCAGGACATTTGTCCTCCCTCAAGTCTAGCTTTCCACTGAATCACTTGTTTCTCAAGGTGACAGATGCAGCCAGGCCGTCCCCACAGGGTTCAGAGCCTGGTCTCATGAATGCAGCCTTTAATTCAAATTCCTGTATTCAATAAAATAGCCTCCTTATTCTCACTGATGGTTTAGAAGTACCTGTTATATACGTAGACTCAGCAATTTACGCCCATAAACTACTCCTTTATCTGTCTCATATATTGGGGCTCTGGTTGTGAATTCAGTGGGGGAAGGAGGAGTAAAATAACAAAGACGTTGAAAACCACTAGGGAAGAAGAGTTCTAGGGCCCTCCGGATTTGTACATCAATCACTCCTTAGTGGTGTTCCACCATCTGCCTCGGAATCATTTAAGGAGTTTGCTAAGAAGTTCCTGAGTACCCTGGAGACCTACTAAATCCGAATCCCTGGGGAGTGAGAGGCGGGCGGGTTTGGTATTTTAATATTCCCGCGGACCACCTCTCCTCCAGTCTTGGGGGCAGCGCTGGGCACCGAGGAGGGCTGGAGTTCGGAGGGCCTCGGAGGACACTCGAGGCCCCTCCCTAGGTCCCGGGCTCCGCCGTACCTTTCACGTGCAGCTGCACGGCACTGAGCGTCTGGCCCGCCGAGTTGCGCGCGGCGCAGACGTAGAGCCCACGATCCTTGGCCTGGCAGTAAAGCACCTTGAGCACGAAGCCGCCGTCGCGGTCGCGGTACATGAGGCGGCGGCGGTCCGGGAGCAGCGGGCGGCCCTCCCAGTGCCATTCGATCTCGGGCTCGGGCTTGCCCATCACGTAGCAGCGGAACTTGGCGTGCTTGCCCTCGTTCACCCAGAAGGTCTTAGGCGCGCACTTGAGCGGCTCCACCACCGGCGCGGGGGCCTCGTCGGGGTCCGCGGGCGGGCTCTCGGGGGGCTGGTGCACCTGGAGCAGCGCCCCCGCCTGCGCGTGGCCGTGCGCGTTGCGGGCGTGGCACACGTAGACGCCGGAATCCGGCAGCCGAGCCGCCAGGATGCGCAGTGCCAGGCTCGCGCCGGGGCCGTCCTCGGCGCGGCCCGGCTGGAGCGCGAAGTGGCTGCTGTCCCACACTTCGTCCAGGGCCATCCCGTCCTTCTCCCAGTACAGTGTGGGCTCGGGGAGGCCCCCCGCCCGGCACGTCAGCACCACCTCCGCCCCCCGCAGCACCCACTGGGATCGAGGCCCCGTGAGGAAGACCGGGGCGCCCTCCCCGGACCCCGGCGATGGCAGCGGGCGCTCGGCGGGCTGCAGCTCGGGGTCGGAGGCCGGCGGCTCCAGCACGGTGACGGCGGCCGCCGCGTAGGCCTCGCCGGCCGCGTTGCGGGCGCGGCACACGTAGACCCCCGCGTCGGTGGGCAGTGCGGCGGTCAGCAGCAGGCCGTGCTCCGCGCCGTCCGCCGGGAAGCTCAGGCGTTCCGAGGCCGCCAGCTGCTGCCCGCCCTTCTCCCACACCACTACAGGCGGCGGCTCCCCCAGGACCACGCACTTGAGCTCGGCCTCGGCGCCACTTACCACCCGCACAGGCCGCGGGAAGCGCAGGAAGCACGGGGGGCTCCCCTGATCCCCCGAGCTCGCCTTCATCGCGGCGGCCGACCGCCTGCAGCGGCGAACGGTGGGGGGGCAGGGGGGGGTGCGGAGGGCGAGCCGAGGCCCGGGGCGGCGGGGTCGGGGCGCGGCTGGGGACTGGGCGCGGGGACCCGCGGAGCTCTCCCGGGCCTCCCGCTCCCGGCTCGCCTCCTTACCCTCGGCCCCGAGCTGCAGCTCTGCGGCGGCGGCGGCGGCGATTCCCGGGCCCGAAGCCTGGCGCTCAGGGGGCAGTCCTTCCTGTTTGCCTCTCCAGCGAGTGGCCCCGCAGCCTCCCCTGCCCGCTGCCTGGCTTCCTGCTCTTAGGAGCCTCTCTTCCCAGCCCCCTCCCACAGCTTGGGCCTCTTCCCCCTCCTCCCTCCCACCTCCAGCCGCCAGGTCCCCAGCCGCCCGCCAGGCTTGGGCCTGAGTGGCAGAGGCGCCTGCAGCTGCCAATCCCAAAAATATTCTCTGATGACACAGCTGGAGGACAAGAGCCCAGACTGGCTCCACTGGTCTAAGTATAGAGCAGGCAGGACCACCTGCCCCCGGCCCTAGCCCCGGTTCTAGCCCCGGTTCCAGCCCTGCCCCCAAGGGCTGGCCGGCCAGCAGCTGCTTATTGAAAGGGGCCCCAGAAGGTCTGAGGGGTGATGCACTTTGTCTCCCTGACAAATAACACTTTCTGGGGCTGGCCGGCTACAGCTCCCAGGCTCCTGTCCCACCTGATGTCACCTCTGGATGTGTCTGTGTGTGTGTGTGTGAGAGAGTGTGTGTGTGTGAGAATTTGTGTGTGTGTGAGTGTGTGTGTGAGTGTGTGTGTGAGTGTGTGTGTGTGTAGGGAGAAGGTGTTGTATGTTTGCATGTGTGAGTCAGGTCGCTTGAGGCGAAATCCTTCCCAGCCCCTCCCCCACATCCCTGGCGGGAGTGGGAGATAAGGCTCATGGCCACAGACATCTGCGTCAGAGATAGGAGGTCTCAATGCCACGGGCAGGGGCAACTCGGACTGTGGGGCGTGGAAAGGACTGGGGAAGACTGGATGAGAAGGGTAGAAGAGGGTGGGTGTGGGATGGGGAGGGGAGAGTGGAAAGGCCCTGGGCAGACCCTGGCAGAAGGGGCACGGGGCAGGGTGTGAGTTCCCCACTAGCAGGGCCAGGTGAGCTATGGTGCTGCACCTACTGCTCTTCTTGCTGCTGACCCCACAGGGTGGGCACAGCTGCCAGGGGCTGGAGCTGGCCCGGGAACTTGTTCTGGCCAAGGTGAGGGCCCTGTTCTTGGATGCCTTGGGGCCCCCCGCGGTGACCAGGGAAGGTGGGGACCCTGGAGTCAGGCGGCTGCCCCGAAGACATGCCCTGGGGGGCTTCACACACAGGGGCTCTGAGCCCGAGGAAGAGGAGGATGTCTCCCAAGCCATCCTTTTCCCAGCCACAGGTAACGAGGGTGGGGGAACCGGCAGGATGACTTTGAGAAAAAGCAAGGCACAGCATGGGTTTGCAGGCCAGGCGGACCTGGGTTTGAATCCTAGTCCTGCTACTCAGTTGCTTTGCAGCAATAGGCCAGTTACTAAACTTCCTTATGCTTCTGTCTCCCCATCTGTAAAATGGGCTAATGCCCACCTCTCAGGATTAAGTGAGAGGCTGTACCTAGAGTGCATGGCAGGTGGGAGGCATTTGGGAAGTATGCGCTGGGAGACCGGGGGTCTCTAAAGATGGAGATATTTGGGCTTGAGCCCCTTCCTGCCACCTTTCCTCCTATCTCTGCCTCTGCTCGCTGCTCCAAACCCTGTTTCTTTACTCCCAGGTAGCTGACACTGAGAAGCTATCAGAGATACAGGCAAAAGATTAGTTGGGAAACTTTTCTGGAAAACTAGTCTATCTTCTCTTGAGTTCCTGTCTCAACATATATGTGCCCCCTTGTTCCACTGACTGAATGGATAAGCCCTCCTGTGGGTGGGCTTTCTTGTCATCTGGTCCACCTTTCTCTTAGAGAGGACCCCTGCCTCCCTCACTTCAGTCCGTTCGCAGCACAGTGGGGAGAAGGATGGCTTTGGGATCAGGCAAAATCCAAGCCTGGCCACTTAGTCGTTGAACGTCATTTCACCTCTCTAAGCCTCAGTTTCCTTATCTGCAAAATGGACCAATTGTGACTAGATAATGAGAGAAGCCATGTAACAGTATAGTTCCAATTGCCAGTCCATGAACGAGTGCTGCTCCAGGATGATTAGTATAGTCTATGAGTGTGTCAGTGTGAGGATGCTAACTACACATTCTTGAAAGGACTGCCCTCTGTTCTGAGTTACAGCCCTCCTCCTTCTCTTCCCCCTCTTCCTTGTTCTCCATTTTCTTCCCTTTCCCACTTGCCTTTCCCTCCTTCTTCTTTTTTTTTTTTTTTTGGTGTAAACCTGTCTTTTAAAAATGGAATTATTTTAAAGAATTTATCCTACAATATTCCTGACATGCCAAAGATATAAAGAGTAATATAGGCCGGGCGCGGTGGCTCACGTCTGTACTCCCAGCACTTTGGGAGGCCAAGGCAGGAGGATCACAAGGTCAAGAGATCGAGACTATCCTGGCTAACATGGTGAACCCCGTCTCTACTAAAAATACAAAAAATTAGCCAGGCATGGTGGCACCAGCTACTCGGGAAGCTGAGGCAGGAGAATTGCTTGAACGTGGGAGGCGGAGCGGAAGGCAGAGGTTGCAGTGAGCCGAGATGGCGCCACTGCACTCCAGCCTGGGCGACAGAGCTAGACTCCATCTCAAAAAAAAAAAAAAAATGGTAATATGGCTGGGTGTGATGGCTCACGCCTATAATCCCAGCACTTTGGAAGGTGAAGGCAGGCAGATTGCTTGAGCTCAGGAGTTTGAGATCAGCCTGGGCAACATAGCGAGACCCTGTCTCTACAAAACCCACAAAAGTTAGCTAGGTGTGGTAGCACACGCCTGTGGTCTCAGTTACTCAGGAGGCTGAGGTGGGAGGATTGCTTGAGCCCAGGAGGTAGACGCTGCAGTGAGCCGTGATCATGCCACTGCACTCCAGCCTGGGTGACACAGTAAGACTCTGTCTCAAAAAAAAAAAAAAAAAAGAATATAACAACCATCCATGTAGACACCATTCAGGATACTGTTTCACACTATCTGGTGAGTAAGCATTGAAGTCTAATACAAAGTCTTAGTGCTGGTGAAGTGGAGAGAGGGCCTCTTACACACTGCTGATGGGCATGTTAATTGGTAAAACCACTTCAGAGAGAAGTTGGCAATGTCTTCTATTTTTTTAAGTCCCTTCATGATGAAATTAAAAAATGGGAAGCCTACAGAAGCTCTCCCAAAACTCAGGAGAGTCCCCACGTCCCGGAGGGCGTGGAGCAGAGTGCAGCCCATCATTGGCTCATGACTGGTGGCCACATCCCTCCTGCTGAAGAGGAGGGGTGCCAGGTCCTGCCAGTCAGGGCTGCCCTCTCCCTTTTCTTCTGTCTCCTGCAGATGCCAGCTGTGAGGACAAGTCAGCTGCCAGAGGGCTGGCCCAGGAGGCTGAGGAGGGCCTCTTCAGATACATGTTCCGGCCATCCCAGCATACACGCAGCCGCCAGGTGACTTCAGCCCAGCTGTGGTTCCACACCGGGCTGGACAGGCAGGGCACAGCAGCCTCCAATAGCTCTGAGCCCCTGCTAGGCCTGCTGGCACTGTCACCGGGAGGACCCGTGGCTGTGCCCATGTCTTTGGGCCATGCTCCCCCTCACTGGGCCGTGCTGCACCTGGCCACCTCTGCTCTCTCTCTGCTGACCCACCCCGTCCTGGTGCTGCTGCTGCGCTGTCCCCTCTGTACCTGCTCAGCCCGGCCTGAGGCCACGCCCTTCCTGGTGGCCCACACTCGGACCAGACCACCCAGTGGAGGGGAGAGAGCCCGACGCTCAACTCCCCTGATGTCCTGGCCTTGGTCTCCCTCTGCTCTGCGCCTGCTGCAGAGGCCTCCGGAGGAACCGGCTGCCCATGCCAACTGCCACAGAGTAGCACTGAACATCTCCTTCCAGGAGCTGGGCTGGGAACGGTGGATCGTGTACCCTCCCAGTTTCATCTTCCACTACTGTCATGGTGGTTGTGGGCTGCACATCCCACCAAACCTGTCCCTTCCAGTCCCTGGGGCTCCCCCTACCCCAGCCCAGCCCTACTCCTTGCTGCCAGGGGCCCAGCCCTGCTGTGCTGCTCTCCCAGGGACCATGAGGCCCCTACATGTCCGCACCACCTCGGATGGAGGTTACTCTTTCAAGTATGAGACAGTGCCCAACCTTCTCACGCAGCACTGTGCTTGTATCTAAGGGTGGGGGGTCTTCCTTCTTAATCCCATGGCTGGTGGCCACGCCCCCACCATCATCAGCTGGGAGGAAAGGCAGAGTTGGGAAATAGATGGCTCCCACTCCTCCCTCCTTTCACTTCTCTGCCTATGGGCTACCCTCCCCACCCCACTTCTATCTCAATAAAGAACACAGTGCATATGACTTGACATATGTTCTCCAGCTTCTCTGATATGGAGTTGGGCCCCCAGGAGCATGGGACTGTCAGATCTCAGGTCACTCAGCCACACTTGACCTCAGAGACATGAAGTTCAAGAGCTATAACTGGATGTGTATTGGTTGGGAATCTACAACGCTTGGGGGTGACATAATAGTGCTCCAAGCTCCTTGGAGAGCCACCTTGGAGACAGAGCTGGACGCATGCAAGCTGAACCAGACATGTCAATCAGGTTGCCTGCCCTGCACACCTAAGGGAGACTGCTGCACTCACATGACCACATCCAAGGCAGCCATAAGTCCCCTCCCCTGCCATTCTCTGCCACAGCTGATGGGCACTTAGCCCGAGGTCAGGTGATTTGTAGCCTGGCCAGAGACTGTGGCCTTTGGAGTCCCACTGAGACAATTGTCCAGAGTTGGCCAGACCTTGGAGTTACTTGGGAAGCTTGGGTGGGATGTAAGGGAGAGATATATGTGTTGGCAGCATCAGAAAGAAATTAACAAGGGCAAAGAGGTGGTGTTGTGTTAAGGTCAGACAGATCACCTGACCAAAGACCTGAGGATTTCCTTTTGCCAAAGGCCCTTCTTTGAATCCGTCACTGACTCTTGCTGTAGACTCCGTGAGGCCTCCTGCAGTAGGATTCTAGTTCATGAACTCTTTGTCTCCCTTGATGTCACCTGTACATGTTTACATAATCCCTTAACTCAGCCCTTAGCATCAGAAGAGTGGAAAGACTGAGGCTATTGCCAGAAAATAGAAAAGCTCTTTTGTGAATTTGTGCATGCAGGACATGGTGCAAAACAGCACTTTTCTTTTTTCATTGCGTTTCCTATCAGTCCATTCTGCCTCCGGATTTGGGCATGGGGAAGCCCCTCTCCGCTGGCCTTCCTCCCTGCTTTTTTCACTCTCCTTGTTATCCCCCTGGGTCTCGTTATCCTTGTGCTCCACCCCAGGGTCCCTGCTATCAGCCACTGGTTCCATCCAGTCTCCAACACGTGTGTGTGTGTGTGTGTGTGTGTGTGTGTTTGTGTGTGTGTGTTTAGGGGAAGGGCTGGGATGTTCAGGTCCATCAGACTGGAACTTGAGAGCACTTTCTGATATTGACTGCACAACTACAGTGTGTATTTATCTAACCAGAGTCTTTTACTGGTCAAAGACTCCTTTCTACCAGCCTGGCTTGATGGGGTGGAAGGGTAAGCGCCTGCTCCAGTGAGCGGTGCAGCGGGAAAGAATCCTATCCCGTCACAGTTACACCAACACCCCTCCCCCACCGGAGCTAACCTGAATGAGCCACTGTTCCCTGCAGCACAGGAGCCTTCAGAGCCATGTACGTGCTCCTGTACACGCCCCAGTCTCTGTTGACACTGAGTCCCCCAGAAGGCTGTCACTGTTCTGGAGGGGGAAACCTGCTTGTTTGCAGTCCCCAGCCTCTCCCAGGACCTTCGTGTTGACTCAGCATTGGAAGCGCTCTGTGCTCAGAGCTCTGTGCATCCCTATTCAGGCAGTGGGCTGGGGAGACAGCTGCTTGGGCTCTGCCAGTGGTGGGAAGGGGAGGTTTTTTCCAAGCCTGTCTATGTTCTACGTGCTCCCTGCCTGGCTTCTCTGGCTAGATCCTCCCTTCCCAAACAGTGAGGTCTTTCCCTGGGATCTTCAATTTTCCTACTAGGCTTCAGCTCTTCATTCTTCCTGCTGGGGCCCCCTAGAACCCTGTGTTATCCAGATGCTCCCTGTCCCAGGGATGAGGATGGGCGCTGAGGGCTGGGGGCAGATTACTGAGGGGTACAGGATTCTCCACGAGGCCAGTTAGCAGATTGGTATTGCAAGTGAAAAGCGTGCACATGTCTGAGACAAAATGAGAAAAATGAGTATGAGGGAGTCTTTCACAAAGCCAAATATATTCATTTTATAAAGGCTATCTTTCAATGCTACCCATTACCTTTTCTGCTTGTGGGTGTGTGACAGTGTTAGCTCTTTCATGATGTTATGAAGAGGGTAGAAAGTAGTGGTTTTGTTTGTTTGCATTTCTACCCAACAAAATTTAAACTTGGCAATTCCAGTTTGGAATGTAAGATTTTTCTTTGGAATTTTGTTGCCCTGTGAAATCTGTGAGATCCCAATGTCTGACAGTCACTGTTCGGAGCCACTCCTTCTAAGGTCTCTAATACCTAGATTCTGCTAACGCAGCAAATTAGGAAAGATGTTCACAGATCCCTAAGAGGGGCTCCACAGTGGCTACGGACATCGTTTTGTTTTCTATCCTCATCAAGACACCAGCCCAAGAGCAGTGAATTTCAAAGATGATCCCTGTTCCCAATGCTAATCATTAGGGACGTACTGTGAATACTCTTAGTTTGGAGTCAGTTTAAACAGAAAACCCAGCTCCAACTGGATTAGATCAAAAAGTGTATTTAAGCCAGGCGCGGTGGCTCACGCCTGTAATCCCAGCACTTTGGGAGGCTGAGGTGGGCGGATCACCTGAGGTTAGGAGTTCTGACTCCATCTCTACAGAAAATATGAAAATTAGCCGGGCATGGTGGCACTTGCCTATAATCCCAGCTACTTGGGAGGATGAGGCAGGAGAATCACTTGAACTCAGGAGGCGGAGCTTGCTTGCAGTGAGCAGAGTTCGCGCTACTGCACTCCAGCCTGGGTGACAGACTGAGACTTCCTCTCAAAAAAAAAAAAAAAAGTTTTTAAAACTCACCAGCACTGGCTCATTGGCTCATGATAAATCCACAGGCACAGCTAGCTAAGGTATGGCTCAATTCTGGGCTCAAAAGATGCTACTAGGATCCATCTATAGGCTCTAGTTCCCCCCAGATCAGCTCCATCCTGGGTCCATGGCAACTCCAGGCAGCACAGGCTCCCATCATTATGCAGCTTGGTCCGGCAGGAGGGAGTTCACTTACAAAAGTCCTGGGACAAAGATAGGCACAGTGGCTCATGCTTGTAATCCCAGCACTTTGGGGGGCCAAGGCAGGAGAATTGTATGAGGCCGGGAATTTAAGACCAGCCTGGGCAACAAAGCGAGACCTTGTCTCTATTTAAAACAATGCAAAACAAAACAAAAGTCCTAGGACAGGTCTTGATGGCCTGATTAGATTTATTAATGTCATGTGCTACTCCAGGAAAGGTGGCCTGCGTTAATGCCTTAGCCTAGGTCACTTGTCCTCCCCATAGAGCCTCGAGCCTAAAGCATAAGGGCTAAAAGTGAAAAAAGGTGATGTCCCCAAAGCAGGGGACAGTTACCACAAAAAGGTGGGGTAGATACTGAGAAGCAAGTATTGTTTGTTGTTCCTCCTAAGTATCTTTCAAATCAACCGCTTTGTCTCTCCTTACGTAGACACTATTTTGCAATTCTTGATTGGGCAATTTAGCAGCCTCCTAAACCAGTCACTCCCTGCCCTCCATCCACCCTCAACATGGCTGACACAGGATTTTTCTGATGTGATCATGTTACTTAGGGTGGCTTAAAAAATTGTCTCCACAAAGTTCAGCCTCCTTCATGTGGTCGGAAAGCCCTTGATAACCAACTCTAACCCTTTCCTTGCAGCCTGATCTACCCAGTCCTCCTTTCCTCTCCCCACCCAACACATCACCCAAACTCTGGTGACACAAATTCCAGATACAAAATGTTCTTCTCAAGGGCCCATGTCTTTAGCAACACCTCTTTTTTTTCTGTTTTGTTTTGTTTCAAGACAGGGTCTGGCTCTGTCACCCAGGCTGGAATGCAGTGGCATGATCTTGGCTCACTGCAGCTCTGACCTCCTGGAACTCAAGCAATCTTCACATCTCAACTTCCGAAGTGCTGGGATTACAGGCATGAGCGGCTGTGCTCCTACCTCAGTGCTTCCTTTAAGATCCAATTCTGATGTCACGTTTTCTGTGATCCTCCCCTTCACTCCCAGATGGCAAAGCTCTTCACCCCTTCTTCACTACTTCCTGGGCACTTTGTTTTTTAATTTTTTTTTGAGACAGAGTCTCGTTCTGTCACCCAGGCTGGAGTACAATGGCGCAATCCCGGCTCACTGCAACCTCCGCCTCCCAGGTCAAGCGATTTTCCTGCCTCAGCCTCTTGAGTAGCTGGGATTACAGGTGCGTGCCATCACGCCCGGCTAAGTTTTGTATTTTTAGTAGAGATGAGGTTTCACCATGTTGGTCAGGCTGGTCTCGAACTCCTGACCTCATGATCTGCCCGCCTCGGCCTCCCAAAGTGCTGGGATTACAGACCTGAGCCACTGCACCTGGCCTGTTTTAAAATTTTTATTTCAAAAAATTACTTGTTCTTGATTTCATAAGCCACAAAGAGATACATTCTCACAGTGGATATTCAAATATTAAAGATAAAACTGAAGTTCCCCTTGATCGTTATTTCCAATTCTAGTCCCCTCCACAGAGGCAGGTATCCTTCTAGACACATTTCCATGAGTTGACACCCATGTGCGTATCTGGTAGAAAAAGTCTTTTCTCCCCCCACGAATGGTGTCATGCCATGTGTATGGGGCTGCCACTATTTTACTTTATATTCTACGAGTTTGTTTTGACCTTATTTTCCAGTCTATTAGCTTTATTTTCTTAGCAATTATATTCCTCCGCTTGAAAGAAATAAGATTCTATTATTTAATTTTATTTATTAATTTTTTTTTTGTAGAGATGGGCTTGTTATATTGCCCAGGCTGGTCTTGAATTCATAGTCTCAAATGATGCTCCTTCCTTGACCTCCCAAAGTTCTGAGATTACAGGCGTGAGTCACCAAACCCAGCCAGAAATAAGATCCTTTTGTTAATTTTATTATTATTATTATTGTTATTATTATTTGAGATGGAGTCTCACTCTGTCATGCAGGCTGGAGTGCAGTGGCGCAAGCTTGGCTCACTGCAACCTCTGCCTCCCGGGTTCAAGTGATTCTCCTGCCTCAGCTTCCTGAGTAGCTGGGATTACAGGCACACGCCACCAGGCCCGGCTAATTTTTGTATTTTTAGTAGAGACAGGGTTTCACCATATTGGTCAGGCTGGTCTCGATCTCCTGACCTCATGATCTGCCTGCCTCTGCCTCCCAAAGTGCTGGGATTACAGGTGTGAGCCACCGTGCCCAGCAATTTTATTATTTATATACTGAACACTTATACAGCACTATGTGCCTTATGCATGTTAGAACTAAAAGCTCATGCAATCCTTGTAACAACCATTTGAGGTAGGCACTCATATTATACCTATTGCACAGTAGAGGAAACTGAGGCACAGAGAGATAAAATAACCTAGCTGGGAGCAGTGGCTCACTCCTATAATCCCAGCACTTTGGGAGGCTGAGGTGGGCAGATCATGAGGTCAGGAGATCGAGACCATCCTGGCCAACATGGTGAAACCCCGTCTCTACTAAAAATACAAAAATTAGCTGGGCGTGGTGGCACATGCCTGTAATCCCAGCTACTCGGGAGGTTGAGGCAGGAGAATCGCTTGGACTAGGGAGTCAGAGGTTGCAGTGAGCCAAGATTGTGCCATTGCACTCCAGCCTGGGCGACGGGGCGAGACTCCATCTCAAAACAAAAACAAAAATGAAAAAACCTATCCAGAGTCACATCCCTAGTAAGTGATGGAGCCAGGATTTGGACTCCACAAGTCTGGTATAAGAATCCATGTATCCACCACTATATCATATTACCTCTCCTCCACTCCTCAAGCATACTTCCTGAGGAGACAAAATTATTTCTGTTGGCCAGGTGCAGTGGCTCACACCTATAATCCCAGCATTTGGGGGAGGCTAAGGGAGGTTGCTTGAGCCCAGGAATTCAAGACCAGTCTGGGCAACATGCCAAGATCCTGTTTCTGCATAAAAATTTAAAAAATTAGCCAGGCATGGTGGTGCATGCCTGTAGTCCCAGCTACTTGGGAGGCTGAGGTGGGATGATTGCTTAAGCCAGGGAGGTCGAGACTACAGTGAGCCTGATGGCACCACTGCACTCCAGCCTGATTACATTGTTGAGGTGGCAGCCATCCCGTATCATGGGTTCCAGTCTGGTGGTGACTATTACTGCACCTTTCAAAACATAGAGGTGTGGCTGGGTGCGGTGGCTCATGCCTGTAATCCCAGCACTTTGGGAGGCTGAGGCAGGTGGATCATGAGGTCAGGAGATCGAGACCATCCTGGCTAACACGGTGAAACCCTGTCTCTACTAAAAATACAAAAAATTAGCCGGGTGTGGTGGCACGCACCTGTAGTCCCAGCTACTTGGGAGGCTGAGGCAGGAGAATGGCTTGAACCCAGGAGGCAGAGGTTGCAGTGAGCCAAGATCGTGCCACTGCACTCTAGCCTGGGCGACAGAGTGAGACTCCGTCTCAAAAACAAACAAACAAACAAACAAAAAACACAGAGGCACTTTGCTCAATACCTGCACTTGAACAGCTGTCATTTGCCCAAGTTCATCAAGTATAGCATAACCTAAAGTTGGGATGGAGTTTAGCTGTTTCCTAATTAGATTAAAAAGGTGCCTTCTTGTCTCTCCACAGGAGGGGAAGGGGCTATGGCCTGTGTGGCTATGATACATGGGAAAAGAGGGACTACGTTTATAATATTCAGTTTCCCAATCATAATAAAATCTCCATAAATTTGGTTGGCCGGTTGAATATGCCAGGGCAATCTGGAAGCGGAAGGAAGGGGCAATTCTCCACGTACCCAACAGTTGGTCTGATTATGTAGAGGCTAAAGCCTGTGCCCACTCGATAAATAAGTTACTCTGCGTGATTCCAACTTGTACTCAAAAGCAGAATGCCAATCCATATCCTTACGTTACCCAGCCCTTTCTTTTCTTCTGAACAGGAGCCAGAGGTCACTGGTTGGCTCACAGGAATAAGTGGGATCAGTCTCTTGTGTTCTGTCAGCCTGTGGGACTTTATAAGAGACAGGTTTAATTTGAGATAAATGGCCCCAGCTGTTTATTCCCATTTAACTGCAGTTGGGGTGCTAAGGAGAGCTTGATAGGGTCCCTTCCATTTTGGGAAAAGTTGATCTGCTGGGGATCCTTCCTTCCAAGTGTTTATAGAACCCAATCTCCTGGCTGGGTTGTAACTAGAGTCTCTTCCTTAGTGGGGGAAGGGAGTCTTTGATTTCCATATTGAAGGAGTGCATTTTGCACTTGTCCTAAGTTGATTACATAATTTTGTAGCTTGAAAGTATCTATGTCTATTAGGAGGTCTGTAGTTAAGAAAGGCCTTCTATATGTTATTTCAATATGGCTGAGCTGCAACTTTCCCTTGGGGGCTGCTGGAATCTGTAACAAGGCTATGGGAAATAAAGATAGCCAGGTTTATGATGTTTCTTGGCATAGTTTAGGAAGAGTCCTTTTTAGAGTTTGATTGGCTCTTTCTACTGTCCCTGAAGATTGTGGCCTCCATGCCAAGTGAAGGCGGTACTGAATTACTAGGGCTGAAGATATGTTTGGGTAATCATTGCTGTGAAAGATGGATCATTATCCCTCTGCAAGCTCTTAGGCAGCCCAAATTTAGGAATTATTTCCTTTAATAGGAATTTAGAAACCTCAATTGCCTTTTCGGACCTCATAGGAAAAGCCTCAATCCAACCAGTAAAGGTGTCAATGAATACTAATAAATATTTAAACCTTTTACATGGGGGCATCTTAGTATAATCTCTTTGCCAATCTTCACCAGGGTACATTCCCTTATGCTGAACAGGCCTTACTAAAGAAGGAGATAAAGATTGGTTATTTGGGTTATTCCAGGCACATAGTTCACAGGCCTCAGTTACCTGCTTTACTGTTTTAAGTAAGTCTTTTCCAGGGGTATGGGACACCAGGCCTAAGTTGGATGTAAACTGGGGGAACATTTAACGTTTTGCCTGGAATCTTAGTGTCTCATAGTATAGGATTTACTTGGGGGGTTACTTCAATAGGTAAAGTAGATAAGTCCCCTATTGCTTTTCCTCCTTTATCACAGGAAAGGAGAAAGAGCAATCCCTTGTCTGCCTGGTGGTTTCCAAAAGATACCATTGTGGCCGGGCATGGTGGCTCATACCTGTAATCCCAGCACTTTGGGAGGCCAAGGCAGGTGGATCACCTGAGGTCAGGAGTTTGAGACCAGCTTGGCCAACATGGTGAAACCCTGTCTCTACTAAAAGTATAAAAATTAGCCAGGCATGGTGGTGCTCACCTGTAGTCCCAGCTACTTGGGAGGCTGAGGCAGGAGAATCGCTTGAACCTGGGAGGTGGAGGTTGCAGTGAGCTGAGATGGCGCCACTGCACTCCAGCCTGGGCAACAGAGTAAGGCTCTGTCTCAAACAAACAAACAAAAAAACCAAAAGATACCACTGCTGCTGAGTAAACAAATCCCTTCCCAACAAGCGGGTGGGGCATGAAAAGAAAAGTATATGAGAAAACCAAAGTCCCTGAAGAGCAGCTTAAAGGATAGGTAAAATGGTGTCTATAAGCTTGTCCGTCTATCCCCATGACCATACAGTTTTGGGGTGACAGAGGCCCGTTACAATGGGTCAAAACAGAGTAAGCAGCCCCCATATCCAAAAGGAAGTTAATATTCTTACCTGCCACGTCAAGGGTTACCCAAGGCTCCTCTGGAGATATATGTAGTTGTCCGACAGGGGCTGTGGCAGAAGGTCCCCGGTCCCGTCACTCTTGAGCTGGTCTGGCTGTTCCAGCCATCATTGTTTCAGGTGCCGACGGCTCCCGTCGAAGCACTTGGCAGTTCTTCTTCCAATGGCCAGTTTTCTTACAGTGTGCACACTGATTTACACCCAAGGCACGGTGACTCGGACACCCAGCTTTGGGCTTCCCACCTTTCAGCTTCCCTTGTTCAGGCCAACAGCCAGGAGGGCAACCCCATGTGGAAGGTGAGCTTAGGGCTACAGCCAGGAACTGCACCTTGTGGGAGGTACTTCCTGCTCTTTCTGCTTCCTCTGCTTTGTCCCTGTTATTAAAAACTAAAAAATGCCACATCCAAAAGCTGTTCCATAGGAGTCTGGGGACCCATAGCTGTTTTTTGTAGTTTCCTACGGATATCAGGGGCAGACTGGCCTATAAAATGTACTCCCAAAAGGGTTTATCCTTCCTTGGAGGCAGGATCAGTGTTAGTATATTTTCTAATTGCCTCAATGAAACACCCTTGAAACAAAGCTGGATTCTCATCTTTACCCTGACAAACTTCCTTAACCTTTTATTTTTTATTTTATTTTACTTATTTATTATTTATTTATTTTTAATTTTACTTTAAGTTCTGGGATACATGTGCAGAATGTGCAGGTTTGTTACACAGGTATACACGTGCCATGGTGGTTTGCTGCACCTATCAACCTGTCATCCAGGTTTTAAGCCCCACATGCATTAGGTATTTGTCCTAATCCTCTCCCTCCCCACGTCACCCCTGACAGGCCCTGGTGTCCTTTTCACAGTTAACGGGCTTTTTTATACATTTCTTCATCCCTTCCAACAAACAAGTAACCATATGATCTCTCCTCCCCAAGTCCTCACTGCTCCTTTGATAGTTCCATTCTGGATCTTTTTTTTTTTTTTTTTTTTTTTTTTTTTGAGACAGAATCTCACTCTGTCACCCAGGCTGGAGTGCAATGGCATGATCTCAGCCCACTGCAACCTCCATCTCCTGGGTTCAAGCAATTCTCCTGCCTCAGCCTCTCAAGTAGCTGGGATTACAGGTGCCCACACCACGCCCAGCTAATTTTTTTGTATTTTTAGTAGAGATGGGGTTTTGCCATGTTGGCCAGGCTGGTCTTGAACTCCTGATCTCAGGTGATCTGCCCACCTCGGCCTCCCAAAGTGCTGGGATTACAGGCGTGAGCCACCGTGCCCAGCCGCATTCTGGATCTTGATCTGGAACTGCTATACCTCCTGCCTGATATACATTATGGTTCGGGTTTGGAGCCAATACCTCATCCACATGAGTCCTAGCTGTCCCCACAATGGATTTTCTTCCACTGTGCAACACAGAGACAACGAAACATGCTCCTGCTAAGTTACACCATAGGTCGAAGTTAGTTTCTCAAACGCATCTAGGAATTTTCTTGAATCTTCAGAGAAATGACCAAACTTCTCTTTACATAGAGCCAATTCAGACATAGAAAAGGAGACATATCCTCTCACACAGTGCCTTCTTCCCCATTTGCCACCTCTCTAAGGGGAAAAGGTTTCCCTTCAGAGGTTGATAAGAGGCTCCACTACGAGTAGTACTCGAGGGGCCAAATTCCTCAGGGAGTGGTGGGTATAGAGTGGGACTAGGCAGGTCAGGAGGAGGGGACCAAGGGTTCTGAATAGAACTTTCAGGTGGACTAGAGGGAGAAAGGACGGACAAAACCTGAACCTTCAGAGCTGATAGAAGGGGATTCTGCTCCACCCAAAAATGCCCACTGAACTGGGGATAGGGCTTATGTCAAAGGATCATCAAATATGTCTAGTTCTTTTTCTTCCTTTCCTCTCATCGAACACGCATGCACCCGCTGCAGGGTTTCATCCTGATTGAGCAGCAAAAATGCTTGAACATATGGTATTTCATCCCATTTTCCCTCCCGCTTACATAACAAATCGAGTTGAAGTATAGTTTTAAAGGCCATAGTACCAGTAGGAGGCCATTTCTCTTGTTTTTCCAAATAACACCAAGGTCAAACAGTATTACATAGAAACACCAGTTTTCTCTTCTTAAGCCCATTTAGTTTAAACTGGTCCCAATGTTCAAGAATACATCCTAGTGGGGAGTCCTTTGGGATGGATGCCGTGGTGCCCATGTAAGAGGCAGGTGATGTTGAAAGAAAAGTTCCAAACCTGCAGGATTGTATTGCCACTGGCTGAGTTCCACTAAAAAGGATAACAGAGGTTTTTAAAGCCAGCCCCATTAATGAGGGGATCCCTGCCAAAAATTGAATTCTCTTATTTAACTATCCAGATAATATAAGTGAGCTGAGCCATGAATCTTAGATAAACCACAACATGGACTCTGACGAAAGAAATGTTGAACAAGGCAAAGGAAATAAAGAGGATTTCGATGGGAATGACCAGAGCAAGCAGGTTCTGGGCAATAGTGGCAGTGTGGATTGGACAAGCAAAGCTGGTTTGGCCAAATCCAAGAAAGCAAAGAAGTGTTTTTTTAGTGTGCAAAATGAAACAAAACAGCAAGGAGAAAAGTCCCCTGATTTCCATCCTAGTGCTTCTAGATCACACCTAGTAGGCATAGCGGCATTAAAACATAACCACATCTGTCTAATCTTACTGCTCATAGCTATTAAATACCCAGTCTCAATCAGGAATTTTAGAGATGGAGGCTTCAATGCTTTCTTGTTCCCAATGTTTCACAAGCAAACGAACGGATATTGGGAGGCACGGAGGGGAAGAGTATGTTAAAATCCCTAAGACCAGTTAAATAAAGTCTCCTGAAAATGACAGTGAAACAGAGACAGCACCAATAAATTGATTCATGCAGTGAATAGGACAAGGCAGATTAATACAAAGAGCATGGCAGTTAACATCCTGTGGTGCCAAACCCATTCTTCGCCAAGAGGGACGTTACTGAGAGGGACCTCTAACCCCTTCAATTTTAGAAGGGACTTTAACCTTCCTAAGTTGGGCCTCTAACCCAAAGTTGGTCAAGTGTCCTTCCCTTTTATTAAGAGGGCCTTCTAGCCCATTCTGTCTTAGGAGAGATTCTAATTCCCCTAAGTTGGGCCTCTAACCCAATCCCATCCTTTACCCAGGTATATGAACTCCACTTACCTAAAGTCAGTCAATTGGTGCACAGATGATTTTCCTTTGGGCCAGGTATCTCTTCAGTATTGCCCCTTCCATGGTTTGCCAGAAAGATGTCACAGGAAAGGGGCCCTGATCCAGACCTTTAAGAGAGGGTTCTTGGATCTCATGCAAAAAAGAATTCAGGGCAAGGCCATAGTGCAAACCAAAATAAGTTTATTAAGAAAGTAAAGTGGTGGCTGGGCACAGTGGCTCACACCTGTAATCCTAACACTTTGCGATGCTGAAGGGAGTGGATCAGTTGAGGCCGGGAGTTCGAGACCAGACTGGCCAACATGGTGAAACCCCATCTCTACTAAAAATACAAAAATTAGCTGGGTGTGCACCTGCAATCTTAGCTACTCGGGAGGCTGAGGCAGGAGAATCACTTGAACCTAGGAGGTGGAGGTTGCAGTGAGTCGAGATCGTGCCACTGCACTCCAGCCTGGGCGACCCTGTCTCAATAAAAAGAGCAAGAGAGTACGGATCCTTCATAGACAGAGTCGGGCATTCCCAAAAGTAAGAGGAGGAATGTGTCCACCCTAGGTACATTAGTTGTTTATATACAGGATAAAAAAGATCATGGAGAGATGTGCTCTGCTACAAGGGTTTTTGATAAAGGATTAATTTTCTTAATCAACATATTTTGCAAGAATCAATGTTATTATTTTTAAAGCAAAATTAGAAATGCTTCTGTTCTCAAAACATCAGGATGAGGCCAGGCGTGGTGGCTCACGCCTGTAATCCCAGCACTTTGGGAGGCTGAGGCGGGCAGATCACAAGGTCAGGAGATCGGGACCATCCTGGTTAACATGCTGAAACCCCATCTCTACTAAAAATACAAAAATTAGCTGGGCGTGGTGGTGGGTGCCTGTAGCCCCAGCTACTTGGGAGGCTGAGGCAGAAGAATGGCATGAACCTGGGAGGCAGAGCTTGCAGTGAGCCAAGATCCCGCCACTGCACTCCAGCCTGGGTGACAGAGTGAGACTCTGTCTCAAAAAAAAAAAAAAAAAAAATCAGGATATTAGGACACTCCCACATCTGGGTCTGTTTAGTAAACATCTAGAGGCTAGGAGTACCTAAGTTTCTGGAAATGCAGCCCAGCAAGTCCCAGCCTCATTTTCTTCGCCCTCACCAAAGATGGAGTCGCTCAGGTTCGAACACCATGACAGTTTCAGTTACTCGTGGTCAACTGTGGTCTGAAAATAGGTGAGCATAGTACAATTAGGTAATCTGAGAGAGAGACCACATCCACATAACTTTTATTACAGCATATGGTTATAATTGTTCTATTTTACTGTTAGTTATTGTTGTTAATCTTTTACTGTGTCTATTTATATTTATATTTTTATGTATTTATTTATTTTTGAGACAGTGTCTCACCCTGTCACCAGGCTGGAGTGCAGTGGCGCGATCTTGGCTTACTGCAACTTCTGCCTCCCAGGTTCAAACGATTCTCCTGCCTCAGCCTCCTGAGTAGCTGGGATTATCGGTGCCTGCCACCACAGCTGGCTAATTTTGTATTTTTAGTAGAGACGGGTTTCTCCACGTTGGTCAGGCTGGTCTCGAACTCCCAACCTCAGGTGATCCGCCCGCCTAGGCCTCCCAAAGTGCTGGGATTACGGGACTGAGCCACCGCGCCCAGCCTACTGTGCCTAATTTATAAAGTAAGCTTTATCATAGTCTCTATGTGTAGGGCAAGCTTGTCTGACCCACGGCCCATGGGCCATATGTGGCCCAGGATGACTTTGAAAGCAACCTAACACAAATTCATAAACTTTCTTAATACATTAGGAGGGACGGGCGCGGTGGCTCACACCTGTAATCCCAGCACTTTGGGAGGCCAAGGCGGGCAGATCACTTGAGGTCAGGAGTTCAAGACCAGCCTGGCTAACATGGTGAAACCCCGTCTCTACTAAAAATCCAAAATTAGCCGGGTGTGGTGGTGCACGCCTGTAATCCCAGATACTCAGGAGGCTGAGGCAGGAGAATTGCTTGAACCCGGGAGGCAGAGGTTGAAGTGAGCAGTGATCATGCCATTGCACTCCAGCCTGGGCAACAGAGTGAGACTCTGTGTCCAAAAAAAAAAAAAAAAAGAAATTTTTTTTAAAGTTCATCAATTATTGTTAGTGTATTTTATGTGTGGCCCAAGACAATTCTTCTTCTTCCAATGTGGCCCAGGGAAGCCAAAAGACTGGACACCTTGGTGTAGGGAAAACATGGTATATAGAGAGTTTGGTACTATCTGTGGTTTCAGGCACCAATTGGTGGTGGAGGAGGTCTTAGAAAGTAACCCTCTGAGGGTAAGGTGGGACTACTATTTCTAAGCATTTGGGATGGGAGGGAGAGGCTCTGACAGGTATTCAGCTTGCAGTCTTGGACTGGAACCATCTCCTACAGTGCTCTCTCTACCATAACTTGCCCCATGTTTGTGATAGGCAGGAAAATGGCTCCCCTCCCAAAGATGCCTATATCCGAATCTCCAGAGCCTGTGAATATGTTATGTTACGTGGCAATGGAGAATTACAGATGGAATTAAGGCTGCTAATCAGCTGACCTTAAAATCATTTTCTTTCTTTCTTTCTTTTTTTTTTCAGACAAGGTCTTACTCTGTCGCCCAGGTTGGATGCAATGGTGCAGTCATGGCTCACTTTAGCCTTGACCTCCCAGGCTCAAGCAATCCTTCCACCTCAGCCTCCCAAGTAGCTGGGACTGTAGGTGCATACCACCATGCTTGGCTAATTTTTGTAGTTTTCATAGAGACGGGGTTTCCCCATGTTAACCAGGCCGGTCTCAAACTCCTGGGCTCAAGTGATCCACCTGCCTTGGCCTCCCAAAGTGCTGAGATTACAGATCTGAGCCACTGCACCTGGCCTGACCATAAAGTAGGGACATTATCCTGGATTATCCAGGTGGGCCCAGTGTAATCACAAGGGTCCTTAAATGTTGAGAGGGGCAAGAGAGTTAGTGTCAGAGTGATGTGATGTGAGAAAGACTCAGGCAGCCATTGCTGGCTTTGGAGATGGAAGGGGGTCACAGGCAAGGGAAGACGGCAGCCTCTTGAAGCTGGAAAAGACAAGAATACAGATTCTCTGGCCAGGCATGGTGGCTCACACCTGTAATCTCAGCACTTTGAAAGCCTGAGACAGGAGGATCACTTCAGGCCAGGAGTTCAACACCAGCATAGGCAGCATAGCAAGAAGCCATCTCTACAAAAGATCAAAGGATAAAAAATTAGCTGGGCATGGTGGTGCACACCTGTGGTCCTAGCTACTTGGGAGCTTGTTTGGAGGTTCTAGCAGGGGTGCACAGTACTCGTATACCCTTGACCAAAGACCAGTCCTCCTCTATCGGGGACGGTCATCTTCTTCAACTGAGCGCACAGCTTCAGGAGGGACGCCTATGGAGAGGTGAGGGAGGAAGGAGACACCCGCCTAGCCAGCCAGATTAGCCGAATCAACCTTGGTGATCAATGGGGTGACAGAAGTTGCAGTCATATTACCCTTACATCCAGTCCTAGCTGCTTGGGAGGCTGAGGCAGGAGGATCTGTTGAGACTGGGAGATTGGGGCTGCAGTGGGCCATGATCACACTACTGCACTCCAGCCTAGCCAACAAAGCGAGACCCTGTCTTAAAAAAAAAAAAAAAAAAAAAGAATACAGGCTCTCCCCTGGCGAGAAAGAAGGAACACAGCCCTGCTGACACCTTAATTTTAACCCAGTGTGACCCATTTTGGACTTCTGACCTTCAGAAATGTAAAGATAATAAATTTTGTCATTTTAAGCAACCAAATTTGGGGTAACCTGTTGCAGCAGCAGAAGGAAGCTGATACAATGTAACATGACTGGTGGTGTCTGCTCTTCCACCACTTGGCTAGCTTCTTGAGAACAAGAACACCTTTGTCTCCTGTATTTACCTAGAATCCTTTTTTTTTTTTGAGACAGAGTTTCGCTCTTGTCACCCAGGCTGCAGTGTAATGGCGTGATCTCAGCTCACTGCAACCTCCACCTCCTGGGATGAAGTGATTCTCCTGCCTCAGCCTCCTGAGTAGCTGGGATTACAGGCGTGCACCACCATGTCTGGCTAATTTTGTATTTTTAGTAGAGATGGGCTTTCATCATGTTGGCCAGGCGGGGCTCGAACTCCTGACCTCAGGTGATCTGCCCTTCTCGGCCTCCCAACAAGTGCTGGGATTACAGGCATGAGCCACCACACCTGGCCTATTCACCCAGAATCTAACACAGGATCTGGCACACAGTCAGGGCTCAGTAAATACCTGTTGAATGAACAAAAGACCGAAATACAGCTCCAGCTTTGTGGTTCTCCAGAGGTTTTGAGCGTCCAAAGCAGCCTCTACGCTTACCCTAGTCCTGGAGACCCTAAGCCATGTGATCTCAGTTTTCTCGTTTCCTTTCCCCCATTGGCCCATGCTTAACACTGCAAGGCTGGCTGCTATTCTTTTGTTTGTTTGTTTGTTTTGAGACAGAGTCTCCCTCTGTCACCAGGCTGGAGTGCAGTGGCATGATCTCAGCTCACTGCAACATCCGCCTCCCGGGTTCAAGTGATTCTCCCGCTTCAGCCTCCCAAGTAGCTGGGACTACAGGCGTGCACCACCATGCCCAGCTAATTTTTGTATTTTTAGTAGAGATGGGGTTTCACCATGTTGGCCAGGATGGTCTCAATCTCTTGACCTCGTGATCTGCCCGCCTTGGCCTCCCAAAGTGTTGGGATTATAGGCGTGAGCCACCGCGCTCGGCTGACTGCTATTCTATGTGCAGTTTCCTCCCTTGCTGTGGATCATTCCCCTCCTCTCTCTGGCCATGTGTGTAGGGAGCACTGAGATGGAAGACACTTGTCACATACTATAGGTGATTTTGCCAACCAGCCTTCTGCGGGTTATGCCTGAAACAGCAGGTTGTGTTTTCCTTCCTGTCTCGGATTCTGTCCGCTTTCCTCTCTTCTCCATAGCCACCTCTATCCATATTTTCTATCAGGTTTCTGTCCTTTGAAGACCAATTCTTTTCTTTTTTTTTTTTTTTTTTTTTTTTTTTTTTACTTATTTACAATATTCTTCGGGTCTTCATCTCTCCATTTCCTGTGTCCTGAATGAAGCGCATAGTTCTGGTCTTTCTTATAGCCCTTCTTAACCCCCTTCTCAAATGGTTCCATGGCTTTCCGGGATAGACAATGAAAATAATTAAAGACACTCTCATATAACGTCGGGTTTACTGCAGAGCTCCTCATGGAAGCACTCAGTTTATTTTATGCAGAATGGTCAACTCCTCTCATAAGGGGAGAGTGGAGCGGCTGCTGGGTCACTGGAATATTGTTATTCTGTTGCTTTCTTTTCAGTCAGTCATTCTCAGGCCCCAGCTTCTCTGATTTCTCGGTGAGCTTAGTTTCTGCCTCCCCAGCTTTCCCTCTGTGTGCCTCAAATTAAATCTCTTCCGGAACCAGGCTCTGATGAGCGTGCCTGGTCATGGTCTAACTCGGAGTTCTCATGCCAGACCTCCTCCAGTGTGGCTGATGTGTCCTGTATGTTTTTGACTTTGGTAACTGAGTTAATTCCTGGGCCAGTCTTTTGTGGCCAAGTCTAGTAGCAGAGCCAAGGTTACTTATAGAAAGAACTACCTCCGGCCACTCATCCTGGGGCTGTGGCTACTAGGCATACGGATTCCTCTCTGGTACAAACTCTTTTTACCAAAACTATATTTGGAGGTAATCATACCTTTTCATTCTCTTCCATCCTTCCCCCTTTCCTACTACACAAAGATAGCAAGTTTTTTCACCTTGTTGCCCAGGCTGGAGTGCAGTGGTGTGATCACAACTCACTGCAACCTTGAACTCCTGGGCTCAAGCAATCCTCTCGCCTCAGCCTCCTGAATAGCTGGGACTACATACACCCACCACCATGCCCAGCTAAAGATAGCAAGATGATGAAACAAATAGATCATCCAATTTCACCCCCCTTCACCCCCAACCCAAGTGTAACATTTTCATTTTGGTGGAATCCGTAGGTCTCAGTTATCTGATCTTCTGTTGGGGGCTGCAGCATCAGAACAGGGAGGTCTAGACCCAGGACAATGGCTTGTATCCTAAAGGTGAAATATGACTTCTGTTCCCCTGTAGGCAAGGATCCTGGGTCTCGCATGGTTCAAGGTATCAGAAATAAGCAGGATCTGAGATCTATATTATGCGGCTGGCAGTCATTCTTCATTCTTGTATGAAGATACTCTCTTCTCCCTTCTTTTTTCCTTTTCTTTCTTTTTTTTTTGAGATGGAGTCTCAGTCTGTCTCCCAGGCTGGAGTGCAGTAGTGTGATCTCAGCTCACCGCAACCTCCGCCTCCTGGGTTCAAGCGATTCTCCTGCCTCAGCCTCCTGAATAGCTGGGACTACAGATGCACACTACCACGCCTGGCTAATTTTTGTAGAGACAGGATTTTGCCATGTTGGCCAGGCTGGTCTTGAGCTCCTGACCTCAAGTGATCCACCTGCCTTGGCCTCTCAAAGTGCTGGGATTAGAGTCATGAGCCATCACGCCCGGCCTTCTCCCTTCTTTTCATCCCCGAAACCTAAGCTAGTAACCAGCACACCTTTCCTTACCCTCTTTTATCATCAGCACTTTGCACAGCCTACTCCAGGAAACTCGGGGTGGTAGGGAAGCTACCAGCAGCAGCTCTCTCTCCACACAATAACATGGGCGTGGAGCCCCAGGCAGATGAGTAGTGCCTCCCTAGTACCAGAGTGCTAGGAATTCTTTGTCATGTGCAGCTGGTGTTGGTGCTTAGAAGAACCAACTGGACATTTCTGATTTTAGGTGGAGTACCAGTCCTGGAGACTAAAACTTAGAAGAGTGTTTGCAAGTTAACAGAGTGATATCATAGCATGTCTTCGAGAAACACAGACTCATTGATGATAGTATGAAATTATGTAATAGCAGCCCATACATGTTATGCTACTTTACAGCAACATGAATTTTTGAAATGGCATTGCATACTTTTTTTTTTTTTGAGATGGTGTCTTGCTCTGTCACCCAGGCTGGAGTGCAGTGGTGCGATCTCGGCTCACTGCAAGCTCCGCCTCCTGGGTTCACGCCATTCTCCTGTCTCAGCCTCCCGAGTAGCTGGGACTACAGGCACCCACCACCACGCCCGGCTAAATTTTTGTATTTTTAGTAGAGACGGGGTTTCACCGTGTTAGCCAGGATTGTCTTGATCTCCTTACCTCGTGATCTGCCCGCCTCGGCCTTCCAAAGTGCTGGGATTACAGGCGTGAGCCACCGTGCCAGGCTGCACACCATTTTAATAAAGAGAATTTTTTTTTTTTTTTTTTTTTTGAGAAGGAGTTTTGCTTTTGCTGCCCAGGCTGGAGTGCAATGGCGCCATCTCAGCTCACTGCAACCTCTGCCTCCCTGGTTCAAGTGATTCTCCTGCTTCAGCCTCCAGAGTAGCTGGGATTACAGGTGCCTGCGACCACGCCTGGCTAATTTTTGTACTTTTAGTAGAGACAGGGTTTCACCATGTTGGCCAGGCTGATCTCGAACTCCTAACCTCAAGTGATTCACTTGCCTTGGCCTCCCAAAGTGCTGGGATTTTGGGTGTGAGCCACTGTGCCTGGCTGGGTCATTTTTAATGTCCTAAAGTTCTCTTGTTCTCTTCACATAGATCTGGCATATTTCTCAAAATATTATAAGCATGTGTGTATTTGTATTTATATCTATAATTTATTGATTTTTTGGCTGCTATGATGAATGGGAATTTTTTTCCCTTTTAGATTTGCTAATCTAGACTTCATTTTGTAAAGGTTTTGTCTTAGTTGAAGTTCTTATGGTAGCAATTTACAGAAATACATTCAGATTAACTTAGGCCAAAAAAAAAAAAAAAAAAAAGCGGGGGAGAATTCTCTGGAAGGCAGCCAAGGCCTCCCCTACAGGCCAAGGGTAGAAAGGAGAGTGGGCCTCACAAGGGGGAGGGAAACAAGAACTACGGAGTCTCCTGTTGCTTTCCCTTAGTAGATCTATTTTTCTCTCCCTCTGTAGTTCAGCTTTCTTTGCTTCTCCCTTTGTCCACTTCCATGTTTCTGAGAAGCAAAGGGATATAGAGCAAACCTGGCTACAGGGGCTACCCATGTGGGTGGAGCAATTCTCAGAAAATAACTATGGGTTGAAAAGGCACGGCTGAAACAGATTTCAAGACACTGCAATGTCAGTGACTTGAAAAGAATCTGTTTCTTGCCTAAGAGGGGTAGAGTTGGCAGTTACTGTTTGGGAGAATCTGCCCTTCTAAGTTCCAGATGATTAATAAACAGGGACTGACAATCGTCAGGTTATGGGATTAATAATTCAACAAAATATACTGAGCTCTTACTCTGACTTTATATTTGCATACTAGTTAGCTGTTGTAGGGGCTGAAAAGTTGTGATGCCTTTCTTCCTCATCATAAGGGTCAGAGCTCGTATAACAAGATAGGTTAAGAGAAAAATCTAAAATAAACTAAGAAGTTTATTTAATCAAAGTTTTACATGACATGGGAGCCTTCAGAAATGGCTACCCAAAGAGCCAGGGAAAACTTGTTTTTAATGCTTAGATTCTATGAAAAATGGACAGCCTGCAGTAATGTGGTTGGGCAAAAAGTGTGCCACTTAATAGTAACAGACAGCAGGTGGAAACCCAACGAGGTCTTTCTGTGTAGCATTCCTTCCTCCCAGGTATGAGGCAGGATCTCTTCCAGAATGAGGGTCTTACGGCCTATCAGACAAGGTAGGCCAGAGAAGTTCTTTACGGCCAGCTTGTTTTTTGGACTGAGTTTCCCTCCTGTTGCCCAGGCTGGAGTGCAATGGCGTGATCTCGGCTCACAGCAACCTCTGTCTCCCGGGTTCAAGCGATTCTCCTGCCTCAGCCTCCCGAATAGCTGGGATTACAGGCATGCACTACCATGCCCGGCTAATTTTGTATTTTTAGAAGACACAGGGTTTCTCCATGTTGGTTGGGCTGGTCTCGAACTCCCGACCTCTGGTGATCTGCTGGCCTCGGCCTCCCAAAGTGCTGGGATTACAGGCGTGAGCCACCGCGCCAGGCCACGGCCAGCTCTTACATAGAAAGGTGGGGGGAAGTTTAGGTTTTATGGCTGGCTTTGGGGGAGAGGGCTTCTAGTTTCTGTGACTCATCTTGGGGAAGAGGAATTCTGGTTTCTATGGCTTGCCTTGGGGAAGAAAGAAGGCTGGGAGACAGGAGGGCAGGAAAAGGTCGGAGAGACTGTGCCTGAGGCCTTCCAGTCTCTTTTAGTTCAAAATAGTCAGCATACCAAAGCGCCGTATTTTGGGGTATTGTTTTTCTGAGCTCAACACTGCTGCTTCGGATGTATCTCCACTTACTTTATTTAACCTAAAAGGCTTTCAGCTCAGAGCACAAGTAGTATGCCATGAATGCGAAATTGTGTGGTTCAAATATTCAAAATATTTGAAATATTTGCCATTTCAAATATTTTGTCTTGAGAAAATAAAATCTTTCAAATCTGGCAACTTGGGATAAAGATGACTATGATCCTATCCCTCCTTTCAACTGGCTTAGGATTCATTTTGATTTTCCTCTGTAGAAATGGGGCGCTTCATGAAAGAAACTCTCTCTGAAAACCAGGAATTCTGTTAAAAGACCTTTTTGCTAATCTAGTTCAGTAGTTGACGTTAGCATTTGACGGGGAGCCTGGTGAAAGCTACCATGAGAATTCGGAAGCAAGAAACTGGCAGTCCTGGCGCTACTGGTTACTAATTGAACGACCTTCGCAAGTAACCTAGCCTCTGTGAACCTGTTCTCATTTTCAAACGCGGTTGAATAACTACTTTTCAACTAGGATGTTATGAAAGGTAATAGGGTAAAGACAAAGGACTAGGTTCGCGTGGAGCCCAGTACTGCTGAAGGAAAGATACACGAGTTTGGAGGGAGTCTAAGGAAAAGGAGGCAAAGGACCCCGGAGGTTATATCCTCGGTGGCCTCAGCTTTTACACGATCTAAGTCCATCCTACGGCGGATACGCTCTCCTTTCACTGGAAAATGACTGTTTGCGTTGAAAAAATTTTTATCTAACAAAGCTCCATTTCTCTAAACTTTGCTTCCCCGCCCAGTTTGCAAACGAGTCAGGGTTTCCTCACCGGCGCGGTAGGCTCGCCGAAAGCCAAGCGGGAGCCCCAGGCTGCGCAGGGCGGGGGAATAATGGGTGCCCAGCTCCGGGCCAGGAAGCCCAGGGAACCACTGCAGCCACCACCGCGGTCAGGAGACAGCCCCCGCACCGCCCCTTTTCGATTCGTTTGCATGATCTACGGCGCGGTTTCCGGCGGCAGAGACATGTTTTCCGGTCGTCCCTTGGCTCGATTTTCTTCCGGGGCGGGACTTCCTTTCCATCATTGATAGGCGCCGGGCAGCTGAGCTGGTAGGAGGACCAGACGGGGAGGTTCGGTATGTCTGACCAGGACTTATGTTCCTCGAAAGGGCGGCCAGGAGGATGCTCTTCCTCTCTTTTCTTTCTCGCCTTTTTCTCCGCATGACGCCTCGGTTTGCGCGGACGCCCTGGGCTTTTGGCACTACCGCCCACCTGAGGCTCTTCCGCTTCCTCTTTCCCCCCCCAGGCTCCGCCCCCCAGCGTCCCGTGGCCATGACGACCGCTCAGAGGGACTCCCTGTTGTGGAAGCTCGCGGGGTTGCTGCGGGAGTCCGGTGAGTGGACTTCCGGTTGGGCTGGGCCTCGGACCTCGGACGAGGTGGGGGTGGTGCTTTCTGGAGACACGCCCTGAGAGTCATGGAGTTACGACTGGTAGGGTCACCAGGTGTCAGAGTTCAATTTCTTTACTTTTCCCAGGTTTGTTCGCCCTTACAGTGTCCTTTGCCTGTGATAGCCTAAACTCTAGCCGTCCTTTGAGGCCAAAGGGCGGTATCCCTCCCTCCGTGCCTTCTCTGACACTGTCAGAAGGAAGTGATCATTACCTGACTAAAAGCCCCTCAGGACCAGGGACTGATCTCGGTCATAATCATTATTGTGTAGCAAGGTACTAAATACAGTAGATAGAAGCACGAGATTTGGAGTCGGACCCACTTGGGTTGGAATATCAACCCTCTTTCAAACTTGCCATACTGTTTCCTGAGGCTCAGTTTTCCTCACAGATTGGCATAGTGATTGTACTTAACATTTGTGGGGATTCGTTTTAATTCATGTATTTAGTACAATGCCTGCAAGTATAGTAACTGCTTACAGTTGGGAGCTATTGTTATTGTAATGATTTCCCTGATGCTTGGCACTGTGCCTGGGCATAATGGAGCCACAGTAGTTGTTGAATACTTGGTTGGCATTAGTTGTGGTAGAAAAAGCCTTGGCTTTGAGATCAGATAGGAGAAGTAACTTCCTACCAATTATATGATCTCCATCAAGATTTTTCACTTTTTTGAACCTCAATTTTCATATCTGTAAGATGGGGTTAATAGTGCTTCTCTTTGAGAGATTCTGAGAAGGTTTGAATGAGATACCAAAGTCATCTGGTACATACTACAGTTAATGTTAGCTGTCCTCCATCACTCCATGCTCCTATTGACGATATCTGTGGAAGCTCTCTTTATAGCAGTTTTCTTTTCTTTCTTTTCTTTTTTTTGAGACAGAGTCTTGCTGTGTCACCCAGGCTGGAGTGCAGTGGCGCAATCTCAGCTCACTGCAACCTCCACCTCCTGGGACGAAGTGATTCTCCTGCCTCAGCCTCCTGAGTAGCTGGGACTACAGGTGTGCACCACCATGACCGGCTAATTTTTGTATTTTTAGTAGAGACGGGGTTTCACCATGTTGGCCAGGTTGGTCTTGAACTCCTGACCTCAAGTGATTAACCTGCCTTGGCCTCCCAAAGTGCTAGGATTAAAGTCGTGAGCCACAGCACCTGGCCAGTAGCAGTTTCATTTCCTGGCTTGTATTGATAACTTTGCAAATGTCTTATATCCTTCTCTGGGAGGAGACAACTAGGAGGCCCTTTGAACGTGGGAAGAGTCCTTGAACCATGTCTGTATCTATCCTCAGTGTCTAGTACATACAGAATCCTTCATGTCAGGTTGTAGGACTTGTTAATTTATTCAGTGATGAATGGTGGGTGTGTGAATGTGTGACTACAAGGAGGTAGCAGGAGAAGAGCTTTGTGGCAGCAGAATAGTTTTGTATCTTGATTGCGTGGCTGCAGGAATTTATATAAACAGCATATAGCTATATATACATATTGTACCAACATCAGTGTCCTGAATTTTTTTTTTTTTTTGAGATGGAGTCTCGCTCTGTCACCCAGGCTGGAGTGCAGTGGTATGATCTCGGCTCACTGCAACCCCTGCCTCCCTCCCAGGTTGAAGTGATTCTTCTGCCTCAGCCTCCCGAGTAGCTGGGACTACAGGCATGCACCACCATGCCCTACTAATTTTTGTATTTTTAGTAGAGACGGGGTTTCACCATATTGGCCAGGCTGGTCTTTAACTCCGGACCTCGTGATCCACCCGCCTTGGCCTCCCAAAGTGCTGGGATTACAGGCGTGAGCCACCACGCCTGCCCTTTGTGTTTTTTTTTTTGTTTTTGTTTTTTTTTTTTTTTTTTTTTGAGATGGAGTCTACCTCTGTCACCCAGGCTGGAGTGCAATGGCTCAATTTCGGCTCACTGCAACCTCTGCCTCCTGGCTTCCAGCTGTTCTCTGGCCTCAGCCCCTCGAGTAGCTGGGATTACAGGCGCATGTCGCAATGCCCAGCTGAGAATATTTGTATTTTTAGTAGAGACGAGGTTAGAGTCGTAGAATAATTTTTTGTGTTTTTAGTGGAGACGGGGTTTCACCATGTTGGCCAGGTTGGTCCTGAACTCCTGACCTCAAGTGCCTTGCTCCCAAAGTGCTGGGATTACAGGCCTGAGCCACGGCAACCAGCTCAGTGTCCTGACTTTGATATTGTACTATAGCTATATAAAATGTAACCATTAGGGAAAACTGGGTAAAGGATACAGGGGACCTTTCTGTATTATTTCTGCAGCATTCTTTGACTCCATACTTATTATATTTTTTAAGCCAAAAAAGCATTCCTTCATGCCTAGCTTGTAGCTGCACTTTTTTAGGTGCAGTGATGAATACCAGAGTGATCAAAAGATGCCCTCAAGGATGAAAGTCTCATTAGAGAGAGCAGTTTTAACAGACAGCAATAACAATGCCTTAGTGCTATAATGAATAGTTATTCTATGACATACTTTTTAGTATTGTTTGAAAGTTTCTACAGATGTGCTTTGCAATCAGAAAAAGAAAGAAAGATAAAACTTCCAATTAACTTTTGTGTAATAATGAGTGACTGCAATATGAAAATTCAGCAGTATTACTTCTTGAGGCGGCTTCCTGGAGGAGGCTGGTCTCAAGCTGGGCGGTGGAAGGGGGTGTCTCATAACAAGAGAGAACTGTGAACCAAGCTGGCTGTATTTCCAGCACTGTCAGTAGATGAGGCTCTTTTGAGCAGAAGGTGAAAGAAAATTTGGAAGAGTTGGTTGGAGTTGTGTAGCCAAGCAGTCTCATCAGGCTGAATGAAATGTTAGGACTTTTTTTGAAGATGAGGGGAGCCATTGAATGCTTTTGAGCTGAGAAGGAGATAGAAAATTTGATCCTGCAATAGAAGATCTACAATATGGATTGGAGTGGGTATATTTTGGCATCATAGAGCCTTAGAATAAAGAGAAAAATCTTTTCACTGTGTCTTCCCTCCTGTTTGCCCCTTTTTCTGCAGGGGATGTGGTCCTGTCTGGCTGTAGCACCCTGAGCCTGCTGACTCCCACACTGCAACAGCTGAACCACGTATTTGAGCTGCACCTGGGGCCATGGGGCCCTGGCCAGACAGGCTTTGTGGCTCTGCCCTCCCATCCTGCCGACTCCCCTGTTATTCTTCAGCTTCAGTTTCTCTTCGATGTGCTGCAGAAAACACTTTCACTCAAGGTTCTGGGTGTGGGGAAGAGGCAGGATGTGCAAGGAGCCCAAGAGAATGATGGAAGTTGGGGATAGGGTAGGGGTGCAGAAGTCTGCAGTGCCAGGATCCAGAGGGTGTCAGAGGTACCAGTGGTTGTGCTAAGGAAGGAATGTTGAGGGCAGGAAGATCTGCTGTGCCTCAGTAAATTGAGTTTTTTTTTTTTTTTCAGCTGGTCCATGTTGCTGGTCCTGGCCCCACAGGGCCCATCAAGATTTTCCCCTTCAAATCCCTTCGGCACCTGGAGGTATGGGGACACGGGGGGATGTTGGTGCACAGCACCCAACTTGAGGCAGCCCCTTGGGGATGGGAAAGAGAAGAGCCTCTTTGGTGAGGAGGCCAGGCCTGAGTATACCCATTGCTCTGCAGTCATGTGATATCCACTGTCTTTCCATTTACTGCTTCCCTAAATCATAGCTGGGCTTTGTGGTCTTCTCCCTCCTCCCAACTAGGGGATGGGGATGAGGTCTTTGTCTTCTGTGGGGTTCTGCCTTCCTCCCTCCTCTTTCCTTGTCCCAGCTCCGAGGTGTTCCCCTCCACTGTCTGCATGGCCTCCGAGGCATCTACTCCCAGCTGGAGACCCTGATTTGCAGCAGGAGCCTCCAGGCATTAGAGGTAAGGAGAGTGAGGGGTGAGCTCAGACACCTCAACTTGAGAGATGTAGAAGACCAAGCTCTGATGTTCTCCCCTCTCTGCAGCTCTCCCTGCCTCCTGCTTCCCTCTAGACAGTGTCCTCACTCCCTCTCTGTGTTCCCGCAGCACTCTGTAACTGCCTGTATATTTATAGTCGTACCTACCATATTATATTACATATTCTAGTGTCTACCTTCCCACTGTCCCTACAGTGAGTTCTTGGGTCAGGGACCTGGGCTTTAAGCCTGTATCTTCAGATGGAGTTCAGTGTATAAAAAATGAATGAGTGACTGGGTGGTAGAGCTTGGCCTTGGCATAGGGAGGAAGGGGAGGGTGGGGTAATGAAGCACCCATCTGTCTGCTCAGGAGCTCCTCTCAGCCTGCGGCGGCGACTTCTGCTCTGCCCTCCCTTGGCTGGCTCTGCTTTCTGCCAACTTCAGCTACAATGCACTGACCGCCTTAGACAGCTCCCTGGTGAGTGCCTCAGAGGGAAGAGGGTTTCGAGGAAGGGCAAGGCCAGGCCTTTGGGGAGGAGGGCCAGCTGGTTGACCAGATAGTATTGTAGTGAACATCGATTCTCTGCCTCCTCCCCGTCTCTCTCAGCGCCTCTTGTCAGCTCTGCGTTTCTTGAACCTAAGCCACAATCAAGTCCAGGACTGTCAGGGATTCCTGATGGTGAGTATGGGCAGTTTGGCAGCTGGCACACCATGGGTCTTTGATTGCTCTGCTCTCACTCTCTCTCCTTGACCAGCTTTTACTCCCACCTTGCTCTTGCCATGAGGGTGGAGCTGCATTCTGGGAGATAGCACTGCTTAGACACTAGCATCAGACAAACCAGAGTTCATATCTCAACTTCTAATACCTGTGCAACTTTGAGCAAGTTAGTTACCTCTTGGTTTCTTTACCTGTAAAGTAGAAATCACAAGAGTACCTGGTTTTTTTTTTTTTTTTTTTTTTTGAGATGGAGTCTCGCTCTGTCACCCAGGCTGGAGTGCAGTGGCGCAATCTCAGCTCACTGCAACCTCTGCCTCCCAGGTTCAAGCAATTCTCCTGCTTCAGCCTCCCAAGTAGCTGGGATTACAGGCACGTGTCAACACACCTGGCTAATTTTTGTATTTTTAGTAGAGATGGGGTTTCACCATGTTGGTCAGGCTGGTCTTGAACTGCTGACCTCAAGCAATTCACCTGCCTTGGCCTCCCAAAATGCTGGGATTACAGGCATGAGCCACCACGCCCGGCTGAATACCTGCTTTTATAGTATTAAAATGATTGTGAAGAAGTACCCAATGTTGCTTAGTCTAGTGCCTAGCTCAGAAACTGGTAGCTTTTGTGATTATGATGAAGAACCTTTCTTCTGGGTCCTCCCATCCACCTGTCAGAGATAAAGCCGAACTAGTTAAAGTGGTAAGGACAGATTTTTTTTTTCTTTTTTTTTTTGAGGCAGAGTCTTGCTCTGTCACCCAGGCTAGAGTGCAGTGGTGTGATCTTGGCTCACTGCAAACTCAACCTCCTGGGTTCAAGCAGTTCTCCTGCCTCAGTCTCCCGAGTAGCTGGGATTACAGGTGCCCGCCACCATGCCCAGCTAATTTTTGTATTTTTTAGTAGAGATGGGGTTTCACCATCTTAGCCAGGCTGGTCTTGAACTCCTGACCTCATGATCCGCCCACCTCAGCCTCCCAAAATGCTGGGATTACAGGTGTGAGCCACCGTGCCCGACCAAGTAAGGACAGATTTTTTATCAGTGATAAACTATTGCAGCGGGGAAGAGGGTGCAACCTGAACTGAACGCCACTTCAATTTGTGCAGAGGTGGCTGGGCATTTTAAAAGGAGAGTGAGGGAATAGGAAGGGGAACTGTGAGGGCTTGAGCAGAGTAAGGGAAGTGGAAATGTACGAAAAGCAGAAGTGGAGGTTGATTCACATGAAGCCCTTCTGGGTTTGCTAAAAGTTAGGCTCCTACCTTCCCACAGAGACTGGGAGATGGGAGCCCTGTCATCAGGTGTTGGCTAGAACAAATGGGAAATTCTTTTGGCAGCCTTGACTTTTCCCAGGCAGGAGCTTAAGGGGGCTAGAGTCACCATTCTAGGGATGCATCCTTGAGATATTAGAACTTTGCTGTTTTTGTTCAGGTTTTTTACTGTGGGGGTTGGAGGAGTCAACAAAAATAATTTGTGTTGAATTTTGTTGAACTTGTGCTGAACAAGTCTGCAGTTCTTAACAGGCCAAAGTTGAGGCCTAGTCAAAAAGAAGGCCCAGAGGAGCCTGAGTAGGGTTTGATCAAGGTGAGAACCTCCTCTAATTCAGGGAAAGAAGAGACACTCCTCTTTCCCCTGAACAATATAAATCCTTTTCTTCCTTGATCACCTTTTGTTCACTAAAAACCAACTGAGCCATTTATTGGGACTTGGTAGTGGATGAATTTTGCTGGATGGTGAGAGTGACCAGGCATTTAATGGGGGACATTTCTATGGAAACAAAAAGGGAAACAAAGATGAATGGTTGGAGCAGACTATAAATCCATTTTCTGAGTCCAGAGGGCAGCCAGTTGAGATTTCTAGGTGTTGAGCTCTATGTTTCTTTAGATGGTGGAATGAGGATAGCAGTGGCAACCGATGGATTTCTTCGTTTGTAGTTTGAATGTTTGTGGTGATAGCATAGACAGTGTTGCAGTCACGGTTATTTCCCTGAACAGAGCCTGGAAGATACAGAAGTGTCAGTGGACTTTTTTCCTTTTTTTTTTTTTAATGAGACAGAGTTTCGCTCTTGTTGCCCAGGCTGGAGTGCAATGGCACGATCTTGGCTCACCGTAACCTCTGCCTCCCGGGTTCAAGCGATTCTCCTGCCTCAGCCTCCCAAGTAGCTGGGATTACAAGTGTGTGCCACCACGCCCAGCTAATTTTTGTATTTTTAGTAGAGACGGGGTTTCACAATGTTGGCCAGGTGAGTCTCGAACTCCTGGCCTCAAGTGATCCCCCCTCTTTGGCCTCCCAGAGTGCTGGGATTACAGGCATGAGCCACTGCACCTGGCCGGCTGGGCATTTTAAAAGAGGGCGGCGGGGAGTGGGCAGGGGAATGGTAGGGCCTTGAGCAGAGCTGGGGGAGTGGAAATCAGGTTGGTCCACATGAAACCCATCTGAGTTTGCTAACTAACTGGCACTTACCAAAATAAGGCCCTTACCCTTTCACAGAGACTGGGAGACGGGGCCCTATCTTCAGGAGTTGGCTGAAACAAATGGGAAATTCTTTTGGCAGCTTTGACTTTTCCCAGGCAGGAATTTAAGGGGCTTGGAGTTGCCATGCTCAGGGTGTGGCCTTGAACTGTTAGGAACAGTGCTGGTGTTGTTCAAGTCTTTTAACGTGGGAGTAGGGGTGGATGAAATCATTTGTGCTGAGTGTGTGCAGTTTTATATAGGCCAAGGTTGAGGCCTAGTCCAGAAGAGGTCTCAGAGGACCCTGGCTAGAGTTTGGTCAACGAGATAATCTTTTTCTCCCCTGTACCCCTGCCAGGATTTGTGTGAGCTCCACCATCTGGACATCTCCTATAATCGCCTGCATTTGGTGCCAAGAATGGGACCCTCAGGGGCTGCTCTGGGGGTCCTGATACTGCGAGGCAATGAGCTTCGGAGCCTGCATGGTGAGTGGGGGTGTGTGATGGGGCAAGCATGGAGGGGAAGGGGGAGAGTGAGGCTGGGGCTGGCCTGGGGACCATGTGCCTCTAGAGCCTTGAGAGGGCTTATGGGGAGTGCAGGGGTGCTCTGGCCGGTCTTTCTGCTGCAACCTCCCCCAGTGCATGCACCACACTCACTTGCGTGTACTCATCCACATGCTCTTCCTTCCTTCTTGCGTCCACCCCAGGCCTAGAGCAGCTGAGGAATCTGCGGCACCTGGATTTGGCATACAACCTGCTGGAAGGACACCGGGAGCTGTCACCACTGTGGCTGCTGGCTGAGCTCCGCAAGGTGAGATGGGAATGCATCAGGGGCCTGGGAACCACCCTTGCACGTACCCCCCCATGCTGGTTTGGTCAGTGCCTTCTTCACACAGGGAGGGCCAGGGCCCCAGGCCCTCCTCATTCTCCCCTTCCTGCCCCTCAGCTCTACCTGGAGGGGAACCCTCTTTGGTTCCACCCTGAGCACCGAGCAGCCACTGCCCAGTACTTGTCACCCCGGGCCAGGGATGCTGCTACTGGCGTGAGTGATCGTCCTGTGTCCACTCTTCTTCCCCTTTCCTGCCCAGTCCTCCCCCACCTTGCACCCTCTTGCCATCCCTGGGTGAGGGGCCAAGGACCTGGACCCTGCTTACTGTGTTCTTAATACCTGGAGCTCAGCAGGATGGGCCTACCACATACTCCCTCCCCCTTTTTGTCTTTGCTCAGTTCCTTCTCGATGGCAAGGTCTTGTCACTGACAGATTTTCAGGTCGGTGTGGTTGGGGGGCGAGGACTGTTGGGGGAAGACACGAAGGGAGGGCGCTGGGGAGAGA
The DNA here is from genome assembly GCF_000001405.40 of Homo sapiens. Taxonomy (NCBI): domain Eukaryota; kingdom Metazoa; phylum Chordata; class Mammalia; order Primates; family Hominidae; genus Homo; species Homo sapiens. The sequence continues at coordinate 219,606,582 of NC_000002.12, forward strand.
ACAGAGGGCTGGCTGGTGACAGGGTCTTCCTGGTCAGTGGAAAGTAGGGTCCCGCCTTTTGGCTGGCTTGGGCAAGGCAGAGGTGCTCCCAGGCTCCAACCTCTCTCTCCTTCCTGTCGTCACGTGCCAGACTCACACATCCTTGGGGCTCAGCCCCATGGGCCCACCTTTGCCCTGGCCAGTGGGGAGTACTCCTGAAACCTCAGGTGGCCCTGACCTGAGTGACAGCCTCTCCTCAGGGGGTGTTGTGACCCAGCCCCTGCTTCATAAGGTTAAGGTAAGCAGCGTCCTCCGCTGCCTTGTGCCTGCGGTTGGGTGTCTCTCCGGGGACTCTGGGCTACAGTGGGCAGGGAATGGTAGGAACTGTGCTTGCACGTGGTCAAGGTTTCTTTGATAGGTTGGATGGCCAGCCGTGGATGGCAGGGCTGGAGGCTTGGCTTTCACAGAACTTCTTCCCTCCACCAACCTCAGAGCCGAGTCCGTGTGAGGCGGGCAAGCATCTCTGAACCCAGTGATACGGACCCGGAGCCCCGAACTCTGAACCCCTCTCCGGCTGGTAAGTCAGCTTCATCCCACTAACCTCTCTCGTCCCCAGCGAGCTCACTCTAATTTTTAAGTTACAGTGAAGATCTGCTGGAAGAAATGTTATTTTTTGTTGGGGTAGAGTATTATAGAGGGCTTCTTAGTCTTTTTTCTTTTCTTTTAGTTTAGGGAAAGGAGAAGACTGCTTCTGGGAGCATTTTGAAAACTTTTCGAGGAACATTAATTTTGTGGGGTGTCAAGAGATCATGTAGGCCAGGTGCAGTGGCTTACATCTGTAATCCCAGCACTTTGGGAGGCTGAGGTGGGAGGATTGCCTGAGCCCAGGAGTTTGAGACCAGCCTGGGCAACATAGAGAGATGTCCATTTCTACAAAAAAATTTTTAAATTAGCCTGACGTGGTGGTGTGCGCCTGTAGTCCTAGCTACTTGGGAGGCTGAGGCAGGAGGATCGCCAGAGCCTGATAGTTCAAGGTTGCAGTGAGCTATGATCATGCCACTGCACTCTAACCTGGTGACAGAGTAAGACCTTATCTCTTAAAAAAAAAAGTAAAAAACCCCAAAACAAAAGAAAGTGTATATGTATATATATAAAATAATAGGATTGTGGCCAGAGAAGTTTGAGAAATGTGAGGTTGAAGAGAAATAGGTGTGTCAGCTGCCGGCCGTCTCGGGCCCTTCAGGATGCTATCATGTATGCTGAGTCTCTGGAAGTAGCATAGGATGCGCAGCTTGGATTGCATGTGACCACAGGGTTCCATAGGACACGCTTTAGTACATGCCGCGGAGGGGACGCCTGTAGCCTCCCTTGCCCGTGTCCCCATACACAGCCCATCGCCCCCTCATCGCTGAGGAGCACCGTTGAAGGATTTGGGGCCATCTGTGTGGGGCAGGCTTGCTCAGTTCTGGGTTCCCCTCCTGCCTAGGATGGTTCGTGCAGCAGCACCCGGAGCTGGAGCTCATGAGCAGCTTCCGGGAACGGTTCGGCCGCAACTGGCTGCAGTACAGGAGTCACCTGGAGCCCTCCGGAAACCCTCTGCCGGCCACCCCCACTACTTCTGCACCCAGTGCACCTCCAGCCAGCTCCCAGGGCCCCGACACTGCACCCAGACCTTCACCCCCGCAGGAGGAAGCCAGAGGCCCCCAGGAGTCACCACAGAAAATGTCAGAGGAGGTCAGGGCGGAGCCACAGGAGGAGGAAGAGGAGAAGGAGGGGAAGGAGGAGAAGGAGGAGGGGGAGATGGTGGAACAGGGAGAAGAGGAGGCAGGAGAGGAGGAAGAAGAGGAGCAGGACCAGAAGGAAGTGGAAGGTGAGCCCTTTGTGGGCTGGGGCGAGCTGAGGCCAGGGGCCCTTGGGATGTTTGTGAGTGGTGGGGCCTGGCGGGTGGAGGGCCAGTTCGGGGGAGGGCAGAGTGTGGGTACTTTCCCTCCCTGCAGGCCTTTTCTCTTGGTCTCTCCACAGCGGAACTCTGTCGCCCCTTGTTGGTGTGTCCCCTGGAGGGGCCTGAGGGCGTACGGGGCAGGGAATGCTTTCTCAGGGTCACTTCTGCCCACCTGTTTGAGGTGGAACTCCAAGCAGCTCGCACCTTGGAGCGACTGGAGCTCCAGAGTCTGGAGGCAGCTGAGATAGAGCCGGAGGCCCAGGCCCAGAGGTCGCCCAGGCCCACGGTGAGTGGGGCGTGGCAGGGTCTCTGGAGGAGCCAGTTATGGGAACATGGCTGTTGTGTGCCCTGCACTGGGCTGGGCATTTCTTTCAGTCTCTCCTTGGCACTAGGAGCCGAGGAGGGGAGCCTCAGAGGTTGCAAGCACTCGGGAAGCTGGGCTGAGGAGCAGGGATTCTGTGCTGGAGCTTGGACGTCAGTACAGGCCTTTGACAGGCTTCAGAGGTCCTGCCATCCTCCATGCTCTCAGCATCCCCTCATCCCTCTGATCACCGCCCCTGCTGTTTTTCACCCGGTCCCCCTCTTGCTGCGCAGGGCTCAGATCTGCTCCCTGGAGCCCCCATCCTCAGTCTGCGCTTCTCCTACATCTGCCCTGACCGGCAGTTGCGTCGCTATTTGGTGCTGGAGCCTGATGCCCACGCAGCTGTCCAGGTGATGGCGCCCAGAGTGGGGGCCCAGGAGGCTGTGGGGATTAAGAGAGCCAGAGGGAAGTGGCAGCAGGCCTGAGGGCCGGGGGCCTGTGGGAGGTGTCCGTCTGGGGTCCGCCTGCTCACAGCTGCCTCTGATCCACCCTCTGTCAGGAGCTGCTTGCCGTGTTGACCCCAGTCACCAATGTGGCTCGGGAACAGCTTGGGGAGGCCAGGGACCTCCTGCTGGGTAGATTCCAGTGTCTACGCTGTGGCCATGAGTTCAAGCCAGAGGAGCCCAGGATGGGATTAGACAGTGAGGAAGGCTGGAGGCCTCTGTTCCAAAAGACAGGTACAAGTCCTGCCCTTGACCTCTCTGCCCACACGCCTCCCCTGTTCCAGGGAAAGTGGCTCTGTGTAGGGGAGTGTGAAGGGGGAGCCCTAGGGAGAAGGGGCTAGAGTGGAGAGCAGTTGTTCTGCCTGGAGGAAAAAGAAAACCGTCTGCCTGCTGCATTTACAAAAAGGAAAACAGAAAAAAAGAAGAAACTATATCCTGTTTTTTTTTTTTTTTTAACTCTAAAAGTCAGGAAATGCAATCTCTGTAACTGTGCTTAAACATACTCATTATTTTTTCATAACTTGAAGGCTTGTTGTGTTGGGGATTTTTTGGCTGATATTTCAGACACTACATAAAACCTAATGAGCCCTCACTGCAGTATTGGATTGTGGTGCTGCCTCTGCCAGCAAGTGTAGCTGTTGAGTGAGATGCTTGGGGAGTTGGCTTGGTTTATCCTTCCCGGCTGACCTTGGAAGGTACATAATGTCCTGTGGCATTTCTTCATGCGCTAGTCCTTAAAACAAGAATTGTTTCCATTGTAGACCAGTCAGCACTATCTTTGAAGAAGACATTGAAGAAGAAATAAATATTCTTGATAACAGCTCTGTGGAAATGCCAGAATTTTATTAGACGGTTTTCTCTTCTTGGCGGCAGCTGGAGCAGGGGTTTAGATTTTATTCAGAAAATGGAGCCCTGCTCCATTCCCCACTGTGAACTGGCCTGGGCATGCAGCCTTAGTGACACAGCGCAAACAGAAACAGCCCCCAGCCCCTCCCGGACCCTGGCTGTACACCATGAGGTGCTGTGGTCTCTGGAGCCTCTTCCATGGTGGCGTTATTAATGAACATTACTGTGGGCTCTGTTCTCCTTTAATTTTTTTTTTTCTTTTTTTTTTGAGACGGAGTCTCGCTCTGTTGCCCAGGCTGGAGTGCAGTGGCACAACCTTGGCTCACTGCAAGCTCTGCCTTCCGGGTTCACGCCATTCTCCTGCCTCAGCCTCGCAAGTAGCTGGGACTACAGGCGCCCACCACCACACCCAGCTAATTTTTTGTATTTTTAGTAGAGATGGGGTTTCACCGTGTTAGCCAGGATGGTCTGTCTCCTGACCTCGGATCTGCCCACCTTGGCCTCCCAAAGTGCTGGGATTACAGGCGTGAGCCACCACGCCCGGCCAACCATTCTCCTTTCACTTGCACCTCAGTTACCTCCTCTGAACAAAGAAGGGAATGAACTCACCCCATGGTGCTGTTACGCTATTTAAATGTGACAGTAAGGCACCAAGCAGAGGGCCTGGCACAACACAAAGGTCTCCTGTAAATGGTAGCTGCTGCCGTTGTCCCCAGCTGTATGGTCCTGGGCAGCATGTGTAAATGATTTAATATTTTCTTTCTTCTTTGCAAAATGGGATAGGGAGAGTTTCTCTGGTGATGAAATGCGATCATAGTGGCATAGGAGGTAGCGCATGCCCATCACGGTGTAGCTGCTCAGAGTGCTGCCTCTCTCATTGCTGATCCATGTCCTGATTCCTTCCCAGCTTCCTGACACTAAGGATGAGTATAAGATAGATGCTATTGTCATCCCTGTTTTATAGACGAGGAACCAGGCTCACAGAGCTTAGATGACTTGCCCATGATTACAGAGCCATTAATTGATGGAGCCTGGAATTGGACCGAAATTTGGCAACAGAGTTCTCTGCCTTTCCAGACCTGTTGATTTTGGTCTTTCAGACGTTGCTAGGAGAGCCCTGAAGTACTTGATCAGCCCAAGTCTGTAAGAGGGCATAAGAGCAGGTCCTGGTTGTGTTTGGCCCAGTCTGAGAGGGCCTAGAGTTAGAAGGTAGAGTGCACTTTGAGGAGTTTGTGGGCCAGGGTTAGCTCATCCCTCCCTGGGGTGGGGAGTGATCAGTTGGCAGCTGTGCCGGGAGAGGGAGCTGGTGGCCTGGGGCGCGGTGGTTGTGTATGAAGCTGGAGGCTTGGGCTCAGGGGAGACCTGAGCATGGGGAAGGAGCATCGTGAGCATGGTGGGAGTTGTGGCACTGTGGGGGGGGCTCATGGGGACCGTGTCCATCCTCCCTCCAGAATCTCCTGCTGTGTGTCCTAACTGTGGTAGTGACCACGTGGTTCTCCTCGCTGTGTCTCGGGGAACCCCCAACAGGGAGCGGAAACAGGGAGAGCAGTCTCTGGCTCCTTCTCCGTCTGCCAGCCCTGTCTGCCACCCTCCTGGCCATGGTGACCACCTTGACAGGGCCAAGAACAGCCCACCTCAGGCACCGAGCACCCGTGACCATGGTAGTTGGAGCCTCAGTCCCCGTGAGTATAGGCAAAACAAGACATAGATGAGTTTGGGGAAGGGAAGGGGCACTGATGGGGAGGTGGAGATGGAGCCCAGGGGCTGCCATGGGCAGGCTGATGCCCCCTCATTGCCCTCAGCCCCTGAGCGCTGTGGCCTCCGCTCTGTGGACCACCGACTCCGGCTCTTCCTGGATGTTGAGGTGTTCAGCGATGCCCAGGAGGAGTTCCAGTGCTGCCTCAAGGTCTGTGCTCCCTGACACTGCCCATGCCCCCAGCTGTCCAGGGTGCCCACTCGTTTCCATCACAGCCAACTGAGTCAGATCAAGCACTCTAGAGACCTGATCTGGCTTCTGGTTTCAACCCCAGCAGCTTCTTGCTGTGTGGCCGTGGACACATTCCCTGGTATTTGAGTCCCAGTTGTTGCCTGTCTGCAATGGAGATAACGATGCCTCCCTTACACAGTGGCGTGCGTCAGGGCTCATGTTGAAGCTGCCCAGCCCAGCACCTGGCACTCATCAATGGGGCCTCCTAGCATTATTATAAACACATGATGTCGTTAGGCCTTTGTTGAGCACCTGTTGTGCTAGACATTGAGGATCTACAGATCAATCTTGCCCTTGATCTTACAGTCTGGTGTGAGAAGCTGACAATGATTATGCAATATGCAAATGCTGTAATCGGGCTAAGGCCCTTGAAGGGGTGTCTAGTCCAGCTTGAGTGGGTCAAGGAACCTTCCTGGGAGGTGATGTCTAAGCTCAGTCTTGAAGGGTAAGTTAAGGAGTAGGGAGGAAAAGAATGTCTTAGGTAAAGGAAGCCGCAAATGCATGGAGGCCCGAGAGTGTCGCTGGTGGGGAGAACTGCCCAGGATGAGGGCACCTGGACATGCAGGGCGAGGGGCAGGGGTCCTGAGAGGACTCTGGGGGGCCGGCAGGGGCCAGGTCAGGAGCTGCCTCCTGTGTCTGCCAAGGAGTTTGGACTTGTTTCTGAGGGCCACTGGGAGCCACTGAAGGATTTGAAATGGGGCAGTGATGGTCAGTTTTGTGCCTTAGAATAGTTAGTCTGGCGGAGCGTGGAGGGGGTGAGGCGACAGGCAGGGAAGCCAGCTGCTGAGGCTCTGAGCGGGCAGGGGCTGCAAGGCAGAGAGCGGTGGTGGATGAAGAGGCTGTCGAGTGTGAGGGAAGCTCCATAGACTGGTGGGTGGGCAGTGGGAGGGTCAGGCCGAGGGTGCTGTCACCAGGAACTCGGCTTTCAGTCTGGCCCCACCTCCCCAGGCCTCTCATCAGGTTTCTCACCAACTTCCTCTTCCCCCAGGTGCCAGTGGCATTGGCAGGCCACACTGGGGAGTTCATGTGCCTTGTGGTTGTGTCTGACCGCAGGCTGTACCTGTTGAAGGTGACTGGGGAGATGCGGTGAGTGAGAGGGGAGATGCAGTGAGTAAGGGGGGAGATGGGGTGAGTTGGGGGGAGATGGGGGAGTGAGGGGGAAGATGGGGTGAGGGGGGAGATGGGGTGAGTGAGGGGGGAGATGGGGTGTTAAGGGGGGAGATGGGGTGAGTGAGGGGGGAGATGGGGTGAGAGAAGGGGGAGATTGGGTGAGTGAGGGGGAGGTGGGGTGAGTGAGGGGGGAGGTGGGGTGAGTGGGGGGGAGGTGGGGTGAGTGGGGGGGACGTGGGGTGAGTGAAGGGGGAGATGGGGTGAGTGGGGGGCGGAGATGGGGTGAGTGGGGGGCGGAGATGGGGTGAGTGAGGGGGGAGATGGGGTGAGTGAGGGGGAGATGGGGTGAGTGAGGGAGGAGATGGAATGAGGGGGAAGATGGGGTGTGGTGAGCGCACGGGGGTGATGCAGTGAGTGAGGCAGGTGCAGCTGGGGCAGGGCCTCTCTGGGACTCTCACTCCACTCTCATGCTTCTCCATTGCTCTGTCCCCTCTCTCCACAGTGAGCCTCCAGCTAGCTGGCTGCAGCTGACCCTGGCTGTTCCCCTGCAGGATCTGAGTGGCATAGAGCTGGGCCTGGCAGGCCAGAGCCTGCGGCTAGAGTGGGCAGCTGGGGCGGGCCGCTGTGTGCTGCTGCCCCGAGATGCCAGGCATTGCCGGGCCTTCCTAGAGGAGCTCCTTGGTGAGAGAGGGGAGGGGAAGGCAGGAGGGTGGGCAGGAGGGTGGGCAGGGCCTTGGGGCCAGGCTCCCCACCTGGTACCCAGTAGCGGAGACAGAGAGGTAACAGGACTTGTCCCTTGTAGAAGTTTCTGAAATCCAGAAATGTGGAGAATAGGAAGGGATTGAGAGGTGGTGAGTTTAGGCTGGAGGAGAGCAGAGCCTTCTAAAGTTCCCTGGCCTGCCTCTGTCTAGATGTCTTGCAGTCTCTGCCCCCTGCCTGGAGGAACTGTGTCAGTGCCACAGAGGAGGAGGTCACCCCCCAGCACCGGCTCTGGTGAGTCGATAGGAGGCAGAGGCTGGGGTTGCTGCCCAATCCTCTTTCCACAGAGCCCCAGACATGGCCCTGTGCTGAGTAGGTCCTGGGCAGCCACCTGTCCTCATGCCATGCCCCTTATGGGCCCCTAGTGTCTCCTCCCAACCCCCTGCAGGGCTTTCTTCCCACTCCCCTCTCTTCAAGTCCTTCCCACCCGCTAGCTGATCTTCCTGTGCCTGCCATATTCCCTCTAGGCCATTGCTGGAAAAAGACTCATCCTTGGAGGCTCGCCAGTTCTTCTACCTTCGGGCGTTCCTGGTTGAAGGTGAAGCCTCTGTGCAGCTGATGCTTCCCTGGTCTCTGTACCCTACCTTGTCACAGGCACTGGCCCACGCGCAGCACCTGTACAGTGCCCTTGCAGCAACTGTCAGTTCCTGGAACCTGGAGAACCTCTCACTTGAGGGCATAGCTGAGTAACAGCCTCAGTGTGCCCTGACCCTCTGGGTGGGGTTAGGAGGCACCCAGGATCCTCAGTTACCCAGAGCCTTTGCTCTCGGGCCCAGGCTTTCTATGAAGTGGAGCAGCGTGGCTGAGTCGGCCCTGCCTCATCAGTCACAGAAGGAGAGGGTGGAGCCTTGTTTCTGAGTAGGGTGGGTGTGGGGCAGTGGGGGGCGGTAGGCCTCAGAGGTATTCCAGAGTAGAGATTCATGGAGCTTGGGAAAGGGAGGGTCTTGGCCCCAGGGGCACAGGCTGCTTTGTGACCCACCTCAGAGTGTGGTTCACACCTCTTCTCCCCAGCAGCACTGGGACGCTGGCCCCAGGGATCTGGGCCCCTCCATGACCTTCCACACTGGATGCCTCTTTCCCTGCAGGCCCTTCCACCTGCCTCGTATCCCTGTTGCTGACTCCGTCCACCCTGTTCCTGTTAGATGAGGATGCTGCAGGGTCCCCGGCAGAGCCCTCTCCTCCAGCAGCATCTGGCGAAGCCTCTGAGAAGGTGCCTCCCTCGGGGCCGGGCCCTGCTGTGCGTGTCAGGGAGCAGCAGCCACTCAGCAGCCTGAGCTCCGTGCTGCTCTACCGCTCAGCCCCTGAGGACTTGCGGCTGCTCTTCTACGATGAGGTGTGTATGTGTATCTCCAGTGAGAGGGAGGGAGGGGAGATGGTGAGCACAGGTTGGGGCCATGAGGGCAGGGTGGGAAATGGGTCTAGGAACCCTGGGCATTGGTGGCAGGATGGCACTTACAGATGAGAGAACTAGGGTTGGAGGAACTGGGGGACTCTAGGCTTGGATGAATATCAAGTCAGGGAGGCAGCTGTAGGCAGGGGAGACACCTGGACTGGGAGCCCAGCCATTTAGCTGGGCCACGAGGCTTTCAGTGAGGTTTCCGGCAGCTTTGAGTTGGCAGGATTGGGCCGGTTGTATGCCAGCCGTTTGGCCTTTGTGACCACCACCTGAGGAGATACGGTTACTGGTCCTATTTACAGGTGAGGAAGCTGAGGCTTGGGGATGTTAACCAGTTTGCCCAGTCCAAAGTGGTGGAGCCGGGAATTGAATCCACAGTTCCCTGAAATTGAGCCCGCATCTTCTGTACAACAGGGAAGATGAAAAAGACAGGTCCTCTGGAGGCTTTCAGTAAACGTCGGCTGGATTCTGTTTACAAAGCTCAGAGTCAGGATCTTTTATGGGGAGTGACATGGGCCTGGGGAAGGGGAGAGGCACTGAGCCAAGGTGGAGACAGTGAGGCCTTCGCAGAGACCTCCCTTGTACCCACCCTGGTGTGGTCCCCATGAGCCTCGCCTTGCTAACTGCTCGGTCTGCCAGGTGTCCCGGCTGGAGAGCTTTTGGGCACTCCGTGTGGTGTGTCAGGAGCAGCTGACAGCCCTGCTTGCCTGGATCCGGGAACCATGGGAGGAGCTGTTTTCCATCGGACTCCGGACAGTGATCCAAGAGGCGCTGGCCCTTGACCGATGAGGGTCCCACGCTGACCTTGGCCCTGACCTCAGGAGCCACGCTGTAGACATTCCCTCTCCTGGTCTCTGGGTCTGGCTTCCAGGCTCTGGCTGTGGATGTCTTCAGCCTCTGGGTGCTGGCCAGTGAGGTCCCAAATGACCCAGGGCTTAAGGGAGAGGCGAGAGAATGATCTGGCCTCAGGGGACAGGCCACCTGGTCAGGAGGAATATTTTTCCTGCACTTTTTCTCAGGTATCAATAAAGTTGTTTCCAACTCATAGGTCATGTGTGGTACTTAGAGTCACTCATAAGGCCTGCAGTTCCCCTAACCTCTTCTGACAGAAGCTATCCCACCCATCACCTTTCCTGAATGGGCAGCTCCAAGCAGCCTTGTTTGTGCCATGAGACCCCATCTCCAACCCAACTGTGGTCCCAGCATGGGAGATCAAGTAGAGCTCCTGACCCACAGGCACACAGCCCCAAGCTGGCAGTGACTTGTCATGTGGCCCGGCATGGAATTGCTGCCAAACAAGTAGCTGGGCCAGATACGGTCCTGCTCTCTTGAACTTTACATGGAAAGTAGTGAGGACTTCAGGCCATCGCAGAGGGTGTCTGGGGAGAGGGTGTGTGGAGTTGAGTGGTGACCTCTGGTGCTTCCTGCCATTGCCTTCTCAGCACCGCCTCACTCAGCCTGGAGGCCTGGATGGTCAGCCCCACTCCCTCACCTCTTGTCTCCAAGTCTGGCCCCAGTGATTGGTTCAGGAATCCTCATGTGAATTCGTTTGGCTTATGAAGCCCCAGCGCAGGCATTTGACTAGAGCAACCAAGAAGGAGGCAAGTTTCCTCTCAGGGTTGCTGTGAGGATAAGCCTGGAGCTGCTGGCTGTGGGGAGGCGCTTTCCTAAAGTGGAACCATGAGAGAGAGGAAGATGGCCCAGATGGAGAGAGCAGGGCCAGACTCTGGGGATATCTTTGAAGCCCCTGGGTCTAGTTGTGCCCGAAGACAGAAACCCCTGTGACTTTAGGTAACATGATCTAAAAAAGAAGCCCTCCCCTCCCTGTTTCTATGGCTTAAGCTAATTCGAAGCAAGTATGAGCCACCAAGAGTCCCAACTAAACAAACCCCGACTCCAACTTGAGCTGGGCTGAGATCTGTTTCTTGTACCCAAGAATGAACACAATGGAGATCATTACAGCCACACAGTTGTGCAGAGAGGCTCTGGTTCTTGGTTCCGATTCTGAAGTGAGGCAGAATGATTAATCCAGCTCACTTTTTGTGTCAGGTCTATGGCCTTGACCACTTTGTGACCCGACTGCTTGGTGGGAACAGCAGTACTGGGGCTGTGTCACTGGGGCCTTCTACCTGGAAAGGATGTGGGAAGGGTTGCCTGGCCTAACCAGCCCACTACATCTCTAAATCCATGGGGCGAACTTTTTAAAAATGAAAAAGGGTCATTGAAAATCCTGTACTTTTACATTTATTTAAAATTATTTAAAATGTATTTAAAAGAATGTATACAGGAAAAAAATGTATACTGTACTTAAGAATGTAGAGTGAGTTGCTCTCATATGCCTGACCCCCTAACTCTAGATTCAAGCATTCTTACCCAATTTTTGTGTATCTGCTTAAAATCTCAGTGCATGTACACAATTTTCCCCAGAAAAGGGTAATTAAGCCATTCACTTCCATTTAGAAAAAAGATTGGCCGGGTGCACTGGCTCACGCCTGTAATCCCAACACTTTGGGAGGCTGAGGCGGGCGGATCACGAGGTCAGGAGATGGAGACCTTCCTGGCTAACATAGTGAAACCCTGTCTTTACTAAAAATACAAAAAATTAGTGGTGGAGGTGGGCGCCTGTAGTCCCAGCTACTCTGGAGGCTAAGGCAGGAGAATGATGTGAACCCGGGAGGCGGAGCTTGCAGTGAGCCAAGATGGTGCCACTGCACTCCAGCCTGGGCGACAGAGCAAGACTCCGTCTCAAAGAAAGAAAAAAGATGATTTCTAAGATTAGTTTCTCCCTGGCAGGTCTGGCCTGCTTTGGCGGGAGAGTAGGGGGGGAATGGTAGGAGTCATGGAACCGGCTAGTTGGGAAATGCTGGCTGGGGTAGAGGCCTCTTGGAAACAGCTGCAGAGGCTGAGGGCCCAGAAAGATCTGTGCAGAGGCCCAGAAAATAAATTCACCTACTTCTGTTTTGCTCAGAACTGCCCTCAATTTTTAATTGAAGCAAATTAAAACTTCCCAAAAATATTAGTCCACTTTCTTGGCAAGGTACACAGCCCCTTCTCAGTCAGTGATTTTGGACCATCTGCAAACAGGAGCTGGTACTGGTCCTGAGGAAGGCCTTTCCCTGGCCAGAGGCTGCCCTTCACACCAGGCCTGTTTGCAGGCACTTCCCCAGAAGCCGGGTCAAATCAGGCCATGGTGCAGATGGGGCAGAATAATCTCCAGTCATTCAAGGTGATTGGTAGAGAAGTGCGAGGCAGGGAGTTGGAAGAGGAGTTCCTTCCATTTCTTTGTGCTTACCATCTCTGTGAACACCTTGTTTTCTAGAACAGTGCAGTGGAGTCTTCTGCAGTGTTTATGCAAAAGTGCTCTTTTTTTGGTGACGCAGAAGACAGAGGTCAAGTGTGAGGTCATCACCACTCCTGGAGGTGTCTGTCCCTTTAGTTCTGCACCTCACTAGGAGCAGATGAACCAGGTGCACCTGCCCCTCTGACCCTTCCGCCCTCTGAGCAAAGGTGACTGCTTTCCCACTGGTGCTCAGCACAGGTGTCAGTAGGAGGCCCTTGACCCTGGACAACTCCCAGAGATGGATTCCTCCATTCAGTCTGGCCTTTTCCCTCCAGCAAGTGCTTATTGATTGCCTGGCCTCTGTTTGGCCTTGGGCTTGCTGGCATGAAGGACGCAGACCTCTGGCTCCTGGAAAGCAGTGGAGAGAAGGGATCCTCTCACCTGAAACTAAATCCAAGGGAGAAGCAGGAAATCAGTGGTGGGGAATGAAGATGAGGATGAGGAGGAAGGGGCACAGAGGTGGTATTGAGGGTTTTTTTTTTTTTGTACTTAGAAAAATTAAAAACCCTCTGTATTATAAATTCAAAAATTATATTTAAAAATTTATATAAGGCCCTAGGGGGGTTAGTGACTTAACTAAGTGATAGAAAAATCAATGACTAAGACTTCAGAAGCAGGGAGCAGGCCAGCTCGACAGACCTGTCTCTTTTTCTCTGTAGGAAAGGGTCTGTCTTTGCCACGTGGAGGCGACATCCTCCACCCTTGTCAAGATGCTGCGGTAGCTTCTGAAGAGACCCTACCCAGATTGTTTGGCTGTGGTTGAAAATTCAGCTATGGTTCTGTGTGTTATGTTTTGCCCATCACTGAGCACATGCATTATTTCACATCTATCTATTCATCTACTCAAGGGGTGGTGTGGTGTGGTGGTATAGGAAAAGAGATGGTGGATTTAGCTCTAAAACATCCAGGGTTATGCCTTAGTTTTGTGGCTCCATATTTAATCACAAAAGTGCTCACCCTTGTTCCCTCATCTACTGCATGGGGATGAGACTGATCAGTAACTTACCTAGTTCACAAAATTGTTGTGTGTAATCATGTATATGGAAGTACTATGTGGTCCATAAAACATGAAATAAGTGCTGGTTAAAAACCTGCCTAGGCCGGGTGCGGTGGCTCACGCCTGTAATCCCAGCACTTTGGGAGGCTGAGGCAGGTGGATTGCCTGAGGTCAGGAGCTCAAGACCAGCCTGGCCAACATGGTGAAACCCTGTCTCTACCAAAAATACAAAAAATTAGCTGGGCATGGTGATGGGTGCCTGTAATCCCAGCTACTTGGGAGGCTGAGGCAGGGAGAATTGCTTGAACCCGGGAGACAGAGGTTGCAGTGAGCTGAGATCGTGCCATTGCACTCCAGCATGGACAACAGAGCGAGACTCCGTCTCAAAAAACAAAGAAACAAACAAAAACCTGCCTATTACTTATCACAAGCTGCTTTGTTGCCTGGAAATACTATTTGTAATCAAAAGAGGGAAGGGCCAGGCATGGTGGCTCACGCCTGTAATCCCAGCACTTTGGGAGGCTGAGGCGGGTGAATCACCTGAGGTCAGGAGTTTGAGACCAGCCTGACCAAGATGGTGAAACCCCATCTCTAAAAATACAAAAATTAGCTGGGCCTGGTGGCAGGTACCTGAAATCCCAGCTACTCAAGAGGCTGAGGCAGGAGAATTGCTTGAACCCGGGAAGTGGGTTGCAGTGAGCTGAGATCATGCCATTGCACTCCAGCCTGGGCAACAGAGCAAGACTCCATCTCAAAAAAAAAAAAAAAAAAAAGCCTGCATTTTATTGCCCATGTGTTTCTAAGGGGATATGTCTTCAGACGCTTCTGGGGAAAGGAGTGAACCATAGCATAGTTGTTGTTCTTTTGGCCCATCTTTGTCATTTGATTGTTTTGGACTCAGTGACTTTTCCATTCTCCACAAAAACATTCTTCAGTTTATTAGTTACTATAATTACTTGTGCACTTGCTTTCAATTCCACAGACATTTATTGAGCTCTTAGAACGTGCCAGGATGTATGTGAGAAGATGGGGGCAGGGATCCAAGGATGAATCAGATGTGCTCCTGCCTCCAAGGAGCTTATGGTCCAGGGAGGAAACGGGGAAAGGTGCCCTGGTGGTGGTCGCGAAGGCTGGGTAAGGTTACAGTAGGAGAATACTGCGATAGTGACTGTTTCTGATCACCTGCTCTAATAATTTTGTTCACGTTATTTCACTCAGTACGACCACCCTGAATGAAAAGTGTGATCTCTATTTCACAGGTGAGGAAGCTGAGGCTCAGGTTAAATACAGGGAATCTCACCAAGGGGATACTAGATGTCAAACTTGGGCCATCTGTCTGGAATCTGTGCTCTTTCCTCTCAACTGTGTTGCCTCTCAGGCCTTCCAGAGTGCCCACCCTACTTCCCCCTTCAGTCCCTTTCCTTTTTTTTGACTGGAGTCTCATTCTGTTGCCCAGGCTGGAGTGCAGTGGCACAACCTTGGCTCACTGCAACCTCCGCTTCTAGGGTTCAAGCGATTCTCCTGCCTCAGCCTCCCGAGTAGCTGGTATTACAGGCATGTGCCACCAGGCCCAGCTAATTTTTGTATTTTTAGTAGAGATGGGGTTTTGCCATGTTGGTCAGGCTGGTCTTGAACTCCTGACCTCAGGTGATCCACCTGCCTTGGCCTCCCAAAGTGGTGGGATTATAGGCGTGAGCCACCATGCCTGACCTTCAGTTCTTTTCTATGCATCTCCTTGTGGCACCAACTTCCAGGGAAACCACATTCTTCCAGAAAAACACAAACCAGATCATCTAAATATCCAGGCAGACTGTTCTTTCCTGCCATAGGGCCTTTCCAGGCTCTTCCTTCTGCCTAGAATGTTCTTCTCTCCCCACTTCTCCAACTCACCCTTCATGGCATGGCCAGTTCTTTCGTTCCCTTCAGGTTTTTCCTCCTTGTCACCTTCTTACAGAGGATGACCCTAATCCTACTTCCTGAATGTTCACTGTAACTGTCCTTTCCCTTCATGGCCTTTGCCATGTTTTTTAATTATAAGTTGTGTTTGCTTGTTTGTTGTCTTTAAGGTACCCAAGAACAGGGACCAGGATTTTTTCACCAATATATACGCAACCTGGCATGGAGTTCTGAGTGAGTGTGTGAGCTTCAGTTTACACACTGGGTGCGTGAAATGTTACTTCATAACACTGGCAAAACAGCCTGATTTTATTTCAAGCCCCCATCCCACAGGGTTAGCAGGACTCACTGACTTCACTTTCTCCCCTCTCTGCATCTTGGGGACCCTCCTGCTTTGCTGATGGGGAAGGTCAAAGGGTCTGCTCCTCCACTCCTTCCCCATCTTCCAGCCAAGACACTGTCTCTCTTGCTAACCCTCTTCCTCTTTCTTCCTTCACAAACCTCCCTTGGTTCCCTAAAGCATTGTCTCTGGAAGAACAAAAGGCAGAAGGGCTCGTAGGCGATTTCTGCTTTCTGTCCTACCCATTCGCCCCAAATAACAAAACTCGAAGCAGGTTACCTGCTTGGGTAGGGGCAGAAGAGGAGCATGCAAGGACATAGATCTGTATCTCAAAATTCTATGTTAGCCAAATACATCAGTAAAGACGGGAGCTGGAAGGTGGATTCTGCAGGGGTGGGAGAAACTTCAGGGACATTGGTGCTGTCCTGAGATTGGATTTATTTCAAAGTTGAGTCCAAATTTACCAAGCAACCCATGAATTATGATGGGATAAACCACCGCAGAGTAACAACGATAGTAAATAATAAGAATGTCATTTATTGAGCACCTATTTTGTGCCAAGCATTCAACTGGCATTTTACATATAGCATCTCTAACTCCAGAGTCTGAGCTCTTTCTCAATGCCATGTTATCTCTTGTGTAAAAATAAGATCTTACTCACCACCAGGCCAGTCAGCAGCAAATGGCACTGGGTGCTCTGCTGTGGGGAGTGGGGAGATACTTTTGGCAAGAGTCTAAGTGAAACTGGGGCTAGCTCAACCCATACCCTGCTCTATTCCAGAAACTCTCCAGCCTGCCAAGTTAGGTTTTCCAAGGCAAAGATTGGTCCATGACCAAAGAGTGTCACAATCTACCCTGGTGGGGATAAAAGTCATTCTGGATGTCCCCACCTTCTTAGAGTTTGCAATTGTCATATTTAATATGGCTCTTAGAATTATTGCTCTGGTAAGGACAAGCTTTTGCTTATTTTACGTGTGTACATTTCACCATTTTTTCACAGTGCAAGTTATTTGAGGACTTTTTGGTATTTTTGTCTCTTAGATTTGTAGTAGTATTGAAACTAGCTAACAGTGTTGAGCACTTACTATAGGCCAGTCACCCTTTTATACAAATGAACTCATTTCATCCTCTCAACAACCCTGTTATTATTGCCATTTTACAGATAGGCAATCTGAGACCCAGAGAGGGCAAATAACTTGATCAAAGTCACACAACTGTCAAGTGGCAGAACTGTGCTATGAACTCAGGCGGCTTGGCTCTAGAGGTCTCACATTTAACTATTCCCCTATACAGACGCTAGTCACAAAGATGCAGTCTCCTTGAAAAGTCGATCTGGGAAGTTAGTGGTCTATTTCAGTTTGTGCCCATGGCATGGAAGGTCTAACAGTTGTGGGAGGGCATCAAGACATGGTGGGGGAGGCTGGGCATGGTGGCTCATGCCTGTAATCACAGCACTCTGAGAGGTCGAAATGGGTGGATCACTTGAGGTCAGGAGCTCGAGACCAGCCTGGCCAACATGGTGAAACCCCATCTCTACTAAAATTGCAAAAATTATCTGGGTGTGGTGCCCGTCTATAGTCCCAGATACTTGGGAGGCTGAAGCAGGAGAATCGCTTGAGCCCGGGAGGCAGAGGTTGCAGTGAGCCAAGATTGTGCCATTGCACTCCAGCCTGGGTGACAGAGCGAGACTCTGTCTCAAAAAAAAAAAAAAAAAAAAAAAAGACATGGTGCGGGGAGGTACTGTGGTATGTGATATATGAGGATAAATATAGGACATAAAGCCAGAAGCCCTTGCATCTGCTTCTGGCCATGTTGCCTATGAGCCTTAGACCTTGGGCAAGCCAATTAAACTTACCAAGCCTCATTTTTCTCACTTGTCAAATGGGGTTAAGATGCTCTACCACAGAGGGTTGTTGTGAGGAACCAATGAGAATATGAATATTAAAGTGGCTTGTAAGCTGGAAAGCACTACCTGCATTTAAAATAATGAAGTTATCATTGTTGTTATCCTTAAGAGCACTGGATGGAGATGATGGCGAATGACACAGTAATCATAAGACAGGCAGGGGCTACCCAGGCCTGTTAACAGGAGGGCCATTCCCTCACATCCTCTCTGCCAGCTCCTTGATGTTGGCATCACTAATGTCTGGTGCCTGCTCATCCCATGACCTAGACTTAGAGCCCATTCCCCTGATTCTAGCAGTCAGGATGACTAGTTGGAAATAACAGCCACTTTAAGCTGGAAGGGAATTTACTAAAAAATAATGAGGATTAGAGGGTATTCTCGGGAGGAATAGAGAGCAAGGACTTAATGACCAGCTATAACATGAGAACTTCTCTGCCTTCCATGCCTGCAGAAGTCTGAGTCTCCTGTGCACAATGCTCACTTCTAAATTCAGGTCTTGCACAGGTGAGTCTGACTGGTGGAACCGAGGTCAGTATCTGTGCCCTGGCTGCAATGGTTTTCTGGCTTCTATCTTGGCAAGAGAAGACTTATGAGAAATGACCAAAATGTAAAAGTGGGTTTTCAAAGATCTGGGTGGCCACAGATGACAGATATCTGCCATACTGGTCTAGTTCCCAGCACGCTGGACCCGCAGAGTGATTTCAGGGAACAGAATCAGAGGAATCCACCCGAGGGCTTCTGGCCCATTCATGGGGAGCCCAGAGAACGGTGTGCTTTGCCTCCAAATCTGGGTGGTGTGGCGGGATGGCTCCTGCTCCTTCGGACCTAAGGGACAGGCTGTGGTGCTGCTGCATGTGCAGACAAGTGTCCTATGCTGCCAGCATGCAGGGTGGGGACATTCCTGTGAGACTGGACTGTGAGGAAGGGTGTGACAGTTGGCTACTGCTCTAAGCTGGCCTGTCGCTGGCTTCAGCCTTTGCTGTCACCTTTCCTGTCACCATTTCAGTGTCTACAGGCTGTAAGCTAGAAGCTGACACATACCCAGAGTGGCCATCCTTTGTGCATGCAAGGAGTGCTCTTTTGTCACAGAAATGAAGACCCCATCGGGAACACACTGTAGGGGACTGACAATTACAGGTGCGCCGCAGGCAGGATGTCAAAGACGAGAGCGGGCCTAATGAAAGCATGCGTTTATGTCTAATAGGATGAGTTGGTGGGTGTCAGCATCATCTTACTCCCCCCAGCCTGGAAAGAAAGAGATAAACATGGGTGTCTAAAGGCTCTTCAAGGGGAGATTTTACTCCATCATCTCAGAGGGGTGGAGGAGAGAGGAAGGTCTGTAAGGGTAGAGAACGAAGCCTCAGACTCTGGGTGGGGTGCGGGTCTCCAACTGAAAGAATGGGGGTCTGGGGCTACCAAAAGTTGAGGGCCTGTGCTCAGCATCCTCTCTGGGGTGGATGGAACCTCAGAGGGACAAGTCCTGTGACACCCTTATGGCATCTTGGTGTGCAGGATGTACATGGCCTGGTACACCAGGGGTCCCTGGTTGGCAAGACCCTTCTCAGGCTGTCTCAGTATTAAAGTAACTGCTGTCTGACTTTACAGACTAGAGGAGCGGGGCTGGGAACACAATGTCGAGGTGGATTGAAGACCAGAGCCCCTGTGCAATGCCGACCAGGAAAGGTTCCAAGGCTCTTGAGTGTCTCTAAGGACGTGAAGGCCCTACCAAAACAAAATTCAAGGTAGGGACTTGGAACCACATTGCCTGGCTCAGAGGAATAAAGAATTGGGATAGCTCTGGTTTGCTAGGGCTACTGTAACACAGTATCATAAACCCAGTGGCTTAAACAATGGAAATCTACTGTCTTACAGATCTGGAGGCTAGAAGCCAGACATCGAGGTGTCTGCAGGGCTAGGCTCTCTCTGAAGGGACTAGGGAAGGATCTGTTCCAGGCCTCTCTCCTAGCTTTGGTAGTTCCTTGGCTTGTGGCAGCATAACTCCAGTCTTCACAAAGCGTTCTCTGAATGCACGTCTCTTTGTCCAAATTTCCCCCATATATATATATACATATATTTTTTTTTTTTGAGATGGAGTCTTGCTCTGTCACCCAGGCTGGAGTGCACTGGCACGATCCCTGCTCACTGCAACCTCTGCCTCCTGGGTTCAAGCAATTCTCCTGCCTCAGCCTCCTGAGTAGCTGGGATTACAGGCGTGTGCCACCACGCCCAGCTAATTCTTAGTAGAGACAGGGTTTTACCATGTTGGCCAGGCTGGTCTCGAACTCCTGATCTCACGTGATCCACCCGCCTTGGCCTCCCAAAGTGCTGGGATTACAGGTGTGAGCCACCGCACCTGGCCAATTTCCCCTTTTCACTGGAACACCAGTCATAATGGATGAGTCCACCCTTATCTTAACATCTGCAAGAACGTTATTGCCAAATAAGGGCACACTCTGATGTACCAGGGGTTAGGACTTCAACGTATAAATTTTGGGGGACACTACTCAACTCCCAACAGCTGGGTCTCCCATTCTGAGTTTTGGGGCACAGCTGTGCTCTGCCTAGGCATAGCTGATTCCCACCCTAGGAATTCCCACCTTGGGACTCACCATGTGAGACTTAGGAGGACAGTTCATCTCTTTCAGTTAAAAATTTTGTTTGTGGCTTGGAGAGTCACTTCAATACATGGATAATGATGCCCAAACCTGTCGGCAGCCTGCTTTCCAGCTGTGACCATGGCAGGTAACGAGCCTCCCTGAGTCTCCACTGTCCTCTGCCGACCAAATGGGAATCATAACAGCTCCTCTTATTATTATGCCTGAGACGAGGCAGCCAGTCTGGAGAGGGCCAACCTAGCACAGGACTGTGAGCACACACAAGACAATGTGGGCGTCCAACAGATCCTAGCTCCCTTCCCCTTGGAAGGCTATGCACACAGAAAATCTTTCCTTGGGTTGAGCTGAGATCTAGATGAGGCCAGGGGTCAGACGCGGTGAAGTACCAAGGTCACAGGGCTGTTATGGCATCGCACTGTGTAGAAGTCCAGTTTCATTGATCTCGGGATAGGGGCCGATTGGGGTCCAGTGGCTCCTTCGAAAGACCTTTTGCCCTTGGAAAATGAGATGTGACCTCAGGGATAGGGGGAGAAGGGAGAGGAAATGTGGAAACGGAGCCACACAGTCTTAGAGTTGCATAGAACTTTGGAACACCCCTATTGCAGGCCCCTCTCGCTACAGCTGGGGAAGCTGAGGCGGGAGGAGGGGAGGTACTGTGTCAAGGTCAAACGTTGGGTGGTGCCAGGCGACAGAAGCCAGGCCTTTGAGAGGCAAGGCTGTGGTAGAAATGAAAGGGGAGGTGGTGGGTGCTTCCAGGGGTCTGTGAGCTCCGTTCCCAAGACTGGAGGGGCCTGTGTCTGCGGAGGGGGTGGCTTCCTGGGCTCTGGAGGGGAGGGGAGGCTAAAAGCAGGGTTGGGGAGCGAATCTGGGGGATTGTGGGAATATCGGGCCGCGCCCCAGCCCCCAGCGATGCGTGGGGCGCCTGGAGAAGGGGCGCACGGGCAGGTGGGGTGCTGCGGGGCCCGCGCGTGGGGGCCGCGCCGGCCGGGGCGGGGTGAGTCACGGCCCGCCCGCTCCCATTGTGCGGCCCGGCGGCGGCGGCGGCGGCGGCGGCGGCGGCGGAGGTGCGGAGCGGAGCGCGAGGAGGTGGAGCCGCGGGCTGCGGGCTCCGGCGCCTGCGTCCGCCCGGCCAGCCCGGCTCTGCGCTGCGAGAGGCCGGACGGCAGTCGCGGCTGCGCTCGGGAGAGAGCGCGGGGGACATGGGGCGCGGCGGCCCGCCTGGGCCTCGCAGGCTCCGGAGCCCCGAGGTACCGCGGGGCGGGGCACGCCGGGCAGGGCGGGGGACCCGGGCTGTCCCGGGCGTGGCTGGGCCTCGGAGGGGCGCTTGGGCCGGGAGCGTGCATCCGGCTCCCGGGTGGGGGGCGCCAGCGCAAGGAACCTGACCCCGCCCTCCTCCCCCAGGGCTCCCCGCTAGGCCCCCTCAGTGGCCCCTCCTTCTCACCTGGGTCTCGGGTCCCCTAGTGAGCGAGAGCGTCCCCAGCCGCCTACCTGGCCATGGCCAACGGAGTGATCCCGCCGCCCGGGGGCGCCTCCCCCCTACCCCAGGTGATCGGCGCGCGCGGGGGCGGGGGAGAGATGGGGGAGGAGAGGGGAGGGACCTTAGGGTGGGCAGAGGAGTCCTCTGGCCGACCCCGGGACCCCCCAGATCCAGGGATGAGCTGGGCTGGGGGTTACGGAGAAAGAGGGGGGTTTTTGATATTTTCCAGATCCGTAGCCCTCTCTCTTTACAAGCTCTGGGAGCCCAGAGAGGGTGGTTTCTGGGATGCTGACACAGGCCTGGGAGCAAGGGGAGGGGGCCCGATGGTGTGAGAGCCTGCTGAGCTCCCCCAACTAGGGCTTGGAGTTGGGGTGGGTGTGGGGCCTTCATGGGTCAGGGGTCCTTAGCAGAGGCCGTCTGGGCCTGCAGGTCCGGGTGCCCTTGGAGGAGCCCCCTCTAAGTCCAGACGTGGAGGAGGAGGACGATGACTTGGGCAAGACCTTGGCTGTGAGCAGGTTTGGGGACCTCATCAGCAAGCCCCCGGCCTGGGACCCCGAGAAGCCCAGCCGCAGCTACAGCGAGCGGGACTTTGAGTGTGGGTAGCCTGGGGACCCCTAGTGCGGCCGCCCTCGCCACCATCACCTTCATCGCCACCATCACCGCGCTCACCTCCGGCTTGGTCACCCAGTGCCATCCTGTGCCGGACACTGTGCTGGACTCTGTGCTGGGCCACATGCCGTGTTCAGTCATCCTGCCTCCCCCACCCATCGCCTGTCCGCCTGCCTGGGGAGGTGGGCCCCAGACCAGGGGAGATCTAGGGAGCTGGGCCTGGGCCCTTCCACGGTGACCTTCCCCTTCCCCTTCGTCCCCACTCACTCCCTCCTTGTCCCACCTCGGCTAGTCCAACTCCGCCTTTCCCCTCCTTGCTGTATCACGTCTCCCCTCCCAGCCCCCTTCATGACCTTCCCTGTCCATCCACCCTCTCCTCCCACTCCACCAGACCTCATCAATGACAGGCACGTGGACACAGGTGTTGGGGGGTCATGGCCCTGGAGGAAGGACTAGGGTGCCCTTGTTTGCGGCCTTGAGCTGGAAGGTGTGTGCCCTCGGGTGGGGAGGGCCCCTGTTTCTGCTGTGGGGGCCTCAACCGGATCTCCTGCACCCCCAGTTCACCGGCACACATCCCACCACACCCACCACCCGCTCTCAGCGCGCCTGCCTCCACCCCACAAGCTGCGGCGGCTGCCCCCCACCTCTGCCCGGCACACCAGGAGAAAGAGGAAGAAGGAGAAAACCTCTGCTCCTCCCTCCGAGGGGACCCCTCCCATCCAGGAGGAGGGGGGAGCTGGAGTGGATGAGGAAGAGGAGGAAGAGGAGGAAGAGGAAGGAGAATCTGAGGCAGAACCTGTGGAGCCCCCCCACTCAGGGACCCCACAGAAGGCAAAGGTAGGGGCTTCCCTTTGGAGGGGTGGCAGGTCAGGGGTCAGGGAGGGGTACAGAGAGGAGGAGAGGAGTGCGTGTTGGGGGCCTGTGTGAGGCTGGGTAGGGTTGGGGGCTGTATGGTAGGTCGGGGCAAGGCCCCAGGGCACATTCTATGTCTGCAGTTCTCCATTGGAAGTGACGAGGATGACAGTCCAGGCCTCCCTGGGAGGGCTGCTGTCACCAAGCCCCTGCCCTCGGTGGGCCCACACACTGACAAGAGCCCCCAGCACTCCAGCAGGTACTGGCTGCAGCCTCTACTCAGCAGGGCCCAGCCCAGAGCCACAGGGTCCAGAGCTCCTGGCAGTCACCTCCTTCCTGACCCTGGGGAGTGTCCCCAGCTCTGACCCTGAGAAAAGAGGAGCAGGGTGTGGGAGGGGGGTGGGGATCCTTCTCTGTCCTCATGATTTACAAGGAGGAGAGAACAAGGGGGGGGGGAGAAAAACAGAGAAGAGCAGAGTGAAGAGGTTAGGAGTTCCCCAGGAGAGAGTGACAGAGTAGAGAGGGTGAGGAGAAAGGTGGAGGAAAGGGGGAGCCACGGGATGGGGAGGGGGCCTGGGTCAGCATCCTTTGCTGCCCAGGAGGGGCCTGGGTCTCATGCTCAGGGTCTACTCCAGGCCGTGCTCTGAGCTGAGGGACGGTGATGGAACCACCGACCTGGCCCTGTCAAGTCCAAGGCTGCTGTGTTGCCTCCCCAGCTCCCCCAGCCCCCGGGCCCGGGCCTCCCGACTCGCTGGGGAGAAAAGCCGGCCCTGGAGCCCATCGGCCAGTTATGACCTGCGGGAGCGACTGTGCCCAGGCAGTGCCCTGGGCAACCCAGGTGGTCCAGAGCAGCAGGTGCCCACAGATGAGGCGGAGGCCCAGATGCTGGGTTCTGCAGACCTGGACGACATGAAGAGTGAGTGAGACCTTGTGGCAGCCCCCATGGTCCACTGCGACGGACTCCCAGCCTGCGAGTGACCTTGGAGAGGCTCTGAGCTGTCCCCTGCTAAGGGCTGAGTCCTCTCTGAATCCCTGTCTGCTGGGATGTGGCCAGTGATGGGGACCTCACTACCTCACCCAGCCACCCTCTCTGACGGCCAGAGCTGAGATTTCCTTTCCTGACACCTCACGCCTCAGTCCTGATTCTGTCCTCTGAGTCACCCCTAGAAAAAGGCAGCTCTCTTTTTCACATTACTGTATCCCTCCCCAAGGCCCCTCTTCTCGGGGTGAACTCTCTGTCTCCTCTTTGATCCCCTCCAAACCAGGCCCTGAGTCTGAGCCATTGCTCCGGACCCCTGCCTCTCCCTGTGTCAGGACCCTTCACTCCCATCCCACTACCCTTGGGGGGGGCCTGGCTGTGATCTCGGCACATTCCTTCCATCTTATCAGTGCCCTGGTTTCTGTGCCACCTGTCATCACCCGTGGGGCTCTGTGCCCAGGCCAGGGGCATCACTGATCCCTCCCCCTCCTCCGAGCCACAGTGTGTGGGTGGGGTGGGGGGAAGGGTAGGGCTTTGAGCTCAATACGTCATGGAAAGTTGCCAGGGCCTGAGGACAGGGACAGGAACAATCCGATGGCAGCAGTAGCAGCAGGATGGGGGGTGGGGGAGGGCGTGTTTACAGACCCAGGGTGGGGGCTGGATGCCGCAGGGAGCAGGCTTGTGGACTTGGGGAGTTGGGGTCGGGAGGCTGTGCCACCTTCAGCTCTGGTTGGACAGAAGCCACCCCGTCCAGGCTCCCACCTTGTAGGAGAGCCGAGGGGTCTGGTAGGGAGCGGAGGCCGAGGTCTCGGCCACCGGGAGAATGACGAGCCCACTGGAGAAGGACCCTGAGCCCAATGGGGCACTGAGCCCTGGGCCTGGGGATACCAATAGCTGGGGCTTTGGGAGGGATCCAGCCCCCAGTCCTCGAGACTCACTGGCCCCGGAAGACTTAGAGATGTTTGTGCTGGACTTTGAGGATGGTGACCTGTGGGAGTCCATCAGGGGCCAGCTGGGCCCCATGGCAGGGCCACCAACTTGTGAGTAACGGGGCTGCTGGCCTTTCCCCGACTGCTGCTGGCCTGGGTGGGGCAGACAGGAGGAAGGGAGCGAAGCCCTGCCTGAGTCTACTGGGCTGTGTACCTTCGGGGAGGGGACGTGGGTGTTGAGATAGGGTGCACGGAAAATGTTGGGGGCTCAGTGCCTGGGGACTCTGACTCAGTGCCTGTCATGGGACCCAGATGGAGAAGGAGGGGCAGTGGCCATGGCAGGGGCTGGAGGGTCTGGCTGGGGCTGTGGACTGAGCTGGGTCTACCTTTGGATTGCATCTTGGCCGGTGGTCCCAGGTGACCATGGGGAGGTCCTTCCCTCTTTCTGAGCTTCAGTCTTCTTATCAATGAAATGGCCACATGGGATTATGTGGTTCCCGTCGGCATGGCCTGTTGGTGACTGTAGAGCTCACCAAGTAGATGGGTTGGGCAGAAGGAGCTGGGCCGTGACCCCGAGGGCCCCAGCTGGACCTGTGGGACCCCCAAGCCCATCTTCTCTGCAGGTCACCGACTGGAGGACAACCCTGGTGTGCGGCGACACTTAGTGAAAAAGCCCTCCCGGACGCAGGGCGGGAGGGGCAGTCCCAGCGGCCTGGCCCCCATCCTTCGCAGGAAGAAGAAGAAGAAAAAGCTGGACCGGAGGCCTCATGAGGTCAGGATGCTGACTGGGTGGGCCTGTGGCTTCCTCATGCCCCTCGGCCCCGGAGCCCTCCTCTCTTTGCCCCCCTGCCTTGCCCCATCACGGTGTTCCCCACACCTGTTGGCCCCTGGGCCCTCACCTTTGGCACGCCCCCCAGGTGTTCGTGGAGCTGAACGAGCTGATGCTGGACCGCAGCCAGGAGCCCCACTGGCGGGAGACGGCCCGCTGGATCAAGTTTGAGGAGGACGTGGAGGAGGAGACGGAGCGCTGGGGGAAGCCCCATGTTGCCTCGCTCTCCTTCCGTAGCCTTCTGGAGCTCAGGAGGACCATCGCCCATGGTAGGGACCCCCAGGCCTGGCCCGAGGCTGCAAGCCCTCTTCAGTCTGTGCCAGGCTGCTCAGTTCCCAGGAACACTCTCTAGAGTCCTGGGCACAGGCAAGATCCAACTGCCACCTGGGACCGTGGGGGTCCATTTGCCTGGGCAGCCCGTGAGCCCCGAGGGGCAGGGCTGTATCTGGTGCATGCAGTCAGTCAACAAATGGCTTCCCCTTCCTTGGTGGGGAGGGGCCGTGCCCTCGTTTCCATGCTCCATTTTCACGGCCCCTCTCTGACTGGCCTGTGGCAATATGGAGCTGTGTATCCATCTGGGTACATTGGGCGCTTTGCCCTTCCAGCACATTCGCATGCTTTTGGGGGGCAAGGCAGAGTGGGAGGAGATTTTTCCTGTCTGATGGGACTGTGCCCTCTCTGTGCCTGACTGTCCCCCTAGGAGCTGCCCTCCTGGACCTGGAGCAAACCACCCTGCCAGGCATTGCACACCTCGTGGTGGAGACCATGATTGTGTCTGACCAGATCCGGCCGGAGGACAGGGCCAGCGTCCTACGTACCCTGCTACTGAAGCACAGGTGCCGGGGTGGGTCCCTGGGAGGGGCCTGTCCAGCTCAGCTGCCCTTCCAGGAGCACATCCTCTTCCAAGTGGCTCCCAGCCTCTGCTTGAATGCCACAAGTGACAGAGAGCTCATTTCTATCTTTTGACACTTTCAATCATTATAAAGTTTCTTTTTACACTGAGGCAGAGGGATGGAGGTCCTGACCCTCCACTACTCACCTCATGACCTCAGTCTACCATGAGCCTCTCCTCCTCACCTGCCTCACCCTGCCCCTTCCAGCCATCCCAACGATGACAAGGACAGTGGCTTCTTTCCCCGAAACCCATCGAGCTCCAGCATGAACTCGGTTCTGGGGAATCATCACCCAACTCCCAGCCATGGCCCTGATGGGGCGGTGCCTACCATGGCTGATGACCTGGGGGAGCCAGCCCCACTCTGGCCACATGACCCTGACGCCAAGGAGGTCAGTGCCCTTGCTTTGGCTTGGGCCAGGGGACTGAGAGGGTGTCCAGTTTCAGTCGAGGTCATCGACGACTTCACTGAGTGGGTTGGGAAGGTTGGATTGCTGGCATCATGCTGGGCATTCGGGGACCTAGAGGAGACCCGCATGAGGGGTCCCTGCCCTGAGACGCAGGAGTTTTGAATGTGATGATGTGGCAGACCCACAGGAGCTGTTTAAACAAGATAAGGCTGAGGTGGTAGTTGGGGACATCGAGGCAGGGTCCACATCCCAGCTGGTGGCTCCCAGTGTGGGGCCACAGTGCAGTACCTGCCTACTCTGGGAGGGAGAAGCAGGTCTCAGAGCCAGGGCTGGAGCCAGGGCTGGGAGGGCCTGCCACGGCCTCCGGTCTGGGTCCCAGCCCTATTCCAGTTCTGCGTCCTCAGAAGCCCCTCCACATGCCTGGGGGAGATGGTCACCGGGGGAAAAGCCTGAAGCTGCTGGAGAAGATCCCTGAAGATGCTGAGGCCACGGTTGTGCTTGTGGGTGAGGAGGGCCGGGCGCCGGGGGCAGGGTCTGCAGTGTGTGTGTGCCTCTCCTGGGGGCCTGCTTGTCTGAGCTCTGGCCTCGAGGCCGCCTCTTCCATCTCCCTCCAGGCTCCCACCTGGTCCCTGCTCTTCCTCACAACCTGTCTTAGCCCAGCCCTTTCTTTCGTAGTCCCCTGCCTGCTTCCTGTCCAGTTTTCTGCTATCTTGGAGTTGGAATTAGAAAAAAAAGCAACACTTCTTTAATACCCTGAGTTTCCATCTGTTGGCGAATTGTAATCAATGTGTAGACACATAAGCGAATAGTGCCCTTTTAGACTGGGGTTTCTTTGCGCAGTTTACAACCTGCTCAACTGTCCATGATAGCCCTAGATAGCTGCCCCAGGGCCTGCCTTGACTGCTTCTCTTTGCCCAGCGCCCTGTGCTTTCCTCTTCCCCTAGGTTGTGTGCCTTTCTTGGAGCAGCCTGCAGCAGCCTTCGTGCGTCTGAATGAGGCTGTACTCCTGGAGTCTGTGCTTGAGGTCCCTGTCCCGGTCCGCTTCCTCTTCGTGATGCTGGGGCCCAGCCACACCAGCACTGACTATCACGAGCTTGGGCGCTCCATTGCCACCCTTATGTCTGACAAGGTTGGGCGCGTGCTGGCTCTCAAGGCCTCTTCTCCTAGGCCCTGCTTACCCCTGTCCCTCATTGTCCACAGTGGTGCCCATAGAGGCAAGGGTGCTAGAGGCCCCTGGGTGGAGGCCATGCCCTGGAGGGTGGTGGGGGGAGCTGTTGGCCCAGGGGAGAAGAGAGAGCCTTGGGCTGTGGCTGTGGGAGGGTCTGGTGACATAAGGGGAAAAGCCCAGACCCCAGAGCTTTGGATGTGATGTGAGACTTGATCAGGAGGGCTGGATGCGCTGGTCTTTGCTGTGGCTTCTCCTGGGATTAGATAGGAGGGTCCTTTAGCCAGGGGCAACGTTCACAATATTTATCAGCCTGTAAGGTGTAGCTGATCCAATTGGAATGGCTCTGGAAGCCCCTGCTCTGCCAGGTGTTATCCCTTTAGTTGCTGCATGTGGAAGTCTGGCATCTCCTGGGGGAATGGAGGGCACCTGGGGCTTTGGGGCAGTGGCTTGCTGGCCTGCAGGGATGGGTGTCAGTGTTCCAACAGCCAACACTGTTGGACTGGCCCAGTATCTACGACTGAATGTCCACCCTGCCTGTAGCTCAGTGACCCAACACCCGCCTCAAGTCTCCCTCCTGGAGGCTCCCTTGGCTGTCCCTGAGGGTCCTGGCCCTCTCATTGCCCCCAGCTGTTTCATGAGGCTGCCTACCAGGCAGATGACCGGCAAGACCTCCTAAGTGCCATCAGCGAGTTCCTGGATGGCAGCATTGTGATCCCCCCGTCCGAGGTGGAGGGCCGTGACCTGCTGCGCTCCGTGGCTGCTTTCCAGCGAGAGCTGCTTAGGAAGCGGCGAGAGCGTGAACAGACCAAAGTCGAGATGACCACACGGGGTGGCTACACGGCCCCTGGGAAAGGTCAGACCCTTGGAGGCTGAGTGCCCCCAATACACACTCCCCCATCCCAGGGCCCTAAGGCTGTGACCCCAGCCCCGTCCTGACTCCTGGAGTCCTTTGCATCCCTGATCCCAACAGCCCGGGGCCTCCGAGCCAGAGGGAGTGGTCTGTGCCCCAGCAGCCCCTTGTTCCCCCAGAACTGTCTTTGGAGTTGGGGGGCTCTGAGGCAACCCCTGAAGATGACCCCTTGCTGCGGACGGGCTCGGTATTTGGGGGGCTTGTGCGGGATGTGAGGCGCCGGTACCCGCACTACCCCAGTGACCTGCGAGATGCGCTGCACTCCCAGTGTGTGGCCGCTGTGCTCTTCATCTACTTCGCAGCCCTCAGCCCTGCCATCACCTTCGGGGGGCTGCTGGGTAAGGGACTGGGGCTTGGGGAGTTGAGGGGCTCCTCTAGTCACTTCTGGTCCCAGTGTCACTTGCAGGATTCTGGGTCTGGGTGTGATCACATTAGGGGGCCAATGGTTAGATGTGCTAGCAAAGGTGTAAGCACCTTACAGAGATGCTGGATCAGGGAATCCCAGCGATCACCTTTGGGGAGCTATAAAGTGAGGGTGTGGGAGAGGTGTAAGGGATGAGGGATCCTGTGATCACCATTGGGGGCTAGTGGGGAGGGTTTGGGAGCAATGGGGTATGGAAGGGGCCCTGTGTGTCACTCTAAGGGGCTGCTCTGCTTTTGTTGGGGGCCCCAGTTTAGGACAAGCTAGATGAAGAAGGGGGCAGATAGACAGAGCCAGGCTAGGGCCATCCTACCCGTGCTATGGCAGGAGAGAAGACCGAGGGGCTGATGGGCGTGTCCGAGCTGATCGTGTCCACCGCTGTGCTCGGCGTCCTCTTCTCTCTGCTGGGAGCTCAGCCGCTGCTTGTGGTTGGCTTCTCTGGGCCGCTGCTTGTGTTTGAGGAAGCCTTCTTCAAGGTGAGGCGAAGCCTTGCCCTGCTCCATCCATCCTGCCCCACACTCTTCCTTACCTACATCCTGCCCCACACTCTTCCTTACCTACATCCTGCCCCACACTCTTCCTTACCTAGGGGATGGGTCCCTGCATTCTCCCTCTTCCTCGGAGTTCATCCGCTGCCTATTCCAGGGGGCATTGACACCCAGGGCAGTCCACCTGTGGGTAACGACCGCTCCTACCCCCACCTAGTTCTGCCGAGCCCAGGACCTGGAGTACCTCACTGGCCGGGTGTGGGTTGGTCTCTGGCTGGTGGTCTTCGTCCTTGCCCTGGTGGCCGCCGAAGGCAGCTTCCTGGTCCGCTACATCTCGCCTTTCACCCAGGAGATCTTTGCCTTTCTCATCTCACTCATTTTCATCTACGAGACCTTCTACAAGCTCTACAAGGTGGAGGTCCAGCGAGGTCTTGGGGGTGGCAGAGATGGAGGTGGACATTGCCCTGGGGAGGACAGCATGGGAGGGGGAGGTATGGAGAACTAGGGGACAAGGAGAGGGACTGTGTTGGGAGTGAGGGGTTCTAGGGACACCCTAGGCTAGGTCTGAGCTGAAGGGGAGGGAGTCAGACCCAGGGGGTGGGTGCCAGGTCACGACTCCAAGCACCTGGTTGGAGGCTTAGTAATAAGGACTCACTTGCACAGGTATGTGATGGGGAGGGAGCTGTCAGTGCTAAGGGGCTGGGTGTCCTTGGGTCACCTTTTGTAGAGGAGTGTGTGTGTGTGTGTGGGTGTGGGTGTGGTGTGAGTATGGTGTGTTGTGTGTGATGTATGTGTTGTGTGTGTGTGCGTGTGTGTGCCTGTGTGTGCATGTTGTGTGTGTTGTGTGTATGTATGTTGTGTGTGTGGTGTGTATGTGGTATGTTGTGTTTTTTTTGTGTTGTATGTGTTATGTGTGTGTTGTTACGTGTTGTGTGTGTTGTATGTGTGTGTTCTGTGTGTTCTGTGTGTTGTGTGTGTGGTGCAGCTGGATGTCCGTGCATTACTGTTGTCTGACCAGGTATTGAGGGGCCACCCTCTCTCTCACAGGTGTACTGATGACGATGAAGTCAGGTCACCTGCCAGGTGAGTGACAAGGCATCCTTGTTATCCACACACAGGTGTTCACAGAGCACCCACTGCTGCCGTTCTACCCCCCTGAGGGGGCCCTGGAGGGGTCCCTGGATGCTGGTCTGGAGCCAAATGGCAGTGCCCTGCCCCCCACCGAGGGCCCCCCCAGCCCGAGGAACCAGCCCAATACGGCACTGCTCTCACTCATCCTCATGCTCGGGACCTTCTTCATAGCCTTCTTCCTGCGCAAGTTCAGGAACAGCCGCTTCCTGGGGGGCAAGGTGCGTGGCTGCTGGGTGTGGAGCCCCCAAGAGTCCCACAATTCCTGCTGTAGGAGCTCCCCAGAGAGGCTGCACCCCTTCCCCGGTCAGCCCATGGACCAAAACCCAGCTCGGGCAGCCCCTCACCCCTTCGGAAGCCTCTTCCCTGGGTGTCTTCTTGCCCTTTGCTCAGAGAAGTCTAATCAAGACAACAGCCTCCCAGGCTGCGCTGGCACCTGTGGGGTTGAGAGGCACGTGGGGGGCCTTCTGGCTCCAGCTTGGACCCAGGCAGGGCCAGAGATGGCAAGCCCCGTGTTAGTCTGCTGACCTTGCCTCCACCTTTTGCTCCCTTCCCCAACTGGCCCCTCTCAAGGCTCGTCGCATCATCGGGGACTTTGGCATCCCCATCTCCATCCTGGTGATGGTCCTGGTGGATTACTCCATCACAGACACCTACACGCAGGTGAGGGAGCCCCAGCCTGTGGCAGCTGCTGTCACCCCCAGGCCAGGAGAGGGAGCCCACAACACACTTCCATGGGCCCTGGGATTGGGATCAGGCCTGAACTCAACTTTCCCAGTGGAGTGGCCGCCCTGGGGGCTGAGGGCCTTCCCCAGGGAGCCTGAGTGATGAATCCGGGAGAAGCAGGTGTGGGGCTGGGAGCAGAATGACAGTATCCCACACAGGTCCCCTGAAGCTCTGGGGCTCAGGGAGGAGGCGCTTCATTTCCCTGCCCTCTATTGGATCCTTGAAAGGACAGTGACTTCTGGAGGATGCAAAACTAATTTTCCCCTGACCTGTTCACACCCCAGCTCCCTGAAGTCCTGGACTGGGGACGCAGCTTAGTGGGCTGCTTGGTGGGCTTTCTAGCATGGGGAGGCTGTGTCCCTGAACCCTGTTTTCCTGCCATGCAGAAGCTGACAGTGCCTACAGGGCTCTCAGTGACCTCTCCCGATAAGCGCTCGTGGTTCATCCCACCCCTGGGCAGTGCCCGTCCTTTCCCGCCGTGGATGATGGTGGCAGCCGCTGTTCCCGCCCTCCTCGTCCTCATCCTGATCTTCATGGAGACACAGATCACGGCGTGAGAGAGATGGGAGGAGGAGGTGGGAGGGACGAGGCCAAGCTCCTTGGCTCCTTGGCTTGGTTTCAGGGTTATAGCAGGGACATCATTATCAGTATCAGGGTGCTGGGTGGTGGGAGCTGGTGGCAATCCTTGAGGAAGAGAGTGTGTGTGGAGGAGCTGGCAGGGGTGAGGAGGAGGTGGGGGAGGAGCAGAGAGCAGTGGCATCCGGGGCAGGGGCATGGTTTCCCCGTGATGGTTTGACATGACATCTATCTGTTGCCACCACTCTTTGCAGGGTGGCACTTGACAGTGCTCAGAACACTCTAGCAGTCTAAGCTTGCACCCAGGGATGCTCACATGTATCTAATTTTGGTTAAACCACAATAACGTGGTAAGATCTGGCATCTGGCTTTTGTGGTGTTTTAAATATTCACAGTATGAGAATTTGTCTCACATTTGCTTCAATGTGAGAACTTCAATTTGGGAACTTGAAAGAAGAAGCTGGCAGTCCTAGGGAGAACTGTTGTCTGCACGTCCTCCCCCCACCATCTCGTCTCTGTGTGCGTGCCTGTCTTTGTCCCCTGCCCCTGCCAGGCCAGCCACACCCCGCTCCCCACCTTCTCCCTGCAGGCTTATCGTCAGCCAGAAGGCGCGGAGGCTGCTCAAGGGCTCCGGTTTCCACCTGGACCTGCTCCTCATTGGCTCCCTGGGGGGGCTCTGTGGGCTGTTTGGGTTGCCCTGGCTCACGGCTGCCACGGTCCGCTCCGTCACCCATGTCAATGCGTTGACAGTGATGCGTACTGCCATCGCGCCTGGTGACAAGCCCCAGATCCAGGAGGTGCGGGAGCAGCGGGTCACTGGTGTGCTCATCGCCAGCCTCGTGGGTGAGAGCCCGCCTCCACCCTGCACACCCCCTTCCTTGGGCCCCACGGTCTTACATCTTCACTATCCCAGGCTTGACCCTGAATCTCCCAATGTGCTGTGTGTTGCCCTCAATCTGACCCCCAAACCTGCTTCCCAGCACTCCCCTAGCCCTTTACTCCTGGAGTCCTTTTCTGGCTCTCTGTCCTGCCCCCTCTTCTCTCTCTTTTTTTTTGAGACGGAGTCTCGCTCTGTCACCCAGGCTGGAGTGCAGTGGCGCGATCTCGGCTCACTGCAAGCTCCGCCTCCCAGGTTCACCCATTCTCCTGCCTCCGCCTCCCGAGTAGCTGGGACTACAGGCGCCCGCCACCACGCCCAGCTAATTTTTTGTATTTTTAGTAGAGACAGGGGTTTCACCGTGTTAGCCATGATGGTCTTGATCTCCTGACCTCGTGATCCACCCACCTCGGCCTCCCAAAGTGCTGGGATTACAGGCGTGAGCCAATGTGTCTGCCCCCCCCCCCGCCCCTCCTTCTCTTGTTCAGGGTGATAAGGCCAAGTTGATTGGTCCAGTGGGTCCATGTCGCCTCCCCCCAGGCCTCTCCATCCTCACGGGGGCTGTCTGAGGGTCAGGCAGATCTGTGTCACCTCTTCCAGGCCTGTCCATCCTCACGGGGGCTGTCTGAGGGTCAGGCGGGTCTGTGTCACCTCCTCCAGGCCTGTCCATCGTCATGGGGGCTGTGCTGCGTCGGATCCCATTGGCTGTGCTCTTTGGGATCTTCCTGTACATGGGGGTCACGTCCCTGTCTGGTATCCAGCTGTCCCAGCGTTTGTTGCTCATCCTCATGCCGGCAAAACACCATCCTGAGCAGCCCTATGTGACCAAGGTAGGGCCGGGAAGCATGGGGGTAGGGCAGTGGGGTGACGGGAAGGGGATCCAGAGGGATCTGGGAGCATTGATGGATGGGATGAATATGAAGGAGAAGCTGTGACCTGGGAGCCAAATTCCCCACGATGTGGGTGGGTGGGAGCAGGCCGGGACGCTGTGCACTGGGGCCCACTGGCTGCTCCCCTAGGTGAAGACGTGGCGGATGCATCTGTTCACCTGCATCCAGCTGGGCTGCATCGCACTGCTCTGGGTGGTCAAGTCCACGGCGGCCTCACTCGCCTTTCCCTTCCTGCTGCTGCTCACGGTGCCTCTGAGGCATTGCCTTCTGCCCCGGCTCTTCCAGGACAGGGAGCTGCAGGCGGTAAGGGGGTGGTGGTCTGGGGAAACAGTGTTAGGGCAAATGGGCACTGGGTTCCAATCTCTGTTTGGCCACCCACTAGTTGTGTTAGTTGTGAAACTTGTGTAACTTGTGTTGCAAGTTATCTCACCTTCCGAAATCTTATTTTCACCTGTATAATAGGGGTGATCATAGACCCTACCTTATAGGACTGTTGGGAGGGTCAAGTGCTAGTCCAGGTAAAGGCCTTAGGATGGTGGTTTTGTAAGGGAGTTGGCACGGGGCTGCTGCACACAGCTGTGCAGGTGGTGCCTGACCAAAAACACCCGGCTGAGAGGCTACAGGGTTGATGTGGCACTGGTGTCCACCCTGAGCCCTGTTTTTGTCAACTAGAGGAAAAGACATCTTTTTGCAATTTATCCATACTCAAACATGGTGTACAAAGGTACCATAGCAACTAGAAGTGGCCTCAGGAAAGAGCTTCATAATAATAATCATTATTATTATCACCAGGAGGGGCCAGGTATCTGGTCTGGGAGGTGACCTGAAGGCTTTGGCCAAGGGCAGTGCTGCCACCCAGGGTCATGGTACTTGCAGAGAGGCCCAGGAAAGGTCAGGGAGCAGGGAGGGCTGCAGGTTGGAGGAGGAGCTGGAGAATGGGAGGGGACGAGCATGCTTCCCTGCCTTCCCCAACCTTCTGTTCCCTCTGCAGCTGGACTCGGAAGATGCTGAACCAAACTTCGATGAGGATGGCCAGGATGAGTACAATGAGCTGCACATGCCAGTGTGACCCTTGAAGACAGTGCCCCTCAGAGACCCCAAGACCTTAGGGATTGACACCTGGGCCTCAGGCAGAGCCCAGCCCTGGGCTGGGGGGCTCCTCAGGACCCAGAGATGTGCCTGGAACCACTCCTGATGCCATGGCTAGAGTGGCCCCCCTGACTTCTGCCCGGGGTGTTGACCTCGCCTCACCTTTCACAGACCAGACCGGCACAGGCTTTGAGCTCATTATAACCACACTCCTTGTCTCGTGTCTGCCTCACTTTCTTGGTTTCATCTTTGGTTTCTCAGGTCATACTTATCCATTTGGAATTGGAAGAATTCTATTTTCAGGGTTATCAAAACCAGGGAGAGGTTTGAGTCAAGGAGAGTCCTTGGGAGAAAAAGAGAGAATCGAGACTACAGAAGGCCAGAGCTGGGCCTTATCATCATCCCCCAGGCCCCCTCAAGTGCAGCCGAGGAGCGGGCGGTAGGGGTGGGGGCACTCAAGCTCTGCTCAAGATCACATGCCCATGAATCCAACCCCTGCTTAGCAAGACGGAAGAACCGGGGAGGGGAGAGGGAGAAAGTTGCTCCATTGTAGCTACTGGAGAAATCAGAGGCTGTGGGGCCACAGAGGGAATGGAAAATGTCTCTCTTCTTTTCTTGATCTCTGGCCTTCCCAGGAGCAGAGATAGCAGCCCAATCCCTTAGACGCCAGGGTGATGCCGGATTTGGGGACCCTGGACCATTTTAGATTCTGCTGGCTTAGAGAGGCAGTTCTGGGATTCCTGAGGCCACTCCTTGTGCAACAGTCTCAGTTTTGCCAGAAATAACCTGGGGGACTTGAGGGGAGCGGGAGCCCATTGCGTCATAGTTGCTAGGCAACCCCCAGCCTGAAGGAGCGCATCGTCCCCCGTTGCCCTCCGGTGGCCGCTCTCGCATGCTGCAGGCTCTGTCCCGACTGAGGAATAGCAGCACTGCCACCTGGTGGATCCGCGGCGCTCAGAGAGCCCATTCAAGCGCATCCAGTTCCTCCCGCGGAGACCAAGCCCGGTCAGGCAAGTTCCGTGTTCTGCAGCTCTGGGCAGCTCAGAGCTTCTGAGGCTGGGGATCCCTCAGCTCCACGTTAGCGGTTTCCTCCGGAGCTGGTGCTGCTGCTTTCTTCTCTTTTTCCAATTTTGCTCCCCAATGTGCTGAACTCCTATGAACTCCAGTGGGGAAGGCACCAGGCTCAAGAGGTGGAAGAAGAGACCCAGACTGGCAAACGAGACATGGGGTTTTACTGGGGCTTACATACAGGGGAGAGAGTCCGCTGGTGGTGAGCGGGGGCAGGAGAAACCACAACCGGTTGCAAAAAGCAGTTTCTATAGCATTTCCACTTAGCACCTTCACCCTAACAACCTCCACCTGGGGATCTTCATTCAACCCAGACTTGGGCCTGGACCTTTCCCTTTATGTCCCGTGTTCCACAGCCTGGGGCCTCAGATGTTTCTCATAGACAAGGAAGGACTCTCCAGGTTGGCGACTCCTGGATTCCCTAGCTTGGAAGATACATTCAGGTGTGCCTGCCACACAGGGCCATTCTCAGGCTGTGCTTAAGTTCCTGCGGTCAGGTGCGGTTACCATACACTCCTAGGTGTTCAGGCCAACAGCTGGTGCCCCGAAACTGGTCAGGAGAGAAGGGACAGGCCACCGTGAGGCTGTTTGTTGTGTTCCTAAGGAAGAGAAGAGCCCTCCAGCTGCCCTGGATTATTGTCCGGGTGTAAGTATTTTATTCCAGTCCACCTTGGCTCCCTGGGTCTCTGGTGCCATGTGGCCTCTAACTACATTTAGCCTCTCCTTTGTATGTGTATGTGAGGACAAGATTCCTTTTCCTTTAGATTGGCCAAGGCTGGGTGGAATTTCAAAAGAACTTTGCCAAGGAACAAAGTCAAGGTCAAACGCAAAACCTAGAAGGGACATGTGCAGAGAAGATTCCAAACAGAGATGTCAGGGGCCTCTCAGACAAGTTTGGTTGAGAGGCTTTGCATATGAGAACCCTGGTTCCTTCCTAGAGTCCTGCTTCTCCTTGCGGGCCCGGATGCAGGAAAGGCTCCCCTGTTTGGTCTCGGGGATTCCTAGACCCCACAGGAAGGAACTGCACTTTTTCCAGCCCCTGCAAGGAAATGTCTGTGTGGGCCCAGAAGGTGGATTCCTCATTGGGCACAGTTGGTGTCAGTCATCTCGCGGCTTGGCAAATAGCCGGGAACTGTGGGTGTTCCTCCACGGCAAAATGAAAAGAGGGGCGGGGCCTTCTGACAAGGGGAATGAGTCCTGGTCCCGGTTGGTGGGTCAGGGTGGACTCCAGCAAAGCTAGGCCTTGAGGCCTCAGAGCAGTAGGCGAAAAAGCTTCAGTGACAGCCAGTGATAACCGCTTGTCACCCTGGCAGCCTTACTCATTTAAAGACGACCCATCTATGGCAAGGGAGGGCGGCCGTAGTTTAGGAAGGGCAGGAGGCGAGGGTTAGCTAACATTCTGAGCTCACCCAACACACCCAGCACACTCAGGGGGACCATGGAGGGTTGAGAAGACCCAGGACGCTGCAGCAACCAAAATGGCTGCCAGGGATGGAGACCCAGAGGGATAGGAGAGGAAAGAGAGACCCAGCTTGGCTGTGTGACACAGGGGATGAGCTCCATTGTAGCTACTGGAGAAATCAGAGGCTGTGGGGCCACAGAGGGAATGGAAAACGTCTCTCTTCTTTTCTTGATCTCTGGCCTTCCGAGGAGCAGAGATAGCAGCCCAATCCCTTAGACGCCAGGGTGATGCCGGATTTGGGGACCCTGGACCATTTTAGATTCTGCTGGCTTAGAGAGGCAGTTCTGGGATTCCCGAGGCCACTCCTTGTGCAACAGTCTCAGTTTTGCCAGAAATAACCTGGCGGACAAGATACACGGCAAACCCACAGAAAGGCAACCGGGACTGGCCTGGGGCCTGGCTGGCCAGAGAGCGTGTCATATGGGGACATTCAGAGTTTGTCCTGAAGCCCTTTGTAGCCCCGGTGTTTCCTCTGACTTTCTCTTTACCGGGCCTCTGAGCTTCTCCTCTCGGAGTGCTGGGGCCCTCAACTCAGGCCCTCTTCAAGGTGCAGAGGAGAGTTAGTGGAGGGGAGCCCCAGCCGGCCCTGATGGCCCAGCTCTGGGGGGTAGGACAGGACAGTTACTAAAAAGGGGACAAAGGCCATTGTATTTTCGAACATCCGGCCTCTCTGCCATCTGCTCTGGACTGGAAGCGGCTTTGGGAACGTGCACGTGCACCAGCCCTTCAGTAAGGACATCCGGCCTGTCGCTATTTCCCCCGCCCCTTACTGCTTTCCGAGTGGGGTTATGGCCACATCTTGGGTAGCTGCCCAAAGCTTTCATTATCCCCGGACAAGTGCAGGCCCACTTCAGG
Source organism: Homo sapiens (assembly GCF_000001405.40). Lineage (NCBI taxonomy): Eukaryota > Metazoa > Chordata > Mammalia > Primates > Hominidae > Homo > Homo sapiens. The sequence goes on from NC_000002.12 coordinate 219,645,134, forward strand.
CCCTGAGGAGTGCTAGCTCATTCTTTTACTTTGGGCAAAGAGGGCGGCTGTCACTTTCTTGTTCATGCTGAGGATTCGGCTCACTCAAGATATCTGATGCCCTTGTGACAGCGTCTGGCTGTCAGAGCTCATAGACCATCTGCTGGGACTGCCCTAGGCCCCTCCTTTAGGGCACAGAACGTGGCAATAATGTGTCCCATTTGGCAGCCTGTGTGACATTTCTTCTTGTATCTTATCAGGTGACTCAAATAATGATCATGCCTGTTGACACTTGGAGCTCTCAAAGGGAATTCTGAGCAGCAAAGGAAAGGTGACACAGAACTCAAGGGCACTGGCGCTGAGCGCTGCCCATGCAGCTGGCAATTAAGCCATTGCCGAAAACAACAATAAAACAGATTTTGGGCAAGTAGGGAATGGTGGATTGAATCCAGTGTGGCAAAAAAGGAAATGCAAAGTGAGGAATGTAGTTTCCAGATAAATAAATTATATAATTGTGATTCACCACTTGTGCAAAGAGCAGACTCCAGTGTTTGTAGGATTTATGTTCTGGAAGGAAGATTTAATATTTGAGCCTACTGCTGAGATTATTTTTAATTTTGTTGGAACTGTTTCTTTTTACTGAACAATGCTTTATTAAGTGCTGACTAAGCGGACAGCCACTGGGTTGTTCTCTGGATGGTGGATGAGTCACAGTTGGGTTTGGGAGATGAGGGGAGGAGCAGGGAGCTCTTTAATGCCAGCAATTCCAGGGACAAGGCTTAGGACCATGGGAGAGGAGGGACAAAGAGGGGGTGGGGCACAGCTGGAGATGAGGAAGGGGCTGGGAGCAAGGGCTCAGAGCTGGTGGGAAGGTGGGGGTGAGGGGAGCGTGGAGGAGGGTGCAAAACCAGACTTTCATTCGTGAGTCCCTGAGCATCCCCTGCCACGCCTCCTCTCTCACTGCACGCCCATTGCGTGTTCTTGTCTGTCTCCCTATAGGCTGTGAGATGGGCAGAGACCTGGCCTGAGTCACCTTTGTACTCGTAATGCCTCCCACAGTGCCTGGCCACAGGGGTGCATGGAGGGTAAGGGGGTGAGCAGTTGGCAGAGAAAGAAGGACCAAGAGGTCACAGTCTCCACCACATTTAGATCCAGTGAGCAGTGCGTCCTTGTCTGTGACAACTGGTTATCATAAGAGAGACCATAGCGGTCCTTGCGCTCTAGGGCCACCAGGGAGCTCATGCAGCTTTTCTAGGCTTGGGAGAGAGAAGGTGGGTTGGGGGAGCTTAGGAAGGACACACTCTCAGGAAGTGGTGTCTCTTCCAGGGACATCCAGCCTAGACTATAAGGTCCGGAGCAGCTGGTCAGGATATCAGGCTCTTGAGATAGGTGGATTTGTTCTACGAATGTGGCCCACACAGCAAACAATATTTTAAACTTAATTTTTAAAATTATTTTTACTTCAATAGGTTTTGGGGAACAGGTGGTGTTTGGTTACATGGATAACTTCTTGAGAGGTGATTCCTGAGCTTTTGGTGCACCCATCACCCGAGCCGTATACACTGTACCCAATCAGCAAACAACATTTTAAAATAACTAAGTTGTGTCAACAAATATAAAGCAGCAAGTCCTCAAAACTACTGAAAAGAGCCCAGAAGTGGGGAACATTTCTCTGAGATCAGAGGAGTCCTTAGGCAATATTTCCCCAAGTGGGGAAGGATACCAGTAGTGGTGTGTGAGATGATTTTAGGTGTGGTTTTGATAGTTTAGCTGTCACAGTTATATATTTTCATGTGTTTTAGAAAAAAATACAATGAGTACTTGAGCCCCATAATTTTGCAGACAGTATTGTGTAGGATAAGTCTAAATACATATGTTAAAACTAGTGAATTGATTTAAAGGAAAAGTACTAACTTTATAACTGTACAGTTAGTAGGCATATGATATGGTTTGGATCTGTGTTCCTGCCCAAATCTCATGTTGAACTGCAATCCCCAGTGTTGGAGGTGGGGCCTAGTGAGAGGTGATTGGATGATGAGGACAGATTCCCCCTTGGTGCTTTTGTGATAGTGAGTGAGGTTTCATGAGATCTGGTCATTTAAAAGTGTGTCGCACCTCCCCCCTCTCTCTCTTACCCCTGCTCTGGCCATCTAAGACATGTCTGCTTCTCCTTCACCTTCTGCTATGATTGTAAGTTTCCTGAGGTCTCCCCAGAAGCAGAGCCACTGTGTTTCCTGTACAACCTGCAGAACCACGAGCCAATTAAACCTCTTTTCTTTATAAATTACCCAGTTCCAGGAATTTCTTTTTTTTCTTTTCTTTTCTTTCTTTCTTTTTTTTTTTTCAAGACAGAGTCTCACTCTGTCACCCAGGCTGGAGTGCAGTGGTGCCATCTTGGCTCACTGCAACCTCTACCTCCCGGGTTCAAGCAATTCTCATGTCTCAGCCTCCAGAGTAGCTGGGATTACAGGTGTGCGCCACCATGCCGGGCTAATTTTTGTATTTTTAGTAGAGATGGGGTTTTGCCATGTTGGCCAGACTGGTTTCGAACTCCTGACCTCAAGTGATCCACCCACCTTGGCCTCCCAAAGTGCTAGGATTACAGGCGTGAGCCACTGCACCTGGCCCCAGTTTCAGGTATTTCTTTATAGCAGTGCAAGAATGGACTAATACAGCATACACAGCAAGAAATTGTGACAATGCCAGGGAAAGGACTAAAATGTCAGAAATCATTGCTTCAAGTCGGAGGATCTTAGCTCTGGTTAAGCGCTGGAATCACCTGGAGTGTTTCAAAACATATCAGTGTCTGAGCCTCATCTCTACAGGTTCACACTGGCATTAAATTACATTAATTAATTTTTATTTTTTGTAGAAATAGGGTCTCACTATGTTGTCCAGGCTGGTCTTGAACTGAGCTCAACTGATTCTCCAGCCTTGGCCTCCCAAAGTGCAGGGATTACAGGTGTGAGCCACCATGTCAGGCTCACACTGGTATTTTATTAAACATTCCCCTCCCCCGACATCCCCTCAAAACCCCAGAGATTCTAATATGGAGTCAGGTTTAAGAACCATTGTCCTAAACCAATATATTCTTTCCTATGGTTGATTTCCACTACAATTTCCACTGTGGTTGAAAGTTATTTCTTATTATTGCTTCTCCTTGGTATGAAAATGCAAATACACAGTATGCATATTTATTTTAGAAAGTAAGCTTGAGGGCAGGACCCATGCCTATTTCTATTCTGTTTATCAAGCAACAGAAAGGGCTGCACATAAACGCATGGACTTAGGAAGGGGAACAATACACATCAGGGCCTGTTGGGTTGGTGGTGGGTGAGGGGAGGGAGAGCATCAGGACAAATAGCTAATGCATTAGGTGATGGGTTGATAGGTGCAGCAGACTACCATGACACACGTATACCTATATAACAAACCTGCATGTTCTGCACATGTATTCTGAAACTTAAAGTTAAAAAAAAAAAAAAAGAAAGGGCTGAACGTAGCACGTTCTAATGTTTAGGCTGCTTGGTTGGGACTGTGATCTGTGAGCACCTCTCTTGCTCTGCTGGCTTTGCTGTTGTTGATGGCATTACAGTTGAGTGGCCAGAACATGGGGACTGGCAGTCAGGAATCCTCGGCTTTGGCCTCACCTCAGGCACTAGCTGGACTTTGGTTAAGTGGCCTCATCTTTCTGAGAGATTAGGAATTTGGCTCCAGCACCTCCTTCATAGACCATATTCTTTCAACAGACCCTGATCACTGCAGTGGTTTTGCTCAGGAAGCAGGGGGTTCAGGAGGGGGGAAGCAGTGGCTGTAGTGCTATAGGAATCCCCAAATAATCTCTCAGCAGAGTTACTAGGCTTAGGAACTTTCTTCTTTAGTTTCGCCACGTCAAAAGGTGTGTAGATCCTGGGGGAGTCCATTTTTGCATTCCTAGGGGAGTCAGAAACTCAGAGACCACAGAGGGTGGGATGGGTAGGGTGAGGGGGTGGGGGTGAGCAGTGACTTGGAGAATGATCTCAGGATATTGGACAAAGCTGTGACGTCACTAGAATTCAATTAGGTGACGTTTAAACATCTATAAGAGGTGTGTGGTCCTATGAGATAAGAAGCACATGAAAAGGATGCAGGATTCTGTAGAGATAGATGGACAAATATGTAGTTATAAGCCTTAATGGTCACATAAATACACAATCAGGTATAGAACCTGGATAGGGAGTTATGGACTACACTCTGGCTTGACCTTTAGTAACTGATCACTTGTAATCAAGGGACTAGTCTACTCAGCCACCTCCATCTTTAAGTTAGAAAGTTAAAAACTGGAAATAGGGCTCTACAGGTCCATAGAGTCAGCAGCTAAGATGCAGTCGGCATCCCACCCAGAATCTCTGGTTGATTAGCAACCTCAGGTGGCTGAGAAGGGAATACCTCTCTTGTGGATAGACATTTTACTAGCCCTGGGAAAATTTATTTTCATCTCGTTTAATTTTTTTAGCCCTGGGAAAATTTAAAATTAAGCACACAAATGTTTAGGGGAATCAAAACTATAGTTTTCATGTTTTCAAGTTAAAGAATTTGTGCATATATAATATTTGTGTAGGCATAATTTTAGAGAATTCGGCCTACTGGAATATTAGACCACCTTCAATATTTCATTTTAATGTATGTACTTGAATAATTGATTGAAATTTGTGATAAGTTGAAATATTTCCAAGTTTACATATAGTTTGGACATTGAAGAGAATTTAAGGTTCACTCTGTCTTGTATGCTGAATTTATTAAATCTGTAAGAATTACTTTTGTACTTGGGAAGTTTTATCAGTCAGATGAAATACTTAAAAAGGAATTGAATTTATTAAATTTATTAAGTGCCATTTAAAATGTTAAAGACTTTTAATTAACTAAGTGTGTAAATGGGGCTAAGCATTAATCAAAACCCTCTCAAAGTGATTGTTAATATTTGCTAGACTTATAAATAGGACAATAAGATTCCTAAGGTGATTTTAAAAGCGTTAAGGAAGAGCTATAAATTTCTAAATCTATAAATTTAATAAATTGAATACTGATTTTCAAAACCCCAGTAAATCTCAGAGTGGTCTTTTCAGTGCGCAAAAGCCACCCTCAAGGACATAAGACATAAAATATTTTCCTAACCAGTGAGTCTTCAGCAGTGCAGGGGGAGAGAACGGAAGTGGGAAAGGGAGAAAGGAAAGTAAGATTTTAGTGTCATTGGATTGTCTTGTTCCCAAGGTCAGGCTAGATGGTATATTCTGCACCATGCCAAATTGCTCATCTCACAGGAGACTGTAATTAAACACACGCTTACTGTGCGGGGGATCAGAATTGCTGAGGAGGGTATTTGGCAACTAAGAAAGCAGGTTAAATCGTGATGGCTTTGGGGTCTTAGCAGTCCCTCTCAGTAAGCCCTTCTAAGTTACATTCTACTGTTCTGTTTGCTGTTAATTATTCCTCAGATAATTTCCCCTGAGCAAGAATAAGGACATTCTGTGGTAGAGGCTGAGGTTTTTGTTTCCCAGGGGGTTTGCTGCTGAGAGCCAGTGGGAATGTGTATCAGTCAAAATTCTTATTTGCACCAAACAGAAGCCAGCTCCAGCTAATTTAAGCAGAAACAGGGCTGTTGAAAAGCCATTCACAGACACTGGGAAGGTAGGAGACTCCAACTCAGAACCATGGTCACAGACATGCCACAGAAAACATCCGGTGGCAATGTGGCTGTTGCTGTGGAACGTGAGATGCCACAGTTGCGCCCCTGGTGGGGGATATCACCCCTGGAACGGCCACCAGGAGGATTCTGCACTGCCCCTCTTCTCTGCATCCATCACTAATACCTGCATCCATCACAAGGTCTCAGGTGGATGTTCCTGACTGGCTTATGTCATGTGCCTGTGTCGAAGTTGCTAGAAGGCTGGGAAAGAGGCTTTTGGCATTTCAGCTTCTGTGGTGGGAGGCAGCTCTGGCTCTGACACTCAGTAGTGATGTGTTGGAGCTAGCTTACAAGAGCTGCTTGTAAAAATTTCAGGGACTTGTGAACTGGTTGTTAAACATAGTCATTATTAAAAAGTAAATTATAGTAGATATACTGTTTCTATTCCTCTTGCAAAGTATAAAAGAAATATAAGTCTCTGAATGGAGGCAAGAAGAAGGCAGACCAGCTAGGGACCTTGGGACCCAAGGAATAATACATTACTGAGTTCCTTGTATTTTCTTTTTGTGTCATATATCCCAGACTTGGAGCTGAAGAAGCTGGCAATGCAGAAATGCCAATAGGTGTAGGCAAAAAAGCCCCAACCAAAGTCTGCTCTCTCTAGTCAAAGGGGTAGGAAAGAAGAAACAGAGCAAGACAGAAAACTTTCAGACAGTAACAGCCAAATGCAGCAGAAAAATCTGTGATCTCCCCATCCCAACTCAGGCTAACAAAGGCTAAATTGGCAGCTTATACTTCCAACCTTGAGAAACTGTCAAGGCACCTCAGTACTCACGATGAAGTGATGTCATAGGAGACCAAGTAGAGCCTGGACTTCCAGCCCCATCTAGCAGTAATAAGGCACTCTTCCTCCTTCCCACTGTGTTGGGAGCAAGCCCCCCAAAATCTGGCCATAAACTGGTCCCAAAACTGGCCATAAATAAAATCTCTGCAGCACTGTAGCATGTCCATAATGGCCCTAACGCCCAAGCTGGAAGGTTCTGGGTTTACGTGAATGAGGGCAAGGAATACCTGGCCCGCCTAGGGCGGAAAACCGCTTAAAGGCATTCCTAAGCCACAAACAAAAGCATGAGCCATCTGTGTCTTAAGGTGTGTTCCTGCTGAAATTAATTCGGCCCATCCCTTCATTTCCCATAAGGGATACTTTTAGTTAATTTAATATCTATAGAAACCATGCTAATGACTGGTTTACTGTTAAGAAATATGTGGGTAAATCTCTGTTCGGGGCTCTCAGCTCTGAAGGCTGTGAGACCCCTGATTTCCCACTTCACACCTCTATATTTCTGTGTGTGTTTCTTTAATTCCTCTAGCGCCGCTAGGTTAGGGTCTCCCTGACCCAGCTGGTCTCGGCACCACTGGATGGTGTCAGAGGATGCCTAGTGGGGAGTCAGAACCTTTGTAATCATTCAGCAGTAAGAGACAGAGAGGGATACTATGTAATGATAAAATAGTCAATTCACCAAGAAGACATAGCAATCCTAAATGTACATGTACCAAACAACAGAGCTGCAAAATAGGAGAAGCAAAACCCAATTGAACTGAAAAGAGAAACAGACAAATCACAGTTGTAACTGGAGACTTCAACACCCCTCTCTCAACAATTGCTAGAACAATTGATAGCTAAAGTCAGCAAGGATATAGAAGAACTCAACATCAACTGAGAGGATTTAATTGACATTTATAGAACACTAAGACTAAACCATCAGAATACAAATTCTTTTTGCATGTTCATGGAACATATACCAAGATAGACCCTATTCTGGGCTATAAAACACATTGCAACAAACTTAAGAGAATTAAAATAATATAGAGTTTTCTGACCACAATGGAATTAAACTAGAATAACAGAAAAATAATAGGAAAATCTCCAAACACTTGGAAACTAAACCAACATATTTTAAGTAATTAATGAGTCAAAAGGGAAGACTCAAGGAAAATTTAAAAAATTATTGAACTAAATGAAAACTAAAATATAGCACATCAAAATTTGTGGGACACAGCCAAAGCAATGCTGAGAGGGAAATATATAGCATTAAATGTGTACATTAGAAAAGAGGAGAAGTTTCAAACTAATAATCTAAGCTCCCACCTGAAGAACCTAGAAAAGATAAGCAAACTAAACCCAAAGTGAACGGAAGGAAGGAAATAATAAAGATAAGAGTAGATATAAGCAAAATTGAAAACAGAAAAACAATAGAGAAAATCAATGAAACAAAGAATTTGTTCTTTGAAAAGGTCAATAAAATTGACAAATCTCTAGCAAGACTGACAAAAAGGAGGACACATATTACCAACATCAAGAATGAAACAGGCCGGGTGCAGTGGCTCACGCCTGTAATCCCAGCACTTTGGGAGGCCGAGGCAGGTGGATCACCTGAGGTCAGGAGTTTGAGACCAGCCTGGCCAACGTGGTGAAACCCCATCTCTACTAACAATACAAAAATTAGCTGGGCGTGGTAGTGCATGCCTGTAATCCCAGCTACTCGGGAGGCTGAGGCACGAGAATTCCTTGAACTTGGGACACAGAGGTTTCAGTGACAGAGTGAGACTCCGTCTCAAAAAAAAAAAAAAAAAAGAAATGGGATATCACTGAAGACCTTGCAGCAGACATCAAAGACTGATAAGTGAATACTATGAATAAGTTTGCACACATAAATTTAGCGACCTAGATGAAATAGACCATTTCTCAAAAAACCACAAATGACCACAACTCACTCTATATAAAAGAGCTAATTTGAAGCTGGGCACCATGGCTTGTGCCTGTAATCCCTGCTGCTCAGGAGGCTGAGATGGGAGGATCACTGCAGTCTAGGAAGTCTAGGAGTTTAAGGCTGCAGTGAGCTGTGATCAAGCCACTGCACTCTAGTCTGAGTGACAGAGTGAGACCCTGTCTCTTAAAAAAAAGAGACAATAGCCCTGTAATGAATAGCCTCTAATGAATAGCCCTGTAATGATTAACAAAGCTAATTTCTTAAATTAAAACTCCTCCTCACCTACCCCACCTCCAAATTTCCAGGCCAAGATGGTTTGACTGAAGAATGTTACTAAATATTTAAATAAGAATTGCTACCAATTTTACACAACCTCTTCCAGAAATAGAAGAGGAGGTAATACTTCCTAATGAACTTTATGAAGCTAGTATTCCTCTGATATCAAGACCAGACAAAAATAATCCCCAAAAAAGAAATCTAAAGACTAGCATCTCTCCTGAATATAGATGCAAGAAATCTTTAACAAAATATTAGCAAATATAATTCATCAATATAGAAAAAAATTATATATCATGATCATGTGGAATTTATTAGAGATGAAAAGCTGTTTCAGTATTTAAAAATCAATTATGGTAATCCACCATGTTAACAAGTTAAAAAAATCACATGATCCTATCAATTGACACAGAAAATGCATCTGACAAAATTCAACATCCATTTATGTTAATAACTCTTAGGAAAATAGAAGTGGAGGGGGGCTTCCTCAACTTGACAAAGGGTGTCTACACAAAATCTACAGCTAATATTGTACTTAATGGTGAGAGAGTGAATGCACTTCCCCTAAGATTGGGAACAAGGTAAGGATATCCTCTCTTACCACTCTTATTCAATCCAGTGCTGGAAGTTCTAGCTAGTGCAACACGCAAGAAAAAGAAACAAAAGACATACAGGTCAGAAAAAAAATTGTCCCTGTTTGCAGATAACATAACTGTCTACATAGAAAATCCTAAGACATCTATAAAAATGAAAACAAAACAAAAAAACTTTTGGAACAAGTGATTTAGTTCAACAAGAATCATAGGATACAAGATAAATATACAAAAATCCATTGCATTTCTATATATTAGCAGTAAACACATGTATACCAAAATTAACAGTACAATACCATATGCAGCCCACTCAAAAGTGAAATACTTTTTTATAAATCTAATAAAAATTTACAGAATCTACATGCTGAAAACTTCTGTATTAGTCTATTTTGTGTTGCTATAAAGAAATACCTGAAACTGGATAATTTATAAAGAAAAGAGGTTTGTTTGGCTCATGATGCTGCAGGCTGTGCAACAAGCATGTGCCAGCATCTGCTTCTGGTGAAGCCCTCAGGAACCTTACAATCATAGTGGAAGGGAAGGGAGGAGCAGGCGTGTCATAAGGTGATAGAGAAAGCAAGGGGGTGGGGAGGTGCCACACTGTTTAAAAACCAGATCTTGTGGTAACTAATAAAGTGAGAACTCACTCATTACCATGAGGATGGCACCAACCCATTCTTGAGGTATCCACCCCCAGGACCCAAACACCTCCCACTAATCCCCACCTCTAACGTTGAGGTGACATGAGATTTGAAGAGGACAAATATCCAAACTATATTAACTACTCAAGGTTGATGAAAGAAATCAATGAAGATCTAAATAAATGGAGAGACATACTACGTTCCTGGATTGGAAGATTCAGCATTGTAAAGTTGTCAATTTGTCCTAAACTAATATATATAGGTTTAATGCAATTTTTATTGAAATCTAAGCAAAGCTTTTTTGTAGATATAGACAAAATTATTTTAGAATTTATATGGAAAGGCATAGAAACCAGAATAGCTAAAATAATTTTGTAAAAGGAGAATAAAGTGGGATGAATCAGTTTACCTGATTTTAAGACTTATTATATAGTTACAGTAATCAAGACTGTGTGGTATTGGTGGAGGGATAGTTGCAAAGACTGATAGAACAGAATTTAAAAACCTAGAAATAGACCAACATAAATATACCCAACCAATTTTTGACAAAAGGTGCAAAAGTAATTCATTGAAGAAAAAATACCCTTTTCAACAAATGGTGATGGAGCAAAAGGACATCCATTGGCAAACACAAACAAACAAAACTCTGATATAAATCTCATACCTTATGCAATAATTAACTCAAAATAGATCATAGAATTAAATGTAAAACTTGAAACTATAAACATTTTTAGAAGAAAACAGGAGAACATCTTTGGGTTTAGGGTTAGGCAAAGAGTTCTTTGACTTGACAACAAAAGCATAAAAGGAAAGAAAAAATTGATTAAATAGACTTCACTAAAATTTTAAAATTTTATGCTGCAAAAGACCTTGTTAAGAGGATGAAAAAACAAAGTACAGAGTGGGAGAAAATATTTGCAAACCACATATCTAATAAAGGACTAGTGTCTTGACTATATAAAGAATTCCTCAGGGCCAGGCATGGTGGCTCATGCCTGTAATCCCAGCACTTTGGGAGGCTGAGGCGGGTGGATCACGTGGTCAGGAGATCGAGATCATCCTGACTCACACAGTGAAACCCCATCTCTACTAAAAATACAAAAATTAGCCAGGTGTGGTGGCATGTGCCTGTAATCCTAGCTACTCGGGAGGCTGAGGCAGGAGAATCGTTTGAATCCGGGAGGCAGAGGTTGCAGTGAGCCAAGATCATGCCACTGCACTCCAGCCTGGGTAACAGAGCAAGAGTCTGTCTCAAAAAAAAAAAAAAAAAAAAAAAAAAAAAAAAAAAAAAAAAAAAATTCCTCAATCTCAACATCAAAAAACCAAACCATCCACTTAAAAAATGGGCAAAAGACATGAAGAAAAATTTTACTGAAGAGAATATGCAGATGGCAAATAAGCACATGAGAAGGTGTTCAATCTTATTAGCTATTAGGGAAATGCAAATTAAAACCATAATGAGGTATCACCATACACCTATCAGGATGTGAGAGAGAGAAAGAGAGAGAGACAGAGAGAGACAGAGAAACATGAAAAATAGTGATATCATCAAATGCTGGCCAGGATGTGGAGAAACTGGATTACTCATACATTACCAGTGGAAAGGTAAAATGGGACAACCACTCTGGAAAACAGTTTGGCAGTTTCTTAAAAACCTAAACATACAACTACCATATGACTCAGCAATTGCACTCTTGGGCATTTATCACAAAGAAAGGAAGACTTATATTCACACAATAAACTAAACAAATGTTTATAGCAGTTTTATTTGCAATAGCCAAAAACTGAGACAATGCAGATGTCCTTTAATGGGTGAATGGTGAATGGTGCAGTGATAAAGAATAAGCTTTTGACGCACACAACACAGTAAACTGTGTATCTCCAGAGAATAGCACTGAGTTGAAAAAGCCATTCTCAAAAGGCTACACAATGTATGATTCCATTTATACAATATTCTTACAGTGACAGTGTTGCAGAAATAGAGAACGGGTTAGTGGTTTCCAGAGGTTAGGGAGGGGACAGCTACAAAAAGGCAACTTGGGGGACCATTATTGTGATTGAAATGTTCTCTAATTTTGCCCCGTCCATGTCAATATTTTGGTTGTGACACTAATCTTAAAATAAAATGTATAATTAAAAAATAAATACATTATATTCAAACACAGGTAAATACATTATATTAAAAATAAAGGTACTAAACACTCAAAATTCATGACTTCCCAATTATTTTGTTACTTTTACTATTGTCTATATTCTGGAAGTTATTTATGTCTGTTATATCTGTATGGTGGAAATATTCTATAGTGATGTGCTATGGCACATTTCTTCCCAATTCTGCATTCAGTGATGTCACACTAATAGTTTGAAATTGGCCATTGTGGGAGTATTTACACCAGAGAAATCAGCAGACACTACAAATTAGGTCCTCCCCTCCTTTTTTTCGTAGATGGTTGTTAAACTTTTACCGGGACTGCTTTTAAGTTAGGGAATTTCTCATGCATAGGAAGTGGGTTTAGATGCTGGATGACTCCACCTCCCAAATAGCAAATGTCAATCAAAAAATGGATAATGTCTCAGATCAGTTATAGAGGAGGAAGAAGCTGGCTCTTCCTAAGGCTATTTCCTCTCTACCTCATTGCTTCCCTCATTTTATAAAAGGCTGTTGTGGACTGTGGTTGAAGCAGATGCTGGAGGAATGGAATCCTGGCTGTTTATAATCTCATTTCTTTAATATCCAGCATAGAGATGGCAGGATGGTAAAACTACAAAAAAATGGAGTTTTATGAATGCTCAGATCTCTTTTACACTTTTCCCTAGGCACTGCTGTTTCTAATCTTTCTCCATCAAAGTCAAATCCTTTTGTTAGCATTTTGATCTAGGGACCATGTAGCTAGTTATCAGCTTTGCTCTTCTGCAAGCTTTTCCATTCCTTGTGTGTCTAATTGGCCATAAATGAGATGGAAGCGGGAAGAGATGGGCCTGTGGATCTGATGAACCATCCTAGTCTATATTACAGCTATGGTGAAAGGTCCAAAGGCCAGGTCTGTATAGACAAGGGGCCACATGGTCATTGGTTTTAAGGAGTTCTCTTCACCCACTAGAGTTACGAAACTGGCACTGGCAGCATCCGTGGTCCTTGCCTCACAGAGAGGGGGGACCTCTCTGTAGCCACAGTGTGGCCAACACAGAACCGGGCAGAGATAAGAGACAGACAGACAGACAGAATCTTTTTTGGGCTGAGTCCCTGGGAACCTTTAAGTTCCTGGTCCCTGCAGCTTGTCCTCCCTAGCTAAATTCCATTTTCGGTTTAGGCAAATTCTAGTTGAGTTGTTTGGCACAAGCAGCTGAAAAAATTCCAGATAAACACATTCCCTACAGAGCACCCCTCATCCATATAGCCTCTCTTTCCTCCTCTGGCTCCACTCTGGAAACTATAAATGTGATCTAAAACTTCCAGTCGCAACCTAAAACCATGGGACACCTTTCCACCTAGAGATTTGGTTAACTTTGAAAGATAGGCTTCAGAGGTCCCCTGAGAAGCTGCCTTTCTCCTCTGTGCTGCATCCAGCCACAGAGTTGAGTCAGAGGCAGGGAAACAGCATGATTCTGCTGTTTTACAGCCTGAAAGAAACATCTGGACGGGAATGCACTTTTTTCTTTTTCAGAATACAAGAAACCTCCAAAAATCAAGCCGAATGTTTTTGAGAAACATTTTGTGGTGGTAAACGGATTGGGTGCAAAGACACCTCCGTCTTTGATTCCCATAGTCCCTGATTTATTTTGGCATGGGAGTGTCTGTAGTGCTACCATTCAGCCACATGTTAATTTTTTGTCTACGCAAGGTTGTAAACTGCATATGGTTTATTTCAATTAGCTTAATTGTTTTTGGTATTTAATAGCTAATTGTCTTAATTAGCTTCCAAAGCACAACAATGCTAAGAACGGTAATGACTACATCTTATCCATATGGTTACAGAAGACAGATGACTCAATTTCCCATCCTCAGGCTGTGTGAGTCTCAGGAGGACAGGGCAGATGTGCAAGGAAGAAGATGGATGTCCTCAAGAGAGCTGGCCCGGCCTTGAATGCAAAAACCTGAATATTAAGAATAAATGAGGAGGTGATGGACAGGGAAATAAAGCAGGAGAATGAAGGATTTATGGAGGACTCAAGTCATCTATTTCCTTAATGTAGATACCATGCAGTGATGCTGGGTGAATAATAATAAGAATAACAACAAATTTCACAGTGCCAGCAGGCTATATTGGCTCTGATCTGAAGAGGCAATGTTTGAAGACCAAATTGTGGGACATTGAGAGTGAGAAATGCCCTGTGGTGCAATCAGTCTTAGGAATAGCTGGTACCAGTCAAAGCCTGGGTGACATTTCTCTGGCAAATCTGGATCAGAAGTAGTTCATACCTAGTGCCTGGCATATATTAGGAGCTTAATATATGCTTTAATCAGCATCTGCCAGGAAATCCTGGGGGCTCAACCTTCAAAATCTATCTCTAACCTGACACTTAGCATCTCCTTTACTGCTGCATCCTGGTCTGATCCACCACTGTCTTTCACCTGGCTGCCTCTCCCAGCCTCCCAACTGGTCTCTTTCCATCTACCCTCAGCCCCTCTGTGTTTACTCTCAAAGCATAGCTAAAGGAATCCTTTAAAAGCAGAAATCATATCATATCCCTGCTCTTCTCAGAACCCTCCAATGGCTCCCATCTCACTTGGGATAAAAGCCAGAGTCCTTGCAATGACCAATAAAGTCCTTCTCCATCCTGTTGTGCCTTTCTGAGTTCATCTCCCACCATTCCCCAGCCCCCTCCGCTGTGCCACACTTAATTCCTTCACCTGTTCATGCTTTAGGGCTGTACTGCTTGAGTCATTTCCACTAGCCACATGCAGCTACTTAACATCAACTAAAATTAAAAGTTGAGGCTGGGCGTGGTGGCTCACCTCTGTAATCCCAGGTGAAGGAAAGAGATTTAATTGACTCACAGTTCCGTGTGGCTGGGGAGGCCTCAGGAAACTTACAATCATGGTGGAAGGTGAAGGAGAAGCAAGCACCTTCTTTACATGGCGTCAGGAAAAAGAGAGTGAGGGGGCACCTGCTAAACACTTTTAAACCATCAGATCTCGTGAGAACTCACTCAATCACTATCACGAGAACAGCGTGGGGGAAACCACCCCCATGATCCGATCACCTCCCACCAGGTCCCTCTCTTGACACATGGGGATTACAATTCTAGATGAGATTTAGGTGGGGACACAGAGCCAAACCATATCAGCAAGACCCTGTCTCTACAAAAAATTTAAAAATTAGCTGAGTGTGGTGGTGTGTGCCTGTGGTCCTAGCTACTGTGAGTCAATTAAACCTCTTTTCCTCATAAAGGTAGGAGGAGAGACTGAGGTGGGAGAATCACTTGAGCCCAGTAATTTGAGGCTGCATGAGCCATGATTGTGCCACTGCATTCTAGCATTTCTCAAAAGAAAGGAAGAAGGAAGGAAAGAAAGAAAGAAAGAAAGAAAGAAAGAAAGAAAGAAAGAAAGAAAAAAGTTGAGTCCCTTAGTTGCACTAGCCACGTTTCAAGTGCTCAATTGCCACAGGTGGCCTGTAGCTATTGTATTGCACAGCACAGGTAGAAAGCATCATTCCAGAAAGTTCCATTGCACAGTGCTGCCTTAAGGACTTTAAACTGTCTGGAGAGCTCTTTCCAAAGATATCCACTTGGCAAACTCCCTCAACTCCTGAATCTTTGCTCATATGTCACTATTTCCATGAGGCCCACACTGACCACTCAATTTAAAATCTCAACCCACAGCCCAGCTCCCCACTGCAAGCATTCCTGCTCCCTTGCTCTGCTCACTTTTTTTCTATAGCACTTAACACCTTATAGTGTCTTATACAATATAATCATTTATCACACTCCCTGGTTACTATCAGGCTCCCCCCATGAAAATGTATTCTCCACTAACTGAGGGTTTTTTGGGTCAATTTTGTCCACTGTTGTATCCCCAGCACCTAGAAGAGTTCCTGGCACAGAGTGAGCACTCACCAAATATTGTCAGAAGAGTTAGTTAATGGATCAACACATTTATTGGGCACCTGCTATCTTCCAAGCTCTTTGCTAGACACTGGGTATTGCAGAAAATCAGGAGGGCAAGAGAGACCTCAGGGTACACAGGAGGATCTTTTATTAAGTGTCCTCAGACCCAGTGGACTCAACGTCCAAAGACTGGACCCTGAACAAAGACAAGGTTTTGCTTATATACCCACTCCTAAGTGGCACGAACACGAATGTACAGAGGCAAGACAAAGGCCATTAATCAAACTAAGGCAGGCTCATAACTCAGGTTCAGTATACTCCTTACTATGCAGCCCAGATGGTCATTATCTGGTTAGTTCAAAGGAGTTTCACAAAGACTCATCTTGCAACCCCCACCATGGTGTCTAGCTGGCTGCAAGCTAGACCTGCTCAGGCATGTCTGGTAACCTTTGCTATACTGCTTAGGTGAAGAAGCAGGAACCTACAATCATTAACTATGGGAAAAACAGGAACTCATAAAATTTACAGAGCAAGGAGCAAGGTATAGTCACATAGTAGAGGGGATGGGATTCGAGGGGAAGTTTACTTACACTAAAGGGGAGCTAGGAAAACTTATCTCTTCACATCGTTATGTTGAGGGAGAACTAGGAGAGTCTTCAGAGCACATTCCTTTGAGCTCTGGCCCTTAGATAACATTATCAAAACGTTGCCTGTTACTGCCTTTGAAATGAGTCAGCCTAATACAGGCAGCTTGTTTTTTCTCTTTTTTAATTTCTATTTTTCTTTCTTTCTTTAATTTTTCCCACCTCACGGGGATTCACAGAAAAATTATAGAGAAATTGTTCCCACCTTTATGGAGTTTCTATTCTAGGGGGAGAAACAAGTAAACAAGTACCTCATGCAAATTCTGGAAAGTCCTACGAAAGAAACAAATAAGGAGCAGAAGTAGAGAAGTGTGTGTGTGTGTGTGTGTGTGTGTGGAGTGAGGGTGCTGGGTAGGGAGGCTGTGATGAAGTCAGGCAAGCTTTGTAAGGAAGTACAAGTATTGAAGAGTATTCCAGAGGAAATACTCTCTGTGTGGAGACTCTGATGCCAGCAGGAATGCATGCATGGGTGAGGGAATGCTGCTCAGAGGTGACTGGTGAATCAGAATCATCATAGATCAGTCACCAAGTGGGGGCTGCCTTCTGTGGCAGTGCTACCTGAACTGTAGTCTTGAACCAGAAGCATTGCATCATCTGGGATCTTGTTAGAAATGCAAATTCATAAGCCAATTCTAGCCCTGAGAATCTGTGTTTTCCCAAGCCCTCCAGGTAATTCTGATGTGCCCTGTTCTAGAGCACTGTATCCCTCTATAGAATATAGGCACATGGTGAGTACCCCATAACCATTGCTTGAAGGAATGAATGAATGAATAAAGGAAAGGACAAATATAAACCCCCTCCCTGCCACTCTCCCCCATGCCTGTTCTCCTTCATGTTCTCATACTTTGGTGGAAGCTCAGATGATCATTAGCATGAACACAAAGCCATGCTTTCTTTGTTGAGCCAGAGGGCAATCATTAAGTGCAAGAATGAAGAAGGAAATACCTGAGTGTCACAGGAATTCAGAGATCTAGATTTAGAAAGGAGGATGAAAGGCATTCCTGATGGGGGAAAGCAATGGCTTGAGGCTGGGAGGAGCATGGCTTGACCTGGGGAGAGAAAGAGGTGCCCAGCCAGAATGGGCAGTTTGTGTGAGAGGAAGTGGGGAGTATGCTGGAAGGTGGAGTAGGTCCTGCCTGGGACAGGTCTCTACTGCTGGTGTAGGAAATGCACAGTAGGCAAGGGGAGCTGGTCTCTGAATGCTTTTAAGGAAGATATTGTTACCACTTGCAAGCTATTGGAGTGACAAAATATACAGTGGGCTTGGCATTGTGTAAAGCTGCGGTCCCCAACCTTTTTGGCACCAGCGAACAGTTTTGTGGAAGACAATTTTTCCATGGATGGGCGAATGGTTTCTGGATGAAACTGTTCCACCTCAGATAGTCAGGTATTAGTTAGATTCTCATAAGGAGCATGCAACCTAGATCCCTCGCATGCACAGTTCACAATAGGGTTTACGCTCCTAGGAGAATCTAATGTTGCTGCTGATCTGACAGGAGGTGGAGCTCAGGCGGTAATGCTCGCTGGGCCTGCTGCTCGCCTCCTGCTGTGCAGCCAGGTTCCCAACAGGCCACGGACTGGTGCTAGTCCTCGGCCTGGGGGTTGGGGATCCCTGTTGTAAAGAATACCTTAGCTGTGCATTTCATGTTTGATAAAGCAGGAAGGTACTGTCACCCGCTAGTGCTTTCTATGTGTCACACACTGGTCTAAGCATTTTATATGCACAACGCTCATCTGATCCTCAGAATCCAATGAAACACCTACTCTTTATTACTTGGCCAAGAAGGGGACTGTGGCACAGAGAGGTCAAGTAACTTGCCTAAGATCACCCAGCCAATAAGCGGTAGAGCCCATATTGAACCCCAGCAGTCTGGTTGCTCTACACAAGGCTGCCTCGGCTATCCTGAGTCTAAAAGACCTTGGAAGGCAGTTCTCCACCTTGCTCCTCACCTGTCCCCTTGGAGGCCTTCATGGCTCTTCCTTCCTGGCTCTTTCTTTCTCTTCTCTGGCTCTGTCCTCTTCATGGGTCCCATCACTCCTTCCTTTACCTTATGGTTTCTGTGGTTAGTGTGTCAACCAGTTAGTGTCGGTAGGTGTATTAACCTGTTTTCATGCTGCTGACAAAGACATATCCAAGACTGGGAAGAAAAAGAGGTTTAATTGGATTTACAGTTCCACATGGCTGGGGAGGCCTCAGAATCATGGCAGGAGGTGAAAGGCACTTCTTACTTGGCGGTGGCAAGAGAGAATGAGGAGGAAGCAAAAGCAGAAAACCCTGATAAACCCATCAGATCTCATGAGACTTATCCACTATCATGAGAATAGCACGGGAAAGACAGGCCCCCATGATTCAATTACCTCCCCTTGGGTCCCTCCTACAACAAGTGGGAATTCTGGGAGATACAATTCAAGTTGAGATTTTGGTGGCGACACAGGCTAACCGTATCAGCAGGGAAAATTCTGTTGTGCAAAAGGAGGAGGGAGCTATGGGCGCGGTCCCAGGTCTGGCAGGGGTAGATTTGAATTTTGTGGAGCCTGAAGTTTATACTTAGAGGTCTTCTTTGAGAAAAAGCATACAAAAATGTCTTATTTCTGCAAATTTTACAAAACCATTGACCAGGTGAGTCATGCCTTACCCTACCCAGAGCTCAGGAGGGGCCCTCATTAGCTTCTCAGGAAACCTAACCTTCTTCTGGGCCTGGGACTGGCTTTTCTAGCCACTCAAGGGGGGAAATTCTACAAGATAAGCATCTTTCTCTTGCTAACCCTGAGATCCCCTCAGAGCAAAAGTCAAGTGCATTAGGCCGGGCGCAGTGGCTCATACTTGTAATCCCAGCACTTTGGGAGGCCAAGGTGGGTGGATCACTTGAGGTCAGGAGTTTGAGACCAGCCTGGCCAACATGGTGAAACCCCGCCTTTACTAAAAATACAAAAGTTAGCTGGGTGCGGTGGTGCACGTCTGTAATCCCAGATACTTGGGAGGCTGAGGCACGAGAATCGTTTGAACATGTGGGGTGGAGGTTACAGTGAGCCAAGATCACACCAGCCTGGGTGACAGAGCAAGACTCTGTGTCAAAAAAAAAAGAAAAAACAAAAAAAGCCTAACGCATTAATATGCTCCTGGAATTTCTTTTTGCCACCCCACCAAAGCCTTGGGGTGGCCCTTCTATCACTGTAGCTTGGAAAGGGCAAGAAAACTCCATCTGCCTCATTTAGGAAAGTAGTGGTTTACTAAAGGGCAAGGTGGTAGGGAGAGGGCTCTGCAGTGTTTGAGTCCAGTTAGGACCCCACTGCTGTAAATTGAGATGTGTGAACTGCCTGCTGAAAGAGGAGCTGGTGTTTTCCTGGCTGGGCTCCAGAGGACAGGCTGTCATCGGCTGCAGTGAATGCTCCCAGCTCCTTTCCCTTTGCTGGCTTCGTACTTATTTTAGCCTGTTCTGCACGCATTTTGTAAATACGGTCCAATCAGGGAGTGACCTGGCTTCTGCCTCAGCAAAGCCCTGGATTTTTTTTTTTTTTTAAATGTAAGTAATTTATCAGGTTCAAAGCTAAATAAGAGCTTCTATAAACAGGTCTTTTCCCAGATCACCATTTGGGCTGGCAGGGCCAACCTGCCAGAAATGGGTTCTGGCCTGTCCTTAAGAGGGGGCACAATCAGGGTGGCTTTAGAAATATTAATTGAGAGGTTTCAATAGGATGGCTCCAGCCAGGAGGGGCAGAGAGACAAACCAGTTGGTGGAGGAGAGACCTGAGGATGAGTGGATGAGGGTGAAGTGGGGGAGTTATGGGTGGGGAGAGGGGACTCAAGCCCATGTATTTTCTACCATCATGACCCCCTAGGTGTTTTTTTTTTTTTTTTTTTGAGATGGAGTCTCGCTCTGTCACCCAGTCTGGAGTGCAGTGGCGTGATCTTGGCTCACTGCAACCTCTGCCTCTCGGGTTCAAGCGATTCACCTGCCTCAGCTCCTGAATAGCTGGGTCTACAGGTATGTGCCACCACGCCTAGCTAGTTTTTGTATTTTTAGTAGAGACAGGGTTTCACCATATTGGCCAGGCTGGTCTCGAACTCCTGACCTTGTGATCCGCCTGCCTCGGCCTCCCAAAGTGCTGGGATTACAGGCGTGAGCCACTGCGCCCAGCTGACCCCCTAGGTTTTGAGGAATGAATGTGCCACTCCAAAGAGGGTGACGTATGGTCCCAGCCTGTCTACTGTCAGCTTCACTGTGTGGTCGTCAACTTGTACTGTCAACTTCACCAGGATTCTCCAGGGGCTAACATAGGCATTAAAAGCACTCACTTGATATTCAAATATTCCCTCTTTCCATTTTCTTCTCCCTCTGCCTCAGAGGAAATTGACTGTAAATGGCAACTTCACAGACCGTCCTGAGCTGCACGTTGAAGCTAAGCCAGCAGCCCTGGGATTTACAATCATAACCTCTTGGAATTGAACTATTAACTAATCCAAACACGAGTATATTAAGTCACCAACCCTGGCTTGAGCAATTACCGAAGTCTCTTCAGTCAATAGTTCTAAAATGGTTGGAACTGCTGCCTCTTTAATCAGATCTCAAGCTTCGAGAGGCTGCGTCTCCCTTTTTCCTGAAGGAATTGCAGGGGCCTGAGTGAGATGTTTCCCTCGCTCCTCCCGCCCCAGGAACAATGTGATTAGTTTGAAGCCTGAAGATGGTGAGGCTGAAAATTAAGTGTTAAATGTTCAGGTTTCTTGAAGTCTGTCCAGTTGTTTTAAGAAGTACCATGTTGGCCGGGTGTGGTGTCACACACCTGTAATCCCAGCACTTGAGGAGTCTGAGGCAGGAGGATTGCTTGGGCCCAGGAGTTCAAGACCAGCTTGGGCAATAGAGTGAGACTTTATTTCTACAATTTTTTTTTAATTAGCCGGGCATGTTGGTGTGTGTCTATAGTCCCAGCTACTTGGGAGGCTGAGGCTGAGGTGGGAGGATGGCTTGAGCCCGGGAGGTTGAGGTTGCAGTGAGCTGTGATCACGCCACTGCACTCCAGCCTGGATGATAGAGTGAGACCTTGTCTAAAAAAAAAAAAAGGACCATATTATTTGAACAACAGGAAGCAGAGCAACAGGCAGAGCTCACCTAGAAACAGAGATGATAAGTGAGTTGTAAAGGAAATACTTGTTGAAGGTAACAAGTTAATAAGGCAGATAGGCCTTGAGAGCAGGATTTGTTCTGATCCAGGTCACGGTGCAGTGAATAGTAGTCCTGACTCTGAATGTGTGAGCTTGGCCTGACACATCTCCCTTCTGACTGAGGCTGCTCTTGATCATTGGTTGCTGAAGAGTTGGGGTGGGGGTTGCAGGTGATACATGCACAACGTTAAGCAACATCATGAGAAAGGGATTAATTTTTTTTTTTTAATGCAGGGTCTCGCTCTGTCTCCCAGGCTGGAGTGCAGTGGCTCGATCTCAGCTCACTGCAACCCCCGCCTCCTGGATTCAAGTAATTCTCCTGCCTTAGCCTCCCGAGTAGCTGGGATTCTAGGCGCCTGCCACCAAGCCCGGCTAATTTTTGTATTTTTAGTAGAGACGGGTTTCACCATGTTGGCCAGGATGGTCTCGAACTCCTGGGCTCGAGTGATCCGCCCACCTCAGCCTCAGCCTCCCAAGTAGCTGGTATTACAGATGTGAGCCACCATGCCCGGCCAAAGGATTCTGTTTGGTGCCAGACTGGCTGGGTTGGAATCCTGGCCTTACCATTTAGTATGTAAGTGACCATGAGCAAGTTACTTAATCTCTCCGTGCCTCAGTTTCCACATTTCTCAAGGTAATAAGATTGATACCTGCCTTTTGGTGTTGTCACGAGAGCTGTGCCTGGCACAGTTTTGTGTAAGTGTTTCCTGTTATAATGATGAATTTACTTTTAATTCTGATTTAATAAAGAGAAGATCTCAGTTTGGTGCTAATATGTTTTCAACAACCTCTCTTAGCACTTGCTAATCTCCTTTTAACAGAGAGCAGGGATTAATTTGTGAGAGTTTTTCATTACATTTATTTTTATGGTTATCTCACATTTTGCACTTATATGGCAAGAGAAATTGGTTTTCCCTTTTATAACAGTGACATAAAGTTTTTTTTAGAAAGTAACTTTATTTAAATACAGTGTGAGTTGACTTAAGCAAAAAGTATTAAGAAAATTATAAATCTAAGTGTGATGTGACGAAGGCAAAAATTCTGAAGGTGGGACCCAGGTGACAGAAGTTTGGGAAGCAGTAGACTCCCAATCTCACCTGAAGGAACTTCCAGCGCAAACATCTTTCTTGTTTTTTTTTTGAGACGGAGTCTTGCTCTGTTGCCTGGGCTGGAGTGCAGTGTCGCAATCTCGGCTCACTGCAACCTGCGCCTCCCAGGTTCAAGCTATTCTCCTGCCTCAGCATCCTAAGTAGCTGGGACTACAGGCGCCCGCCACCACGCCCAGCTAATTTTTTGTATTTTTAGTAGAGATGGGGTTTCACCGTGTTAGCCAGGATGGTCTCGATCTCCTGACCTTGTGATCCACCCGCCTCGGCCTTCCAAAGCACTGGGGTTACAGGCGTGAGCTTCCGCGCCCGGCAAAGCATTTTTCGAATGAGGATACCTCTGGGCATTTTTATATTCAGGAAGAAGCTTCAGCAGGAAGCGTCCTCTGGCTTCCGCCCGGCTTCCTTTTGCTCTTCCATCTGTGCACGGCCACAGAGACGAGTCACTGGGTCAGTTGAGTGACTGCCCCATCCCATGGCCGTACGATCCCTGCCCCGTGATACTGCAACCCTCTGACTCTGGGATGGGGGTTCCCAGAAGAAACAGGCAGACTCTTAATCAGTGCATGGCATCTGGGGAGTCACACAACATCAGAGCAATTTAGATCATTTACACCAGTTGTACGCAACGGATGCAGTTTGGTTAAGCCTGAACCCACGACTGGCTTCCCTTCCCAGGCATCAGATACCTTCATGCCTCCTGAATGAGAAAGAAAGCAGGTCTGCCAAGTCTCAGGAAGGCAAAGCGAATGTCAGTAGCTATTTCTATGGAGGGAGGAGACCGGGTGAAATTAGATGAGAGCATAAAGACCGGAGAATGTGTTTTTAAGCACCATGGGCAAATAAATTGAAAAAGATGGAAATGTTAAATTCTGAAAATTTTAATCTGAGTAATTACAGAGAAACAGGTTTGGGGCCCATGTAAGGAAGATTTGGGTAGCATAAGCCAGAAATTAATGGATCATATTGGTGGTTGAAATATAGGCCTTTAATGAGACCCCCAACTGGAGAATCTGTTTC
This sequence comes from Homo sapiens, assembly GCF_000001405.40. Classification (NCBI taxonomy): domain Eukaryota; kingdom Metazoa; phylum Chordata; class Mammalia; order Primates; family Hominidae; genus Homo; species Homo sapiens. The sequence continues at coordinate 219,669,038 of NC_000002.12, forward strand.
TACAGTTCGGTATCTTGGACCTCCAATTTCAGCTCTCCAAGGGAAACCATCCTGGAGCGGTTTGTGCCAGCTCTGAACAAGTCCTCTCTGAGGACAGGTAGGCTGCGGTCTCCACCAGAATGTCCTTCTTTCCTCCAATGTCCCTATTTGCACCTTTGGTATTCCTGTTACATTGGTCCCTGGGTGAGAAACCTTTGGGGCCACAGTTCAATTTCCCTTCTCTTTCTTTTCTCCACCCAGACAGTTATCAAGTCCTCAAATATTTTCTGTGCGATTACTAATATTACTAAATATTTTCTGTTCTCCATTCACACTGCCCTCTTCTTCAACCAACCCTTCATTCAGTAAATATCAAGTGCCTGATATGTGTTGGAACTCGACTTGTGTCACCTCATGCCTGAATCCTTGATCTGGAGTCCCCATAGAGTTAAGCATAATCAGTGCTCAGGAAGTATTTACTGAATTGATATAAGGGTGTCTCAGTCTTCTCTGTCCTGCTGCAGATGTTTTTTGTTGGCTTAGTGGGGAGATCAAAGCTCTCATGAAACCCTAGTCTAGCGGGAATCCCTAGAACTTCCCTGAAATTGACATCCTCACGGGCCTCAGGCCTGGGGATCCACCCCTAGCCCTTCCCTGTCTTCCCAAAACATCCTAAACTGGGAGTATGAGAGGAGGGCTGGACAGCTGTGGACTTTAATTCATTGAGTGCCCAGATGGTCAAATAAATGAAGGTATGAGTCTGCAAGCAGCTGAGGAGTGGAGTTATCGGTTGCTCACCCAAGATGCTTTGTCTTACCTCTTTGATTTCCAAGCTAATCTATCCCCTGCTTTTTTTCTTTAATCAGTTGACTGTTCAGAGATTCTTTTTGCATTGGGAGGATCTAAGTACATTTATTACTAAAGGTAATTAACAAATCATATGGAAATATTTATGTATTCAAATTCAATCCCTGTGTGAAGAAATACCTTGATGTAAACAGGGTGCTTTATTCTAGATAGACATATTTGTTCCTTGTTCATTGACTACATAATCAGACAATAATGCTGTGGGTGCACATTTGAGTTAGGGGGAAGAAGCCTCTTAACTTTCCATGGTACAATTCTCAGTAGAATCCCCTCCTGGTAAATATTTTTATTCTGGAATAATATGCCATAGTGTTTATAGAAAGATTTCTTATTCAACAGTAAAATGGTTGTATTATTTTGATTGCATTCTTAGTCCTTGGTAATTGTCTCATTTTTCTTTCATAAAAGGAACTCAGACACCTAACACAATTGTACTTCAACACCAATTCAGCTCATTATGAAGAATTCTGCCGATAGAATTCTGTGAGTTGTGAATATCTTCTTTGCCCACATTTAGTTTTCTCAAATCGTCTGTAATTCATGGGTAGCACAGATGTTTCCAGCTGTTGGAAAATGAAGCTTGAAGTTCATGCCGATAAGGAGAAAAATATCTAATTCAAATTCCAAGAATTGTTTGACCTAAATCAATTTCAACTTGAGAAAACGGGGTCAACTCTCTGTACCCCACAAGAATCACCCTGGTGATTAAAAAGTAAATCTTGAAGAATTAAATTATGTTGCTGTTCAGCTTTCATATGCACACTTAGGAAAAAAAACAGAGCATCAAAGGCTGTTGGAATAACTCAATTTAGTGATGATGGCAGAGCGTTGCTGAAAAAGAGCTTTCTAGGCAGCGAGCTTTGCTCGGGGGAACTGCTGCAAACTTCAGTTGGTATCTGAGAGAAAAGGAGAGGTCTTTCAGATGAATAATTTTATGACTTTCAACCACACACATACAGCTTGAATATCAAATTATTTTAAATGAGAACTTCAAAAAGATCCACCTGTCAAATGAATAAAAAGCCCCAAACAGTTGCCTAACAGAACAAAGAGATTTGGATTCAAATGCCAAACAGAGATGGGACGAGGCGAGACTTTATTGTGCCGGCATCCCCAAGACACATGTATGAGTTAGAGTTCACCCTCCGATGGATGTGGGGGTCTCTTCATCCACTTGGGTTGCTATGACAAGATTCTTTGGGATGCGTAATCTATAAACAACAGAAATTTATTTTTCACAGTTCCGGAGGTTGAGAGATCTGAGATCAACAGAAGGGGTGAACAGCTTCCTTATACCTCTTTTATAAGGCCACTAATCCCACCCATGAGAGCTTAATCACCCCCTAAACAGGCCCCATGTCTTAACACATCACATCGTTGATTAGCTTTCAACCTATGAATTTTGCAAGGACACATTCAGGCTATAGTGGGGGGCATTGAGCCTCAGGATTTCAAAGATCATCAAATCCATCCCTCCTTGTTTCGAGAGTGAAAACACAGAGGCCAGAACACAGGTGTCCTGCCAGCTGCAACCCCACCCCACTCAGTGAGTCTAGACACGTTCCACGTTAGCGTTCTCTTGAGTAGCATGGAGAAAAATTAGTGATTGATAAAGTGCTCTGGTCTGTGGGACTAATGAAAGACAATGATTTATGTGTCACTCTTCCTAGATGATATTTGCATTTTAAAGGAGGGCTTCAATACCTTCGGCTCAAAGGAATGAGCTAAGGCAAGGATTTTCAGGCAACTGAATCAGAATGAGAGATTCCTCTCCTATCTTCCCCTCATATGTTTCATATCAAACAAACGAGTATGCATATATCAAGGTATCTACTGAGTGTTGTGGAGAAAGAACTGCCATGGATTGCAAGATTCTAATTCTTGTCCTGCTCTCATTTAAAACAACTTGAATATGATTCACCCATGTAATCCAAAACCACTTGTACCCCTAATGCTACTGAAATACAATTTTTAAAAAACCAATTTGATATTCAAGCAGGATGTATACACTTGAAAACCTTAAAATTATTCCTTTGAAAAGGTCTGCCACCCAAGGACCCACATGTGACCCGGGTATCTGATGTGGTTTTGCTGTGTCCGCACCCAAATCTCATCTCGAATTGTAATCCCCACTTGTCAGGGGGAGGTACTTGATCAGGGAGGTGATTGGATCATGGGGGCAGATTTTCCCCATGCTGTTCTCGTGATAGTGAGTAAGTTCTTATGAGATTTGATGGTTTAAAAGTGTGGCACTTCCCCGCTTGCTCTGTCTCTCCTGCCGCCTTGTGAAAAAGGTGCCTGCTTCCCCTTTGCCTTCCTCCATGATTGTAAGTTTTCTGGGGCCTCCCTAGCCAGGCGGAACTGTGAGTCAATTAAACCTCTTTTCTTTATAAATTACCCAGTTTCAGGTAGTTTTTTATAGCAGTGTGGGAATGGACTAATACAAAATCCAAGTTGATCTTCAGGAAGCTAGGCACAGGGATATTTGCCCTGGATTTCTTCTCTCTCAGGGAAGTTGTGAGCAAGATATAGGCTCATGAAAGTGCAAATGCTCTGTAAATTGGGATCTGAGATGGGGGTTCTGATTTTCATCAGCTGGGATGGAGTGCTGCTTTTGCCAACAGCAATGTCTCTGCCGCCCAGTGGCCACCTTGGCTGGCTTACTCAGTCTCCAGTCTGCCCCTAAATTTTGGCGGCCTGGAGTGCAACATGACCCCAGGGGAGGAGGGGTGCCTAAGGGATTCATGGTGGCCATGCAGGTCAGTTCCTCCCCACTAGCGCCCAGACCATGGGTCCTCTGGGAAAGCACCTGAAGCCCCCCCACTCTCACTGGCCCAAGAAAAATGACAGGTTTTGTCTTTCTGCCTCTCTTCCATGCTTCTCTTTTATCTGATTCCTCTGATCTCTATTCTCCAGTACTGTATGTCTATTCTCCCATTCTGCCTTATCATTTGCTGGTCTTTAAAAATTTATATAAGGTCCTCATTAGAATTTAAAAATGTTTCTGCTGGGTGTGGTGGCACACACCTGTAATCCCAGCACTTTGGGAGGCAGAGGTGGGTGAATTGCTTGAGCCCAGGAGTTCGAGACCAGCCTGGGCAACATGGCAAAACCAAAAAATACAAAAATTACCTGGGCATGGTGGCATGCACATATAGTATAGTCCTAGCTATGCAGGAGGCTGAGGTGGGAGGATCACTTGAGCCTGGGTAGTAAAGGCTGCAGTGAGCTGAGATCATGCCTCTGCATTCCAGCCTGGGCAATAAAGTAAGACCCTGTCTAGGAGAAAAAAAAAAATTAAACATTTTTTCTTCATGTAGATTCCGTACATTTCTTATTAGGTGTATCTGTATGTAGCCTTTTTGTTTGTTTTTACTTTTTTGAATTGCTACCTTTTTTTTTTGAGACAGTGTCTTGCTTTGTTGCCCAGGCTGGAGTGCAGTGGTGCGATCTTTGCTCACTGCATCCTCCACCTCCTGTGTTCAAGCGATTCTCGTGCCTCAGCTTTTCGAGTAGCTGGGATTACAGGTGTCTGCCACCACGCCCAGCTAATTTTTGTATTTTTAGTAGAGACAGGGTTTTGTCATGTTGGCCAGGCTGGTCTTGAACTCCTGACCTCAGGTGATCCGCCCACCTCAGCCTCCCAAAGTGCTGGGATTACAGGTGTGAGCCACAGCTCCCAGCTGATTGCGGCTTTTTAAATGGGATTTTTTTCTTTCATTTTATTTTCCAATCAGTTGTGTGTATGTAGCAAGCTATTGACTCTCATACATACATTTTTATAGCTAGCCATCTTATCGAATTATCCTATTGATTTTAACAGTTTTGTTTTTGTTTTTGTTTTAACTCTATTCTCTTTGGTTTTCCAGGTGTAGAGTCAAAACTAGTTGCAAATAATTATAATATTATCTTCTCTGTTATGTTTATGACTTTTATTCTCCCATGGCAATGGTGAGTTTCAGTGCTGAACATGGACATTTCCTGTCTTCTTGGGTTTTCCATTTGGTTTCTTCTGAGAATTCTGCTTCTCTGATTTTGTTTATGATTTGGGATATTGAACCTGAGTTCTGACCTGGGCTCTCACTGGTTCTGGGGAGTGAAGGTCAGGGGCTCAGAGGATCCTTAGAATTGGGGGTCCACAAGGCTGGTGGACTGTTTAATCCTCTCCTCCACGTCCACAACTCATATCCCTGTCCCATCGTCCCTCCTCCTTCCTGGTGCTTCCTCCAGCTTGACTTGTAGTCTTGGGAGCTTAGCAAGTTGATTTTAGGGAAAGGAAAACCAAGAAAGGAATGGTTACAAAACTCTAGGATTATTTCAATGGATGGATTTTATAATTAGAGAAATACACTGTGGATGTATTTCTAAGTATATTTTTGCATTAAAAAATACAACTCAAGCACTATTAGGTGCCATGAACAGAAATCAAACTCAAGCCAGCTTACATTTGGAAAAGGCAAATTCATTGACTCCTATCACCAAGCTGCAGGAAGCCTGGGTTGTTGCTTAACTTACTCTCATCCCTGCTTCCTTTGAGGACTGACTTAACTCTCAGGCTGGCCAGTACCCTAAAGTTGGTACCACGGTGTGGGCAGCTCTGGGGCTGCCATCTTAATTCTAAGCACCTGAATTGCTTATCTCATTTAATCCATGACATGAACCTATGAGGTGGGTCTTGTTATCCCCATTTTACAGATGAAGAAATGGAGCCTCAGTGAGGACCCTTCCCAAGTTCACAAAGCTGGTAAAGAACTTTGGGATCTGGAGTCAACTCTGATTGAAGAGCTTGGGCTTTTAGCCCTGTGCATTCTCCTGCCCCTCCTCTTGAGAGCAGAGAGAAAAGAGCTCTTCCCACTCACTCCAGTTGGGCTGGAATGGGCTCAGATTGGCCTGGTCGTTTGCCTATCCCTGGGCCAATTACTGATGTCAAAGGGATCAGTCTCTAGGATTAGCCCAGCCAGGGCTATAGAGAACCAAATGGAAGTAGAGCTCTTTCCCAAATGAAGCGGGGGTGTTGTTCTGGGAAGGCGAAATAATAAATGGCCCCTACAACTCCCAAGCCCAAACCCTCCACTCTAGGTAGACCAGCTATTTCAATGCTCTGGGAACAAGTCAGGCACATTCCTGCCTCCCCATCTTTGTGCCTGTCATTCCTTCTCTCCGAAATGCCCTTTTCTCCTACATCCTGGGTCGAATGTCCCTTCTTTTTGTGTGTCATACCTTTCTTTAGGTAGCATCAAGCTTCCTCCTTTCTCCTGAGTTTTGGGGAGTAGCTCTACAGATTTTTCCCACTATTTGATTGATGAAAAGGTAGTTTTATTTTCCAAAGGTAAAAAAGGAACAGCTTCCTCTACTGACTTTTCTATGATCTTGCTCTCCCCTTCGAACTTTCCAGCTGATGGAACTTTGCTGGGAAAAAAAAGCAGCTCAAGGTGCCTGTGCCAAGATATTAGCATATACTGCCCCAGGCAAAGACACCGCTGGCATGCTCCATCTGTTTTTGCCAAGTTCTGTTATGTAAGTGACAGCTGAGGGTATCTTTTAAGAAGCGTAGTGTTTGTGAATGATGTGTCTTAATAGAGGAACAATGAGACACACTGGCATGCACAGCGTGCTTTGTGGGAGCAGGTTTTTTGCTGGAGGGTAATTTGGAGGGGAAAAGATGTTCAGGAGGAATAGCAGTTAAGGTGGGGTGGTGGGTAATAGTGACAAGAGGGTTCTTTTCATTTGTGAAGGGCTGCCTGTGGGCTGAGCCTCCTCTGGGCATCTCTCTTGGGGCAGGGCAAACACACTCTTGAGAATCAACTGTGAGGAGTTTGCTGGAGTCCCCAGCACCTGCTCTTCTCCCACCCAAGTTAGAGACCAGTCCATGTTTAGCCCCCTGGGGACTCTAGATATTATCTCTAAGCTTGGAAGCAAGGAATTCACTTGGCCAGTGTGGTGGTTGTAAAACATAGCTCCTAGATTCTTTGGCACTTTTCCTATCTGGGATGGAGTCTATGACCTTTCCTCTTGATTCTGCTTTGGCCAATAGAGTATGGTGGAAGGGCTAAGACTGAAAAGGCCATGTGGCTTCCCCTTGGTGCTCTGATAGTGTTTGCTTTCTAGAGACCCCTTCTCAGAAAGCCTTCTCTCTAACTCAACTGCCATGTTGTGAAAAGCCGAATCCACGTGGAGAGGCCATGTATAGGTGTTCTGGCTAGTCCTTAGGCCATCCCAGCCCAGGCACTAGACCTGTGAGTGCAGAAGCCACCTTGGAAGCCCCAGACATCGTGGAGAAGAGAAGAACCATCCCCACTGTACCTGAATCCCCACAGGAATTAGGAACAAAATAAAATGGTGGTTGTTTTCTGTCACAAAGTCTTGGGGATACAACAAAGATGACGGAAACAGTCAGAGTCTCTTGATGTCAGCTATAACCGAGGGTCCCAGAACCCCCTTCAGCTTTCTAGTGCCAGAGAGTCAGGAGTTGTGTGATGTTCTGGGTAGAGTGGGGTTCTTTGCAGGGAACTGGGATCCCGGGACATCTGATATTATTTCGTAAGGGCTTCTAATGCATATAAAAACGATGCCATCTTGTCCAGGAGCGTTTTCCCAGCTTGGAGTCTGCTTCGCTTCCCATGACATTTGGGCACTCTGCCGTACCCTATCAGCCTTGATGGAAAATTCCAATGGACCTTTTTCTCTACAGATGTATTTATTCTCTAAGAAGCAAGTTCCAGCACCCCATGCACAGGGTTTGCCAACCATCTGGAAGGTTTGATCTCAATACCTTTCTTCCTCCTGCCATATTGTTTATCTCCTGGTCACTGAGTGTGATACTGAGTTTACGGAAGCTTGAGGGATTTCTGCCAGCCAGGGAATCAATAAGTAGTGGTTGAGTGATTATGCTTTCTAAAGGCTTGTGGAGGAAAGGAAGAACTATATGACTCAGTCCATTCTCTCAAGAGCCACAAACATGTAAAGTAAAATAGTACAAAGATTATAATATTTCCAGCATTTATATAGCACTCTTATCTAAGAGAGTGGGTAGCAGGTACTCTTCATTTTCTGTGTGTGTCTGTCTGTTGGAGTTTAGGGACCTCTTTTTTTTTTTTGAGACAGAGTCTCACTTTGTCGCCCAGGCTGGAGTGCAGTGGTGTGATCTTGGCTTTCTGCAACCTCTGCCTCCTGGGTTCAAGCAATTCTCTGCCTCAGCTTCCTGAGTAGCTGGGATTACAGGCGCCTGCTCCCATGCCCGGCTATTTTTTTAATATTTTTAGTAGAGACGGGGTTTCACCATCTTGGCCAGGCTGGTATTGAACTCCTGACCTTGTGATCCGCCTGCCTTGGCCTCCCAAAGTGCTGGGATTACAGGCGTGAGCCACCGAGCCTGGCCAGGGACCTCTTTTTATAATACATAAGATTATAAAGGAAGCTGATCATATTGTAATATGGCTGTCCAAACACTAAAAAACCAAACAAAATCAAATTTGTGAATGTAGTAACAGTTTATCTTTTGTATTAGCCCATTAAATAATAAAACCTAGCAATAGTTTTATAATCACCCTAATATTGAAGTAGTTATGAGTATAAACTATATATTTTAGACACTGCAACAACTGTAGTGTGACATGAAATATCTGTGGTTCTGTTGGTGACAAAGTCACAGGTATGTTAATACCTCCATGTGAGTGCCTACATTCTAATTGAGAGAAATGCTAAATTTTAATTAGAGGTTAATGCAGGCAGAAAGGGGTCCATGGTTTGTAATAAATTTAAAAACAATGAAAAAATTGAAGTTGGTCTTGCCGTCTTTTATTTTTTATTTTTTTGAGACAGAGTCTCACTTTGTCACCTAGGCTGGAGTGCAATGGTGCAATCTCGGCTCGCTGCAACCTCAGCCTCTCAGGCTTAAGTGACCTTCCCACCTCAGCCTTCCGAGTAGCTGGAACTACAGGCACATGCGACCATGCCTAGCTAATTTTTGTAATTTTTGTAGAGACAGGGTTTCACCATGTTGCCCAGGCTGGTTTCAAACTCCTGGGCTCAAGTGATCCTTCTGCTTAGCCTTTGAAAGTGCTGGGATTACAGGTGTGATCCACCACATCTGGCCAGTCTTGATTTTATTATCACTATGTACCATTGGCTTTCAAGATTGTCAGTGGCCAGGCGCAGGGGCTTATGCCTGTAATTCCAGCACTTTGGGAGATGGAGGCTGGCGGATCACCTGAGGTTGGGAGTTCGAGACCAGCCTGACCATCATGGAGAAACCCCGTCTGCACTAAAAATACAAAATTAGCTGGGTGTGGTGGCGCATGCCTGTAATCCCAGCTACTTAGGAGGCTGAGACAGGAGAATCACTTGAACCCAGGAGGCGGAGATTCAACAAGATCGGGCAACAAGAGTGAAACTCCACAAAAAAAAAAAAAAAAAAAAAAAACAACAAAAAAGATTGTCAGTGACAAAATACATCCCTGCAGGGGGCCAAAGGTTCCCATTGCTTGTCTTCCTCACCCCCATATGCCACTGAATAGAGATGTAATTCTGGTATCGTTGTTTCCCCATCTAAGTTCAAAGACACCTAAATCCTATCCATGGACTCCAGGTTACAAACTCTTGTTGTATGGTGTGTCATGGTATGGGGGGTGGGCTTTAGAATCAGACAGGTCTGAGTTTGAGCCAGCTGTGTTATTCATTAGTTATATGACCTTGAGAAAATTGCTTAACCTCTCTGAGAATCGGTTTCCTTCTCTGGATAACAGGGTATAATAATGGTGCCCTTCCCATCATTGTTGGGAGGATTCCCTGAGATTCTAAAGTGAATGACATGGTGAGCACTGTGTTCGGCCCTTGGAGAGGGCTCCATCAATGGTGGTGGAGCTGACCGTCATTGTAATGGTTGATCTTCCCATTGGCGCTGTGCAAAGGTACTATTGCCTTGGTTTATCAGCTGAGAAAACCAGTCTTCAAGTCTGCCGAGGTGTTCTGATGGGGCAGGAGATGCCTGCTGTCCTGCTGTCACCCAACTGCCAAAGAGAACCTGATTTGCTCTTTCTCTCCACCATCCTGCCCTCCTGCCATGGTGGGCACCAAGTTGCAGACTCCAGGACCAGCTACCAGGAGCCCTGCTCGGGCCAGAACTGACCTAGGATAGGAAGGGTTTCCCTGGATCAGTGGGAGCATGTAGGTAGGTTCTACTGCCCAGCGGGAAGGCTATGCTGGCATTCCAAAGCCCTGCCCTAACCCTCCCCTCATATGAAGTTCCTTGACTTTGGAGATCACTCCCTCTTAGAACCCTTAAAGCCCTCCTGGCTGTGCCACTCATCTGGCACTTGATGTACATGCGGATGTGGTCATTTTTCTTACGCCAGCTGCTCTCCTCAGTTAGATCATAAATGGATTGAGGGCAGGGAATGGCAAGATAATTCCTGTGGATGGAAGGAATTCTGTCTTCCTCCCTCTCTAGCTGAAAGCCTTGGACATAATAAGTGCTTAGTGAATGCTTATTGAATGAATAAAGAAAATCAATGGTGAAAGGATGAATCACAGAATCATGGCTCCTGGGTGCACTTCTTAGAGCTGGTTTTGTACTTTGCTGCCCGGGTCCCGGGCCTGTCTGTGTTGTCATATATCACTGAGCCTCACAGGATGTTTGCAAACACCTTGGGAAGTGGGCAGGGCAGCTAGTGAGGCTCAGAGCCAGAATGCCACTCCAGAGGCCTGACTCCAGGGAAGGTGTCTTTTCCACTTTACCTGGATGCCTTTGTCCCTTAGGGCTGCTATAACAAAATACCATAGACTTGGTAGCTTATAAACAACAGGAATTGATTTCTCACTGTTCTGAAGGCTGGGAAGTCCAAGAACAAGGCAGATTTGTATCTGGTGAGGACTCACCTTCTGGATCATAGATGGTGCCTTCTCGCTGTGTCCTCACATGGTACAAGGGGTGGAGGAGCTCTCTGGAGCCTCTTTCATGAGGGTACTAGTTCCATTCAAGAAGGCTCTGCCCTCATGACCTAATCACCTTCCAAAGGCCCCACCTTGTAAAACCATCACACTGGGGATTAGGTTTCAACACAGGAATTTTGAGAGACACAAGGATTCAGACCACAGCACCAGAATGCGGCTGAGAGCTTAAAGTCTCGGCAAGCACTGGCCCTGTACCCAGAGGTTAAGATTTAATTGTCTGAGTGGGGTCCCTAAAACTTGCCAGGTGGTTGTATCCCACCACCCCTGACTGAGAACCACTGCCCTACTCCAACATGGAGGTGGACCAGGCAGCATGGGGGCTTTCATGGGCATGAGTCCCAGCTCTCCTACCCACTATCTGTGTGATCCTGTAAGTGACTTGACCTCTTTGAGCCTCAGTTTCCTCATCTGTAAAATGGGGACAATGATAGCGCCCAGCCTCTAGGTAGGTTGAGGAAATTGAATGAGACAATGTGTGAACTGCTCTTAACATGTCATAAGTACTCAACAAATGGTAACTGCCATTATTATTATTATTATTATTATTATTATTATTATTATTATTCTGTTGACATGCATGAGTGAAGGTGGAGGAGAGCCTCTGGCCATAAAGCTGTCCCTGTCTTGTGTTTCATGTAGGTCTGGACCCAACATCCCAGCACACATGAGCACCTTGTGCCCAGGAGAGGGCTGCTTGGCTGTCTCCAGCCCCTGTACCCAGCAGGCCATGGAAGTTTGAAACTGTAACAAATCATTTATTATCCAGGAAGGAGGGATGTAAAGGGAGAGACTTCTGCATTTAAAGCATTTTTACTTTATTAAGAGTCTTTCTGATGTAAAATATGCTCACACAGTCACTTTCCACGGCAACTACATTACCATTATTTTCAGCACTCTGAGGAGAAAATGAGATTAGGTGTGGGGAAGCGGCTGGAGTAGGGTGAGCATTCGAGGGCTGGATTTAAATCCAATTCTGCAGGTTGAGTCTGTGTTAATGCAATATTATAGGATTTGGAGGCAAGGGCCTCTGTGGCTTAATCCAAGGTTCTCCAACATCTGGGTCATTGGCAATGTCACTGCTGCTTTTATTCTAACTATATCGAGAGAATAGTCAGGGTGAGAGCTAATTCTGAATTCCCACAATTGGTTGCCTTTAAGGCACCAAATAGGCACTCCTGCCAGCAGAGCTTTCTTGATCACAAGAGACCTGAAATAGAAATGGTTTAACCCTTTCTGGATGATTAGACAAGGCAGGGGAGTCCACATCCCCAGTATCTTTCCACTCCTTTCAGATGAATTTCAAACAGGAGAGCTTAGAGATCAAAGAAGGATGCACATTTAATTACCCCACTGCAGCCACAATCTGCTCAAACTGCCAGGAGGCCCCATGAACATGAGCAAGTAGCAGCGCCACAGTCACCAGGCATAGATTTATCAAAGTCTCATGTGCTGGGCTCTCTGAAGGGTGTAGTGATTGAGAACTCAGCCCCTTCCCAGAGGGAGCTCAGATTTTAGTAAGCAAAAAACTGTAATAAAAGATACAACTGTGACCAGGGCCTTGAGCAAGCAGGGCAGTGACTATTCTTAGGCTGACCTAATAGCCGTTCCCTATCTCCTTCTTATTTTCCTTGTCTACTCTAGGGGACTTAAATCCTCATTTCCTGCCCTCTGTTGCAACTAGTCAGTGATGATGTGGTTTGGGGTCATGAATTTTAAGTGGAAGTCTGCTAGTGGGTTCCAGGAAAACTTCTGTTCTCCGGATTAAAAAGGAGGAAGCAACTGGTCCTCCTACTTCTCCTTTATTCTTGCCTGGAAAGCAAATATGATGCCTGGATGTGTGGCAGCCATCTTGCAACCGTGAGGCTGAGAAACGGGTTCACCAATAACCAGTCACAAGAGAGGACCCCCAGTGCTTGGAGGACGGCAAAGACTATCACTATGCCAACCACCATGACTAGGATTCTGAACACTTCTGCCCATTGCATTGCGGGCTGTAGTTTTACCAATTGCCTGAGTCCCGTGAGATAGAACAGACTCACATGCAACAAGTTACAGGAAATGGATTTATTACTCAGCAATAGTCAGCAAGGGACAAAGAAGACTGGGAGCCACTGTGAGCCAGTCCCCTAAGGAGTGTGAATGTGTTCAAGAAAGCTGCCCAGGGTGGATGGAGTTTCCACTGCTTGTGCCCTACTTTCATGGCAGCTGAGGGCCCCTAAAAGATAGCTCATTTCCAGTTAAAAGCCTCAGGGGCTCCATGACTCACCGAGCAAAGCTCGGAAGGACATCCTACTTCCAGGGAAGAGAGGAACAAAGTGTGGGCTGTCCTGAACAGTTCCCTCTAACTCAAGATCTTACATTCCCCAGGAGAAACAGGAAAAGAGCCAAGCTCTTTCAGGCAGTCCTATCTCAGGATGTTGCATTCCAGCACATTCTAAAGTTATCCTGAGAACTACATGCAGAAAGGAAGGGGCTAGGAACTGGGTCTTCCAAGTCCATCTGGGGACTGTACCAGATAAAGGCCACTGTGGAGATGCTGTCCCTGATATTGTCAGGCCCCCAAAGCAAAGTTGGCAGCTGCCTTCCATGAGACGACCTCTTATGTGAGGAAAAGAAATCCCTATTTATCTAAGCTTCTGTAGTTTTGTGTGCCCTGAGGCTCAATGTAATCCTGATACAGACACGGAAAAGTACAGATTAAGTGTCAGGGGGCTGTCCAGGTGGGACAGGGGAGTTGGCACAGGAGAGGTAAGGAAAGACTTCATGGGGGAGGTCGTGGCATTTGAGTGGAGACTTAAAAGACTTCAGGGTTAAATATGTAGAGATGGGAGGAGAGTAAGCCATGGCGTGGGCAGAGGCTGATGTGGGAAGCAAGAACCGCTGGGGAAAAGAGGTGAGCAGGTTGCAGAAATGAAACCCAAGCCTGAGTGAACAACAAATACTCGTGTGATTGGGAAGCCCAAGGCTGGACTCACTTCAGACATGTTTGTATCCAAGAACATACATTTTATCGTTGGGAGTTTGTTGCCTTTTCAGCTCTTCTTTCTGCCTTTGTCCTTGAAGAGCTGCCTTTGAGCAGCAGATAGGATGACCAGTAGTCGTGTCAGACCCACATTCTTCCAGCTTAGGAACGTGTGTGGAACGAGAAGGTTGGACTTCTTTTTTGTTTGTTTTTAATGCATCAAACGCATTCACATTTATTTTCGTTTTTTAAAGCAAATAATAAAGACCCAGTTTACTGGCTTTACTTTTTTAAACCTAAGCTTAACATGACATACATAAACAATTGTCAAAACGAAGTCATCAGCATTCATGCACAATTGAAAAACATCCTTAATGTGTATTAAATCAGAAAGTATTACCATTAAAGCATGAATATCTTTCACTACTAAATACCGAATAAAATCGAAATGATTTCTGTAAGAGATTCATCCTGGCAATGTTAATGTCATAGCAGGCTGATACTACTTGACTCACATTTCAGACACAACGGAAAAGCAGGTCCATGCTGGTATCAGTGTATGATCTTGTCCTACCACTAAAGAGTCAAGGCTCACCTTGGAGTAAGTTTAATAAAAAAGCAAAGTGCAAACAGAGATTTACAACAATTTTAAAGACCAAAAAAAAATGGTCTCTGTTATGGTTTGGCTCTGTGTCCCCACCGAAATCTCATCTTTTAGCTCCCATAATTCCCACATGTTGTGGGAGGGACCTGCTGGGAGATGATTGAATCATGAGGGCAGGTCTTTCCTGTGCTGTTCTTGTGATAGTGAATGGAACTCATGAGATCTGATGGTTTTAAAAACAGGGGTCTCCCTGCACAAGCTCTCTCTCTCTTTGCCTACCTTCCATGTAAGATGTGACTTGCTCCTCCTTGACTTCCACCATGATTGTGAGGCTTCCTCAGCCACATGGAACTGTAAGTCCAATTAAACCTCTTTTTTTTCTTTCTTTTGTAAATTGCCCAGTCTCAGGTAAGTCTTTATCAGTAGCATGAAAACGGACTAATACAGTCTCAAATAAACTCAAAAGTCTATGACAAATAGGGGCTCTGATGAGCTGTTTTTAAATACTTTAGATTAGGTGCAACTATACTGAAAGGCAAGTTTGTTTGAAATCGTCAAAAAATTGTTCCTGTTAATCTTCAAATGGTGCTTGTTGTAGTTGAACATTTCTGTTAAATGTGTGCATTGAATTGCTTGTTATCCAAGCTCAGCTGCTGCCTGCCCCTCACCATGTATTGTTAAAGACTTTATTTAACTGGCCATCATTTAACTGGCTGTCATCTTCAACTTCTACTCTTTCTTGACAATTCTCTTTGTTGTGGTTTTTCTGCTGTTAACCATTTTAGTAGAAGTTGATATCAATTTGAAGTTGCCCATCCCACTACCACCAAATGACATGGAAGAGAATGAAGTGAGGCCCCTGTGACCTAGTGACCTGATTGAAATAAATCCTGTATCAAAAGAAGAAAATCCACTTCCAAAAGATGGAAATCCAGTGAAGGCAGAGAAAAATGACCACATCCCTCGGCCTCTGCTTCCTCGGGGATCCCCTCCAATTCCCAAAAAAGTCCTCAAATGAATCTTCAAAGGAGTTGAATGAAAATGGGTCCCTTCCACCAAATAGTTCCCTGAAGACATCACCTGGGTTATGGAATGTGAAGCCAAGCTCACACGGACTGACAAAATGACTTCTATCTCCTACCTCCCTCATTTAATACTTCTTGGCTGTAATTGTCACTTTTTTTTTTTTGCTGTGGATGTCTTTTTTTTTAAAAAAAGCATCTGGTAGCACCTCATATGGCTCAGTCACTTGTTTGAATTTTCTCTCTGCTTCTTTCCTCTCAGGGTATTTTTTTTTTCTGGGTGCCAATTCAGGGCCAGTTTCCAATATGCCTTTTTAATGTCCTCAGGTGAGGCATGTCTCTGCATGCCTGGAACTTCTTGGTAATCCACCCTGTTTTAGCAGATTGCTGGAAAGAGGAGGCAGGGAGACAGCCCAGGTCTCCTCTGGGCTCCCGCACACTGTGCTGGTGGTGGCGGTGGCAGCCCCTTGTGCTCTCCTTTCTCTTTCGCCTCTTATCCATGTATCTGGCCTTGACAAGATCACCATTGGCCTGGGTTGGCTGATTCCCGATCAATTCACCACAGACAGAGAGATCTGGGGACCTCTGAATCACAAGTGTGGGCAGGGTCTCCACCTGAAACGTCACCAAGTGTTTGATAGCCTCAAGGGGCCACAAAGAGTGAGGGTGAGTTCCCCAAAGGGTCAGGAGAAGACAGTGGGTAAAGCATCCTGGGTAGACTAAACCACAGTCTTCTATAAGCAGGTAATTTAGGTGCAGCTGAGACAGACAGGTAGTCAGGGCTCGCCGGAGCGGCTCGGATCCACCTACGCACTGGGAGGAGGGTGGAGCCACGGAAGCTCGCACTATTTGCAGTGGGGAGGAGCTTGGCCTCTCCTGTTCTGGGTTGGTACCCTGGGGATTCAATCTGTGAGGCAGGAAGCCAGCTAGTAGGACTTTCACTTTGTTGGGAGTTCCTATTTCCTTTTTTTCCTCTTTGCCCAATAAATTCAATTTTTCTCACCCTTCAAAGTGCCTGTGAGCCTAATCTCTCCTGGCTATGTGACAAGGACCCCGTTTTTAGCTGAACTAAGGAGAAAGTCCTACAACATAACTAGATGAGGTTACGGCAGGCACTAAATCTGCCCCGAGTGCTTGACTCAGCCTCACTTGATCCGCTGCAACAGCCTCCCCTCTGGACTGAGATGGTGAGCATCAGCCAAGGCAGGACTCGGCACACGGTGCAGTCAGCAGCCTCTCCAGGGACATGCCAAGGTTTCCAGGAGGCCAGTCTTTGCTGGAAATTTCTCAGTGACCACTTTTCCCCCTTTCTTTCTTTCTTTTCTTTCTTTCTTTTTTTTTTTTTTTTTTTGAGGTGGAGTCTCACTCTGTTGCCCAGGCTGGAATGCAGTGGCGTGATCTCGGCTCACTGCAACCTCCACCTCCCTGGTTCGAGCAATTCCCCTGCCTCAGCCTCCGGAGTAGCTGGGATTACAGGCGCACGCCACCACGCACAGCTAATTTTTTTTTTTTTTTTTTTGTATTTTTAGTAGAGACAGGGTTTTGCCACGTTGGCCAGACTGGTCTCAAACTCCTGACCTCAGGCTAACTGCCTGCCTCGGCCTCCCAAAGTGCTGGGATTACAGGCGTGAGCCACCGTGCCTGGCCTTCCCCCTTTCTTTACCTGCCTTCCTGTTGGATGGATACATGGCTATTTTCTTACTGTTAGAGACACATTCTCTCTCTCTCTCTCTCTCTCTCTCTCTCTCTCTCTGTCCATCTCTCCTCTCCCTTTGTCTCTCTCATTAAAGCAAATAACATAGCAGGAGGAATGGGAAAAGTAGCAAATCCCAGGCTAGTCTCATCATTTCTGGGCTGAAATGGAACCACTTGTGGTGTGTGGAATCGTGGCATCCGGCATGCCACATTCCCTGCTCCCTGTTGTCCTGCCCTGTCTGTCTGCTACAATCACCTGGAGCCCCTCCCTCAACCAAGACATCAACAACAGAAACAAAACTGCTTCCTCTGACCAGCAGGAAATTTCCAGGTGAACACACTCTGGCTTAAGTAATTAGGCAAAGAATGTGGCTTTGTGCAGTTGTGGAGAGACTCAACTTGCTCTTAGAGTCTTTGTTTCTGTTCAGTCCCTGGAGTGCCCCTGCTTTCACTGCTGTCCTTTGCCACTAGACCGGGCAGAAATCCGCCTTTTTCCTGCATTCCTTCCACTGTTGTTGATTCAGCTCATTTTACATACCAAGGCACCTTTCCTGATTCCATTCTTTGGCCAAAGACTCCCTCAGAACTTTAAGAACTTTAAGCCACCAAATGCAGCAGGCACTTTTTTTTTTTTTTTTGAGATGGAGTCTCGCTCTGTTGTCCTGGCTCACTGCAACCTCCACCTCCTGGGTTCAAGTAATTCTTCTGCCTCAGCCTCCCAAGTAGCTGGGGCTATAGGCGAGCGCCACCACACCCGGCTAATTTTTGTATTTTTAGTAGAGATAGGGTTTCACCATATTGGCCAGGCTGGTCTCGAACTCCTGACCTCGTGATCCGCCTGCCTTGGCCTCCCAAAGTGCTGGGATTACAGGCGTGAGCCACGGCGCCTGGCCAGCAGGCACCTCTTATGCTTGCTTTGAAAATATACTTATGAGGTTAGTGCCCATCTTCCTGTCTTATGATTCGAATCCTTTCCTTCTTTCTTCCCTAATTCCTGTTCTTTTTCTCTCATGACCCCTGGCTACCCATTAGCCTTTGGAAAAATTCTATTATGTTTGCCTGTTTGTTTTTTTCTTTTTAATGTATATGTTACCAGAAAGGGGTCCCAATCCAGACCCCAAGAGAAGGATCTTGGATCTCACACAACAAAGAATTTCAGGCGAATCCACAGAGTAAAGTGAAAGCAAGTTTGTAAGAAAGTAAAAGAATAAAAGAATGGCTACTCCATAGACAAAGCAGACCCGAGGGCTGCTGGCTGGCTATTTTTATGGTTACTTCTTGATCATATGCTAAACAAGGGGTGGATTATTCATGAGTTTTCTGGGAAAGGCGGGGGGTGGGAGGATTTCCTAGAACTAAGGATTCCTTTCCTTTTAGACCATATAGGGTAACTTCCAGAGTTTGCCATGGCATTTATAAGCTGTCATGGTGCTGGTGGGAGTGTCTTTTAGCATGCTTATGTATAAGTAGTGTACAATGAGCAGTGATGATGACCAGAGGCCACTTTTGTCACCATCTTGATTTTGGCAGGTTTTGTCCAGCTTCTTTACTGCATCCTGTTTTATCAGTAGGGTTTTTGTGACCTGTATCTTGTGATAATGGTCCTGCCAACCTCCTGTCTTTTTTTTTTTTTTTTTTTGAGACGGAGTCTTGCACTGTTGTCCAGACTACTGGAGTGCAGTGGCGCAATCTCGGCTCACTGCAAGCTCCGCCTCCTGGGTTCATGCCATTCTCTTGCCTCAGCCTCCCGAGTAGCTGGGACTACAGGCGCCCGCCACCATGCCCAGCTAATTTTTTGTACTTTTAGTAGAGACGAGGTTTCACCGTGTTAGCCAGGATGGTCTCGATCTTCTGACCTCGTGATCCGCCCACCTCGGCTTTCCAAAGTGCTGGGGTTACAGGTGTGAGCCACCGCGCCCGGCGTAACCTCCTATCTCATCCTGTGACTAAGATTACCTAACCTCTTGGGAATGCAGCCCAGCAGGTCTCAGCCTCATTTCACCCAGCCACTGTTCAAAATGGAGTCACTCTGGTTCGAATGCCTCTGATGTGTACAAATCTATTGTGCTCATTGAAGCTTGCCTTTTTATACACTTCTTGGCTCAGAGAAATACTTTTTTTGGAGGCAGCAAATGTAGCAGAAAGAACAGGCAATTCTGAAGCAAGAAGAGTGATATGGTTAGGCTTTGTGTCCCCACCTAAATCTCATCTTGAATTGCAAACCCCGTCATCCTCACAGGTCAAGAGAGAGACCAGGTGGAGGTAATTAAACCACGGAGTGGTTTCCCCCATGCTGTTCTCGTGACAGGGAGTGAGTTCTCACGAGATCTGATGGTTTCATAAGGGGCTCTTCCCCCTTCATTCGGCCCTTCTTCCTCCCACCTTGTGAAGAAGGTGCCTTGCTTCCCCCTCACCTTCTGCCGTGATTGTAAATTTCCAGAGGCCTCCCCAGCCATGCTGCACGGTGAGTCAATTAAACCTCCTTCCTTTATAAATTACTCATTCTCGGGAAGTTCTTTATAGCAGTATGAAAACAGACTAATACAAAGAGTTTTCTGTGTTAACTCCCGGCACCGTCACTCACTGTTGTGACCTTGGGCAAGTTGCTTAAGCTCTCTGTGTCTGTTTCTTAATCTGTACAGTGGGTATGATATTAATACCTATCTCATAGGTATTTTTTTTTTTTGGTCTTAAATGATTCATGGGAAAAGTATGATGTATGCTGAGAAGCAGCACAAAGACATTTCATGTGTGCGGACCTCATGTACGTGGACCATGTGGAAGGCAGCTTTAGTCCTGACTGCAGAAAAGCGATGTTCACATGCGCGTTGGGAACTGGCCTGCGCACCCAGATTCCCAGATCCAGGAAAGCCCTTCATTTCCAGTGCTTTCCATCCTCGCTCCAGCGGCAGATGTTAGAAGCTGACTGAGATGTTTTCTGGATTAATTGCCCCCAAACATTCAGGGTTTTATGTTTTAGAATGTCTGAACAGGTTGGAATTTGAATCTCCCTTCTGCCACTCCTTGTCTTATTTTGGAAATGAACTTAAAGTCACATTTTTGAGATTCCGACTATGTGACGCATTGAGCTATTTGGAGCGTTGGTTTGCGGCTGTTTCTAAGCCTGGACTCTTGACACGGCTTTGCCTGCAGCTCTGGACTCTCCCTCAGGCTCCAGGGCTCCCTGTGCCCTTGCGGTGCTCCGGCCTCTTGGCTTCTGAGTTAGATTGGGCATCTCTCAGATTCCTTGGCTACTGAGTCTGTACATCCCATGACTCCCGTCCTCCCTCTCCTTCCACAAGCCGGTCGGTGACCACGCAGCCTTCTAGGTGGTCCAAACTTTCTGGAGCTTTCCACTGGGAAGATCCTAATAGCCCTAATCCCTCCTTTAACATCAAGCAGAGCTGCCCTCAATCTTTTAATAGAAGCAGGTGAACTCCGACTAGATTTTTTGTGCACTAGTGAGGCTTGCTGTGTTTACTGGTATATAGGATACATTCCCCGCTTTTCCCAAATGATGGATTATATATGCAAAATAAAATTTTATACTTTATATATGAATAATGTATATGTTACAACATAAGATATATTACGTATTACATAATACTATACACATAACATATATCAAATATATGGCATTGTACGATATCTAATCGTTTATTATATACACAAGTTTTCTTGTCAGTCTTACGCTTTGGTATCAGGCACAGCTGGAAGGCTGAGAAAGAGGTAAAATAATGGGGCATGCTACCCCCTAGTGGCAGAAGATGGCAACATACATTTTGCAAATGTGAGCGCTTTTCATCCCCTTATCAAAAAACAAAACAAAAACCAGAGACCACACAGATGAATATGGAATTTGAGTAACTCCCCTATGTTATGAATTTAAGTATTTTTTCACTGCAACTCATATTCCTAAATACCAAGATATTTCTTTTTAGCTCTGTGATTTTATTCTTGTTTTTAGGGATACTAGACTGTGTATCAAAACCGTACTATTTTTTAATGGAGTCACAATCCTGTGTACTATATTTATAGGAATAAAATATTTCCCTTACAGCTTAGTCTTTATTTTTCCAAAAAACTTTCTGAAAAATTGAGATGTATCTGATATCCCCGCGCATTTCACATGTTGGCAAACATGGCATTTTACTGCCTCTGGTGCACAAAAAGCCCTTGAGCGCTCACCTAATGCTTCTGTGAAGTCAAGGGTTCCGAGCACGCTGACTCCATGTTGCTAGGGAGCCTCTCTAGGAGGCCAGCAGGCCGCTGGGCGGCCCCGACTGGGATCTGCTGTGGTATGTGGCCCTCTTTGCTAGTGCAGGAGCTTCCTCCGGTCACTTTACCTGCATTCCTTTGAGCCTGGGGCCCAGGCGGGGGACCCTAGCAAGAGGCTTACTTACGTGGTCCCCTGATACCAGGCATGGGAATGGTAGCACTTGCTGATTGTGTGGGTCTCTGGCCACAATGGAAATATTTAACACACAACACCTTAGAGTGGAGGTGGGCAGATTTTTCTCTGAAAAGGACCAGAAAGTAAATATTTGATTAAATTAATTAATCAATTTATTTAGAGACAGAGTCTGGCTTTGTTGCCCAGGCTGGAGTGCAGTGGTGCAATCTTGGCTCACTGCAACCTCCACCTCCCAAGCAATTCTGCTGCCTCAACCTCCCAAGTAGTTGGGACTACAGGCGTGCGCCAGCACTCCTGGCCAATTTTTGATTTTTAGTAGAGATGGGATTTCTCCATGTTGGCCAGGCTGGTCTCGAACTCCTGACCTCAGGTGATCCGCCCACCAGGGCCTCCCAAAGTGCTGGGATTAGAGGCGTGAGTCACCATGCCCTGTTTAGAAAGTAAATATTTTAGACTTGTGGCTCAATACAGTCTCTGTCGCAGCTCCTCAGTTCTGTTGTCTTGGTGCAAAAGCGAAAGGATGTGACTGTGTTCCAATAAAATTTCATGAACATGAATATAATTTTCATGTGTCTTGAAATAGTACTCTCCTTTTGAGTTTTTTCAACCGCTTTGAAATGGAAAATCATTCTTAACTTGCTGACAGTATAAAAACAGACAACAGGCTGGAAGTGGCCCGAGGGCCATCGTTTGCTGACCCTCGTCTGAGTATCCCGTTATTCCTTTCTAGCTATGGCAGTCTTTTCTAACAGTCACAAACAGCTGAATTCACGACTCTATTCTATCCAGTTTCCTGGATAAAACATAGTTCATAACCGGTTAAAATTTCTGGTCAATTCCAAACAGGCGCATATTTATTTAGATGTTTAGAACTGCTCTGTGGAGCCCAGCCCTTTATTTCCTCCAAAGAATTTGTTGATCTACTGAAAATTTTCTTTCAAAAACAACCTTATGGATGTGTTTTGTAAAAGTCTCATTTAGAACCTTTGGGGCCTCACTCAGTCACCCCTGAATCCTCATCTTTTCATGTACACACCTCTGTCCGTTTTCTCCTCTTTTCTTCCTAATTAGCTGCCTGTATAATTAAACCTTTCCTCATTTAGAGGTTCTGAGCCCTCACTGATACACTAATCACCCTGTGGCCCTCCTGTTGCCTCGTCTATTTCCTTTTGAGATGGAGGGCCCAGCACTGAACGGCAGTCAAGGTCGGGCCGCCCGCATTTGTATTACACACTAGTTCGCCATTACCATGGTGTTCGCTCCTTAATACAGACTAATAGCTCATTCTCCTTCATGACCTCCAGTGAGCACTGTGCAGCCATATTCAGTGCTGGCTTTGTGATAATTTCAAGATTTTTTTCTTTAGGAAGTTATAACTAATTCAGGGCCCATCAACGATCATAAATAGTTTAAATTGCTCTTTCGAGTGTGAACTGCCTCCCATGGGCCATTTAATTTACTGAATGTCCCCTGGCTGTGCTTGTTCTGTGACCAGCCCCTGTCCCTGCCCTTATTAACTCTGTTTCTGTATCTCACTTTGGTCCAGTCGGGAGAGGTGGCACTTATATTTGGGAATGAGCTTGTGCTTGCTATTGACCTACCTAGCAATGCATTAAAGATGGATTTGATCTGATTTAAAGTTTTATAAGCCCAAGGGGGTTGCCTCTGGAGGATTTTTGGAGGCCAAACTGATCCTGGAATTGTGCTTATAGGTGGTTTGCATTTGCTCAGAGAAAATCTAGGAATTTTACTTTACCTGAAACTTTTCTGGTTTTGCGGTTTTACTGGGTTTTAATAATTTGCCACCTCTGGAAAACTTCAGAGACAAGGTGTTGCCTAGTTGGCTAGACTAAGTATTTTAGCTGTCTCCAATTGGTAACTGTTTAAGAGGTTTAAAGACACAAATTAAGTTGGTAAAATTTGAATATGTGAATCCGGGTGAAGGATATATGGTGGTTTGGTGACACTATTTTTGCAGCTTTTCTGTTGGTTTGAAGTTCGTTGAAAATGAAAAGGTCCATTAATTAAGAAGGTGGGTCAACGTTCTGTCACAGCAGCACCTGCCATTTGCACACTGCTGGCCTGGCCCGCCTTCCCCCATGGGAACTTTGGTGTGTACTTGGATTTACGTCAGCCCTGTCCCAGTGAATGCTCCTGCTCTTTTGGTCCCTGTCCCCACTTGCCTGCCCCATCTCAGTCAAGAAGTAATCAAATATGAGCTGAGCACCAGTATGACAGGGGAGTGGGGAGTAAGCAGACATTGTCCCTATCCTCAGTACGCTACCATCTAACAGAGAAGACAGAAACTAAGCAGAGAAGCACAAAAGGCTGTAAAGGAGAAGTGCAGGTTGTGGAAGGGTCTAACCCACTGGGGAAGCAGGGAACCCTTCTTGGGAGAAGTGGTGTATTAGTCTGTTCTCACACTGCTAATAAAGATAAACCCGAGACTGGCTAATTTTTTTTTTTTTTTTTTTTTTTGAGATGGAATTTTGCTCTTGTTGCCCAGGCTGGAGTACAGTGGCGTGATCTCAGCTCACGGCAACCTCCGCCTCCTGGGTTCAAGCGATTCTCCTGCCTCAGCCTCCCGAGTAGCTGGGATTACAGGCATATGCCACCACGCCTGGCTAATTTTGTATTTTTAGTAGAGACAGGGTTTTTCCAGGTTGGTCAGGCTGGTCTTGAACTCCCGACCTCAGGTGATCTGCCCTCCTTGGCATCCCAAAGTGCTGGGATTACAGGAGTGAGCCTGTGAGACTCACGCCTGGTGAGACTGGCTAATTTATAAAGAAAAATAGGTTTAATGAACTCACAGTTCCATGTGACTGGTGGGGGAGACCTCACAATCGTGGTGGAATGCAAACCAGGAGCAAAGTCACATCTTACATGGTGGCAGGCAAGAGAGAGAGTCTGTGCAGGGGAACTCCCCTTTATAAAACCATCAGATCTCATGAGACTTATTCACTATATGAGAACAACATGAGAAAGACCCGCCCCCATGATTCAATTACCTCCAACCCGGTCCCTTTCATGACACGTGGGAATTATGGGAACTACAATTTGAGATTTGAGTGAGGACACAGCCAAATCATATCAAGTGGTGTTTGAGCCCAGAACTGTAGGATGGTGGGGTTTAGCTTGGCAAAGAGAGGGTGCAGGTGTGCTGTAGGTCAAGAGACTAGCATGTGTGTGGGATTCCGGGGCATGTCAGAGGTGTTGACAGAAGCCCAGCCTGGCTGGAGCAGAGAGTGCAGGGGCCTGGACAGATGAGTTAGAATAGGCAGGCAGGGTCTTGCAGACTGCTTTGATAGCTTATTTTTCTTTATTCTGAGAGCCAGGGGAAGGAGTAGGCAGTGATGTTATAATGAGATTTGCATTTTTGAAAATAAGCCCTCTTGCTGCAATGTAGAAAATGAATTGGAAAAAGTGGCAGTGGTGACAGGAAGAGAAGCAAGGAGTCTATTGCAGCATCTGGCAAGCAGTGATGCTCTCCTGGTCCTGATGGTGGCTGGGCCAATAGAGAAAATTGGGTAGATTTCAGAGTTGTGTAGGAGGTGGACTCACAGACTTGGTGATTAATTGAACTATCTATTATGGTATTTTTTTATTGAAAAATTTCTGTTTTTCCTTTTGCTTTGTAGATCTGGTTGAAAAATACTTTTCCCAAAAAGCATTTGCAAATATACCCATTTACATGGCACTGACTAATTGTCTTGCTTGTGTATGCCCAAGATGAATATTCCTCATGCAAAGATGATGGTTTATCTCATTCAATAAGATTGTGCTAATTAGAAATTAGGACCTATCCATCTCACATGTTCTGGAAATTTAAGCTGTAGGAGATGAAAATTAATGTAGTTTTTAAGCAATCTATTGAATTTATTAAATTGCAATTAGATGATAGAGTTTGTATTGGAAGATATGAGTTTTGACAGGAAAGAGGCCCTGCATGATACAATCACAATACTGACAAATAAATGCCATTGTACTTTTCCATGACAAGGATGATTTACAATTATAGTAGTACATGGTTCTCTTTGATTTATGGCATCCTGTTAGCCATGGAATTACTTAGCAAAATCAGTTTGACTTGATATAAGATTTTTTCCTTGCCTAGAAAAAAGTTTAGCCTGAGGAAAAGTTGACATTAATTTAGGAATAGTGGAGTTATCATTGAGTTATCAAAATAAATCCGAGGACATAAATCAATTCTACTGCATGGAGAATGCTAAATCGATAAGTCCAGAAAGACTTTATTGATTCTACGGCCATCACTCAAGCCTTCTTCATTAGATTCCTCAGCCATATGTTTAATTGAAATGATAAGGTAGATAACTTCTGGTAAATCTACACATCCTGACTTTGATATGGGGTTGTTCAAGGTAATAAAAATGATTTGGCCAGGCTGGCTCTCTCCTTTAGAGTCAGGAGGGTACACATGGGAAGACTTCACATCTTCTTTCTGTCTCCTATAACTTCCACTCCAGGCAGATGCTAGCTTAACAGTCTTAAGCCACTCCTTCTAAATTCAATTTAAAAACTGTATGAAAAAACTGATCATAATATTAAGAGAACATTTAAAAAATTACTCATAGTTAATACCACCCTGAACCTATTGGCAACTTCTGTGCTGAACTGTATTATCTATTTCTATGTCTTGTCTCTCTCACTTAAATGATTGTGAGCAGTTGAGGGCAAGAGGCATTTAGCTCAGTATCCCTTCAATCTTGTTTCATTGCATAAGTATCTTTATATAGCTGCAGTCAGAACTGTATCAGTTAGCTGTTGCTGCAAAAAAAAAAAAACCCTCAAATTTAGTGGCTTATAACAAGAAACATTTTATTTGTTCATGATTCTTGGAGTCTGGTAGGTGGTTCTTCTGTTCTGGCCAGCTAAGCTGGTACTGGATAGTCTAGGATGGCCTCACTCACATGTGTGGCAGCTGATGTGATGACAGCTGGGATGATGACCACCTGCCTCCCATTATCCAACGGGCCAGTCACATGACAGCAGAAGTGTTCCCATCAGCAAGAAGGGAAGTAATTCTCAAGAACTTGTGCAAGTACTTATCAAGTCTTTGCTTGTGTCACATTTGCTAATATTCCACTGGCCAAAGCCAGTTACATGCCAAGCCCGTATTTGAGGATTGGATAAACGGATTTTGCCACTTGATGAGAGAAGTTGCAAAACATTGTGGCCATTTTTCCCGATATACTACAGAAATGTAAATAAATTTGTATTCTTCTGCTTTTAAAAAAACAACTATAGGTGCTTCCTCTTTTTCCATTTTTTAAAGCGAATATATTATATATTTACAACTTACTAGAGGCTTTAAATATAATCTGCAGATGACTCTAAAATGTAAGTAAAACGATTATTCCCATGTTACCATTAAGGAAGCTCACTGAAGGTCACACAGCTAGTAAGTGGGGAAGCAGAGATTTTAACCTTGATCTCTCTGGCTCTACTTACTCTTAGCAGACTTTTCATCATGATGCTTCTTTCCCTCTTGTTGGGTGTTCAGATGTTCATATTCTTTGAAAATGTAGGAAATATCAGGAGAATTTCCCCAAGTTGTGTGCAACTAGCTCTCTACTTCAACGCTTTTCTGACCCAAGGGTGATTGGACCTTACAGGAGAACCATGTCAACTTTCAAGTGCACCAAATAAGATACCTCTGACTTTAGGTAATTTTGATGTTTGCATTTCCCCTAAGCCATGGGGGCAAAGGAGTGGTAGCAAGATTTCACCAAACACTAAATTAAGGATCTGGGTACCAACCCATGTGACTGCTCACCGTCTCCTCCCTCTTCTCACCAGGCATATTATTGCATTCAAACCTGGTCCAGCAATCTTTCTTTTCCTGCCTCCTCTTCCTAGATCAAGTATCTTCCAGATGATTATCGTGAAATTATTCAGGTATCCTTCAGCCTTCCCCTGGCCAGTCATCTTCCTGTGATTTATCAGCTGACGGTTGGTTCCTGGTGGAACCAAGCTGATCAGACTTCAGGCTCAGGATGTGCTTTGGAGAAGGCTGTGCTAGGTTTGGTAACCTTACTTGTCAAATGGGTGATATTCAGAACAAAACAAAATAGGTATAATTAGTTGGACTGGAAAGATCATACATGAAGATTAACAGTGACATCTAGGAGGAGCTGTCAAAGCTTGGCCAGGAGCTTGGCCAGGAGCTCAGATGGGCTTCTCCACATCCTAACCACCACTTCAAGAACTTAGGCTCAAAATTAGGCAACTTCCCTAAAATCTAAAACCCAGGTATGTGAATGCCTCAAATGCTCAGCCTCTCAAAAATTCCCAGCCAACACAGGTGTGTTTTGGGCATTTTCCTGTGGTGTCCTGGAGTGGCTCATACCAGCTCATGAGAGCTGATTGTCAAATTTTCAGGAAATTTTCAAGCCAATTGTTAAACACAGCCATTCTTAAAAATTAAATTGTGTAAATTTACAATTAAGTAAATTACATGAAAAAGGCAATAAATTCTCGAAACTCATTACTTCCTATTTATTCTACTACCTTTTTACTGTTCTCTATGATTGTGAGGTTATTTCTACCCATTTTTTCAGTATGGTGGAAACAGTATATCACGGTGTGCTATTGCACATTTCTTCCCAATTCTGTAGTCCATGACATCAAAATGGTAGCTTGGAATCAACCCTGGTGGGAATATTTGCACCTTGGAAATCTGCAAATGGTACAAATCAGGGCTTGATTTATTGTCTCGTTGATTGCCTAGACTTAAGAAAGTGATGGAGAAGATGTGAATATTGCATATTAAACTTAAACGTGTGTCATGTCCATAACTATTACATTGTGAATAGTAAAAAAAGGCTTAGGAAATTCTCCCGGTATTTGAAACTATCATCTGATACAGCAAGCAATCACTCATGTCATTGAAGAGCAAGTGAAAATACTGACATACATCTTTATTAACTCACTTTCTTTTTTCTTGTTAATGTAAAGGAAAATATCAACCAACATTCATGTTGTAACCACACTCATTTATCTATTCCAACCCTAGATTGAGTACAGATAGAAGAATTTTGCAAAAATCAACAAAGCCTTGTGTGAGGATCTATTGGCTATATGGAGTTTATCATAAAGAGTATAATTTGTTATTATCTGTAAATTGGGTACTATAGATCCTTTATATTGGTAAGATTTGTATCAAACATCTACATGCAGTATATCTATATATGCATTCATTTTTCCCCAGAGAGCAATTATTAAATATTTACCAATGCTCTTTCTGAAGATGTTGAAGTGTGAGGATGTGGTGGGTCCTTCTATGTGAAATTCAGGGTTTCCCTGGGTCTTCTGGTAGGAAATGTGATCAAGTGTGTTGACCACACAGGAGTGAAAAATCTGTAGTCATCTCTGTGAATGAGATCAAGCGACAGCGAAACTTTCTGCTGGTGTGGGTAACGTGGTGATGGCCATGGTCAGTAAGGCGAGCCAGAGCTCAGAAGGAAGGTGCATCCAGCAGTGGTCATGTGACAACAGAAGTCATGCCAGAGAAAAGATGGCTTGTTTCTTTATTTTGAAGATAATGCCAGGGTTGTAGTAAGTAATAAACGTGTGATGAAAAGTTCTGTCATCACAGGGCCAGTTGCAAAGGAGTATGCAGCCATGTGGCCCAGGCTGACGTCCAATGCTGGCAGCACTGCCTGAATCTTTAGCGTATTTGTAAAAAATTAAAAAAAAAAACATTAAACTCTGCCCCCGCCTCCCAAAACACCCACCAAAAACGATTTACCCCCACACTGTTGGCATATTCCCACTACTCTCTTACTGGTCACATAGAAGTTGGTGGATTTTCCTCCTCGATCTGCGTACTTGAGAATACCATTTTTCCTTTTATCCTTGGCTCCCCTCAGTCACAGAGGGCCCTATAAATGAGCACATTCCGCCAGCTGGGGATGTCCAAAGTAAAAAAAAAAAAAAAGACTTCCCTGCAATCTGAGGCTTTCATAGGAAGAACTGAAACCTGAGCAGGTAGAGGACAGCATTAGCAGTTCCTGGGTCTCATTTTAGGTCTCCTGTAAGTGAATGTCTTGTTCATCACTAAGGGCATTTGAGAATGTTTGCATTTACATTTACCAAAGTAACAGGGACAACAAACATTTATCTGCTTTATCATTTACAAAGCACATCTACATTTCTTAGCTTATTTTGTTTACTTCTAAAGATTTCTGTTTCTAGCATTTCACACGCAGCTGGAGAGGGGGCTAGTTACCATAGACACTGGCTCACTCTCCAGGGTGTAGCGGCCTTTCGGACATGGTATTAAAGGAGTTTACTTGCCCTTTTCTACTCTCTTTATTATACTCAATCTGCAGTGAATTCAGGGCAGGAAACAAAACCCCGGAAAGGGGTTATTAATGGTTCCAATAGAGAGTAATCCCACTTGCCAAAAGTAAGTAGGATGTGGTTACCTTTGATTTTGTTTCTCTCCCCAGGGGTCATGGGTGTGGAAGGAGAGCCGTAGTACATCAAGGGCAGAAACCGGTTGCTTCAAGTGTTATGGAGCGAGTTTCTTAGCATTTCCTAAATACTGTACCTGCCGTAGCTTTCTTCATGTGGTAAATTAAAAAACACATTGATATTACAACAAAGGAAAATACCACCCGACCGGGTTATTTTGTTTTGTTGTTGTGATCCACATCATAGCATGTAATGTTTGCCTTGGAAAAGTCTTCATAGAGTAAGGAATGAATGAAGACAAAAGTCCGTGGTGACTCATTGGTAATAGTTCAAACCTGTTAAAAACAACTGGGAGAGGTCTTTACCGTACACAGGGCTTTGGGAGTTTGCCTATTTTCCAGTTAACGTGATTGATTTTTCAGAGCTATGTGGGATCCCCTCGGACCCACAAATGGTCATTTGCGACTAAAAGAACTGATTTGATGGCCTCCAATGGTCAAACGAAACCAGATTGTTATCAAATCTTAACTCTATGCTGCATGAGCTTGGATTGTCTACAGTGGCATCCTTGGTGCACTTTAGAATGAAAAAAATTCAATTTCAAAAGTAAACACAGAGAACAAAAATAGTTCAGAGGACAGCCTACACAGATAACAAAGCCAGCAAATACAACCGAAGGATGCCGCACTGAAGCGGTATTTTATATAGCCAAGGATTGCCAAATATGTTTTTTCACCGAGATCTGCTTTTTTTTCTCTTTAGTTATTGATTAGCTTTGCGAAGGAGAGAATATTGACATGTGCAGAAGAGCGTAACACGTTGAAATAGTTTTAGATAGAGTATCTGTGGCAGGTCTTCGTGTTTAGATTTAAGTGGGAACCACTGTGGGTTCTGAAATAGCTTCTATAACCAGTTTCATCACAGACCTAATCATCCAAGACATCATTCCCTGTAATTTGACTGAAAAGCAGTGAGACAGCAAAAGCTTCAATTCTTGAAAAGGATTTAGCGGCCAGCCATCTTATGGTTATTAAAGACGTTCTTGTGCCGTCTCCTCCCCTCTCTCTTTACTCCAGCCATGACTAAATAAATCCAGAGGCTTGAATCAAACATGGAAAAGGGGAGCGACAAGCAAAGGACCAGAACAGACTCCTGGGGAAACAATTTGGTTAAAAAAATATTAAACAAGGCTTTACTGTCCTACAGAAGTTCTAGTCTCAAATGATCGAGAACCTCAAAAGTGAAATATTAAAAATTTTTTTTTTTCAGAGGACAAGTAAGGACACTCTTAGGCCAGACTATAGCTGAAAGAACCCAGCATTAGTTAAATGAAGACCTGGCTCTTGGAGCTTCATCTCCACTGCGTGACCTTGAATGAGACTCTTAACCTCTCTTAGCCTTGATCCCTGGTTTGAGGCTATGTTTGCCTTCAGCTCCTTTCACTCCCTGGATTCTAAAGCTTTCCCTTTTTAAGATTAAGATCCTTTGAGTACTTTGCTCTCACATCAGGTCGTCTTAATTCTTATGCTATGGATTTTTAGCAAACTTTATGGTATTTAGAAACTATATAGGCGATATTTGGGAAGGTCAGACATTTTTGGAATGTATAAACCAAAATGTAAGGACAGTACCCCCCTTCAGGTAAGCCTATGTCATCAAAAACTAGCCTTCATTTCAATTATGTACATTATAGCATTAATTTTTTTTGTACTTAAATCTGACTTCTTTTTAAAAATTATTGGGGCTGGGCGTGGTGGCTCACACCTGTAATCCCAGCACTTCGGGAGGCCGAGGTGGGAGATCGAGACCATCCTGGCTAACACGGTGAAACCCCGTCTGTACTAAAAATACAAAAAAATTAGCCGGGCGTGGTGGCAGGCACCTGTAGTCCCAGCTACTTGGGAGGCTGAGGCGGGAGAATGGCATGAACCCGGGAGGCAGAGCTTGCAGTGAGCTGAGATCGTGCCACTGCACTCTAGCCTGGGTGACAGAGTGGGACTCCGTCTCAAAAAAAAAAAATTTTTTTTATATTCAAGAGGTAGATGTGCAGGTTTCCTACATGAGTATATTGAGTGATGATGCTGAGGTTTGAGCTTCTGTTGATTCTGTCACCCAAATAGTGAACATGGCATCCAATAGTTTTTCAACCCTTGTCTCCCTCCCTTCCTCCCTCCCTACCCCTTTTTGGAGTCCCCATTGTCTATTGTTCCCATCTTTATATCCATGTGTACCCAATGTTTAGCTCCCACTTATAAGTAAGAACATGTGGTATTTGGTTTTTTGTTCCTGCATTCATTCACTTGGGATAATGGCCTCAAGCTGCAGCCATGTTGCTGCAAAGGACATGATTTTGTGTTTTTTTTATGGCTGGGTAGTATTCCATGGTGTCTGTGTACAACATTTTCTTTATTCAGTCCACATTGATGGGCACCTAGGTTGATTCCATGTCTTTATGGCAATAAATTTTTTAAAAAGCAGAAAGAAAGCTAGATGTATACATGTTACCCAAGTGTCTGCCTTCTCCCTTTGAGGGTCACCTTCCTCTAGGATATAGTTCTTCTGCTGTGCCTGTGTTGACCTGTGTCCCTGCCTTTGTCTCCATTGTCATTCTCTCCTCACCTTCATGCCGTCTCCTGGGACTGCCTTCACTTCTTACTTACCTGCTTTCCCCTCTGTTAGAAACCACCAGTCCTCATTCTTCCAATACAGTAATGATAAGGCCCAGGCAGAGCAGGTCTCACTAAAAGCCTGGAGATATTAGAGGGTGGTTATGGAGCAGGACAGGGGAAAAATTCAATTCAAACATTACTGTTAGAAATTTATCAGCCAACCCCACTGTAATGGGCTTGTGGTAATGTGGGAAATAGAATAACTAAATGGAACACTTAATAGTTTCCCTTTCTTTCCCTCTCTCTTCTTAGGTCTGGAATAGGATCTTTAGGACAGAGAGGGAGAGAGCATTTCAGGACAAGCAAAGGGAAGGGTGGGAGCTGCAGAGAGCAAGTTGCCACTTCACAGTTTGCCTGCAGCTGGCTCTACTAGCAACCATCCCCCACCTAGATGAATGTCTTTAAACAGTCCTTTGGCTCGCGGCCTCTGGGCAAGCTGACTACACTGCAACGCAAAGTCTGCTTGCCGAAGCTGGCCAAGTTCCGCATTATTCTCTGTTAGCTCTCTTACAGGTCTGTCTTTGTGAACGCTCTTTGGGGTGTTCAACCTCCTAGTGACAGATATGGAGTCTTAACACTTTTTAGGCCCCTTGATTTTCTTGGGGGATAAAAAGACTCTTCCGTCAACTCCTCTGATCCAACTTGTCTGCAGATCATGTTGAAACTCCTTTTTGTCACATCCTCCAGATCACAATGAAAAGGCAGATTAACGTGATTACTGAGGTCCATCAACTCATGGCTCTTGGTTAAATGATACCTACCATGAACCACAGGACAGAGCTCTGCAGACTTAGCTGGCTGCCTCATTACAATGACTTCATTTAATAAACTTGCTGTCAGCAGCTTAATCCTCAGTCAAGAAGAAGTATGAGAATCCTTGTTAGCCATGATTAGGCAACATTGAGGGTTAACAAAATTTTCTCATGCCCCAGCATTCATTTTCATTAAAAGTATAAATGAATTTAAAAAAAAATTGCAAAAAGAGCACCTGATTGGCAGCGACTTTTTGGGTTTTCACCATGAAGTCCTGTTGCGAGTAAGCCATTTTAATCGTTCAGCTTGATTTCACATTTGGGTTTTTGCTGGGAAGTGTTTCCTATATGGTTTCTAATCCTTCAGGCTCCTCTTCTGCCTTACCTGTCCTTGGGTCCTGTCAATCAAGCTGGCTAGGTGTTCTTCACAACTGTCATTCTGTTAGGGGTGTGAAATATTTCCCAGAGGTGGCAGTGTAAGGAAGGGTTTTCTATCTTTCCTCCTGTTAGAGTCTGAGATGGAGCCATGCTGAGTTCTTGGCAGTGCCCAGGGCACTGTTCAGACTGGTAGATTCTGACCTGACTTTGAGCTCCTATCCCCAACCTGCCTCTTCTGGAAGCACCACCTTAGTACTCTCCCATCCCCCACCCCAGTGCTGGGAGTTCCTGAAGCTCTCCACAGACGTTTCAGAAATGAAAGAATAAGGGGCTAGAGGGTCCCAGGTTCCAAATGCACAACTGTTGTCTCTCTTTTCTGGACAGCTGTGTTTATCTGGGTCCTTGGAGAAGCAGAGGTCAAGACAGGATTAGACATGCAAGGATTTTATTAGAGGAAATTCCTATGTGAGGGAAAATGGGGAGAGAGCTGGGAAAAGGTCTGGGAGCTTTCAGAGTGTGATGCAAGAGTGACTCCGCACCCCAGTGCAGGAGGGAGCGGGGAGGGAAGGCTGGGTGGCAGCATCATAGAGTGCTTTGCAAATAAAGCAAGGTTAAGCAAGGCTGCTGTGGAGTCTCAGAACCGAAGTCGTCCACCAGCCTCAGACTGACCTGCCTTGGCATCTGGGCTTCGTGCAGTCATTGGCCTCAGTGCAAAGGTGACATAGCTCTCAGAATGCAGCTCTGGGGCCCTTGGGGAATGATCCACGTAGAGTTGGAGGCATGTGAGGTGAGGTGACTTCCCATGGCTGTCGCACAGCCAGTGGTGAGAGCTGAGCCAGATGCACTGCAAAAAGCAGCACAGCAAAAGGGATATGATTATAGTTAAAATGAAGAACAAAACAATGCAAGGAGCACCCTGACCCTGAGCCCTCACCCTAACCCTAACCCTACCAGTGAGGAAGCACGAAGGAGTATTTGTATTGCCTGGGCCTGTGAGCTTCACTCCAGCAAGGAACTCCCAGCAAGGGACATTCCAGCAGTTGGAACTCCCAGTTCCAACTCTTGTATCTGGTGGTTTGCCATCCTTTTGGGGGACTGTTTCTTGCTGTCCTTACACACTAGCTCTGAGCTCAGTTCTCTGATTATTTCTCTGACCAAGGGAAGACATAGATCTTTCCTTAGAGCACAGCTGAGACCAGGCTGCTGTGTGGTTCTGATGTTTCCACAGGCTTGTTGGGGGAACAGCAAAGGGGTCTTCAATAGCATTAGCTGGAGGGGTTTCTTCCAAAAGGCCCTTGCCTTCCCAGGGACCAAAGAAAGGTATAAATAACCACAGCTGAACAGAGTTGGTTTTAAACAAAATAATCATTCTAAGTAGTTTAGCTGGTGCTGGCGGAGGAGAGGGAGACAGGAGTTACCAGGGTTCTGGCCAGTCCTAGGCGGGACTGTCCAGACAGTATCTCCTAGGAGGGGTGTCCTGGGCAGAAGGGACAAGGATGAGGGCCTGATGGCATGTCTGGAAGTGACAGATGGGGAAAGTGATACAGGTGCTCCCTTTCACTCATCATTGGAACCCAATGACTGCAGTGTCTTCCTAACCCATCCCTCTGCTTCCTTCTCCCCTCCACACTGCCCTCCCCCAGGCAATCCATCCTGACTGCTACAGTTATTTTTCTTGCACACAAATCTGATCATAATGCTCTTTCTGCTAAAACCTCTTCAATGGCCTCCCAGGCCTTCTGGACTCCTAGCATAGCATTCAAACGCAGCCCTCTCCCCACTCCTTGACTCTCACCAGCAGAACTCCCGGTTCCAACACTTCTCTGGAGGTTTGTCATCCTCTTGGGGGACTGTTTACTGCTGTCCTCACTCACTAGCTCTGAACTTGGTTCTCTGATTACTGCTCTGGCCAAGGGAAGACATAGATCTTTCCCTAGAGCACAGCTGAGACCAGGCTGGTGTGTGCTTCTGACATTTCTGCAGGCTTGCTGGGGGAACTGCAAAGGGGGCTCCCCACAGATAAGCTAGTGAGTATGGGCAGCCAGCTGTGGCTGCAATGGGAACAGCTCTGTCCCTGGGGCCTCTCTTGGCAGCCCCCAGCTTGTGGCCCTCATCAAAGACAATTTTTCCATCTCATTGCCCAGGGGTATCTTGAGAATCTCTATATACTTAGAGTCCAGTTTAGGAGAGCTATGTCCAGGAAGAGGAAGTCCCCACCTCTTATCTCAAGCCTGCCCACCATGTTTTAATGTCCTGATCTAGGACAACTGGCTTTGGGAAGAACCTGCCCTTTAGGTAGGCCACCCACACTGTCACTCACAGTATTGTGGCCTCCCACTGTGGCCAATGATCCAATGACCTCCGGCATGGACATCTGCAGGAGATCTTTTGTCTACAGCATCATCATCTCCTTTTGTGTCCCTTGTGTGCTTACGCTTCAGCCTGAGCCTGTTTAAATGCTCATTGCTGGGTTTTGCTCCTAGCAATCCTGATTTGGTGGGTCTGAGGGGCGCTATGGCTGATTCTAATGCAGCTTCCACCTCCAATGCAGCTTCTCTAAGCTTGTGTGTCCAACTCTGTGCTTGTATTAATATTTAGAAGAATGGAATGGGCTCAACAGTGCACAGAGCTCAGCTTCCAAAGAGAAATGTAGATGCCAAGGTCAGGTGCAAAGGACAATTGCAGATAGGAAAGTGAGACTGCGGAGTGACATCCAAGTTCAGGGAACTTGGGCAGATCTTGTTACCCACTTATAGCTACCACTTGGGTATCATTTTTCCCATTTGAAATCTAAGTCTGTCAAATACATTTTTAGTGGAGAGAAGAAGGAGATGGAGTGATTTGGGGAATCAAAAGTCAAATCTAGGTTTTTGGGTTTTGCACCAAATTTGATATTGCCTGCATTGAAAAGAACCCCTCTTCTTGGATTAGATTGAATTTATTTGGTGCAAACCCACGCTCTATAAATACTAGTATATTTTTACTTTTTAATACCCTGCATGAAAGTCCAACGATGATCAGAAACGGCAGCTATTAACCTTGTAATCTCCTTAATGCAATTAATTAATTAGTAAATTGCTACCAATTTGAACTGAGACATGCATCCATAGTCAGTGTAAATATAAAGCTGATGAAATAAAAAATTTACTGTTTTCACATTGGCATTTAACAATGAAGTTTTTAATAAAAGGCAAATTGCTTTATGTAGAACATTTACTTAATTGTATTTGCTCTAGTGGGATTTTATCTGAATTATCTGGCATGTGAAGGAAATGAACTTAGTTCTAACTGAAGAAAAACGAATCATAGGGAGATTTACTACAATAATTTTCAAGGACTGCATCGAGAGGACTCATCAATTTTATTCTGTATCCACTATAGAGGGAACTAAAAAACAGAAAATAAATGTACCCTGTAAATGTAGCAGTGTGCTCTACTGGAGATTAAATCTGTATCTTCCCTCTGTTCTAGCAAGAAAGGTTTGGAAAGATATCTTGTTTCCCCCTGCTTTTTTTTTTTTTTTTTTTTTTTTTTTTGAGACAGGGTCTCACTCCTGTCACCCAGGCTGGAGGGCAGTGGCAATCTAAGCTCACTGCAGCTTTGGCCTCCCAGGCTCAAGTGACCCTCCCACCTCTGCCTCCTACAGGCACATGCTGCCAGCCTGGCTAATTTTTAAATTTTTTGTAGAGATGGGGTCTCACTCTGTTTCCCAGGCTGGTCTTGAACTTCTGGGTTCAAGTGATCCTCCTGCCTCAGCCTCCCAACGTGCTGAGATTACAGGCATGAGTCACCATGCCCGACGATATCTTATTTCTTAGGGAGAATAAATCTTTGAATGACTGAAAGTACACTGTCTCCTGCTCCTATGTAGAGGTCTGAGACTCCTGGAGACATGGAGAAAGATTACAGGTAGTTTTATTTTTTAGAAAAAGAGGTGTGAGCAGACATTTTGGGACCAGGGTCTGGGTGGAGAGACTAATAATTCTCCAGAGGATGCTTGGAGCAGAGATGGTGCCTGGGGCCCTGGGGCCATGAGGCAGTGAAAGCTGAGCCCACCTGGATCCTGCATTCTAGGGTTGGCTTGCAGTCCACAAAGTGGGGGAGGAAGGGAGCACAGAGAAATAGCTGTGAAGACTGGCATCCTGCCAGCACCTGAGGCAAGAGTGGGGCAGAGGACCCACCTGGCCTGGCCTGGTGTGTGCCCGTGTCCCTCGTTCTTGGCTTGTCCGTCCTACCCACTGAGGCTCTGCTCCAGGGTTCTCTTGGGGGCTCCTGCAGGCAGTGACACCCACTAACCCAGTCAGGGAGAGGGGCTCCAGTGCCCACACTTTGAAGGGTGTCTGAAGCATGCAAGTGCCCCCTGGGGAAATGTGGATGAGTCAGAAGCGCTGGACATCTCAGTTACATAGGGCTTAGTTGTGAGGCAGAGTTTTCTGATAATGAGGTGTGTTAGTCACTGGGATGAAGACCAAGTGGGCTTTCCTTAGGGACCTTTGAAATAGGCAAGTCTCATCCATTTGGGGGTGGATTTTGGATTTCGTGTGGTCTTGCCTAGTAGGGAATGGGGGATAGGGGATGGAGAAGGAAAGGCAGTCAAGGATAACAAAACAAGTTTACTTCTCACACTAGGGGTATCTGCTTACTCAGTTGCTGAAATCCGGATGGGTCCCATCATTGTTCCTGCTTCTGGTTTGTTAGAACTTCCCCAGGGCACATTAAAACAAATACAGAAATCAGGTGCATTATCTTTTATGCTTGGTTTCATAAAAATTAATTGCAGAAAAAATATATGCTGTGACATATGCTTTCTATCCCACCAAGAGAGGAATCAATGTAGCACTTTCTCTTGTGAATAGAACTCAATAGTTCTCCTTTGTGTTGTAAAATGGTATTATAGTCATGCCAGAGAGTGGCATTGCATGTAATTACAAACCTGTTGAGTTCTGTGTTTAAGCCCAGTTTGAGGGAATGTGGCGCTCAGGGTTTTTAATCACACAGGATTAAACTTGGCTTTCAAGTTTTGTATAAAGCTAGTGTAGCTGGTAAATGTGCATTCTGACTACCAGTGTGAAGAAAAATTAATTCCATTCAGGGAACTCGGCCTACATGCACTGGTGCTGTTGGATCCGTTTTGTGGAAAGGGACAGTGTCCTTCCTGCTACAGAGCTCATGCTTGATTGGTCTGTATTAGTGTCATCCTGGCTGTCAAAATATTTTGAATATTTCTTCTGACTTACATCTGCACTCCTTTTTTCACATGTAGGTTGGATTACCAAGCTGTAACCCAAGATGAGCTGTCCAACCATGAAAATAAACACCACTGACATGTCTAAAATTTATGGGCAACTGATGAAATGCAGTAGATTTACAAGGAGCTACCCCCCAGGCTTCATCAAATGAGGCAACTGAGTGCTGTTGAAATAATTGTTTTATTTACAGTTCCTTAAACTTCCAGTGGGCAGACTACCAAACCAGGGTTGATCATACCTGGGACCGTAGGTCAGTAACATCCCTTACTTGTAACCATTTCTCCCTAGAGTCCAGACTAGTGGACATGCTCATCTGGTCCAACCATGTTCTGGCCTCCATGACTCTGATGGTTCAGCTTACTAGGTCAGCTCTCATGGAGTTGTACATATGCTTTCCTGCAAGATCAAGAAAGTTGATCCCCTGGTCACCTTGAATCCCTAGTCCTGAATGTTGTATTCTACACTGAATTTCTCAGATGCATCACTCTGTCTGGAAGGGCTGAGAATGGGGAGGAAGATGGGAAAAGGTAAAAAGCTTTGGGAGTTATGTAACAATGTTGAAGTTGGAGATTGTATTTCTCTCGTTCATTTTTCCTGGGCCATTGTAAATACTTCTTGCATAAGCACAGCCAGTCATATGTGGTAGGCCAGTCCTGACCTACTATTCCAAACATATAATTATGACTTATAATAATAATAATAAGTAGGACTATAATTATCATGTAGTGATGGAGCGGCCATGTGCTGAACACAGGGCTAGATGGTTTCACATACATTATCTCATTTAGATTTTATTTATTTATTTTTGAGACAGGGTCTTGCGCTGTGGCCCATGCTGCAGTGTGGTGACACCGTTATAGCTCACTGCAGCCTCAAACTCCTGGGCTCAAGTGATCTTCCTGCTTTAGCTTCCTGTGTAGCTAGGACTACAAGTGTGTGCCACCATGCCTAATTTTTTTTTTTTTAATTTTTTTAGAGATGGGGTTTTGCTATGTTGCACAGGCTAGTCTTGAACTCCTGGCCTCAAGCAATCCTCCCATCTCAGCTTCCTCAAGTGCTGGGATTATAGACATAATCCACTGCATCCAGCCTCATTTAGTTTTTAGAACAATAATCCTGCAAATAGGCATTTCCCATCTTTTATAGATAAATAACCTGAGGCTCTGAGAGACTTATAACTCACTCATTTACTTAGCCCAGCTCGGTCTAGCACCAAAGCCATCTATCCTTCCCACTTTGTGGCCTCCCAAGGAAACCCAGTGGTCCCACCTGTCCAATGCATTTTCTGAAATCAGGTCTGAGTAAGTATTTCACGTGCTCCAACTTCATATGCAAACTTCACGTATCTTTAAAATTCCCTTGCTCACTCCTCTAGTCAAGGTTATCTTGGGCACAGAGAGTTCTTTAAATATTCCAGCCACCTGTCACCCAAGGAATGTTCTGAACCCTGACAGTCTCTGAAGTGTTCCTGCCCTTGCATGAAAATGACTCTATCTGGTTTATAATTAGAAGTGAAATGATTTTAAATGGCTTCCACATGGCTTAGTTTTCCAAGCAGTTCCAGTTACATAGAACTTCATATAAACAGATAATGAGAGGCTAGAGTTGGAGAGCACAGTTCCTGCTTCCAAATTGGCTTGAAGTGGGGACATCTGCTCTGCATGAAGCCTGGGTCAGGCTGCCCCTCTCATCTGTGACCTCCTGTGGTCGGGAGGGACTTGCTCTGGATTATATAAAGGCTTCACAAGAGTACTGGAAGCGGGGACGGAATCAACTTGAGCAAAAAACCTAATTGGCTTGAATCTTTCCTTGACCATCAGTAATTATTTTGAGATTGATAGCCTATCTTATAATAAAATAACTGTTTCCTTTCCAAAGAAGGATTTCTTGCCTTGGTTGCAAGTCCAAACAATTTCATGTAACAGGCTTTCACAAAGATGGCCTGATATGAGTCTAATGACTTTTCTTACAATGAATTACGCAGATTGGAGGATATTTACTCAACAAATTTACTTCCAACCTTCCCCTCCATATTCTCAACACATACACATAGCCTTTTATTACTATTATTATTATTTTCTTGAGACAGAGTCTTGCTCTGTCGCCCGGGCTGGAGTGCAATGGTGTGATCTCGGCTCACTGCAAGCTCCGCCTCCCGGGTTCACGTCATTCTCCTGCCTCAGCCTCCCGAGTAGCTGGGACTACAGGCTCCTGCCACCACGCCTGGCTTATTTTTTTTTGTATTTTTAGTAGAGACGGGGTTTCACCATGTTAGCCAGGATGGTCTCGATCTCCTGACCTCGTGATCCACCTGTCTCGGCCTCCCGAAGTGCTGGGATTACAGGCGTGAGCCACCACGCCCGGCCTATTATTATTATTTTTAATTCCAAAACTGGATGGAGAATGTGGGAATCGAAAAATTGTGCACGTTGTAGAGCCTGGGTCTGAGGTTTCCCTTGAAACTGTCATTGGTCTTCCAGAAGACCAGCTATCCCAGATATATTAATAGTAGAATCGAAGGGCCCTGAGATACCTGACTTCAGAAATTCTTGAGTTCCCAAAGCCTGCATAAAGCTGGAGGCTCCCATGCATGAAGCTTGGAGGGCCGGTATGTGCTCATGAGAGAGGCAGAGGGAGAGTGTTTTCCAGAATATCAATCTAGGGTCCTAGCAACCCCTGCTCAACAGTGTTTCTTCCTTTCCTCAGCAAATCCAAGTGGATCCCTTCTTTGTATGATGGTTTTGGGGTCTGTCTTTTCCATAGATTCTTTCTGCCAAGTCTGGTCTTCACTGATGCAGTTAATTAATAAATCTCATCTATTTTAATTTAATGCTTGAATGAGTGGCTACTCATGCGAGGTATTGGTCTAGGTATGCTCGGTAGGGCTGCAAAGATGAACCAAATTTAGATTCTTCCCCAAGAAGTTTACAGTCTACCAGGAGAGAAGTCAAGTATAGCTGGGGATGGGAAGGGATGCAAATAGACACACCGTTACTATAGGGTGTGTTAAGATAGAAGGAGACAAAATGTAATGAAAGAAGACAGGAGGAAATGGCCCCAGTGACTCCTTCTCATAAGGGGCAGAGAACCCCTGAAAAGGCAGTTTCTAGTTTGAAAGTTCTCTGAGATACGTAATGTCTTCTTGAGCCAGGATAAATCTGCTTTGGGCTTTTATTTCTATTTCTTTCCTAGCTTCTGGAAAAAGGGCTATCATGGAGGATGTTGACAGCAGGTTTAAAATGGGGGGGCATGGTTTGGGGGTTTGGTGAGCCCCACCCATAGATGTGAAGCCAGAAGGAGGAAGCCCAGTGCTGGTATGGCTTCCTGCTCAAGAAGATGCCAGAGCCTCTGAGCAGGAGTCATGGTCCAAGGAGGCTTGTGACTCTCTTGTTTAACTTACAGCTTTAAAGGAAATAACGTCTTTGTAGCAAAAGTCCACCAGGATTTGCATTTGTATTTCTAAAAACAGAGGAAGAATACACAAAAACCTGTTGACAAATATTGATAGCAGCTTCATTTGTAATAGCCAAAGACTGGGAATAAGCTAGATGTTTCTCAGTGGGCGAATGGTTAAATAAACTATGGTACATCTATATCACTGAATACTGCTCAGCCATAAACAGGAATGAGTTACTGGTGCATGGGACAACTTGGATGAATCTCAAGGGAAATGTGCTGAGTGAAAAAGTCAATCCAAAGGATTACATATTGTATGATTTCATTTATATAAACAATAACACATGGTAGAGATGGAGAGCAGATTAGAGATGGATGGGGTTAGCAATGGGAGTGTGGGGTGGGAGTGAGGTGGATGCATGTAGGTAGTTATAAAAGGGTAACAGGAGAAGGAAGCCTTGGAATGGTTCTGTATCTTCACTGTAGTAGTGGATATGCTAATCTACACATGTAATAAAACTGCAGAAGCCCAGACGTACACACACATGAGCACACATAAAAATGAGGAAATCCAGGCTGGGCACGGTGGCTCACGTCTGTAATCCCAGCACTTTGGGAGGCTGAATCACGAGGTCAGGTTTTCCAGACCAGCCTGACCAACATGGTGAAACCCCGTCTCTACTAAAAATACAAAGAAAATTCGCCAGGCTTGGTGGCATGTGCATGTAATCTCAGGTACTCAGGAGGCTGAGGCAGGAGAATCGCTTGAACCCGGGAGGTGGAGGTTGCAGTGAGCTGAGCTTGCGCCAGCCTGGGTGACAGAGCAAGACTCCGTCTCAAAAAAAAAAAAAAAAAGAAATTTGAATACAATTGGTGGATTGTATCAATGTCATTTTTCTGGCTTTGATATTGTACTATGTGTACTATGGTTTTGAAATATGGTGTGATTAGCAAAACTGGGTAAAGGGTACAGGAGATGTCTTTGTACTATTTCTTACAAGTGCATGTGAATCTATAATGATTTCAAATAAAAAAGTTTAATTTAAAAAGAAGAAAAAGAGGCTTGTGAGCTTCCTTAAGCCTGTGACTTGCCTAACATTTATCATGTTTGTTACCTTCCCTGACACAAGCAGGAGGTGAGCACTGGGGAGGTTCTGAGGATAGAAAATTACTCCTGGCTTAGGGGTAGACTGGCTCC
The DNA here is from genome assembly GCF_000001405.40 of Homo sapiens. Taxonomy (NCBI): domain Eukaryota; kingdom Metazoa; phylum Chordata; class Mammalia; order Primates; family Hominidae; genus Homo; species Homo sapiens. Next base: position 219,712,610 of record NC_000002.12, read on the forward strand.
ATGGAGGAGGCTGAATGGCATCTGAACACTGAAAGACTGTCCAGAATTGGACACATAAAGTCTAAAGGGAGAGTGTATAGGTAAAGACAGAGGGCAGGACAGAATGGGATGAGAATGTGAAATGAGACGTAATTGGATCTGGTTGGGAAAGGAGGGAAGGAGTGGGGGTAAGAGTGGAAAAGAAGGTGGGGGACAAATCATGGTAGTTGAGAAGACTGGGCAATGGGGAGGTCATTGAAGACTCTGTCAGGGTGCTGAGCTGTGCTTCAGGGAGATCAGTCTGGCAGCAGTGTAGGCAGAGAGGTCAGATGGGGATACAGACGGAGAGAAATTAGGAACCCATTCCTGTAATCTGGGAAACAGAGAGGTGATTAGTCAAGATTAATTTCCTCTGCCTGTACTAGGAACGTTTACAAGTTAAGTTTATTTCTCTCTCATATAAAAGAAGTTATGGTAAGAAGTCCAAAATTGATGTGTAGGCACCACAAAGTTAACAGGGATCTAGTCCTTTTCTAGCTCTCTGCTGTGCCATCCCTAGGGTGCTGCAGTCATTCTCAAGGTCATTCCAGCAGCAAAGTTGAGGAATGGGGTAGAAAAGCATGTTTTTATAGAACAACTTCCCAGAAGTCCCACATAACATGCTTGCCTACTTCCCATTGGCTAGAATTTAGTCACATGGCCACATCTAACTGGAGGGGAGTCTGGGAAATGTAGTCTTTTAGCTGGGTCGCCATGTGCCTGGCTAAAATGGAGAGTTCATTCATTAAGGAGAAAGGGGAGAAGGGATGTTGGGGAAGGCAAATGGTAGGTTATGCCTCAGAGTCTGAATTCAACTAGTGGTGAAGAGAATGGAGAGGAGAGGGAGAATATGTGAGATATGCAGGTACATAATGACTGGGCTTGACAAGTGATTAGAAATGGGTTGGAAATAAGAGAGGTTTGGAGCCTGAGTAAAGTGAAGTGGTGGAAACCATAGTTAATGTGTGCCAGGCACTGGTCTAAATGTTTTTGCACGTATTTCACATTGATTTCTCATGACACCACTATGAGGTAGGTCCTGCTATTATTATCTCAATTTTGCAGATGAAGGAAATGGGACATTGAGGTAATTTGCTTGCCCAAGTGTCACAGTTAGTAGCAGAACCAGAATTTGAACCTGGGCAGCTGGTTCCAGAGCCTGTACCCTTAAGCACTACTGTAAACTGAATCTTTCTGTCCCCTCAAAATTTGTATGTTGAAACTTAATCTCCAGTGTGATGGTATTTGGAAGTGGGAAGGTCCTTGGGAGGTGATTAGATCATGAGAGTGGAGTCCTCATGAAGGAAATTAGTGCCCTTATAAAAAAGACCCCAGAAAGCTCCCTACCCCTTCTGCCATATGAGGTCTCAGTGAGAAGACAGCCATCCGTGAGCCAGGAGGAGGGCCTGATATGGTTTGGATCTTTGTCCCTGCCCATATATCATGTTGAAATGTAATCCCCAGTGTTAGAGGTGGGGCCTGGTAAGAGGTGATTGGCTCATGGGGGTGGTTTCTCACAGTTTAACACCATCAGCCTTGATGCTGTTATCATGATAGTAAGTTCTTGTGAGATCTGGCTGTTTAAAAGTGTGTGGCACCCCTCTCCTCTCTCTTTTCCTGCTGTTCCAGCCATTTGAAGTGCTGTCTGCTCCTTGGCCTTCTGGCATGATTGTAAGCTTCCTGAGGCCTCCCTAGAGGATGAGTACATGGCAGCATCATGCTTCCTGTACAGGCCGCAGAACTGTGAGTCAATTAAAATTCTTCTTTATAAACTACTCAGTCCCAGGTATTTATTTATTTATAGCAATGCAAAAACAATCTAATACAAGGCCTTATCAGACACTGAATCTGCTCATGCCTTGATCTTGGACTTCTCAGCCTCCAGAACTGTGAGAAATAAAGGCTTGAGCCACTCGTCTATGATATTTTAGTTATAGCAATCAAAATGGACTAAGACAACCACTATGCCTGTGGTGGCACTGTGAATAGAGAGAGAGGGAACAGGGAAATATCTAGATCTGTGTGCTGATACCACTTTTTTTCTCCACATTATTCTCCTTTTTCCTTGATTATATTTAACTTCTGTGGTGCTCAGTTGTAGGTGGTATAGAAAACTTGTTGAGTTGACTTTCCCATGTGGGCTTGGAAGAGTACACAAAGTGCTGACAACCTGTCCTTTGTTTTGGTCATTGACAATTTCAAGCCTTGGCCTGGGGTGGGCACTGAGCATTGGCAATGCCTTGTGGGGTCTGGGGGTGGTTCTGGGGGCTGCATTCCAGATGTCCCAGTTGGTCAGGAAGTAGATTGCCCAGAACCTATATTACCAGGTCCAAATGGGACAAGAGAGGAAGGAAAAGCCAAGAGGCAAGCTAGTGGGACCCAGAGCCTTGGGAAGCTCATGCCTCGGAAAGCCTGGGTGGGGAGCTAGGCTTAATATGGTTTCTGGGGAGCAGTAGGCAGCTCTGCTCTCCAAGGGCTGGGGATGTAGCTCTAGAAAGGACAGAAGGGATTTGTTCTGTGGCCAAATGTAACTTGGAAACAATATTCTGTCTGCCATTTCTGTTTTGCAAAAAGTGTGATAGAGGCCAAATCCATGCCAGGGCTGAAGACCAAGAATGGAGTAATGTCTGCAGAGAGAAGGGTAATTAGCAAATTCCTTAATTAGAGTTGGGTTCCTGTTTTCCCAGTCAATTCTAATCATTTGCTAGATTTTAACACAGCTTCTTTGGCCTGCAGGGTACAGCCATAGAGTTCAGAAAACCAGGATCCAGTGATCTTGGATAAAGTAAGTAAGACCTGGTTTCCTCTTCCGTAAAAAGACTATCACAACATTTATTTCTTGAAGCTGTAAGAATCCAAAAAGTAATATGTAAAATGTTGGCAAGCTCTCAAGGTTAGTTATTTATTACATTAGTGATAATGATGCCTTATTAGCTGCTAATGTCTGTTAGTGAATGCTTCTGTGTTTAAATTTCATGCTTCATTGAATCCCACTGATTTCCTTTTCTCACCAAGGTGCCATTCTGCACTGACACCTGTAATCAAAGCTTGAAGATTTACTTAGGCACCAAAAGATTAATCTTGATAAAATTCATGAAGTTTCTGTTCACTAGACATTAGCCATCACCCCTGATATGTGACATCCTTCTCTTATTCTGATTTCTAAACATATATTTAAATATAGGTTAAGAAAGTATCATTTCAGAGCCAGTAAGTTAACTGGGGAAAAAAATGGGCTTTCTTTGAATAAGAATCTCACACTGGATTGAACCTCAATGTTTTGATATATGGTGCCTCTATTCTAGTTGTTACTAAATACTTTCATTTTCCATTCCAGTTCTTTTTCTTTTTCTTCAACCAAGATTTAATTGCTGGAGACCAAGCTCATTTGTAATTATTCCGTGGTAAAAATATAGACAGGAATAAGATGTAGTCCTGTCCTCAATAAGCTCATAGTCTGGGAGAGAAGACAAACTTGAAAATAAATAATTGCAGTACATGAGACAAATGCCATTGAATAAATATATACAGGGTACAGAGGTGGCATCTCAAGAAGAAGGAACAAAAATGCCTTGGCATTTCAACTGGGAGGACAAAATACGTGTTGGTATCATCACTGTCTAAATGTGTAACCTCAGAATTCACCAATCACTTGACAAAACTGGATTCTTTCTTGCATGTAATGTTAGTTGAATCTTTTGAATTCCAGAGATTGAGAAGTAATTTGGGTTTTTATTAGTTCTAGTCTCTTCCTTCTTTCATCTCATTGTACTTCTTAATCCCTAATTTATATACTTATAATGTAAAATGCATTTGGTCATCTATTCTGCCCTCAATCTCTCCAACAATTTTTCTATGTCTGGTTTTTATTTTTCCATCATAAATCTTTAATGTGCATAGCTGTGTTCCTTTCCTTGAAATCCAAACTTGCCCCATCATATTTGCAAAAATTTGAAAGCTTGACAATACACTCATTGGCAAGGCTATAGGGAAACAGCTATTCTTATCCATTGTTGGTGGGAATGAAAAATGGCATAATTTTTATGGAGGGGAATTTGGTAATAGCTAATGAAACTATATGTGCATTTATCCTTTGACCCAGCAATTAAACTAATAGTAATTTATTCTGAAGATGTACTTCTAATAATACAAAAAAACCCAAATGCACAAAGTTATTAATTATAGTTGGAAACCACCTTAATGTCCAAGGATAGGAAACTGACTAAATTATGGGTACTCACACACAATGAAGTACTATGCAGCTGTAAACAAGAATGAGTGGCTAGGTAGGTGGCTCACACCTGTAATCCTAGCACTTTGGGAGGCTGAAGTGGGTGGATTGCTTGAGCCCAGGGATTCAAGACCAGCTTAGGCAATGTTGTAAAACCTTGTCTTTATAAAAAAAAAATAGAAAAATTAGTCAGAAGTGGTGGCACATCACTGTAGTCACAACTGCTTGGAAGGCTGAAGTGGGAAGATTGCTTGAGCCTGGGAGGTGAATGTTGCCATGAGCTGAGATCACACCACTGCACTCCAGCCTGGGTGATAGAGTGAGACACTGTCTCAACAACAGCAATAACAACAACAACAACAACAACAACAAAGAATGAGGAAGCTATCTATGAACTGATGTGGAATTATTTCTAAGAGATATTGTTAAGAGAAAAAAAGCAAAGTGCAAAATAATATATATGGTATGCTATCATTTATGTAAGAGAGAAGGAAAAATGAGAAAACATATATTTGTTTATCTCTACAAAAGAAACAAAGGATAAATCAGGAAGCATTAAAGTTGGTGAAGGAAATAGGGCAGAAAAAATATGGAAGGAGGAATACTTCTCTGAATAGATCTTTTTGCATAGTTTTGACCTTCAGAAGCATGTTAATATTTTATATATTCTAAAGTAAAATTAATAAGGATGGAAAAGGGCAAAAATCCCTAAAACTGAATGCAAACTGAAACAAATTAGTCAATTGTTTTGCAAATGAATACCATAACCACCTTGAAGAGAAAAAAAGAAAGGACTAATCCTAGTAACTTATGAACATAGTATTTGACTATATACCCTCAGTCTTAGGTGAAGGAATACATAGAATTGTGCATAAATTCTGAACTTTTTTTTAAGTAGACTTGTTTTTTGTAGTGATAGAGGAAAGTAATTCTTTTTTTTCTTCTTTTTTTTTTTTTGATGGTGTTTTGCTCTGTTGCCCAGGCTGGAGTGCAGTGGTGCGATCTCGGCTCACTGCAACCTCCGCCTCCTGGGTTCTACCGATTCTCGTGCCTCAGCCTCCTGAGTAGCAGGGACTACAGGCACATGGCACCATACCTGGCTAATTTTTTGTATTTTTGGTACAGATGGGGTTTCGCCATGTTGGCCAGGCTGGTCTCAAACTCCTGACCTCAGGTGATCCGCCAACCTCGGGCTCCCAAAGTGCTGGGATTACAGGTGTGAGCCACTGCATCCTGCCGAGAAAAAGCAATTCTGAAACAACTTTATATTTGTGAAAGTTGTCACAATCAAAAGGAAGTCACTTGTGTTGAAATCCTGACAAATGAAGCCAGGGAAGGTTATGAAGGGCGGGTTCTCATAAATGTATGCCTGATAGTAAGAACTTTCGCAAAACACTGCAAAAACCACAACCTTGCACAAAGGCCACTGTAACTTTACATAGAAAATACTTTCACAAGGATGTCTGTTCAGCAACTGCCCATCCAACCTCAGACTGACACCACCCTTGTTACTGATCCTTGTAGCCAAGGATAATTGACTCAAAGCAAATTATGTAATCCCCCTCATTTTTCCTTTAAAAACTTCCATTTGTCTCAACCTCCCTGAATAGGCACATAGTTTACTATGGCATGTGCATTCCCATTGCAATGCTACTCCTTAATAAATATCATTTTCTTTTAGAGAGTCTCCCACTCTGTCTGTTATTTAGGTTTGACATATGTATTATAGGAGTGAGCAAATAAGTAAATGTGTTACTATTGGGAAGCAGGGTTCTCATTAAGGAAAAAGTGACAATATATGGAATGGGGAGAAAGCAAGAAAGAGCCCTGTTGAGATGGATTGAAATTTGGGGTATCACTGTGTATTATATTTCTAAAATGCATATGTATGTGTGCATGTAAATTTGCATGAATATGTACTTATAAATATATATACCTGTGTGTATTACCTAGTTTTGTCTGCTGAAAGGGCCAAGAAACAATAACACCTCAGTGGCCAATGGACACATCTTGTGCCCAGATCTTGGTCTCTAATTCCATTCCCCACCAAAAGGACTCAGGGCTCTCGGGAGAACCAACTGATTCCAGGCTAGGGCAGGACTGTTAACAGGTGAGCCTGGAACTTTCTTAATTTCTAGTATAACAGAATGTTCTGTTATGCTGATACTAGAAATTAAGAATGAGCTCAAAAAGAGATGGGACCATGTCACAAGGACACAGGAGCCAGCCTGAAAGAACTCCCACTGGCTAAATCTGGGACAATTTAAGTAATTAAGTATAATGATGAATTATAAACTATTAAAAATCAGAATTTATGAGTCCCTATTGATAATAAATGGGTTAAATATTTATATGAGGAAAAGCAAGGGCTCTTGCTTACAGTGAAATGCTGAATGCCAACTTATAAATTGGGAGGAAGGGCTGGAGCTGATAAGTTAGCATTTTAGAACCATTACAGCAAAGATCAGCAAGAATCATCAAGCAAGAATCATCAATGGATGCAAAAACTAGGGAGGAATTTAGATAAGGAGGAGGATATTTGTTTGGTCTAAAAATATCTCCCTACATACTATTAGTTGCAAGGGAAACCAAAATAGCAATTATACTGTAGAGAAATTTGACAGCTTGACTGGGTTTTCAAAATCTGCAATGAGGGCAGATGGATGTTGTGTGCCTCCTGATGTGATGCCTTGGGAAGGACACAGTGGCACCTCTGTCGTATTCCAGCCAAGAATGTATAACCCGAGTCATGAGGAAATATTAGACAAACTATAAATGAGAAACATTCTGTTAAAAACGGGGCAGGGCTCTAGACTTGGAAAATGTCATCATGGAGGACAAAGAAAGGGTCTGGAAGTGCTCCAGATCAATGAAGGATGGAGACAGCTGAACTCAATCCCTGACCCTAGACTGGATTCCATTCTGGAGGGGGAAATGCTATAAAGACATTATTGGGTCAATTGACAAAAATGGGACAGTAGATTAGATAAAAGTAATGTTTCATTGTTAAATTTACTGAAGTTGAGGATGATACTCTGGCTATATGAGAATGTATGCACGTACACACGTACAGTGATTATTTTTTTGGAGACGGAGTCTCACTCTGTTGCCCAGGCTGGAGTGCAGTGGCATGATCTCGGCTCACTGCAAGCTCCGCCTCTTGGGTTCGACCGATTCTCCTGCCTCAGCCTCCTGAGTAGCTAGGACTACAGGTGCCCGCCACCATGCCCAGCTAATTTTTGTATTTTTTTAGTAGAGATGGGGTTTCACCATGTTGGCCAGGATGGTCTTGATCTCTTGACTTCGTGATCTGCCCACCTCGGCCTCCCAAAGTGTTGGAATTACAGGCGTGAGCCACTGCGCCCGGCCAACATGTACAGTGATTCTTGAACAGTGTAGGGGTTATGGACACTGAATCCTCCCATGGTAAAAAATCCTCATATAATTTTTAACTCCTTTGAAACTTAACTACTAATTGCCTACTGTTGATCAGAAGCCCTATTGATAAGATAAGCAGTTAATGAGCATGTATTTTGTATGTTATCTGTATCATATACTGTATTCTTATGAAGTAAGCTAGAGAAAAGAAAATGTTATTAAGAATATCATAAAGACCGGGCGCGGTGGCTCACGCCTGTAATCCCAGCACTTTGGGAGGCTGAGGCGGGCGGATCACGAGGTCAGGAGATCGAGACCATCCTGGCTAACACGGTGAAACCCCGTCTCTACTAAAAAATACAAAAAAATAGCCGGGCGTGGTGGCGGGCACCTGTAGTGCTAGCTATCTAGGAGGCTGAGGCAGGAGAATGGCGCGAACCCGGGAGGCGGAGCTTGCAGTGAGCCGGGATCACGCCACTGCACTCCAGCCTGGGTGACAGAGCGAGACTCCGTCTCAAAAAAAAAAAAAAAAAAAAAAAAAGAATATCATAAAAAAGAGAAAATACATTTGCAGTACCGTACTGTATTTATTGATGCTGTAAGTTTGCGTCATCTGTTTACAAGATGAATCGTCCACCTGAAATGATGGCAACCGCAGCTGCAGACCTCAATCTATCGTACATATCAAGCAATTTAACTTTTTCTTGTAATGTCATGACTTTTCTCTGCTTCTTGGGAGCACTTCCAGCATCACTTGTGGCACTTGATATGGGTCCCATGGTGTTATTCAAAGTTTACAGTGTTGCAGTAAACACGATGAAAAATACACGAGAACCGCCAGAGATCACATTTTACTGTGATGAAGGAGTTACTGGAGAGACCAACTGCTCACGTGGAGATGATTAGTGTTGCTCAGCATCTACTCACATCATTTGTGCCCACTGCAATAACAGTAGGCGGTAGCTATGAAATTATTACAGTAATGCAGTATGTACTGCAGTGAACTTTATGCAGTGACAATTTCAAACTACATCTTTATGTGTGTTTACATTTCTCTCCACTGTGAATGATACCACGTTTGGTCTGGAAGTATTTGTGTGTGTATGCTTTGATAAATATCATCTTTTAATAATAGATTTGTGTATATTTTATGGTTGTAAATGACAAAATAGACTAGTATCTACATATATTTTCATAACATACCTAATTTTTTCTTAATTTTTAAAGCTATGTGGTTAAAATAGCTTCATCTAGGGTATTTTAGGCTATGCGCTTTATCTGCAAGTTTTTTCAAATTGTTGTAAATCTCCAAAAAATTTCCAATGTATTTATTGAAAAAAATCCAGGTATATGTGGACCAGTGCAGTTCAAACCTGTGTTATTCAAGGATCAACTATACATCTAGAAAAAGAGAGAGAGAGAGAGAGAGAGAGAGGAAGAACAAATAATAAAACAAATGGGTTAACTGTTAATGGGTGGATCTTGGTAAAAGAAATACAGGCATTCTTTTTTATTCTTTTTTTTTTTTTTGAGACCGAGTCTCGCTCTGTTGCCAGGCTGGAGTGCAGTGGCGCGATCTCGGTTCACTGCAATCTCCGCCTCCCGGGTTCAAGCAGTTCCCCTGCCTCAGCCTCCTGAGTAATTGGGACCACAGGCATGCATCACCATGCCTGGCTAATTTTTTTTTTTGTATTTTAGTAGAGACGAGGTTTCACCATGTTGGCCAGGATGGTCTTGAACTCCTGACCTCAGGTGATCTGCCCGCCTCGGTCTCCCAAAATGCTGGGATTACAGGCATGAGCCACTGCACCCAGCCTAGAAATACAGGCATTCTTTTGCTATTTTTATTCTTACAGTTTTTCTCTTAAGTTTAAAATTATATTCAAATAAAAAATATTCAGTCCTGCATATCCTGCTTTGGTTCAGGAACATTTGTCTTCCTACTATGCCGTATGTTGGTTTTGGTTCTGGGGATCCTGTTGATGTCTGACCACGTCTTAGAATAGATAACACCAGTAACTTAAAAAACTTTTATTCTGGGTAGTGAAGCACTTTCTTTGCAAATGAAATCTTATGTGGGGCATCAAGCTGCAGAGGAGATGACAGAAGCCGCTCTAAGAGAAGCATGTGTGCGCTTGTTGGGTGTTGTATCAGAGTCCTGCCCACTGTGCCTCCCTCTCCTCTGCCCGCTGGGCAGCTCTGAGGCACCTCCAGGGAATGTTTGACAACCACTGCTCGAAATTAAACTGGCCACGGTCCAACTGACCTTAGCAACCCCTGAATGAGAATGACTGTTCTTGATTGGGTGAAAACCTCAGAATGACTTCAGAGCAGTTGACTTGTGCTTTGTGAACATGGCCTCATGCGTGCTTTCAGTAATAAATGTCCAGTTTTTTTTCCTGCCTCTCCATGAGGTTACTCTGCCCTTGGCCTGTGGTTCACACTTGACAACTATTCAGCCACAGGGCCCTGCAGGTCAAGCCCAGCGTGTGATGGTTTCAGAGTCGAGTCCTTTCTGAAGAAGCGTGTATAGATCAGACTTACGTAAATAGAATCACATTTCCCCACAGCTGCTTCATGGTCATTTGGGATTCATTTTCAAATGGCCATGGTATCTTGCTGCAGGTAGAATTTATATTTATCTATCTTCCTCCTTTCCTTTTCTGTCAGGTAGTTAAGAGTCTTTGACACGTTTGGTGGAGGGGAGCTTGGCATTTAAAGCCCTTTTGAAAGTGACTTAACCCCCCAAGTTAACTGCTCTGAAAGTTGGAACCTCCAAAAATTTATATCTACTTTATAGCTCAAACCTGAGTCAACCTAAAACGTAAGAGTATTATTTATTCAAGGAGCCTTGGAAGATTGTACATAACAAATTCATTTTGTTGAAGAGGATGCAGCCATCTTCTTAATGATTTACCTCAAGTTTCCATAAAGCTTTTTGCAGGGCCCAAGACTGCAAGACCCTTAATGGCCACCCACCCCATTGTAATGGTAGTAACTTCCTGGAGTCCTATGTTGAAAAGCTTTCTGGGGTAGCATCTGGGCTTGGTGAGAATGAGGGTCATGATCGATTTGTGATGTCTACTTGGGTGTGGAATGGGGACATTATCCGGGTGTTTGAAGCATAAGTGATGTTCCTGGCCTAAAAATAACTCTCAGGAGCTCTGTTTGTTTGGAAAGAACATGCCTCTTCATTGGCCATGAGCACTGGTCTATTTTATGTGCTTTCTTACTAACAAGGAACCCTGGCTGTGATGCCCTAGATTAGATATGGGAGGAACAAGAGAACACTTGTTGAGGCTTTGGGTGTTTTTCCTGCACAAGTATTTCCAACCCATTGCAACAAAGGAGCCCTTAGTACAGAGTATGGCAGAATGAAGTGCACCCCCACCCCCAGCCTGTACCTTGTTTGGGTTCAGCTGGTTGGCATGTCCATATTGAAATTTTAGAATCGGGCTGGGCGCGGTGGCTCAGTCTGTAATCCCAGCACTTTGGGAGGCCGAGGTGGGCGGATCATGAAGTCAGGAGATCGAGACCTTCCTGGCTGACATGCTGAAACCCCGTCTCTACTAAAAAATACAAAAAAATTAGCCGGGCGTGGTGGCAGGCGCCTGTAGTCCCAGCTATCTAGGAGGCTGAGGCAGGAGAATGGCGTGAACCCTGGAGGCGGAGCTGGCAGTGAGCTGAGATGGTGCCACTGCACTCCAGCCCGGGCCACAGAGCGAGACTCTGTCTCAAAAAAAAAAAAAAAAAAATTTCTTTTTAAAATTTCAGAACCTTGAAATTTCTTGTAGTTGCACGAACTCTGTGATGTTTCCTTGTAATTTAAGTGCCAAGAAAATTTGAACCTGGCAGACCCAACCTCTCTCGACACCTACCTCAATACTGAGGCATAAGAAGCAGAATAGAATTTAGAGAAAATTCTTCTGTGAAGCTATGCCTGATACTCACAGATGGATTCAAGGGGGGATTTTCCTCCCTCGAATCCCACAGCATTTTTAACCTCTTAGGTTAACTATGAAGTGCTGTTTGGCTTTTTTTTTCAGTAGGTTCCCCTTCATCCACCTCCTGCCTTGTAGATGATGAAAATCTTCTAATGTTTAATCAGCAAAAATGTTTCAAGGATGATTATTATGTTTTACTTTTCTTTGTCTTCTCGTCACTCCTGGCAGTGTTGCAAAGACCCCTTCAAAGACTCTTCTAAGACCCTAGTATGTGTTTGCGAAGTGACTTATTTCAAAGACACTTGTTTTTGAAAGTATTCTCAGGGTAAGAATAAAAAGGCTGGCTGAGCCATGTTAACCTAGGCAATTTGTGATGGAATTGTGCCTTCCATCTCTCTGCCTTTTCCCCCTTCTCCAGGAGTTCGGATTTGAGTTGCTTTTGGAAATCCTCAAAGATCAACTTTCTGAAGCTGAATAGCTGGAGATGTTCTTATTGGGAGGCAGCATATTAAAGGCAGCACTCAGAAGGATTCAGTGCTTGTTGTATTCACAAACAGCCCTGACTAAGGAAGACTGTGTGAATGTCGTCATATTTCCCAATAACACATGCTTGCCTTAGCCAGTGTGGCCCTCCCTTCTCTGAAGCAGAACACAGGTCCTTATCTATGCAATCCTTTCAGGTCAGACCTTGTTTACATGGACACTTGCCTGCATATGTCCTAACTTTGGGGCCAGATAAATAAACAGGAGGCTGAAGGCAAAAATACCTCCATTGAAAGAAGTCATGGCTAGAAGTGGGGCCCCAGAGAGGAGCAGAAATAGGTGCAAGGAACTAAGAAAGAGCAGCTTAAGCCATACTATTTAGAGTAGAAAAGGAGGGCCCACATTTCTATTTTGAAACTTGTATAAAATGGCTCTATCTTACCTCTCCTCCTCTCATATTCTCCTTCCTTCACAGAGGAATCTGTGAAGATCTTGTAATTAAAAAGTTGAAACTAGAAAAAAAAATAGAAAATGACACCTCTAGATATGCTTTGTTTTTTGATTCAGAGAAACTGAAAACACATTAAAATCAGAGTTTCAGATAATTTTTATGTGACTCTCCTTCAACATAGTGTCCCAGTTTCATTCTATCCAAGTGGATGGTCTTGACATGACCATGGTTTGAGATACTTTGAAGAGTCAAAGATAATAATTTTTTTGTTTATGGAAGATGCTAAAAAAACCCGAGGCATTTTGTAATTTTGAATCTGGGTAGCTTACTGATAATGACCAACTGGACCCTGAATTCCAACAGATAATCTAAGACTCACGTACCTAAATATACACATCAGCACTCCTGCCTGTCTCCCCAAACTCACCTCCAGTTTGCCCCTGCCTCACCAGGCTCCAGGCCCGTTTCTGCTTCAAGGTTGCCTCAGGGTGCTGTTCTCTGTCCTGGAAGAATATTCTCCTTCCTTTCCTACTGCAGGCAGGTGGCCTTTCCTAATCACCCTGATCACTGAGAGTAATCAACAAGAACTTCTTATTCTTTATTTTAGCCTCCTTTTTGTTTCCTTCAAAGCGTTCATCAAAATTCATACATATTTTATTTGTTTGTTTACTAGTTTTTGGATTCCCTAAAATTAACCTCTTTGAACGCTGGGACTATGTCTCCCTGCTTTACCATAGGGTTTCCAGTCGCAAAGGACTGGTTGAATGAATGAATAAACTGGTGAGTTGGGTAAAAGTGGAGTTGGCAGGAAGGAAACACACTAAGCCATTTGCTGGTAGAGTCACTCCCTGGCATCAAGAAGGTTTTTATCAGCAACCTTGCTGCCCCTGCCAAAGGCCAGGTGGGGACTTCAGGAGGCATCAGTGTAGAAAATGCAGTAAGAAAAGTGGAGCTCCTTTCAATGCCTGATCATTGGAAGAGGTAGTGTGCTCTTGGTAATTCAGTGGTATTTATTACTGGAAAGGGATCCCAATCCAGACCCCAAAAGAGGGTTCTTGGATCTCTCACAAGAGAGAAGTCGAGGCAAGTCCACAGAGTAAAGTGAAATCAAGTTTATTGAGAAAGTGGAGGAATAAAGAATGGCTACTCCATAGGCAGAGCATCGCCAAGGGCTGCTGGTTAGCTATTTTTTTGGTTATTTCTCCATCATATGCTAAATAAGGGGTGGATTATTCATGAGTTTTCCAGGAAAGGGGCAAGGATTTCCTGGAACTGAGGATTCCTCTTCCTTTTAGTCCATATAGAGTAACTTCTTGACATTGCCATGGCATTTGTAAACTGTCATGGTGCTGGTGGGAGTGTCTTTTGGCATGCTAATGTATTATAACTAGTGTAAAATGAGCAGGGAGGACGACCAGAGATCACTTTTGTCACCATCTTGATTTTGGCAGGTTTTGGCCAGTTTCTTGACTGCATCCTGTTTTATCAGTGGGGTCTTTGTGATCTGTGTCTGGCGCTGACCTCCCATCTTATTCTGTGACTAAGAACGCCTAACTTCCTGGCAATGCAGCCCAGTAGGTCTCAGCCTTATTTTACTCAGCCCCAATTCAAGATGGAATTGCTGTGGTTCAAATGCCTCTGACAGTGGTGAGGTCACGAGAGTCAGCCTCAGCCTAGGCATGAGTTTGAGGCTGTGTTGTTTTTTTGGCAAAAGGAGGGGATTTGGGTCATAGTTACTACGTTTAATATTATAAAGAAGGACCACTTGGAGTTTTTCCTGGAAAAAATGTGGCTTTTTAATATCAGACATTCAGTAAACCCTGAAGACATCTTCTCAGCCAGGGTGGTGGTGGAGTCGGGAGGCACAGGGATGGGGACAAGGGACTCACTGTCAAGGGAAAACTGATGCATAAGTAATCATAGCACAGAGTGACAAGTGCTACTGCAGAGGGAAAGGCAGGTACTCTGGGGAAGGCTGGAGGGGCCAGGGTGTTTGTGGAAGGGAGGTCACCTAAGACTTTCCAGAAGGGACAACCTCAGCTTGCTTCCCCTTGCTCGTTCCTTAAAAGAGGATTTGGTGACCTCTGCTGGGGGATGAGACCTCCAGCCTCAACTAGATGGGGGTGCAAAGAGAATGAAGATTTGCATAGAACCAAGACTTTCTAAAGTAAAATACTGGCTTTAACAGAGAATCTTGAGGGAGATTCAATAAAAGGTGGAGGGACACGGATCAACAACAGCTAGAAAATACTTCACAAGAGCTAGGGAGTGGAGAAAGCTGGAGGGGCTTAGGGTAGGGAAATGAGAAGGAAAAGCAGTGCCCCTGGATGGTAAATAGAAAGGGAAGCCCACCTAAGTGGGTTCAGTTGGCTTCTGGGATTTGGAGTGAGTGCTTCCACTTCCAAAAATTTATTCTAAGAAACCAATCAGATGTATGTGCAAAGATTCTATTCCTTTACTGATGGTAAACACTAGAATAGCTAAACACGGGGTTCGGTTAAATAGTTTGTGGTCTACTTAGAATATGGCAATACCATTAAAAATAATGATCTTGTTTTATTTATACTGAGATTAAAAGACATTTGAGAAATGTTGATGAGTTAAAAAAAAAAACAAGTTACAAAGTGACATTAAAAACATATTAAGGCCTAGAAGTAAATACAAAATGCTCACAGCAGGGGGATTAAGAACAATTAGTTTTCTCTTTACACTTCTATGTAGTCCCCCCACCCAGCCATGAGTAGGCATTAAATTTTCAACCAGAAAATCAGTAAAGTTATTTCCGTTTTGAAAGGAAAAGTCCACGGGGTTTTTAAAAGTGATGATTAGGGCCAGAATCCTAATTGAGTAACTGTTAGGAAATACTGTGTTACTCATTCCACATCCTCCATGGAGATCCTCCCAGTATGTACGGGGCTTAGGGGGCTTGTAGCTTTGACTCTGGGTAGAGAGATAAACACTTTCTTGGGTTTACTGCTTAACACTGACCTGGGAGTGGGGCTGTGCTCCCTCTTGTATACTCTAGAATACGCTTAGGAGCAGGAATCCCCTTCCCCTGCTCCCTGAGCTAGCGGCTCTCCATGCTGGCTGCACGTCAGAATTTGTAGGAGAGCTGAAAGCAGTACTCACCTCTCAGACAAATGTGACTGTACTCCCTGGGGATGAGGCCCAGGGAGTGGGCCCGGGTGATGCTATTCTGCAGCCAAGGTTGAGTCCCTCCTGATTTGAAGATAATGAATGAAAAATCAACAGACAGCGTCATAAATCTGGACCAGCATTTTTAAGGCATGCCAGACCTGAGCATAGATCTTTGGAAAAAAAGTGGATTCCTTGGTCAAATACTTCTGTCCCTCCCTCTAGGAAAGTCTCAAAGTACATGAGAAAATAAAGACTCTGGGAAGTCGTGCGGCAAAGAAATTTATTTGATTGATTTCAGATGGATTTCCCAGTAATTTCTGATTGTGGAAAGCGTTGTCTGGGGTAACCCTTTATCTTGGGTTAGCAGCATCTGGCCAGTGCCTGGAGTCTCTCTTGCATGCCACAATTTGGCCACCCTGTGGGGACACTTCTCCACAAGGACCCTAGGACATTGGTAAGATCAAAGCAGATCCCTGGACAGACAGCAAAGTGAAGGGGAGAAGCTCCACATCTGGAACTGGGGGTAAGACTATTGCTTGATAGAGCACCTTGACCTGGGGCAATGTGGAGGGGACACCCTGGCTACGGAATCTGGGGTACACAGGAGGAAAATGAGGTCCAAAGAGGTAATTAAGCACCTCGTTCCACATCAGGAAGCTGGGCAGGGGCCCAGCAGAGACTAAAACCTAGACTTTCTGCGTCTCAGTCAGGCCCCTTTCCCTCCCTCACCAAGACAAAGCTGTGATTTCAAGCATTTTATGATCTTGGAATAAAGGAACACTGCCATGATTAATGGGAAGTTCCTGCCTTCTTATCCCATTTTGTGTTCTTATCTCCATCTGCCAAGAAGACACCCAAAGCTCTAACTATCGTTCGGTTGTAAGGAATGTTTAGAATTGAAGAGCTGCTTTGACACAATTAAAAGCTTCCAGAAGGCTGTTACGGCACCAATTATTTACTTAGCGATAGCGAGCTATTTAAATTTCATTATGGAGTAGAAAATAGGGAGATAAGAACAAAATATGGTCAGGCTGACTGTGACCTCAAAACCTCTGCTCCTTTTGCTCATAAAAGATAGCAGAAGCAGAACATTCTGATTCAAGGATCATTTTGCGAAACTGCATTCTCTTAAACAGAATTGTTTCTTAATCTCTTCGTGGGCTGCTAATGGGCCGTTTATCAGGGTGTTCCAAGGCAAAGTGAATCCGGAAGAAATAGGGCTACTGACTTTGGGACGAGTCTCCCTGTGTTGCAGGTGGTTGGACAATGACTCAGTGACTTCCACTTTAAGCTAAATAAGATTCACTATTGTAAAGTCATAGACATGCATCCCAAAGCAAACGGAGGAATGAACATGCTCTCCATTTTCCTGACTGTTTTCTAGACATCATTTTAATTGTTGAAACTCTCCTTTTTCTCCTCTGGTTCCCATTCCAGGTTGTTTTCTGTAGTTATGTTAACCATAACATTTCCAATGACACAACTTCTCATTTTGTTCTTTGCATAGGGAGCAGGGAGGGGCACTAGGGTATGGCAGGGTGGAGGATGTGGTTTGGGGCATTGTCAAAAGGAGCACTTACCTGATGTGTGTATATATTATCTATTTAAGTGAGGTATAATTTACATACAGTAAAACCCACTCTTCTTAGAGTATACTTTTATGAGTTTTGACATGTAAATTCAGCTGTATGACTACCACCGAAATCAAGGTATAGAACAGGTCCGTCACTCTAAAGTGTTCTCTTCTGCTTCTTTGTTGTCAATTCCTCTCTTCTACCTCCAACCCCTGGCAACCTAGTGGCTCAGTTTCTTGTCTCCATGGTTCTGCCTTTTCCAGGAAGTCATATACAAGGAATCACACAATGTGTAGTCTTTTGAGTCTGGATTTACTCACTCAGCATAACGCATTTGAGGTTCATCCATGTGGTGGTATGTTTGTTGCTTTGTTGTTGTTGTATGTTTGTTGTCATTTGTTGTTTTGTGTTGCCGAGCAGGGTTCTGTTGTATACTGCAGTATGTTTTGCTCTTCACCAGTTAAAGGACATGGGGATTTTTTCCAGTTCTTGGCAATTATAAATAAAGCTGCTTTAAACATTCATATACAGGTTTTTGTGTGGCTCTATGCTTTCATTTCTTTCTTTTTTTTTTTTTTTGAGACAGAATCTTGCTCTGTCACCCAGGCTGGAGTGCAGTGGTGTGATGTCAGCTCACTGCAAGCTCTGCCTCCCAGGTTCACACCATTCTCCTGCCTCAGCCTCCCGAGTAGCTGGGACTACAGGTGCCCACTGCCATGCCTGGCTAATTTTTTGTATTTTTTAGTAGAGACGGGGTTTCACCGTGTTAGCCAGGATGGTCTTGATCTCCTGACCTCGTGATCTGCCCGCCTTGGCCTCCCAAAGTGCTGAGATTACAGGCATGAGCCACCGCGCCCGGCCATGTTTTCATTTCTTTTGAGTAAATATCTAGGAGTGGTATTGTTTGGTCATGTGGTAAGTTTATGTATAACTTTATAAGAACGTCATGTTTAATTTCACAAGAAATTTATTTATGTTTGTCTTTCTAAATAATATATGAATTTGATTTTGTTTTTAGTTTTTTACAAGGGTATCATGCTGAGGTAATCTTTTAGTAATTAACATTTTTTTCACTTAGAATCATGATGTTAAGATTTATCCATATTGTGACATAGTTTATTCATTCCTCTCTCTTCTTGATGGGCATTTGGTTGTTTCCAGGATTTTGTTATTGTTTTGTTTTACTACTGACAGTCTTATATATGTCTCTTGTATTAGTTATCTATGTCTGCATAAGAATATAACCCTTTTTTTTTTTTAAGTAGAGACAGGATTTCACCATGTTGGCCAGGCTGGTCTTGAACTCCTGACCTCAAGTGATCCACCCACTTCGGCCTCCCAAAGTGTTGGAATTACAGGTGTGAGCCACTGCACTTGGCCAATATAACCCAACACTTAGTTACTTAGATAACATACATTTGTTACCTCACAGTTTCTGTGAGTCAGGAGTCTGGGCAGGGCTTAGCTTGGTCCTCTGCTTCAAGTCCTCACAAGTCTGCAGTCAAAGTGTTGGCCAGGGCTGTGCTCTAATCTCAAGGCTTGACTGGGGAAGATTCACTTTCAAGTGCATGTGGTTGTTGGCAGGATTCGGGTTCTTGCAGTTTGCCAGGCCAGGGCTTCATTTTCTTGCTGGCTGTCGGCAGAGGGCACCCTCAGTTTCTTGTCATGTGGGCCTCCCCAGAGTGATCACCTGCTTCATTAAAACCGGCAAGGGAGAGGGTCTGCAGGCATGACAAACATTATATTCTTAGGTAAAATAATCACAAGACATATCATCCATCAACATGACCATATTCTCTTGGTTAGAAGCAATTCACCAGTCTTGCCCACAGTCAAAGGAAGGAGATTGCACGTATAAATACCAGAAGGAAGGGATAGTTGGTGATCATTTTAGATTCTATCTGCCTCAATTGCTACACATGTGTATGATTTTCTCTGTGCTTATACCTGGGAGCAAATTGCTGTGTCCAAGGGCATTCTTTTCTTAATAATGCTCTTTACTTAAAGGCTATGTTTTGTGGAATGAATATAGCTAGGTCAGCTTTCTTCTGATTAATATTTATGTACTATGTCTTTTTCCATTCTTTTGCTTTCAGTCTTTGCATATCTGTATGTTTGAGGTACGTTTTTTTGTAAATAGCATGTGTCAAAATTTTACAAATGAATCTAATCTGTCACACCTTATGTTTTAAGTGGTGAGCTCAATCCATCTACCTTTATTATAATAAATTACATACATGGACCAATTTTTATCATTCTGACTTGTTATTTCAGCTGTGCTACTTTTTCAATGCTTTCTTCTATTTTTCTTACTTTTATTTTTAATAATATATTTTTATCTCCCTAATTCTTCTTAATGAAGTAAAAATCTAAGATTCCTGGCTCCCTCCCCTGCCCTGTTATGTTGATATAACCTAGGCTTCTAATTCTGCGTTGTTACAGATATATTTTCTCCTTTTCATTGGTCTTAGCTTGCTTTTTGCTTTTTAAGCAATAAGAGTTTATCAAGGTGTTTGATCACCGTTGTTCCACAAATCTCTTGCAGTCTCCTGGATTTTTCTCTCTCATACATAGTACTTTAGCCAAAACAGTTTACAATGCACATCTTTCTGCAGCAAATCTTCTATGCCTGAGAATATTTTTATTTGACCTTAATATTTGAATGACAGTTTGGTTGACTATAAAATAATAGGTTCTAAATTCTATTTCCTTCAATTCTGTCAAAACGTTACTCCATTTTTTTTTTGCATCCAATATCGTTGATGCCAATCTGATTCTCGTTCTTTTGTATGTGGTCTCCTCTTTTTATGACAGCTTTTAGAACTTTTTTTTGTTTTATAAAAATCTTAAGTTTTATTATAGTATACCTAGGTATGAGTTTTTCCTTTATTTCTCTCTCATGTGTGTGTGTGTTTGTGTGTATTCTGCTCTCACTTTCTCTCTCTATAGATGTGGCAGAATAATTGATCTTTGTTATGTCCTCAAATCTTCTTCCCCTCTATTTTTTTTCTTTTTTAAATAGAACTCCTACTGTCTGGATGTTAGTACCTCTGCATCTGTTCTCCTTATCTCTTAGCTTTTCTTTTTATTAGTATATTGTCTATTTCCTTGTCCTTTTCATCTACCTTCTGATATATGTTTTTTCAATCTGATATACCAAATCACTAATTTGTTCTTCAGTAGCATCAATTCTGCTCTTTATTTGTATTTTTATATTTTTATTACTAGTATTTCTGCTTGATTCTCTTTATATATTTTTTTGCTTCTTATTAATTTTCCTTCTATCTTTTAATATATTTACCAGGATGATTAAAAATACTTGATCCATCTGTCCTAATATTTCTGCTTCTGTTGGAATTTGTCATCCAGGAGGCCCTCTTCCTTTAGAGATGTCTGTGCTCCTCAAATGTCCTGTTATTTTGTTTTGTGTGCTCATTTTTTCCCTAGGGCACTGACTCCACAGGCAGTACAAGTTGAGAAAGGCAGGTCCAGGCGTGTTAGCTCCAGTGAACTCAGGGGATGGGGCTAGATGAGCCCCAGGGTGGAGAGCTCTGAAAATTATATTCCGTTGCTCCTTATCTCACAAAATAAGCTTTTAGCTCAGGCCTTCATCTTTTGTCCCTCAGAGAGAAGCAGATTTGCAGGAGACAGTCAGAATTCAGTGGTTTTAAATCTTGGCTGCACATTCAAATGACCTGGGAAGCCTCTACAAATCTGGATGCCTGGGTCATGCTCCAGAGCAATTTCAATGGAATCTCTAGAGGTGGAATCCAAGTACTTTCAAGCTCCCCACATGATTTGTATCTTCAGCCAAGTTTGAGGCCCACCATCAAGACCAGATTGTCACTTTCCAGCCCTGGGAGTTTGAAGGGGAAGAGACATAGAAATAACTTCCAGATTATTTCTTCTGAGGATCCTCAGTTTCTTCTGAGGATATCTGAGCTTGGCAGGTGAGGTGCAGGCACTGTTTGCCCCAAGGAGATATGGGGTTGGTGAGAGCAGAATTCCACCAGTTTTTCTATTTTCTCTTCCCACAACCCTGCTGGGCTGCTTCCTGCCTTGGGACAAAGCCACCACTTCACAACCTCATTTGAAATAACATCCCCAGTCAACTCAAGAGCTTCTCACAGTGTTCTCTTCTTTACTTTTCTGGCTCCTGTGGGGTTAATAGGGGTGAGAGGTGGGATGGACATCCAGCAGCCTCGCTAGTTCAGCATCTTGGCCTGAACTGGAGCTACTTAGGGTATGATGAAGGGACCGGAAGCATCAGCATCTCTTAACAGCTTGCTAGAGATGCAGAATCCCAGGCCCCACCCTGAGCCTACAGAGGCAAAATCTGCATTGAATAAGATTGCCAAGAGATTCCCGAGCACATGAAAGTTTGATAAGCACTTCTTTACATAGCATAGATGCTGAACAAATATATTTAAATTGAATCAAGCACCTTTTTGACCACTACCTCAGAGTTTGCTCGGTCATGTTGTTCCTATAAAATGTTGATTTTAGTTCTTTGATTTGAGCTATTTCTGCCCTAGGCCAGAATTCAACAATGCTGGATTTTCCCACTATGCAGATGGATTTTAAAAACACAATTCTTTAAGAAAAACAATGCTCCCGTAGCACCATCTACCTCTCAGTGGTAGCACTCATCACTATTGTAATTTTATATTTAAAATTGTGGATGGTTGATTGATGTCTGGCATGATATTATAAGCTCCAGAAGGACCAGAAGGAAATCTGACTTTATTAGAGTTGTCTCCCTAATGCCCGGCGCAGTGCATGGCATACAGCAGGTGCTTAATATTAATCAAATGAGAGAAATGACTTAGGCCTTTGTAGTGACTTACTTAACTGATGGTTGTCTATCGAATGCTAATATGAATGATTACACCTGTAAGGTCACCTTTTTCTAAGAAATACATATGGTTTCAGGAATATGTTTCTTCCATCTTTACTGTTTCTTGTCATTAATATTAGATACAATTACTTGAATTTTTAGGGTCTTATGTTAATTTTTTAAAAACTCGATGCATACTGGCATTTAAATAAATATGAACATTTAGAATTGATTAATTTCTTAATTCATTGTCTACTTTTTTAATAAAACAAAAGGAAGCAAAAACATTGCCTTCAAGGAAGAATACATCTCCTTGATATTCTGAGGAAAGAATGAATACGTTTATGATATTAGAGGAAAAAGCAAGGGAGTGAAGAGGTCATGGCAAGTGCTGGGAATGAGTCCTGTTTGACCTGTTTTCACTCCTATTCTTTTCTCCTCCCCACCCACCCCAGTTTAGGCCCAGGCAGGAACCCAACCAATAAACGTTAAATCTACTCTTTCCCCTTTCTCTGTCCTCTCTGCCCAATTTCCAAAAAGGTGTTGACGATGAAATAGTCTGTTGTGTCATCAGGCTGAGGGAAGTGGGAAGGAAGCGTGCACTAGCTTAAGCAAAGCATCTGACAAAGATACAATTCTTTTATTATGTAGGACATATAAACAGGTATTTAAAGAAACACTCTATTTAAGTTGATTTATTAAATTTTTTTGGTAAAGATAGAGCATGGGTTCCATTACAGTGGATACTGATGTCTTTTATAGTCATGACTCCCAAAGGACATACGGTTTCCCAAAAGTGTAATCCAGCTTCTATAACTCTGAATGATATTCCAAGTCTGCTTTCCTGTGTGTCCCCTCTTCACTCCCTCCCTTGATGAGCCTAATTACACACACAGAAGAATTACATGTGCACCAGCATCACACAATTAAAAAGCTAGATTTAAAAGGATCTTGCCCAGCTTTTCTATGGAAAACTTGAAATTAGGTATTTTGCTTTAAACTTGGCAAAGCTAAAGACCAAAGTGATGTCTAGAATCAGGGAAAGTCTGACTAATAACTGAATGCTGTTGGAGGGCCAGTGGCACAACACATGTTTTTTGCTCGTCAAAAGGCGATGAAAGACACGCAAAGGAGTGAAATCAAGCAATGTAATGAGAACGACAAAGAAGTGATTTTGTTCTGAGCATTGCTGAGTTTTAAAGCGATGTAATGTATTTCCCATTCTTCATAAAACATTCAATTGTAAAATGTAGAGATTGTTTGAAAGTGTTTTTAATATTTTAATTCCTAAAATGTGGATTTATCCAACGAATACTTGTAGACCTTAATGAGACATTTGGGGGCTGGACTTTCATTTATTCTAAGTAGTTCTCATATTTAAAAAGCAGTTGCAGATTCTTCATTTCATTAGTGAAATATCAAAAAAGAAAAAGGAAAATAAAGCAAATTATTCAGTTCCAAATGAAAGCATTTCTTCATTTTTTTCTAGAGAATGATTATTAAACACTATAAAACCTAGTCGAATCTCATTTCTACACATCATTAAAGAGTTCATGTGCCAAACAAACAATGACCTTTTGTTGATGAGATTGTAGAAATTATTAGTGGGGAAAAATGATCATTTGTTCCTGGAGGACATTGTTACATTTCTACCTCCTCCCACTTTATTCACTTTTTTCTTCACAGAGTTGGAGAAAATAATGAGATACAAACTCATTTCCCCAGCAGAGGTCACCCTTTCTCCTTTATCGTTCCCAATAAATGCCTTCTTAGTTGTGGTTCCTTAGTCCAAGGAAATGCAGGAGTTTTCAGCTTGAAGCACAGCCAGAGGGCTGGTGGAAACATATGCATCATTCACACCCTCTGTGTCTTCTTACGTATGCACTGTTTAAACGTATTACCCTACCTGGACTCTTAAATGGATAACTCACATACATATAATAAGAACCACTAGGTTATGTATTGATAATCCTATCTTTTAGTTAATCCACTTCATCAAGCATTAGTTTAATGCTTGCCAGTGCTGGCTCAAATTCTACCCAATTCTCTGCCCCATGGGCCAAAAAATAGGTTTTCATAACACCCTGGAAGTGACTGGCATAAGCCTTTAGAGAGAATCCCCTGGTGAATTTCTGCAGGGGAGAAAGACAAAAATGTATGGAACATTGGCCAAGTGGAGAGCTCAGGGCTGGGTACTGAAGGGTAAGCTAGGGAGGTATAAGCCCCAGTCTCAGCTTTTGCATTTGGTTTGGTTTTGGAAACAAAAATGTATGTTTGTATTTTATTTGAGACACACTGGATCACAGAATGAAGTTCTAAATGAATTATACGTGAGTGTGCAGAGTATAGGTCAGTCAAGAGGTGTCATCTACAGAAGGTCAGGGGTAGATGGGTGATGGAATTGCTCGGGTCCTGTTGCTATCTGCTGGGGAAAAGCATTCAGCACGTGTCTGGCCAAATCCAAACATGGATTTTGGAAACTCCTTTTCTCTTCCTCACTTTATGGAGGAAACCATTGGCATTTTCTTGGGGTCCCTGGGGAAGTGGGGCTCATTGGTTTTACAATGGTTAGTGAAGATCTTTTCTAAATAAAATTCCCTTCCTTCCCTTTGTTTTCTTTATTCTGTAAACTAAAGTTCTTGTGGACATGTTGGAAGTTTAAGACTGCGGTGGATTTGGGGTATTCTCTGTGGCTGCTGCTCTTCCCTTGGACTGCAGATGGCACAATCACAGTGTGCAGGGGATAAGGTAGTGCATCCCAAAGAACAGAAATGTGCTTCTCCCTTCCAGGAAGTGGGACAGCTGGATGACCATGACATTGGACCTCCAGTAGTGCTCGTGAAGCGATGCATCTTGGAAAGGAGGATCTGCCTGCGTTCCTGACATCACCCTTGGGATTTCTCCTCTGCTCTCCAGGCCTCTGGCTCTCCCTGCTGGTTCTGTGCTGGGTCACCTGCCACTGCTCAGCCTGCATGCCCTGCAGAAGTTGGCTGGAGCCAGCTGGTGGTGACTTGCCAGAGACTCTGGTTAAATAGGAATTTTGCAAGCTGGTTGTTAAACCATTGGTAGCTTGAAATCAGCCTTGGTGGGAGTATTTATAACCCAGAAATTGGCAAATACTACAAATCAAGTCTTGCCTCCAGCAGCTTACCAGTAGTCCACAGCTTACCTGCTCCTCTTAGTACCAATGAAAACACCTACATCACCTCGTTTTAATAGCGACAAACTTGAGAATTTTTGATACAAATATTTACTAGGAAAAAAAGAAAAGAAATAGCTTCACTTCTCCTCCTTCAAAAGCTTTGGAACAGAAGTCCTTTATCAAGTACAGATTTCTACTCTTAATGTTAACCAGAGGTTTGTTCAAAACAGGCAAGTTGTCCCAGCTTTTGGGGGCAGTTCAATTCCTTTCCCTAAGCCCATGCTTAGCTGAGATATTTACCCCCAAATTTCCTTTTAAAATTCCCTCATTTTCCCCATCCCAGCACCTCCAGCTTCCTGAAGGCAGCTGTCTCCTGACACCATCCCTAGTGTAAGGCATCAGTCTCTTCTTTGGTTCTTTTTGACTCGAGAAGCCATTCCAGGCCAGGTGCGGTGGTTCACACCTGTAATCCCAGCACTTTGGGAGGCCGAGGCAGGCCGATCACTTGAGCCCAGGAGTTCGAGACCAACCTGGCCAACATGGTGAAACCCCATCTCTACTAAAAATAGAAAAATTACTTGGGTGTAGTGGTGTATGCTTTTAATCCCAGCTACTGGGCAGGTTGAGACATGAGAATCACTTGAACCCAGGAGGTGGGTGTTGCAGTAAGCCGAGATTGCGCCACTGCACTCCAGCCTAGACAAAAGAGTGAGACTGTCTACAAAGAAAAAAAAAAAATCCCTTCCTGGTGTACAGGGGCACACTGCCTGCCCCTGTTGGGTTTGTTTGTGAGGGACAATGGCTGTTTCCCATTTCTCTACAGCATCATCCTCTTATTTCTTGACAGGTCGAATCTGGACCCCTTAGCCGAGCGTGGTGGTGGGTGCCTGTAATCCCAGCTATCTGGGAGGAGGCTGAGGCAAGAAACTCACTTGAACCTGGGAGGCAGAGGTTGCAGTGAGCCAAGATGGCACCACTGCACTCCAGCCTGGGTGATAGAGTGAGACTCCAAGAAAAAAAAAAAAGGATGGCTGAGTAGGCCTGGAGGTGGTATGTTCAAAAAAAGGACATGGATTCTGGAACCAATGGGTCAGAGTGTTGTGAGGAGATTGCCGGACTCCTGACGGGGATGCTGCCGTGTTTTCTGCCGGTAAACCCAGTGCCTTACATTAATGACTTTATTTAACTTTAATTACCTTCCTAAAGGCCCAGTATCCAAATGCTGCCCCTCTGGAGATTACAGCTTCAACACATGAATGGTGTGTGTGTGTGGGGGGGGTGCGGTTACACATTTCAGCCCATCACAAATGGGACAGATTCTGTTTAAAAAATATTTACAAAAAAAGAAATCTCCCAATCTCCTCTAATTCTCTCTTTCAGTTTCAACAACTCTCCTTTAGGAAAGTCTTCCACGTGGTCTAAATTCTGCTCCATGCATGGTGACTCCAGTTTTTCTTCTGGCTTCAGTGAGGAAGGCGGAGAGCTAATTCCAGTTCTGCATATCTGTGGTTTCCTTCTGTGTAGCTACACGTATCCCTCTAAGTCTCCCCACTCAAAATTAATTTTTATTCATTCAAGTTTATAAACATGTGCAGTAATTTAAGGAGAGTTTCATGTAGCCAAATCAAACAAAATGTGATGGGGCTTTACAACTTTAAAAAGTGAGAACTTTTATTCCTAAATACACTCGTAAGACAATGGGTATGCAAATCACCATTACGTTACCCCTTATCCTTTTCTTCTTTTCCAACCAATTCCTCTTCCAATTCCTATTTCTTTCCCTAGTTGTGGGAGGGCATAAAATAAATCAGGGTGGAAGTCAGATAGCATGACTATTTGTTTTCTCCCTCTTCCTATCTAGTTTTTTTTTTTTTTTCTCCATAAATTTAGGTTTCTGCCTTTCTCTTGGTGGGAGAGTTCTTGTGTTTGCCAGAGGTCTTTGCTCTGGACTCAGGCTGCTGGGGAGTAGTGAGGGGAGCTGGTACATGTTAGTGAAAGGGTGGCATTGGAAAAAGAAGTCCAAGGCTGAGTACATGTGACTCTTCTGTGTATATTTGCATTTAACAGGAAACTTCTGGAAGTAAGATGCCTGAATGCAAAGAATCGAAGTGCCTGTGATGAGGATTTTAGGCAGGTCTGTGAGCGAGATAGTTGGAGGGTGTGCGGGGACTCCCTTTCAACCACACCATCTAGACAAGCATCTGCCTCTTTGCCATCCATCTCAGAGTGGCCCAGAGAGCTGGGGGCCAGGGAGGAGGCAGGGCTGGGACTCAGCCGTGGAGAAGTGTTGGGGCCGTGACTGTGTTCATGACACACACGTCCCCTCATCTCCGTGTGGTTATATCTGGACTGGGGGTTACTCTGCCCACATGAAGCCTCAGGTGCACAGGCTTGAAAGGAACTGGGCCTGGGCCATGCCAGGGGCGGGGCTGGCAGTTGGCAACCCTGGGCAGTAGCCACCCTTCCCCCAGCGGAATCCTGAATCTCAGGACTTCAGAGGTGGGAGGCACCTTACAAGTGCAGCGAGTGCAAGTCTTTCGTTTCGCAGAGGAAGTCACTGAGGCCCTGGGGGCTCCACCCTCTTTCTGGGCTTGTCAGAGGCATTTAAGAAATACACGTTGACTTGACATGACCCATGTGAAACGGGCGTAACGAGACTCCCTGCATGGCTGCTGGATTAGGCTGCCAGCAGCTGGGAATGATTCTCCCTCTGTGGGTCTGAGCCTAAATGGTGGGCGCAGCAGAGGGGCACCCGGGTAGCTTTTTCAGGCTTGGGATGGGACAAGGTGAGCAGAGATTGAAAGCCTCCTTTCACAAATAAACTTGAGTTTAACAGAATGTCAGGGCTGGAAGGGACCTTACAAATCATTAGGATCAACCTGCCCTGAGGTTACAGATGAATAAACTGAGGCCCAGAGATGGGAGGTGATCGGGCTGGTGAGTTGTTGGTTGACCTGGGCCTTGAACCCAGCAAGCAGCTTCCAAATTTATGCTCTCCCTGCTGTGCCATGGGGCCTCTCTTGGCAGCAAGTTGCAAACCTGAGATTGATTGAATTGTTTGGATTCAGGGAGCATGTGAAGCATAAAGAAAATGAGGAGCAGGGAGGGATGCAAGCTGGATGTGATGAGACACAGCCTGGTTTTCCTTTATGCCGCCATTTTGTGACTTGAAGTGGAGCGAGAATTATTGTCCCACCAGTGAGACAGAACCATATAAATTAAAACTGCAATGAACTGTCTGCTGAAGGTGTGAACAAGGCAGATAAATCCCTGGGAGCTTAGAAAACATCTGCTCCTTACCTTGAAGGCAGAAACTTCACCGTAAAGCAGAAAAATCCAGGACTGGAATCTTTCACTTTCTCTGACGGGATATGTGAAGGCTGGGCCCCACCTTCAGATATACTCCACATGGAGGGCGACTGTGAACAATCAGCTAAGGCTTCTCCCTTTCTCCTTGATGACTCTTGAATTCTCCTACTTTTTCCCTGCCTATCTCAGTTCTTCAGTGCCCTTGTGCCATTATGCATGCATAGAGGGTAGTCTTGAGCTGGTCAAGGTACTTCCTGCTGAGCTCCAGTGATGGGGAGTTAAATCAGGGGGAAGAATGACAAGAAGGCTGCCAGGAGGAATCAGGAGTTGGGGCAGGTCACCAAGGCTGGGTCAGAATCCCTGGTTGGTAGGAGGGGGTTTGGGGGACTGGCAATTGAGAAGAGGCAGAGAGCAACCAAGAATTGAGGTCAAGAGTCCAGGCCATCAAATTGGACTGTTAGTCTGAAATCAGGAATCTTGAACTCAGAGGAATATGAAGAAGCACCCAGATTTATGCCTAACATGTGAAACAGACTTCTGGTAAGAGGAAATGGCCTTAAACACAAGGTTGGCAAATAGGTGGCATTTTGCTTGTGATCCCAAGTGAGGGGTGGTGGCTGCGTGAAGCGTGGTATCCAGCGTGGAGGATCAGAATTTTTCACTGGATTAAAGGGTGCTGTGATCCACTGATGATGTCTGCTTGGACAGGACAAGGCAGAGTCCATATTCTAATATTCCTTATTCCACCTAACCCTGGTTTGTAGCTTATGGCTGTGTGCCCTGTCTACCCATAATCTCTCAGTGTTCTGAACAGGTGCTATGCTTCCCTGCCTGTTCACATCATGGAGCTGCCTTAGAGATGAGCAACCTCCTTTAATTTACTCTCTGGGGTAGAGTCTAAGACTTGTTTTCTTTATACAATACTGTGTTCAGTAGGAAGAGTATTATGTGTATGAAATCCCTTAAACAGGAAATAATAGGTAGTTTCAAAACCTAGAGGCTGTGTTGAACATGGACTATTGTTTTTGTTCCTGTTGCCATGAGGTCCCATCTCTCATGCTGTATCAGAGGAGAGTGAGCATCATTAGGGAGGATGCAAGGTGGTCTATGCCAGGCTGCTTGCTCCAGCCTGATGGACTCTTACTTTTCCAGACTAATAAAAAGCAAACATTTAATGAACTGTTGCTAAGTGAAATGAGCTTTCCTAGGCACAGCAGACCATCATGAGTCCCTTCCCATAAGGGGCTTCTTTTTTTTTTTTTTTTTTTTTTGACAGAGTCTTGCTCTGTCGCCCAGGCTGGAGTGCAACGGCGCGATCTTGGCTCACTGCAACCTCCACCTCGTGGGTTCGAGCAATTCTCCTGCCTCAGCCTCCCGAGCAGCTGGGACTACCGGTGTATGCCATCACGCCCAGCTAATTTTTGTATTTTCAGTAGAGACGGGGTTTCACCACATTGGCCAGGCTGGTCTCAAACTCCTGACCTCACAATCCACCCACTTTGGCCTCCCAAAGTGCTGGGATTACAGGCGTGAGCCACTGTACCTGGCCGAGGGGCTTCTACTCCAGGGAGTGCACATGGCATTTGGATGAGGGAGGAAGGGTCACAGTAATTGTTTAGCTCTTAAGTGATCCTTAAGTGGCTGGTGAGAAGGACCAGTGTAATGGACAGTTTAGTTCTTTTGGTCATATACGCGTGGACACAGTTGTACTTAGTTACGGTGGGGGATAAGGGAGGGAAAATCCATATTTCTTCCCCTTACAGATAAATGTGTTCCATTTTATCTGCACACATGAGATTGATCAGAGTTGCAGCTTTGAACTTTTTGATATCTCTCTAGGGCCAGGTGTGAAAATCTATTCATCCAGGAAACAGTATGTGTCAAGGTGAGCACCTGGGAGTTAGGAAGTCCGGATGGGACTTGGGAGTTCTCTAATTGCTTCACAGAATCACAGAATGATGTTGGGCAAATAACTTGATCTCTTTGAGCTTCAGCTTTTTTTTTTTTTTTAATCTATAAGGTAGGGTAATAATGCCTACTTTACCATCTAATAGGATTAAGAAATATTGACATGTGTGAATGTGTTTTGTAAATTTTAAAGTACTATAAAAATGCCAGGGTTTATTACTATGACATTAAACATGAATAATTCTTAGGTATATATGCATACTTATTATATTAAATTTGAAAAATAGGGCCTCTTTTGAATGGGATATTCACTCCATATTCTATTCACCAACCTAGAATCCACAGTAGCCTTGTCTTCTTTCCATTTTTGATATGACAAGATCCCAGTCTATCACTTGCAAAAACCCATGAGCTGTTTTAGCGAAGGTAGAGAATTTTTTCCCTCACCCTCCGCAGGCTGGTTGCTCCCAGGGGAGAAGGAGCTTGCATTTTAAATGGGTGAATGACCAAGTGAGGGGTGCAGTCTTGGACTGAAAACCCCAGCAGAGCTAACTGACCCACAGAAGCCTTGATTTCTTGGTTAGCTCATGTAAGCCACTTGGGCCGACTGGCTCAAGGAATGGGCAGGTAATTCCAGACAAGAAGTGAGACAAGCTATTTGGAGCTTGCTTTATGCCAGCACTCAACTCTATTCCCTGCAGCTTTGCCAGGACTCAGTTTTTGTCACTAGCATACACTAGATTAGTAAGTTTCACTGCAACTTATTTTTAGCTCATTTGGGCAGAAGAAGGCATTGTCCCAACTGAGTTCAAGGCTCTGCAATTTGGAGCAAGTGCACTTTGAGCTCAGAAGATCAAATGCTGTGCTGGCAACTTGTTTTAGTGTTCAATTCCTATAGTTAGTAGGAAAGAAGATTTCAAATGTCATTTGCTGTAATGATTAGCTCCAGTGAGGGATTCTATCTACAATTATTTGCTTCAAAGCTTTAGTTGGCTGAAGCCTGTATATTTGATCATTAACAAAATAGTCTCCTCTTTTCTACCATGTTAATAATCTTGTTTAATAGAAATGCAGCTTTGATTTCTTCCTGAGCTAGGTTGCTATTATTCTGGCATGGAGAAGTGTTGGTTTAAGATTTTGCCACATCTGAGACATGGTAAAATTCCATTTTGGAAAGCTCTGAGCTTGGAGTTGCTCAAAAAGATGAGACTGGAAAGAATATTCTTGGCACAGCTGTGGGAAGCAGTTTGTTTAAATCAGAGCAAACCAAAGAAGTTGGCTCATGTGGAAACTTTATACCTGTTCCACATGTTTTAGACACTTCTGAAAAAACAAACAGCTCCATACTTGCAATTGTAGGGTCAAAAAGTCACATGTCGGCCCCAGTGCCAATTTAGCTAACTGAGTCCTCAAGCAGTCGGCACTGATGTTGTTAAATAAGAGTATGTTGTGGCCGCTTAACCAATCTCCACACCTGGAAAAAATAAAAATTAAAACAGGAAAGAAAGCAAAGTGAATTTGAAACTGGAGAGCAGGCTACAGTGACAATGTTCAGATTCTGAGCTCCTAAGCTGTCTCTACATTCCAGACTCGGAGGAATATTTGAAAAGCATGCATCTTTATGGGCAGAATCTCCCTAATCCATATCTCAGGGGCAAGATTAACACTGTGCAATACCCCACATGGACCTGGATTTCTGGAAATATGTTCTCATGAAAAGTGTCCCATTGACCGTGTCATCTTTTTCTTCCTCTTCTGTCTTAAGCCAGCTGGTTTATCTCCTGAAATTCAATACACTCCCCCTCTTTTTTCAGTTACATCAGTGCACAAAAGAGGCTCATGAAAAGAAACAGCTGCACCGATACCAGCAGGAGCTGCTGCAGCTACAGATTTTAGGCATGCACCTGCATGGAGTTGGGTGACTGGAGATTTTTCAGGGAAGCGAATATCATGAAACATCAGGACTCTAAAGCCAGATGAATGGATGGCTCCGGGGGTGGCAAACAGGATACCCCACTGCTCACCTGGAGGTCACAGGATCACACCTGACTTGAATTAGTCAAAAGAATTCCAGGATGAGGGCTAGTTGGTGGTTTATGAATGAAATGATTAGCTGGCTATAACAGTTCCTAATAAACAGATTGTCCATGTCAATGACATCTATTCATTGAGCTGCGAGCAAGTGGCATCTCTGTAGCCCTCATGGCAGAAGAGGGCAGGATTGATGAGACTTAAAAGCATCCTGTTAAGATTTTGCATAGAAGTGAGTGTGCTGGAAGCCACCGGAGGTTTTGAGCAGAGGGGTGACTTGATCTGATGTGTTTTAATAGATTTACTCTGACTGCTGTGTTGAGGATAGACAGTAAGGGAGCAAGGTAACATAATCAAAGTAAAAAAATGATGGTGACTTAGAGTATGGGAGTATTGCTGAAGGTAGTGAGAAGTTGTTGGATTCTGGTTATATTTTGAAGACAGAGCCAAATAGAATGTTCTGATTAGAATCAGAGTGTGAAAGAAAGGAGGAAAGAATGCATTTGAGGTTTGGGGCTTGAGCAGCAGGAAGGGCTGAGTTTCCAGCAGTTGGGTTGGGAAAGGCTTTACAGAGGAACAGATTTTGGGGTGGAGAGTATCAGGATGTTTACACAGGTTGGGAAGGATGAGAAGACATTGGATATATGAGTCTGGAGTTGAGACAGAGGTTCTAGCTGGAGATAGAAATTTGAGAATCATCAGTGGACATATGGAATTTAAAACCAAGGAACTGGATGAGAACACCAGGGGAGTGGGGAATGCAGTGAAGACCCAAATGCTGAGCCATGGGCCCTCCAGAATGAGGAGGTTGGGGAGATCAGGAGGCTCTAATATGGACTCAGGAGGAGTCCATAAATGAGAATGAGAAGGAATGGCCATGAGATAAGAAGGAAAGCTGGAAGAGTATGGTAGCCTGAAAACCAAGTGATGCAAGCGTTTCAAGGAGAAGGAAGAGAGCAACCATGTCCAGTGATATATAGGATGAACACGGAGCATTAGGAGTTGGTTGTAGCTGTGTGGATGTTTCTGGTGACTTTGCCAAGAGTAATTCTGGTGGAGTGATGGGGGTAATCACCTGACTGAAGGGAATATAAAAGAGAAATGAGAAAAGAGGATTTGGCAAAGCAGTATTGACAACTCTTGCAAGGAGTTTTATCATATGGGGGAGCAGACAAATGGAGTGGTAATTGGAGGGAAAGTAGAGTGAGAAAAGGTTTGTTTTTGTTTTAGGTGGGAGAAATAACTTGCCAAGGGGAATAATCTGCTAGAGCAGGAAAATTTTGATAATGTAAGAGAGGAGGAAGGTTGCTGGGGTCATGTCCTTGAGTGGGAGCAGGTGGAATCCAGTGTATAGGTGAAGAGGCCGACCTTCTTCAGCAGCAAGGATGGTCTCTCCATAGGAAGGGGGGAAGATAGAGTCGATGGGAACAGATGCTGGTGGGTGGCAGAAGTGGGGTGGGAGACTGTGGCAGTTCTTTTCTAAGAACTTCTATCTTCTCAGTGAGGTAGGAAGCCAGGTGAGGTGCTGAGAGAGAGAATGGGAGAAGAGGACCTGGAGGATGGGAGATGGTGGTTGTCTTGGAAGGTAGCAGGCCCAGGATGAAGTACAATGACCAGCATATGGACCCAGTCAAGATCATGGAAGCAAATTACAGGAAGACCAGTGGGTGTGGTTGTATGACTTCAGCCATGTTCAGTTGTGGGTGCAGGTACATAGTGGGTGGAGACTTGGATTTCAGGGGTTGCTAATGTAGCTCTACAAAACAGGGGAGGAGCACCCTGAAGATTTCTTCTTCATAGACACATTTTGTTTTCATTTTCTCAGGACAAAAATATTGGTTATGGACTTACTAAACTACTTAAACTTAATGAGTTGTGACTCACAGTTTGGAAGTCACTGGTCTAAATGGTATAGTCATTTTTCTTTCCTCTTAGCTTCTTAATGTAGAAATAACCTCAGTGCAGATTTCCCTGAAAATCCATCAGGCATTTGTTGAGTGCCCACAATGTGCCTGGCACTGTTTTCAGTGCTGTGAGGGGAGGCAGAAGAGAGCTAAGGTACAGCTCCTGCCTTCAGGGTGATGAATTGGTGGGGACCTGAGTTAGGCACAAACTTGAGAGTCCTATCTCATGGCACCTGGGACAGACTTTACTACTCAAAGATGGCACCACCCTAAGGTACTCTATTACCCGAAAGGATGCCAAGGGCCCAAACACCACAGATGTCCACCCTAATGTCAGTCTTAGAATACCTGTTCTGTACATGTGGC
The DNA here is from genome assembly GCF_000001405.40 of Homo sapiens. Lineage (NCBI taxonomy): Eukaryota > Metazoa > Chordata > Mammalia > Primates > Hominidae > Homo > Homo sapiens. The sequence continues at coordinate 219,747,324 of NC_000002.12, forward strand.
CAGATCACTTGAGCAAAGACTGTTATCTCCTTTAAGTCAAGAGGTAAACTCTATTAATGCATACTAAGATGGTATTGACCTTTTAGGGAACCTTGTCAAATTGTTGGCTTACACTGAATTTGTGGCCAAACTCTATCCTATGAGACATTAAAAAAAATCCTCTGGTCTCATCAATTCTTTATTTATACAGTATTCTGTAGGTATCCTTGGGGGATTGGTTCCAGGAGCCCCCTTAGATATCAAAATCCACAGGTGCTCAAGTCCCTTATATAAAATGGCCTAGTATTTGCATATAACCTACACACATCCTCCTGTATACTTTAAACCATCTCTAGGTTACTTACAATACCTGATACAATGTAAATGCTATACACATAATTGTTATACTATATTGTTGTTTTGTATTTTTTTATTGTTGTATTGTCATTTTTTATTTTTTCCAAATATTTTCAATCCACAATTAGTTGAATCCACTATTATGGGAACACATGGATACAGAAGGCCAACTGTACACCTGATTTTTTTCTTTGAATATTTTAATAGAATGCCCTGCCCTGCCCTTTCCTTTCCTTTCCTTTCTTTCCCTTCCTTTCCCTGCCCTCCCCTCCCCTCCCCTCCCCTCCCTTCCCTTCCCTTCCCTTCCTTCTTTTTTTTTTTTTTTTTTGACACGGGGTCTTGCTTTGTTGCCCAGGCTGGAGTGCAGTGGTGCAATCTCGGCTCACTGCAACCTCTGCTTCCCGGGTTCAAGTGATTCTTGTGCCTCAGCCTCTCGAGTAGCTGGGACTGCAGGTGTGCACCACCATGTCTGGCTAATTTTTGTATTTTTAGTAGAAATGCCATGTTGGCCAGGCAGGTCTTGAATTCCTGGCCTCAAGTGATCTGCCCACCTCAGCCTCCTAAAGTGTTGGGATTACAGGTGTGAGCCACAATGCCCGGCCTCAGCTAATTTTTAATTTTTTTTTTGTAGAGACAGGGTCCTGCTGTGTTGCCCAGGGTGGTCTTGAACTCCTGGGCTCAAGCAAAACTCCTGCCTCAGCCTCCCAAAGTGCTGGGGTTATAGGCATGAGCCACTGCCTGGTCAAAATGCCCTTTCTATTGGAGGGTGGGGACTGTGTGTTTCGAAGCTGTAGATACATACTTACCACGTAAGGATAAAATCATGGTGCTGGTGCCCTAAAATTTTGGTTAATCTCAAAACACGAGACCCTTCAGGAAGCAGTATGCAAGAGTTTTTGATGCAAAGAGAAATATACTTAATTGCTTCATCTTTTGGTTACTGTTTTTGGTCTTTGATTCAAAGGGGGAATGAGTTAGGACAAAGGTGGGGTATTCAAACTTATCTTCTAATCATATTTTAACTCAGTATAAAGGAGTTCATGTCTCTCTGCGATATTCAGTGTTTACAGTCCCAGACATGGCATTTTCGTTCTCTGTTTATGGTTGGATGCTTTGTGCTAATATATTTGCCACGGATGCAGTTGGGTTTGCCTTTCCAGGCAACAGTTAAACCAGCAGGAGACCACTTGTGTGCAATTTGTTGGAATGAAATCTACATTTTGGGATTAGATTACTTAGTAGTGTCATTTTGCATTGAGTTGACTTTGTGGGTGGTCTCCAATAAACCCTGCACGTACAGCAAGTGTCAGCCCTGATTATCTCCAAGCAAGCTTGTAATGACTGCACAGCTTGGTATTTACAAGAAAAAAACAGCTTCTCTTACTTTTAATTCAGGGAATGCAGGGGCATGGATGAACCCCCACAGAAGGGTGGCAAAAGGCCCATTCAAGGGGTTGTTCTTGGAATGGTCTAACTTAATTTTCTGTCCTTTCTGGAGATTAGGACAATAGCCACAATGTCACTTGGAGCTCACCAATTAGGACATTTGTTTTGAACAATGCCTGAAGGAGTTGTTTGAGCTCAGAATATATAAGGACTAAAGGATTAGCTGAGGAGGACAGAGCTAACATTGTGGAGTGTACTATATGGTTGGCTTAAGCCTGAATGTGAATAGTAAGTAACAAACAGCATTCCAGGGCCACTGCCATGTCATTCTGGTGGTAGCAATTCTCTAGAGCAGTGGCCCTCAGCCAGGAGTGATTTGGCTCTCCAGGGGATATTTGGCAATGTTTGGAGACATTTTTGGTGATCACAGCTAGGTGGCTTGCTACTGCATCTGTGGGGAAAGACCAGGGATGCTTCCAACTATCCTGCAATGCACAGACCTCTCCCCTTCACCTGCAACAAAGAATTATTGTGCCCAAAACATCAGAAGTGCTGAGGTTGAGAGACCTTGCTCCAGGGTATTCGTGAACTCTTGGCCTTCCCAATCCTCTCCTTATTTTCTCTCAATGTCCTCTGGTCCACTTAGAGTCCCTCTAACATTCCTTCTTGTTTGAAACCCACATGGTACTGGAGCTCAAATATTAGAGTCTTGTAATAGAGAGAGCATCGTCTTTGGAGCCAGACAGATGTGGGTTAAATCCCAGCCTACTGCTTTCAGATTGGGTGATTTTGGGGAAAATTACTTAATCTCTCTGAGCTTCAATTAAAAAAAAAAAATCTGGAACAATGGGAACTCCCATCCTTACCTGGCTGAGTGGTAGTAAGGATGAAATTTATGTAAATTTATCAGTGTTTGGTTTGCTTATTGGATGCTTCAAAACATTTTTTATCATTGCATGTTCCTTGCTCGTTAACTACCAATGTTCAGTTTTCCCACATTTAAAGAGTATTCCAGCAATTTCTTTTTATTGTAGAAAATTGAGAAAAAAGATAAGCAAGCAGGAAGAAAAAAAATGAAATCACCTGTTTTCTTATTCCTCAGAGATAATCACTGTGAACGCTTTCTGTATATGTATTTCCAGACCTTTTCTCTCTCTCTGTGTGTGGGTGTTCCTGCTGCGGACAGTTTAGCGCTTGCTTTTTAAACTTAATGATGTATTAGGAACATCTCTCTATGTCAATACATATAGATCTACATCATCTATACCATCGTTTTAAAAAGCTGCCTAATGTTTTATTGTATTGATGAGCTATAATTTATTCAGTCAATCCCTTTTATTCTTGGACATTTAGATCACCAGGGTAAGACTTCAAAGTCCAGAGAATGTCTTGCCTAGGTTGTACGAGGTTTATTATTTGGAGTTCTAGAAAGTCAGCCCTTTTTTTAAAAAATTTATTTTCTTTTTATTTTTTTATTTTTATTTTTATTAATTTTTTTTAGTATTTATTGATCATTCTTGGGTGTTTCTTGGAGAGGGGGATTTGGCAGGGTCATAGGACAACAGTGGAGGGAAGGTCAGCAGATAAACATATGAACAAAGGTCTCTGGTTTTCCTAGGCAGAGGGCCCTGCCGCCTTCCGCAGTGTTTGTGTCCCTGGGTACTTGAGATTAGGGAGTGGTGATGACTCTTAAGGAGCATGCTGCCTTCAAGCATCTGTTTAACAAAGCACATCTTGCACCACCCTTAATCCATTTAACCCTTAGTGGACACAGCACATGTTTCAGAGAGCACCGGGTTGGGGGTAAGGTTATAGATTAACAGCATCCCAAGGCAGAAGAATTTTTCTTAGTACAGAACAAAATGAAGTCTCCTATGTCTACTTCTTTCTACACAGACATAGTAACAATCTGATCTCTTTCTTTTCCCCACATTTCCCCCTTTTCTATTTGATAAAACTGCCATCGTCATCATGGCCCGTTCTCAATGAGCTGTTGGGTACACCTCCCAGATGGGGCGGCGGCTGGGCAGAGGGGCTCCTCACTTCCCAGACGGGGTGGCCGGGCAGAGGCGGCCCCCACCTCCCGGACGGGGCGGCCCCCCACCTCCCTGACGGGGCGGCTGGCCGGGCAGGGGCTGCTCCCCACCTCCCGGACGGGCGGCTGCAGGGCGGAGACGCTCCTCACTTCCCAGACGGGGCGGCTGCCGGGCGGAGGGGCTCCTCACTTCTCAGACAGGGCGGCCGGTCAGAGACGCTCCTCACCTCCTAGACAGGGTGGCGGCCGGGCAGAGACACTCCTCAGTTCCCAGACCGGGTCGCGGCCGGGCAGAGGCGCTCTTCACATCTCAGACTGGGCGGCGGGGCAGAGGCGCTCCCCACATCCCAGACGATGGGTGGCCGGGCAGAGACGCTCCTCACTTCCTAGATGGGATGACGGCCGGCTGGGAAGAGGCGCTCCTTACTTCCCAGACTGGGCGGCCGGGCAGAGGGGCTCCTCACATCCCAGATGATGGGCGGCCAGGCAGAGACGCTCCTCACTTCCTAGACGGGGTGGCGGCTGGGCAGAGGCTGCAATCTCGGCACTTTGGGAGGCCAAGGCAGGCGGCTGGGAGGTGGAGGTTTTAACGAGCTGAGATCAGGCCGCTGCACTCCAGCCTGGGCAACATTGAGCACTGAGCGAGAGAGACTCCGTCTGCAATCCCCGCACCTCAGGAGGCCGAGGCTGGCAGATCACTCGCCATCAGGAGCTGGAGACCAGCCCGGCCAACACTACGAAACCCCGTCTCCACCAAAAGATACGAAAACCAGTCAGGCTTGGCGGCGCGTGCCTGCAATCGCAGGCACTGGGCAGGCTGAGGCAAGAGAATCAGGCAGGGAGGTTGCAGTGAGTCGAGATGGCGGCAGTACAGTCCAGCCTCGGCTCGGCATCAGAGGGAGACCGTGCAGAGAGGGGGAGGGGGAGAGGGAGAGGGAGAGCTGTTTTTTTTTTTTAAATTAAGAAAAAATTTCTGCGTACGTGGTAGGTATACATATTTCTGGGGTACATGAGATATTTGAGTCAGGTGAACAATGTGTAATAATCACATCAGGGTAATGGGTTATCCATCATCTCAAGCACTTATCATTTCTTTAGGTTATAAACATTCCTGCTATAATCTTTTAGTTATTTTAAAATATACAACAAATGACTGTTGACTGTGGTCACACTGTTGTGCTATCAAATACTAAATCTTGTTCATTCTATCTAACTACATTTGTATGCCCATTAACCACTCCCACTTCCTACTTTCCTGCTACCCTTCCCAGCCTCTAATAACCATCACTCCACCGTCTATCTCCATGAGTTCAATTGTTTTAATTTTTAGCTCCCACAAACCAGTGAGAACATGCAAAGTTTGTCTTCTGTGCCTAAAGCCAGCCCTTTCTGGGCCCACTTGCTACTGCACAAACACACTCCACATAGTTAATTAAGAGGGACAGCTCTCTCCACAGAATACATGTTCTCTGCTTCCACTTTCTGGACAGCCTGCTCATGCTGTGTGGGGCAGACGGTAGAGTTAGCACTCTTTTCTTTTTATCACACAATATAATGTAGTGGTTCTGAGTGTAGGCTCTGGGGTTAGGCTGACTAGTTTCAAATCCCAGCTCTTTTGCTTGGGTGCATAACCTCACCTACTTGAGCCTCAGTTTCTAGCTCTGTGAAATGGGGATGCCAATAGTGCCTGCATCATAGAGTTGTTCTGAGAATTAAATGAGGAAGTGTGTGTCAGGTACATAATGTTAGGTCTGGTATATTTTAACTTGTATAAGGCAGAAACAAATACCCGACGATCTGAGTGCTTCCTGGAAGTCTGTCTCCTGTTACTCAGAAGTCCACATTGCTATGTGCAAAATCACTGCCTGACACTATCAAGTGCCCCAGCCCTGAAGCAGCTGCAGCTGTGGTTTAAAGCTCTCTACTTGCTGCCTTCCTGGGGCATTTTTTTTTTTTTGAAGAGATACCTGTACTCCCATGTTTATTGCAGCACTATTTGCAATAGCCAAGATTTAATAATCCATTTTAGTGGATCCAGTTTTTCTGGGGACTCAAAACTGATACATTTAGTGGGTTCTTTAAGAAAAATAATATAGACATTATGGATATAGAAGTAGGTAGGAAAATAAATATTTTAAGAAGGAAAGGATATAACAAAAACTGTGAGTTATAAGAAGTTGACAAATATAAACATTATGATAATTTTAAATGTATGTAACCACAAAAGCAGCTTTTGTTTTTAATTTCCACACATTACTTTCTTATAGTTGCTCTAACAAAGAACCACAAATATAGTTGCTTAATACAGCACAAATTTATAATCTTACAGTTCTATGGGTCAGAATTCCAAAATCAGTTTTCTTGGGCTTAAATCAAGATGTTGGCAGGGTTGTGTTGCTTCTTAAGGCTCTAGGGAGAATTCATTTTCTTGCCTTTTCCAGCTTTTTAGAGGCTGGTTGTGGGCCCACATGGCTCTAACTTCTGTTTCTATTGTCACATCTCCTTATTTGACTCTCACCCCTCTTGCCTCACTCTTATAAGGACACTGTGATTACACTGGGCCAAGTAGATAATCCAGGACAGTCTCTCCATTTCAATGTCTATGGCCTTAATTACATCTTCAAAGTCCCTTTTGCCATGTATGTTTCCTGGGATTAGGTGGTGGACATCTTTGGGGGCCCATTCTTCAGCCTGCTGCGTGCCTTCTTCACACCACTTTCATTACTCACCCTTTTGAACTCAGACATTGCTGGTAGCTCAGGCTCTGGGTACACCTGACAAGTATGCACACACTTGACAGGTATTTGAGAGCTGGGATCCTTTCTTGAGATCAAGTTTAGCATCTGACTAGCACCTCTGCTGCAGGTGGGAGTGGGAAGCTCAAGACAACATTGCGCCAGAGAGCCATCAGATGCCTGGGAATTGGGCTTGTCCAGACCTCAGCTTCTCTTCTTGACTTCTGATATGGTTTGGCTGTGTCCCCATCCAAATCTTGTCTTGAATTGTAATTCCCATAATCCTCACATGTCATGGGAGGAAGCTAGTGGAAGGTAATTAAATCATGGTGGCAGTTACCCCCATGCTGCTGTTCTTATGATTGCGAGTGAGTTCTCACAAGATGATCGTTTTATAAGGGGCTTTTTCCCCTCCTTTTCTCTGCACTTCTCCTTGCTGCTGCCATGTGAAGAAGGACATGTTGCTTCCCTTTCTTCCATGATTGTAAGTTTCCTGAAGCCTCTCCAGTCTTGCAGAACTGTGAGTCAATTAAACCTCTTTCCTTTATAAATTACCCAATCTTGGGTATGTCTTTATTAACAGCGTGAGAATGGACCAATACAACCTCCATAGTGCTTGGTAGTCCAGGAGTCTTTCCAATTCATGCTCTGCTGGCTGCCAAGCACTTCCTCCTCCTAGGGCCTGCCACACTTCTCATTCTTGGCCAGCCTCCCAATGGCCTGGAATAAGCCCACCTCCTTTACCCTCCCTCCATACTGCCTGACTCTGAGCACCCCAGAGTCCCACTCTCCGCAATGAATTCCCGGCCGAGTACCTCCAGGCTGCTTTCTTGGCCAAAATGTCATTAGGGGAACCCTGCTCACTGTCACATGTTCATCTTGCCTCCCTGAACAGAAACACTCTCAACAGCCCCTCTTCCAGCCTGTTCTCCTGTCCACCCAGCTTCAAATGTTCTATGTGTTCAGCGTGCTCCCTGGAGTCACTCCACCACCTGGCTAGTCCACAAGGTCTCTCTGGGCTCACCAGTCCTAAGAACCATAGCTCAGGCAGGGTACTGTGTCTTTTCATGCCATTGCTGGACCACTGGATGTAGGTGCTCTGAGGGAAGGGGTACAAGTGCCTCATACACAAAGTGGGGCTGGCCTGCCAGTAAGATACCCTGGGCCTTTGGCTGGTGCGTTTCTTCCATTGCCATCTTCTTGCTATAAACCCTCATAGACAACATTCTGGGATGTGACCTTGGGTAAATGGGCTCTATTCAGGGTCCTCCCTACTAGTCCTTCTTCTCAGTTTTCTCAGTTCCCATCCACACCCAGCTAAAAGCTCTGATCTCTTCTTGTTTTCCTGCCACAATTAATGAGGATGTAGTCACCCTTTAGATTAGGGCCTACAAACGGAGTGTTTATGCTCCCCACCTTCAAATTCATATGTTAAAATCCTAACCCCAAGGTGATGGTGTTAGAAGGTGAGGTATCTTGGTAGGCTGTGCCCTTATGAATAGAATTAATGTCCTATAAAAGAGACCCCAGAGAGATTCCTTGTCCCTTCTACCATATGAGGACACAGCATGATGGTGCCACCTATAAGATAGAAAGTGGTCCATCACCAGATACCAAATCTGTTGGCACCTTGACCTTGGACTTCCTAGCCTCCAGAACTGTGAGAAATGTTTGCTGCTTATAAGCCACTCGGTTTATGGTGTTTTGGTGATAGTAACCTGGATGAACTAAGACAGAGCCCAAAACCTTCAGTAACTGATATGGTTTGCCTGTGTCCCCACCCAAATCTCATCTTGAATTGTTGTTCCCATAATCTCCATGTGTTGTAGGAGGGACCAGGTGGAGATGGAGATAACTGAATCATGGGGGTGGTTTCTCCCATCCTGTTCTCATGATAGTGAGTGAGTTCTCACAAGAGCTGATGGTTTTATAAGGGGCTTTCCCCCATTTTGCTCTGCACTTCTCCTTGCTGCCGCGATGTGAAGAAGGACATGTTTGCTTCCTCTCTGCCATGACTGTAAGTTTCCTGAGGTTTCCTCAGCCCTATGGAATTTTGAATCAATTAAAACTCTTTCCTTTTTAAATTACCCAGTCTTGGGTATGTCCTTATAGCGTGTGAGAATGGACTAATACAGTAACATAAGTCTTGTCTTCCCCAAATAGGGCATAGTTGGCCACTCAGATGCATGATGCATTATCTTCTAAGCAGCAAAAACCACATTGCATTTTGAGATAAAAAACAGCTTGACTATTCCTATCCTAATTTATAGATCCCACTTTCTCACCCTCAGGAAAATGAGGATGAATGACTATCCTCTCTCACTTCCACACATTCTTAAGGCTGTTCTTTATTTTAGTGTGTAAAAATTTGCTCAGCATTATATAATCATTAACCAAATATAACGAGAGGAAAAATTCACTCATGACACCACTATCATCCCTGACAAATTAAACTATGTTGATTTTTTCCCATGTTCCCTTCCAGTTTTGTCCCCATGAACATATAATTTAAAGAGTTTTAATCATAGTGTAGCTATCATTTTGTGTTCTGCATTTTCCACTTAGCATTAATTATATCATAAGCATTTTTTCATGTTGCTGCAAAGTCATCGTAATTATCATTTTTAATGACTGTATAAGAATTCATCAAGAGGGGAGTAGATTTTTTAACCCTTGTCCTGCTGTGGGGCCCTTTGTGACTCTTTTGATCTGTTTCTCCTTTGGGGTTGGCCTCGATGTCATCTCTACCTGCTTTCCCTGGGTGAGGGAGAGGGGGAGCCCAAGCAGCCAACAGGGTGGGGCTAGGGAGGAGAAGAAAAACCACAGAGGAAGGAGCAAGCAAAGAGCATGGAAGGAAACCTGCTGTGTACACATTCACAGTTAAGCCTCCTAAAAGCAATAACTAGAAGGAAACCTGGCCTTTACCTGGTTAAGCCCCTTCACTAATCATTATTTTTGAGAAGACAGTTCTTTGGAGGGACCTTCCACACCTGGTAGAAAGGTAGCTGTTGGAAACTGTTTGCAAAAATAAGTTTATTATATCAGTTTTAACTTTCCTAGCCATCAGAATCAACTCCCAGATGCTATTCTAAATTCCATAAACATAGGTACAATTTTTGTTAATCAAATGTTTAGTGCTGATTAGAGCTTATGTGATAACTTGAGAGGATTTAAATGGTGACAGTATCTCTTAAAGTTCTGTGAACACCAGGTCCACAAGATGCTCTACAAAACAAGGGCTGCTTTGAGAAACAATGTTTGGAAATAGTGATGCTTCCTGCTTGATCCCCCTCTTCGATATCCACAATGCCCCTTCATATATTCAATGCTCTGAGAAGTTCCGCAGGAAGGAAAACTGCTTAACTTTGGTTGACCTTTTGTTTCCCAAGGCTGCAGGGCCCTTCCTTCATAGGGTAGCTCCACTGGTCAGAATCTGCTCAGGAAAATAGAAGGCTTCTAAGAAATTCAGATTGAAGACAGAGATCTAGTTTAAAAAGTTGGTGTGATCTAGAGATTCACAATGACAGTAAGTAGCCAAAGCGTGGACATGGAGTTACAGAACCTGGAAACACACTTGTTTCTGCAATCCTGGGGGTAATTCACAGGGTGCTGAGACCAAAAAGAGAGATGCAGAGTGTGGTGGGACCCAGCAGATGGTGGGGCAACTGGGGAGGTGCTAAGCCTAGTGCTGGGATGCAGAAAGAGGCTTGAGCAATGTGTCCTGGATCTATGGGAGGCCCCTGGACCCCACAGCCCTCTGCTACTCCTGGAGGGGTGTTGCTGTCTGTGGTAGGCAGAGTTTTGGCCCCCATGATCTCTGCCCTCTGGTATTATGACCATGAATACATCATGCTACTTGGAGAAAAGGGCCTTGCAGATGTAATTAAGGTCACTAGTCAACTGGCCTTATGATTGGGAGAATATCCTGGCTGATCTGGTGTGGGCACAACATACGTAATCATACGAGCCCTTCAAAGTGAAAAAGCAAAGCAGAGCAGGGAGTCAGAGAGGTTCACAGCATAACAGGATTCAATATGCCATAGCTGGCTTCAAAGACAGAGGAAGGGGCCATGAGCCATGGAAAGTGGGCAGCCTCTAGAAGCTGAGAAGAATCACCAGCTGACAGCAGCAAGTAAATTCAGGGACCTCAGTCCTATAACCTCAGGAAACTGAATTCTGCCCACAACCTACCAGAAGAGGTGGAAGTAGATTCTCCCACAGAGCCTTCAGGTGGGAGCCCAGGCTGTCCAACACCTTGATTTTGGCCGTGTGAGACCCAAAGCTGAGTACCCAACTGAGCCCACTGGACTTCTACAGAACAGTGAGATAATAACTACATGTTGTTTTAAGCCACTGAGTTTGTGGTAGATTGTTCCAGCACAATAGAAAATTAATCCATCCTACCATCTAATCACCCATCATATTAGTCCATTCTCATGCTGCTATAAAGAACTTCCTGACACTTGGTAGTTTATAAAGGAAAGAGGTTTAATTGACTCACAGTTCTGCATGGCTGAGAGGCCTCAGGAAACTTACAATCATGATGGAAGGGGAAGCAAACATGTCCTTCTTCACAGGATGGCAGGAAGGAGAAGTGCTGAGCAAAGGGGGAAAAGCCCCTTATAAAACCATCAGATCTCTTGAGAACTCACTGTCATGAGAACAGCATGGAGGTAACCACCCTCATGATTCAATTACCTCTCACTGGGTCCCTCCTGTGATGTATAGGGATTATGGGAAGTACAATTCAAGATGAGATTGTGTGGGGACATAGCCACACCATATCACTCGCCATTCCCCACCCTCATATAATCCAACTGGAAGCCCACTGGCAAGAGGGTCTGGGAAATGTAGTTTATGGGGTCCCAGATCCTCCATAATTCAGTACAGAAGGGTGGGAGTAAAGGCTAAAAGCACATGGGCGGGTCTCTTGGACAGCATCTGTTAGCATTTGGTGGATGAATATTAGGAAAACTATTTTGGGGGATTCTGCCTTATGATATAGTAGAGTTGGGCTTTTTAAATGGATACTTTGAGACCTTCCATAAAATGCATGAAGATGATATATTTATGCCCCTTTTTATAAGATGGCCAAAGGGGTGCAGTAAGATGTAGGGGAGAGAACACCACAGACTGGAGGTCAGATCCTGGCTCTGCTACTAACTCATTGGGTGGCTCTGAGTCCCTCACCTGCCCAGGGCTTCTGGTTCTGCTTGTGTGGAGTGCAGGGAGCTGACTAAAGCACCTTCCAGGCAAGCTCTAAAGTTCTGCAGCTTGGGGAATAATTTTACTCTTTTGAATGATGTGTGTTCTATTTAAGTGATTGTAGTCATGGCTATGACTATTTGATGCTGAATTCTTGATGAGAACAGAACTCCCAATCATGAGATTGTTGCTAAGGGAAAATATCAGTTGGCAGTCATCTGCTTGCCATTATGGGAAAAAAGGATAGTGTCAATAATGATCGTCTCTGGTCCCAAGCGACTTGAGGGGCCCCCAATGTGGGCTGGCATAAGATCAATTTTCCTTGATAGACAACTGGTGTCCATGCTGTGTAACCTCTGTGCTGCTTGCTGTCGGGGAAATTAGAGCAAGGAATTGTATAATCCTAGGCTTCAAGGAGCTTCTCATCTCATTGAGGAGACAAGATGAACATCAGGAAATGACTGGATAATGATAGAAATGAATAGAGCCCCATTTTAAATTATATCACAGCTTTATGTCCACTTCCTGTTCCTGCCATCACTGGGCTTTTTACAAAGGAGGGCTTTCCTTTTATCTGTCTAGATTACAGAAAGAGGCACAGATCTCTGAGCAGCAGTGGTTCAGAGCTGGGTTTTACTGGCCTTTGCATTCTTCCTTAGTTCTTACTGGGAACTTCTTGGTGAAGATATGAACATCTTTCATGATAGTTTCCCATAGCGTGTGAAACATAGCTTGCCACCCACCTTGAGCAGATTGCTTTTTTTTTTTTTTGAGGCATTTGAAAGTAAAACAAAGTACCCTGCCATTAATGGAAAGCTAGAATTATTTTCTATCTGCTTGTACTTCTGACAGGTTGGTTGATGCTGTCACTGGCTGAGTGTACTTTTTCAAAATGCATCTATTTAGCTCGTTACTCCTGGGTGGATAAATTCCTAATGCTCCTCTTTGACATGTTCTTTGCTGGTGCCAACAAAGCAATGATGCCGTGCTCTCTATACAGCCTTATTCTGGGGGTGTTGCCCACAGTGTAGAAGTAACAGCCCTGCCTTCCAAGAACTTGCACATCTGCCCAGGTGGCTGAAACTTTCATTTTGCACCTGGATTTCTAGGGGTCACAGAGATATGGCCTCTGAGTTTCAGGCTTCTTTGATGTTAGAAGCGCTGTTACATACTGCACATTCAATGTTTCCTTTTCTTTCCTGGGAGACTGTGTGGTTTTGGAAACTTTCAAAATAGGGCATGGAACAAATTTTGTCTTAACTCTCAGAGGGCCACTGGTTCTCTATGATAGTGTGGAATAATAGTACGGAATTGGGGGGTGCTACCTGGCATTGAGTTCTGATTCCAATATTTCTTTGGTCAAGTTTGTTAACTTCTCTAGGACTCAGTTTTCCCATATGTGAAGTGGGAGGACAAACAACCTGATAGTGTTGTTATGAGGATTAAATTAAATGATGCACCTTAAATAATGCAGCTTAACCCAGTGCCTGGTATATGATAAGTGCTTAATACATGTTATTTTTCAATATTATCATCTTCACGATCATGATCATCATCACCAGGGCCATCATTGCCATTATCACTATGTCCACGCGTCATCACCAAGATCACCATCATCATCATTGCCACCATCAACTTTATTTCATCACCATCATCCTCACCAACACCATTGCACCAGCAGCAGCACCCTGCCCTCCCAGATCCTCTTTCTAGGCAGCCGATATGTAGCCATATCTGGCAATGAGGCAGATCCCAGGCTCCTGCTTTGCCCTAGCCTTTGCTGTAGCCACTGTACCTGTGCGGAGGAGTGTGAATCCCTTCCTTCCTCCAGCCATGATGCATGGCCCCTTCTTTGCTCTCCCTCTTTTCATCGTTCTCTATTTGTCTGGGGTCCACACATTCTGCCTGACATTGGCCAGCTCCTCTTGAGAGGCTGGATCCTTCCATGGTCCAGTTGCTGGTCAGGCTGTGGCTGGAGGGTGGTCCTCTGAGCCTTGCTGCTGCTGCCTGTTGAACTCTGAGAACTGGCTGCTTCCTAGACTCATATCATTGTGGATTTAGGCCATGCCTGTGCAGATTTCACTCTTTGAGAACCTGGTTTTAGGGAGTTTGAGGGATTCTGGGGCTGATCAAGAAAGGAAAAAGATATGACTGCCACGTGGTAGTGGCACATGCAAGCTTTATTCGGGTGACACCCTGACAGGCTGGCATGCAGGGGAAGTCCCTCGCAGCATGAGACTTTGCCCAGAGGCTATGGTTTAGGGTCATTCCTCAGAAGGGTATGAGGGCAAGGGAGCTTCCAGAGGAATGGGGACTTGGAGAGGGGTCTTAGATGTCTACATGAAGTTTCTCAGCAGTCTGGAGGGGAATCTTTGGGTCAGAGACCTCCAAAGGGTGGCAGTGACTAGGGGTCTTCATAGCCCTGGGGTTTATCTTATGTATGGCTAGCAGATACTGGGTGCAGTTTTGCAGGGCATGCAAAGCAGTCAGACTGTAAATGGCTATAGATATGGTTATTTGGGTTATGTTGAAAACAACTGAATGTGTAAAAATTTGAGTTTCTTATCAGTAGGCTTTTGAGCTAACAAGTCTTAGCTTCTGTAAAGAAGTCAACAACCTAGGGGCCAATATACAGAGGCCCTCTTTGGCTTGTTTAGGTAACACTGGCTCATTGGCCTGCCCCCTGGTAGAGCTCAGGCTCTGTGTCCCACCTGCTCCCTGGCCATCCTCATCCACTCCAGTCTCCTCTCCTTAAAAACAATTATTAGGCTGGACATGGACATGGTGGCTCATGACTATAATCCCAGCATTTTGGGAGGCTGAGGAGGGAGGATCACTTGAACTCAGGAGTTGGAGACCAGCCTGGGCAGCAGAGTGAGGTCCCATTTCTCCAAAAATTAAAAAATTAGCTGGGAGTGGTAGCACATGCCTATAATCCCAGCTACTCAGGAGTCTGAGGTGGGAGGATCGCTTGAGCCCGGGAGGTAGAGGCTGCAGTGAGCCTTGATGGCATCATTGCAGTCCAGCCTGGGTGACAGAGAGAGACTGTCTCAAAAAGAAGAAAAAAAAAACAGCTTAAAAATCATATGACAGATAATATACTATGTACTTCAAGTATATCATCTTATTTAATCCTTTCAATCCTATGAAGCAGATACTCCTATTATACCTATTTTAGGCATAAGGAAATGGAATCTTAGAGAAATTCAGTGATTTGCACAAGGCCTGTTATTGGAAAGCACAGTGACTCAAGCTGCTTAATTTTGTGGGGTCATAGGACACAGCATGAAGATGTCTGATAACTGTACTCCATGTAAACTGGTGTTCTCCCAGGAGTTTTCCTACATAATCCTGGAGGTACAAAGGCATCACATTCAGTTATCAGCCATGTTTTCTTATTGTTGCCATTACATGTTATATAAGACTCCAGTCCCTTGCAGGTATTTATGAAAGTTTTGGAGAAGTTGACAAAGGCAGCTTTGTTTACAAGACTGATGAGCTGTGGTGGAATGGTGACCCCAGTAAGGTGCTCTGCTTTTGCTGGGAACCATCACTCCTGCCAGGCTTGTCTTATTTTGGGGTATCAGGAACACTTCTACTTGCTACTCCAGCTCCTGCTGGGCATGTCTCCACTTCCTCCATCCCCTGCCTTGTATTGAAGTTGTCACAGGTATCTTGGAGCCCTAGAGATGCTCAAGGTATGGGGAGGCCCAGGAAGGCTTGGATGGTAAATCCAGTGTCAGACCAGGAGGGATGCCTGATGGCCTCTCTCTGGGGCTTTGTTCTTGGCTGAGCATGGCATGATGGACTTCCTCTGAGCCCATCCCTGTAGGTCCACAGCATCACCTGCAAATGAGTTTCTTGCAGGAGTTTGCAAGAGGAGAAAGATTTTGGTACAAAAAACATTGCACTATTCAGGCTGACCACCTTCCTGCTGTGACAACGGCGAAAGGCAACACATTAAGATTCGGCACCAAGAAAGAGTATGCTGACATATGCCTATTAAGTTAGCCTGATCCACCCTGCCACCGAGGCTTATCTACCAGTAAAGGATCTATGGAAATGGCAAGATCGTCTGACCGTCTTCACTTGGTCTGAACCTGCTCTGCCTTCAAACTGTTCCACTCTGTATTTTGCCCTGGACCCCTGGGCCCCTCCACTTGCTCTCTCTCTCTCTCTCTCTTTTTTTTTTTTGAGACAGAGTCTCACTCTGTTGCCCAGGCTGGAGCGCAGTGGTGAGATCTTGGTTCACTGCAACCTCTGCCTCCTTGGTTCAAGTGATTCTTCTGCCTCAGCCTCCTGAGTAGATGGGATTACAGGTGCCCACCACCACACCCAGCTAATTTTTGTATTTTTAGTAGAGACAGCGTTTCATCATATTGGCCAGGCTGGTCTCAAACTCCTGACCTCAGGTGATCTGCCTGCCTCGGCCCTGCAAACTGCTGGGATTACAGGTGTGAGCCACTGCGCCGGGCCCCGTCGACGTGCTTTTGATACCCACTGTCTCTGAAGGAAGTGGGTCTAGGCCTGTTCTCCTCATTGACCCTATGGGCCAAACTGGTCCTCTCAATGTAGAGAGGGCATTTGGATGAACACCCAGGGTATATCTGCTGTGTATTAGTTTGCCAGGGCTGCTGTAAAAAAGCACCACAGGGTGGGGGGCTGAAACAGCAGGAGTTTATTTCCTCCCAGTTCTGGAGGCTGGAGTTCCAAGATCAAGGTGTCAGCAGGGCTGTTTCTTCTGAGACCTCTCTCCTTGGTGTGTAGATGGCCATGGACTGCATAGCATCCCCCTAAATTCATATGTTGAAGCGCTAGCCATCAGTGTGATGATATTGGGAGATGAGGCCTTTGGGAGGTGATTAGGTTTAGAAGAGGTCATGAGAGTGGAGCCCCCCATGATGAGCTTAGCTCCCTTATAGGAAGAGACACCAGAGAGCTCTCTCTCCCGGCCATGTGCCCCATCCATCTGCCTGCACCTGGGGCTATGTGAAGGCACAACCAGAAGGCAGCCTTCTGCAAACCAAGGAGAGAGCCCTCACCAGATACAGACCCTGCTGGACTTCCAGTTTCCAGAACTGTGAGAAATAAATCCCTGTTGGTTAAGTGCCTGGTCTATGACATTTTGTTGGAGCAGTCCAAGCTGTCTTCTCCCTGTATCTCCACATGGTCTTCCATTGGTGCATGCTTATTCATGTCCTAATCTCTTTTTATAAGGACATGGGTCATATTGGATTAAGGCCCACCCCAATGTCCTCATTTAACCTTCATTACCCCTTTAAAAATCTCATCTTCAAACACAGTCTCATTCTGAAGTCCCGGGGTTTAGGACTGCAGCATATGAATTTTGAGAGGACACAGCTCAGCCCATAACCCTGCCATATGCTTTGGCCAGGTTCACCGGGAGGTCTCCAGTGCCAGGCCCCTGGTCATGGATGAGGGCCCATGGCTCCTTTCTCTTAACACAGAAGCTGGAGTGGTCCTGTTTAAACCTGAGTCAGATCACATTACTCCTCTGTCCAGTGTTTTCCCATCTCATTTAGGGTAAAAACCAGAGTCTCGCAGTGGTCTTTGGGGCTTTATGTGGTTCTCCTCCTCCTCTACCTTAACCTTACTTCCTTCTCTTCTCCACCTGATCACTTTGCCCTGGCCATGTGGGCCTCCTCACTGTGGCTGCAGCACATCAGGCCTGAGGCTGCCCAAGGGCCTTTGCACTTCTGGTTTCTTTTGCCCTGAATACTTTCCCCCCATTCATCTGTACCTGGCTCTTTTCTCCTTCTCCCCTCAGGTCTTTCCTCAAAAAACTTGAAGACTTTCTTTTCTATCACATTTAACTCACTCTCCCCTCCTCTAAAATTTCATTTCTTTCCTGCTTTACTTTTTTCTCCTCCCTTTTACTGCCATCAAACATGCAAAACATTTATTTCACTTATGTATCAAGTTTCTTGTCTGTCTCCCCACTCAGAATGCCAATTCCATGGGGCAGGGACTTGGATTTATCCATAGTGGTATCTCCAGCACCTGGAATAGTGCCTGGTGCCTGGTGTGTAGTCAACACTCAGTAGATACTGGTTACATGAATGAATAAATTCACACAGAGTGTGAGGGACATTACAACATGGCTAGCATTCTTCCTTGTGCCATCATAATTCTTGGGATTGTGGGGGTTTTTGACGGGGAGGGACCCCAGTCATCATCTCAGTTGTTAAAAGAAAAACTTCAGCAGAATTAAATTTAAAGAAGTTTAATTGAACAATGAATGATTTGTGAATCGGGCAGCCCTCAGGATCACAGCAGATTCAGAGAGACTCCAGGGATGCCTCATGGTCAGAACAAATTTGTAGACAAACAAAGGGAAGTGAAGTGATGTACAGAAACCGGAAGTGAGGTACAGAAACAGCTGGATTGGTGACAGCTTGGCGTTGCCTCATTTGAACACAGTTTGAACACTCAGCAATGTGTGAGTGGTTGAAGCATGGCTGCTGGGATTGGCCAACACTCAGCCATTGTTACAGACACATACTCCTAAGTTAGGTTTTCAATCTTGTCTACCTATTAAGTTAGGTTACTGTTCATCCAAAAAGACTCAAATACTGAAGTACTGAGTCCTTCTCAGGACATTTTTAGTTTGCTTTAACACAGTTGTCTCATTCAATTCCTCTATTTTCCAGAAAACGATCTGGTGTCTAGGAAGAGGAAGTGACTTGTCTGAGTTCACAGGGGGTTTCCCTTGCACCCTCCACCTCCCTTCCACTCCTTCTGTAGAGCTTTTCCATCCCACTGTCAAACTCTGGAAGGGTCTTTCTTCTAAGTCTTCTCATTTTCAGAAAAGAATTTTTTTCTCTTGAGCTCTAACACAAAATTTCTTATCCCCATTGGAGACGATAAATGGAAATATATTTTGAAAAGTGAAGAGCATTATACCAACGGAGTAATCATTTTTAGTACTATTTGAAAGGTTAACTCCTAGCTAATCACAAACAGTTTCCAATATTAGGTTTTCTTAAAATGCAGCCAAATGATGACTTTCCCCGTCTTCCTCTAAACAGCCTCTCCACTGAACAATGTCAAAGAACGCCAGCCGCCACAGTAAAACCCACACCCCAGGTCCCCTCCCCTTCTGTCTGGCAAGAGGCAGGGGGAAATCACATATGTCAAGCAGGGTCTAGACATTTGAGCTGCTTTCCCTCAACTTTTGGGAGGGCTTCTTTGGGATGACAGGGGGACAAAGGGTTGCTGTGTAAATTACCATGCAAATTGCCACAGTGTTTGAACTTAAGACACCTTTGCCTGCATTAGCTCAATGAATTCGAGTTTCTGCAACTCCCACGGTAGAGAAGATGTGAGTGCCTACCAGAGCTGAGCCGCTAACCCCCTAAACAGCCCCGTATACTTGTCTCCATTGAGCTCCTAGAAATACACTTGAGGGTTGCTAAAATATGACGACCCAAATAGGGCATGCCTAAAACCATGTTTCCCTACCTTTCAGCAGGTTTCCTCTTTCAAAGCCAGTCCTAGTAGGACAGTGAGGAACAGTTCCATGGTGTGATGCTATGAGTGTGTCTGGAGGCACAAGTGAAGTCCACCATATTTAGGTAGGGAACATAGCTGCTGTGCGTTTCTTTCTTTTTCCTCCCTGTCTCCCGCCCTTTCATCTCATTCATTGGGTCAGCGCTCATGTGGGAAGTCACCTTCATCTTTGAGACTGGCACGCTTGGTATGTCAGTCCTGTCCCTGAGCCTGTGACCGAGAGGTGTGACCTCAGGGTATCTCCTTGTGGGCAGACATCTCTGACTTTTGTTTGCTGGCTTGTTGCCTCCATTCCTTCCCATGGTGACATCTGTGATGGTGAAGCCTGCTGTCCGCATGCTGAGGTGGTGGCTGTGGTTTCTGATGAGGGTTGACAGCCACTGATTGTTGGCTTGCTCAGAGCACTCAGTTCATCTTTTATTTGTAGGAAGTGACTCTATGAGGGCACAGCCCTATTTTCAGGACAAACAGGGGACCATAGAAAGTGCCCTGAGGCATGTCTATTGTTGTTGGGAGGTTCCTAAAGAGTGATTCAAGGTAGGTAGGTTTGGTCCTGCTCTTCACAACTAACTCAATGAACTCAATGGCCATTGTGGCATAACAGCAATTCACATTCAGAGGCTTTTCTTTTTTTTTTTTTTTAGTTTTAAAAAAAGCACAACACTGACAGTTAATATTTATTGACCTTTATGTGCTGGACACTGAGATGAACACTCTGCATGTTTTATCTCATTTAAACTGGACTACAGAACTTCAAGGTAGGTGTATTAGGGTTCTCCAGAGAAGCAGAAGCAATAGGACTGTGTGTGTGCATGTGTGTGGGTGGGTGTGTGGGTGTCTGTTTGTGTATTTTAATTTTTTTAAAAGAGTAATCGGCTCATGTAATTGTTGGGGCTAGCAAGTTTGAAATCAGCAGGACAGGCCCGCAGCCTGGAGATCCAGGGAAGAGTTGAAGTTGCTGCTTGAGTCTGAAGGCAACCTGGAGGCAAAATCCCTTCTTTCTTGGGCACAAGGGACAGAAGCAGGGAGACAGGAAAAAGAAAGAAAAACGAAGCAGCTATAATATGTCCGCTACCTAAATATGGTGAACGTTGCTTGTACCTCCATATATGCTCATAGCATCGTGCCATGGAACTGTTCCTCATTGTCTTACCAGGGCTGAGACACATCAGTCTTTTTTCTCAAAAGGCCTTCAACTGACAGAGTGATGCCCATTATATCATGGAAGATAATCTGCTTTACTCGAAGACTGCTGATTTAAATGCCAATTTCATCTAAAAAATACCCTCATGACCACATTTAGACTGGTATTTAACCACATATCTAGGCACTGTGCATAGCCAAGTTGACATGTAACAGGAACTATTAGAGTAGGTATCATTTTCTTTGTATAGGTGAGGAAAACAAGTCTCAGAGAAATAAATTCACTTGCAATGGTAGTTTGGATAATGGTTCCAAATATGGCCACGTTGTACTCCCCAGAACATGTAAATATTACCTTCTATGGCAAAAAGGATTCTGTAGATGTGGCTAAAGTAAGGATCTTGAGATAGGGGATGATCCCAGATTATATTGGTAAGCCCGATGTAGTCAAGTGGCCCTTCCAGGAAGGATGAAGGAGGGTCAGAGTCAGTGGAGGTGGTGTGATGGTGGAGGTAGAGACTGGAGCCATGGACTTTGAAGATGGAAGAGGGGGACACAGGCCAAGGAACACAGGTGGCCACTAGAAGCTGGAAAAGGGGAGGAAATGGATTCTCCCCAAGAGTGTTCAGAAGGAGCCAGCCCTGCCAACACCTTGCTTTCAGTGAGACTGATTTTGGACTTATTGCCTCCAGAGAGAGATAATAAGTAAGAGAATACATTTGAGTTGTATTAAGCCACTGAGTTTGCTGCAATTTGTTACAGCAGCCATAGTGAGCTAATACACTTGCCTAAGGCCATGTAGTTGGTAAATGGTAGAGGTGGGATTTGAAAGCAGGTGTGGCTGATTGGCTGACTCCGTGGCCTGAAACATGGAATGCTTTTATCATCACCAGTGCTGTTGACCTCTCTCAAACAGTAGTTCCTGAGCTCCTCTCTCCTCTCTCCTCCCATAATTCCTGTCTAGACTTTAGCCAAATGACCACAACTTTATGTATATTAACCTTATATAAAGAGGGTCAATTAGTGGTATAGGAGAGAGGGACTGGCAATAGGAGGCCAAAGGGTAATGAGGACATGATCCTCTACTTATTGGGATCCCACTGTGTAGCTGACACTGTATAAACGCTGTGTGTCATTCTCCCAGCCTCCCTGGAGGTCAGGTGCTACTGTCATCTCTACATCATAGTTGAGGAAACTGAGACCAAGAGAGGTTAAGTAACTTGCCCAAGGTCACACAGCTGTGTAGCAGAGCTGAGGCTTAAAACTAGATCAGCTTGAGCCGACACTTTCTGATCCTCTCCTCCTGGAGAGTCCTTATCATAGTGCAGCAGGAGGAGCAGCAGCAGGAGAGAAAAATGTTGGCAAAAAACTAGAGCGAGCTGAAGACCCAGCCTCCCTGGGTTCTTGCTCCCCTTCCAGAAAGCTCCATCTCAGGTGCACAGGTTCCAGTCCAGGGCCGGGGATTCCTATAGTGTCTTCCGCACCCTTAAGTGGCCTTGTTACTCCGGTCATGGAGAAACCTATTTAGGTTTCCCTCCTCTCTGCCTTCTCGCCTTTCATTTCCCCTCTGGCTCCTTGGCTGCCCTTAGCATCTGCTGAGGTAGTGTTGGCTCCCTCCCTCCCTTCTCCTCCCCCTGCTTCTTTTTCATTTTCCATTATCATTGCTGCTCTTTTCCTTTTATTCTTCAATTTTGATCGCCTACGGGGGAGGACGGGGAGCTGAGGGTGAGTGCTGCTTTCTGCAGAGATCTGGCCTGACTTCTTTTGCCTGTCGAGAGTTAATGTGCAAGCTCCCGGAGGCAGGCAGGCCTCGGTCCATCACCCCAGGGAGCTGGACAGCCCGTGCACTGCAGATGATCCCTGGCAACCAGCGGGAACTGGAGCTGTGCTGTTGCGTCTTAGCTGAGCTTATGACATCGCAGAATAGGTTATCAACGACACTGGGCTAAAAATACCGTATTTATTTTTGAAATAACTTGTTTTGGCAGTTATAAATACTCTATGAAGTCAGCTTAGAATGTAGTCTAGCAGCTCTCAGACAACTGAATAATATTTCAGATGTGCACATTATTTTCTATGCAGAATTCAGCATGCAATTTCCAGCCAATTCTTTGCTATCCTGAGTAATGGAGGGCAGATTGGGTGCAGACCAAACCAGTGAATCATCAGCTTAGTGCAGGGTTACAGCCTAGGCTTCCAAACTGAGAATTTTACTTTGGAGTAGATGTTACTAGAAGAAACGTTCAAGAAAGTTTTCTTTGCTTGCTAGGGACCCCTTTACCTTTGGGTAGCAGAGAGCTGAAGCGAGTCATCATAACTCCTTCCCTTCTTCTCTTTCTCTTTCTGTCTTCCCTACCCCTCCCTCCTCTCTCCCTAGTTAAGGGCTATTAAAAAAAGCCACAATACCATTGTCACACTTAAAAAATTAATAATTCCTTAATATCAGGCTTCATCTAGTTTAAAAAACTATTTGAATCAGGATCCTATTAAGATCCACACAGTGCCATTGATTGATATATCTCTTAAGTCTCCTTTAACCCATACGTTCTCCTTCCATTTCTCTCTCCCTCTCTCTTTGAAATTAATTCGTTGAAAAGGTCTACATTTTTACTTGCTGCATAGTATTCCCCAGTGGGGATCTATCATTTCTCCCCCATTCTCCTATTGATGGGCATTTTAGGTTGTTCTTTTTTCTTTTCTTTTTTGAGACGATCTCACTTTGTTGCCCACGCTGGAGTTCAGTGGCACGATCGCAGCTCACTGCAGCCTCCATCTCCTGGGCCCTAGTGATCCTCCCACCTTAGCCTCTCAGGTAGCTGGAACTACAGGCCTGGGCCACCATGCCTGGCTAATTTTTGTTTTTGTTTTTTCTGGAGAGACACAGGTCTCACTGTGTTGCCCAGGCTGGTCTTGTACTCCTGGGCTCAAGCAATCCTTCCATTTCAGTCTCCCAAAGCGTTGGGGTTACAGGTGTGAGCCACTGCACCTGGCCTGGTTGTTTTCAAACTCTTACTGGCACCCATGTGCTACTGTGTGAGATCTTTGTGCACATGTGCCAACATTTCTCTAGGGTAGCTACAAAGACACAAATATGGAAAATTGAAGGGCAAGCACACTGTATTCGGTTGAACCATATGAAATTTTTGTAGGCCAAAGACAGTTGATTATTGGCAATTTCAAATGGTTCAGCCTAATACATTTTCATTAAAATTGCTAAATTGCCTATAAACATATTGTAGGAATTTGCTTTCCTCCCACCAATTTATAAGGGTTCCCATTTCCCCATACCATTGCCACTGTTAAAATGATCATTGTTTTACATGTTCTGTGAATCTGATGGGTGAAGAACAGTTTTCACTGTGCTTGCCAATGACTCTCAAGAGCTGTGGTACATGCAGTGAGCAGGTCCTTCTTCTGGTAGGAGCCAGATCTCCTCAGCATGACCCATACAAGATGGGCAGTACTGCTGCTGGGCTGTGCCCAGATAAAGCAGGTGACCCGTCAGGTGGGCTAACTGCAGACAGAGAGAGGGGATTGGCTACATTTTCAGGTAGCTGCTGCTTCTCCTTCTCCTTCTTCTTTTTAACAGAGATGGGATCTTGCTACGTTAGTCAAGATGGCCTCGAACTCCTGGCCTCATGCAGTCTTCCTACCTCTTGCTCTCAAAGTGCTGGGATTACAGGTGTCAGCTACCACACGCCTGGCTATGTGAATTCTTTTCACTCCCTAGACTGAGCCGTGACCCCTAAGATAAGCTTATACCTGGCTGAAATAGGAAGCCGTTCAGCTGAAGCCTGTTGGCTTCATAGTTTGTGGCTACATAGGTAGCCTTCATCTCTGCTAAGGTACCTGCATTGGCTAGTGAGGAGTGACAATGGGCTGAATGGGAGTGAATACCCAAGGGCTCAAATATCCCTGGAAGGATATCTGGGCATTGCAAGGGCTGGGTCCCTGCTGTACCACCAGCTTTGCCCATTCAGGGCCTGAGAGGTTTCTTGCACTTGCTTCCCTAGTTAAGAGACCTAGTATGGAGGGAGGGGCATGGGAGGAAGTGATGGTGGTGGAAGGGACACTGGACTAGAGATTAAGAGACCTAATTTTGAGAACTTGTTTTGTCCATTAAAGCAATGTGACTGGGCCATTCCCTTCTTCAGTCTATCCCCAGGTGTCCCAACTGGAAAATGGGGGCATAAGGGCCTGTGTACCCCCTCTCTCCCCTACCAGTGTTATCACAGTGTTGCCGAGTCTGCAAAAGCATTTTGAAGGCATCTGTGTGCTCTGCAAAAGCAAGGCTTAATGTTCAAAACCCACAGACTCTGCAAGCTAGAGAAATGCCCCCTTTCCTGGTAATTATTCAGTAATTATTCACATAAGAAGGATTTCATTGTTATATTTCATATATTCGTTGTAGTTGATGGCCTTTTAATAGTGACATTGAGTTTGTGTACAGAAAGGTTATTCATTTTAAGATTTCTGGGCCTTAATTGTTATTTGTTTTGCTTGGTTCCAGTGTGCTATAAATTAGTGATATCGACAGAACGTATTTGTCTTGGCACCATGATGTATTGTCTGTAGAGAGTGCTGTTTGGCCTGGCATCGGCCTGGATTTCCCCATCTGTTTCTGATGTTTACATTGTTAAAGATACGATAGACACATAGGACATGGCCACATGCAGAGAGGGAACTTTTATCCACTCCAGTGCATCAAACAAGGTCTGAGCCTGCAATAAGCACAGCCCTAAATTACACTTGAGGCTGCTTAACGTCCAGGCCCAGCCCCTGCAATGGCGGATTGATTGCTCGAGCCCTGGGGTATTCACTCTCAGGAACGTTTTTAGCGGGCTCAACAGCTCAATCTTGACAAACTCATTTTTGCCTTGCATTTGAAAAGGGAGAACTGCACAAGCACAGGCTGCATTCCAATGTATTCCTGAGAAGCTCCAGAAAACCAGGGGTAGGAAGGATAAGGCATCAGTCTCAAGAGAATACCAGCGCCCTGTCCTTGGGGCAAATCTCTCCTGGAGGTCAGGGACCTGCAAGGGACTGGTGCTTGTTGTCAGTTCTGCTTCTGCAAGGCCCATCTCTCTGCAGCAGTGGGAGAAAAGATATCCTGTGGCTGGGCTGGTCCTAGGCCTCATAGAATTCTCCCACACATTGCCCACAATCTGCTAAAGTAGGGGCCCACATCTTTTTGTGAAGAGGCGATCTTAAAGTTTCCTCATTGTACGACCACAGGAGGGGAAGAAAGGAGGAAGGGGGTGTAGTCAGTTGGGTAGCGGAAAGGCATTGGAGTCTGTTGAGAGCAAAGGCTTTTTCCTCTTTAAACTCCCCAAATAAATGTGTGTGCATGCGTGATTGTGTGTGCATGCATGTGTGCATAAGGGGAGGTGGGAGGGAGAGGGAGATTGATTGCACGAGGTACAGGCATTGCTGATGGAGGCAGCCAGCAGCCTTTTGATTAGCTTGAGGCAAGACTTTGACATCTGCTGTCACTTCATTACTGTCAGCCTGGAAACCCTCCTCTGTACCCACTTCACACGTTGCTCTGGAGTCAGAGCAAGACCTGTCTTTCATTGTTGCTGAACTGTGATCTCCTTTCAATTCCCTGAAATGAAGGAGCTGGGAGGTTGGTTTCTTGAGCTTTCCCCCCTGCATCCAAGAGGGCACAGAGGTCTGGGTTTTGGAGCTTGGAGAGGAGAAAACATCTTCACATACTCACTTCGGTTGGAGTGGAAACCAAGTCTACTTTTCCCACTTGCCTTATGCTTTTCTCCTTTTCTAACCTGGTGTCCTATTTGGGTAGGTACAGCTCCCGGTGGGGAAGACCAGAGTGGCAAATTATGTGGAATCATTCGACGTTGCAGGCCTGTTCAAATATCTGCTCACTGGTCACAGAAAAGTGCTTAAATTCCCTAATCCAGGCCTTCCATCTTGTGCCCAGAAGCACTGTTTTTTAAACAATTCCCCTATTCCTCTCCCCAATCTCTCCTCTATCCTGCAGTCCAGATAAACTTTCCAGGACATTCATGGAAGGGTGATATATTGAAAGAGTCGTTAGTGTTTTATTTTGCTATATTTTTCCCTGTCACTATGACTCCTGCGCTCTGAAGGAGGTATCCAGACTTTGTATTTAACCCCAGGAGAGGCTTATGTTTTCTGGGGAGAAAGCAGAAGTTAACTGAAGAGAAGGAACACTCTTCTTAGCTTTGTTTCCTGAAAGCCCAAACTTCTTGAGAGGATTATGCTAGCAAGGATCACGGAAGAGGAGGAAAGGAGGACCGCCAGGGGCCTAACCTGCTCAGGGTTATACTCCATCCTTTCTGGCCCGCCACTTGCTCTTCTGGAAACGCTCAAATAACCCCCACCGGTCTTTACAACTCAGCTCAGGTGTGAGCATAAGAACTCATGTCTGACTCCTTCCTGGGAACTGCCCATGCTCCTGTGAACACCCATGCCACCCTCTATCTCTCTCATCACAGCCCTGATCACAATGGGTTTGAGTTGCCTATAAGATGCCGGTCTGGTTGGGTGCAGTGGCTCACTCCTGTAATCCCAGCACTTTGGGAGGCTGAGGTGGGTGGATCACCTGAGGTCAGGAGTTCGAGACCAGCCTGGCCAACATGGTGAAACCCCATCTCTACCAAAAACACAAAAAGTAGCTGGGTGTGGTGGCACACGCTTGTAATCCCACCTACTTGGGAAGCTGAGGCAGGAGAATGGCTTGAACTCAGGAGGCAGAGGTTGCAGTGAGCCGAGATAGTGCCACGGCACTCCAGCCTGGGCAACAGAGCGAGACTCTGTCTCAAAAAAAAAAAAAAAAAAAAAAAGATGCCTGTCTTCTCCAGGGCTGGTGCTGGGCAACAGGGGCCAGACCGTGTTTGCTGAGTGGCTGGCTGGTCTCTGAGGGCCGCTCCTGTGATTCCTTCTGTCTATGGCACCCTTTTCTGGGCTGGCCCTGGTCCTCTTGCCCCGCTGGTCTGTTATATTGAGGAAGATCCCTTCACTCTCCTGTCCAGTGAGGGGGCAGGGCTGGATAATCCCCCAAATGCTTCCCAGTGCTAATATACCCAGGGAAGGAGACCATGGGACCTCAAACAAATAAAGGTGGCCACACTCATTGTTCTTTTTTAACACCACCATCTCCCCCACCATAGCTGTGGCTTTGGCTGAGGTGACATGGTCAGGGAAGGGCATGCATGAACCTATCCCCCAGAGATCCAGAACCTTCCCTTTTAAACTGGGTGTCCCCCAGCCATTTGTTTCTTAGTAAACAGCATCACCGCCCATCTGGTTCTGGAAGGCAGAAGCCCAGGAGCCATCTCTCAACACCTTGCTTGTCTTCACCGCAGTCCCCATCCAATCCACTACTTGGTCCTGGAGAGCTTCTAAACATCTCTTGAATCCAAGCACATCTCTCCATTTCCATCCCCAGCCCCGCAACCAGCACTCTGCCAAGACTACCCCCTCATCTTTCTCCTGCATCCACCATTCTGCACCTGGACTACTGCAGATCCTACCTGACTGGTCTTTGCACACCAGCTCTATCCCCCACCCTCCCATTGAGACTCCACACTGCAGCCAGAGTGATCTTGAAATTCAAATCTGAGTCTGATTCTCTCTCTCTCTGTTTTTTTTTATTTTTTTTTGAGATGGAATCTTGCTCTGTCGCCCAGACTGGCGTGCAGTGGCGTGATCTCGGCTCACTGCAAGCTCCACCTCCCGGGTTCACGCCATTCTCCTGCCTCAGCCTCCCGAGTATCTGGGACTACAGGTGCCCACCACGACGCCTGGCTAATTTTTTGTATTTTTTTTTAGTAGAGACGAGGTTTCACCATGTTAGCAAGGATGGTCTCGATCTCCTGACCTGGTGATCTGCCTGCCTCAGCCTCCCAAAGTGCTGGGATTACAGGCATGAGTCACCGCGCCCAGCCTGATTCTCTCTCTTTTGAATAACTTCCCATTGTTCTTAGGGGAAAGAGAAAAGTCCAGCCATAACCTACAAGTCCCTACCTGCCTCTTCTAGTTCTTCTCACACCAGGTCTCTCCTGTGGCTTGCTTATCCAATCAGTCTTGCCTTTCGTCCTTTCATTGCATGCCCCAGGATACCTTCTGTCACAGGTCCTGTGTGCATGCCTATCACCTGTCACAGTTGCAGTTTTATAGTTGTGAATGAAATTGTTTGATTAATATCTGTTTCCTTTAGACTGCTAGACCCAGGAAGGCAAGACCATGCCTAGTTTTGATCATCATCATATCTCTTTGCCTATCATGGTGTTTGGCACTCAATAAACTTTCGTTGAATAAATTAATTTAAAAAGGAAGGGTGGGACCAGGTGCAGTGGATCATGCCTGTAATCCCAGCATTTTGGGAGGCCAAGGCAGGTAGATCACTTGAAGTCAGGCGTTTGAGACCAGCTTGGCCAACATGGTGAAATCCCGTCTCTACTAAAAATACAAAAATTAGCCAGGTGTGGTGGTGCATACCTGTAATCCCAGCTACTCAGGAGGCTGAGGCAGGAGAATCACTTGAACCTGGGAGGCAGAGGGTAAAAAGGAAGAGATGGCAAATATAGACACAACTTGGTCAACATTTGATCAACGAAAGGTCAACATTTGTATACTTACTTGATTGGAACATATCCAGTTTTTGATACTAGTTGGTAACTATAAACATTAAAGAATAAGAAATGTTACTGGAGAAACCCTGTTTTCTGCCTTTTATTCATCAAGTCTTAATATAGTAAAGAGAATAAAGATTTGCTCCATTGTAAAAGGTCCCATATGGCCTTAAGAATTTGTTCTAATAAAATGATGAATGGCTCTTCACTCCATTAACAAATGATCATTAATTTTAATTCAAATGTCTGACATCTGTTCCTGATCTTTGTCCTTTCAAGTGTAATTAAAATAATTGTAAATATGCAATTCATCATTGAAAGTTACAGGTGATTGTACTATGTGGTATCTACTCTCCAGCCAGTGAGACTGTATTTCCTTGAGGGTGGAATTCATTCCAGCCATCAGCATGGGGGAACTGCTTAGGGTTATGGGGGAACAGAAGCGGAGTTTGTCTGTGTGGGAGGTGGCCATTTAAAGAGATGGCTTAAAAATGAACTTCCTGGCTGGGCACAGTGGATCATGCCTGTAATCCCAGCACTTTGGGAGGCCGAGGTGGGCAGATCACAAGGTCAGGAGTTCGAGACCATCCTGACCAACATGGTGAAACGCTGTCTCTACTAAAAATACAAAAATTAGCTGGGCGTGGTGGTGCGCACCTGTAATCCCAGATACTCAGGAGGCTGAGGCAGGAGAATCGCTTGAACCTGGGAGGCAGAGGTTGCAGTGAGCTGAGATTGCACCACTGCACTCCAGCCTGGGCAACAGAGCAAGACTCCGTCTCAAAAAAAAATAATAACTTCCCTCTGATATGACCGAGAAGCAGTTCTCCAAAGGGCAGCTCCATGGCTGTGGCCTTTTTGCTTTTGGGGTCATGTTTTTTTAGGTATCCACCCAGAATATGGTGGGATTTCAAGGAGCTGGAAAAGTCTTCCTTCTCACTCACACCCCCAGAATAATCTAATCAAATATGCCTGATTCCTATAAGAAACAAAATGTTCCTTCTCACACTTAGAAGGGCTGTAAATTAAAGTGCCTTTGGAAGTGGAGATATTTTAATTCCCACTAAAGTAGCAATGACTGATATAAGCTCATTTCCTAAGAGGAAGCTTTAACATGGGAAGGATCCTAGGTGCCTAGAATAAGGAAAAGGACATAGAAAGGGAGGCTTACCAATACTCTCTTGCCTAGGCATTTCCAGAACTCTTAGATTTCATACCTTGCTCTGCCCTTGTCAGAGTAACAGGAGACGCCTGGAGCAGACAGCATGTGGAAGGGATTACCTCTGGGGTGAGGAGCTTGGTGCTGAAGCTGTCTGTAGGCTCAGTTCTAGGCTGTCTCAGGGAAACACAGAAATGGTGACTTTCTCAATGCCTGTAGGAATCTCTGGTCCCTGGATAGGAGAAAACTGGCCTCGATCAACTGGGTCAGCAACTACCACAGAGCCACTCCCTTACTAAACCTCTCATATCTCTTTCTGGGAGAAAACAGGCTCTATTGTGGATGAAATAAAACTTTTACTACACTGCGGAAAACTGTGCAAGTGAAGTGTTTTCCATATACCTGGGTCTGAATTGTTATAGGGAAATTTTGTTGTAATAGGGCCTATGATCTCAGAAACCAGGTTTTTATCCGGAGGCTATTCTACTTTTATAACCATATCAAATCAGTGGAACATATGAGCTTGTGATGATTTTGTTTCTTAGATCTGTCGTGTTTGTGAAACCAATTTCTGCTCCTGACACAGGTTCAGCCAGGACATTGTATCAGGAGAAAGGAATGGGTATCTTTCTTCCTCCCTCCGTCCTTCCCTCCCTTCTTTCCTGTTTTCCTCCTGACTCCCTCCTACCCCTTCCTCCCTCACTCTCTTTCCTTCTGATCCCTCTTTCTAACCAAAGGAAGGGTTTAAGACTTTTCTGGGGATCTGTTTTCCCCCATTAAACCCAGGAGAGTAGGTGTTGATGATGCCAGTCCTGGGATCAGGGAGGAGAAAACTCCTGAACTCCTGTCACTTATCCATCTTCCATTCTCCCCATGCTTTTAGGAGGTGGGAGTGAAACGGAGAAATGTCTCC
Source organism: Homo sapiens (assembly GCF_000001405.40). Lineage (NCBI taxonomy): Eukaryota > Metazoa > Chordata > Mammalia > Primates > Hominidae > Homo > Homo sapiens. The sequence continues at coordinate 219,778,384 of NC_000002.12, forward strand.
CCTGGTAACAGCCTGCATGCAAGCAGAAGAGGTGCCTATGAGGTTGTAATAACTGTGAAGTTCAGATTTGCTGCGGAGGAGTAGGTTTGAATGATAAGAAGCCATAAGCATCTCTTCTATTTTCTCCTGGGGTCTCTTCCCTGTTGAAAACAAGGAAGCTGTAACTTTCCTTGAGTTAAACTAGCTATTCCCAAGTAAATGTCTCAGCTATTTCAGTCTTCCAAGGTGGGACTTTCGCCATCAATTAGTTTGCAAATCTTTAATCCTAATGCTTAAAATATTACCTCTGGACATTCTACGCATGCTGTGTTTGACGGAAAGGGACAATTATTTCTGGCCTTAAAATAGACTGAATCTGAAGCTGTATTTGAATCTTCCTCTCACATCAACACCTTGTAATCGATGGGGTACATTTTTTATAGTTGGTGAGAGGAAATATAATTCTATATGTAGAAATTTGGATGGCTAGGTGAAAAAATAACTATATTTTTCTTTGCAAAAATGTAGTACAATGCATTTAGCTGTATGTCCTAGAAAAAGGAAAATAGTTTTTCCAGGAAAGCTCAAGTGGGAGGAACATACCACCCAGAGCTGACCCACTGTTGATATTCTTGCAGATTTTCCCTAAGCAAGTATCTGTATATTTTTTCCAAAAATCATCTCATATTACACTTACTATTGTTTCATTAGCTGCTTTTTTTTAACTTACCAATATTCTGTCAATTTATTTCTATGAAAATACATAAAAATCTACACCCTATTTTTTAAATGGCTGCATAGAATCTAGTTGTATGGATACGGATTAATTTACTTAATAGCTTTTCTATTGATATATATTGAAGTTGTTTTTTATTTTTCACTGTTATAAATAACTCTGAGATAAACATCATTTTTATACCTTTAAAAAATTATCCAATTATGTTTATAGAATGAATCTTAGAATTCCTGAGTGAAATGTATATGAATATATGCCTGTTATAAAAATTCAAGAAAGTGCTCCTCCAACTACAGCCCCCCTCTTCCCCATAGAAGATGTGGTATATTTGCATGTGTTTTGTGAAGCTGTGGGACACAAGATTAGTGTGACACAAGAAAGATAATGGTTCATGAAACAGTAACAACAACAACAAGAAGAAGAAACAATTCCTATTAGAAATTTTTCTTCTGACTTCTCCTATTTCCCCACTCCTTCCCCCCTTGTATCATTCAGCTACTCCCTTGAGTCTCTTTTACCTCCTTTATTATGGGTAGAATGTTTCCTCTTCGGTGTGAAAAGTCAACATTTCATTCATTCAATCAAAAAATACCCATTAAGTGCTACCATGTCTTGTCCTGTTCTATGTTTAGGGGTTCAGAAGGGAACCAAAGAGAACTGGTCCTCCAGCAGCTTACCAACAAAAGAGAGAGAGGGGAGATTGAGAGAGAGAAAGAGAGAGAGACAGAGAGAGAGAGAGAGAGACTTGCACTAAGATAATGAGATCTATTTTTTTATTTGTTTATTCTTGAACCTTTACTATATTGTTTAACTTATTGTACCTTTATGGTATATTTTAATATGAGCAGGGCAAGACCCTTAGAACTATTTTTAAGGGAATCAGTTAAACAGAGATACAGGGCCAGGCATGGTGGCTCGTGCCTGTAATCCCAGCACTTTGGGAAGCTGAGGCGGGCGGATCACCTGATATCAGGAGTTCGAGACCATCCTGACCAACATGGTGAAACCCTGTCTCTACTAGAAATACAAAAATTAGCTGGGCGTGGTGGCGGGTGGCTGTAATACCAGCTACTCGGGAGGCTGAGGCAGGAGAATTGCTTGAACCCGGGAGGCGGAGGATGCAGTGAGCCAAGATCGCACCAATGCACTCCAGCCTGAGTAACAGAACGAGACACCATCTCAAAACAAAACAAAACAAAAAAACGAGATACAGGGCAAATATCAGGAGAAAGGGGGGAATCTAGAGGGATTTCTAGAGGGACTAGGAAACTCCCTTCTGATTAAAAATATTTTGGTACCCAGAGAATTTTGCCTACTTCCTGGGAGGGAGCAATGCTGACTTCACATGTAGGAAGCCTGGGGCATCCTCAGGTTCAGTCAAAGCAATTTGCTTCCCTCTCATATCTAAAAAGAATCGAGCAGGCAACAGTAATGTTCCTGTGACTGAAATGATCAGTCCCTGGAGTGGAGCAATGACTTTAGCCAGCATAATAATCAAACTGAATTGCAACATCCTCAGTGCAGTTCATTGATGCAAAATTGATCATGATGAGAGAAAGAAATAATCAATTTACTCAAGCCATGGCTAACCTGGTTCCCTTGAATGTAACCCAAGTGTAAAATGCTCACATTTCTTAAGCAGATTTTTCTTTTATTTTGATTTCTAGCAATTCTATTTCCTTTTAAAATTCAAATAAATATCAACTTTTTACGGTTGTTGACGAATAACTTGTGATGCAGATTTTTCCCATATTTGAGTTTTAACTGACTACTGTACTCCCCAGACTAAGTAGAAATTGATTTTAGAAAGTCAAAGGATACAATTCTGTCGAATGGTTTTCATTTTACGATGATAGTGTAGTAGCAAATGAGGACATTAGAATAAACATCATGAAGTCTGAGCTGTGAGCATCAATAGTGTTTTTCTTTCTTAAATAGCTATTAGAGTTATTGAGTTATCCATTTTATAATATTATTTGTGATTATGCTAGAGTCAGAAGAAAAGAGGAAGCTCTGGTAATGTAGATTATTTTCTAATGCTTTAAGAAGGCATATTGGATAGAGAATCCAAGATTTTGGTTTTTGATCTAGCCCTAAGTCCATACTAGCCTTAGTATGCCATTTTTCTTCTGTGAATCTCAGTTGTACCATAGGTAAAATGGGAAAAATAAGACTTGCTTTACCCATATTTTGGATTGTTGAATGCACTGAAAAAGATAATGCATAGCAGGCTACTTTATAAAAGGCAAATCATGATCAATCTTAAGATACTGTTCAGGGATTGTGCCTATAAAATGCCAAGCAAATATCTAGGAACAGAAAATGTTGGCCAAATTCCCTCTTGAGTGGTACATTGTAAATAACCCATTTACCCATGAATTAATTTTTGGATCTGATTGAAACAGTCCCAGTGCACGCTATCATTTTTAGTGATGGTCATTTTTTGAGCAAATCTAGGGGCTCTCTCTCTCTCCGGCACGCTCTCTCTCTCTCTCTCTCTCTCTCTCTGTGTGTGTGTGTGTGTGTGTGTGTGTGTGTGTTTGTGTGGCGGGGGTCGGGAGGGGGTGGGGGGTATTTTCTTTCCCTAAGAACAATTACTCTTTGGTACCTGAGCATGGAGGACCAGATGGTATGGATTAGTGGTTCCTAAACCCAGATCTCCATTAGACTCTCAGAGAACTTAAAAAAAATTCTGATTCCAAGTTCTTACTCCAGATCTACTGAATCAGAATTCTCAGAGGCTGGGTCCCCCAAATCTGTGTTTTCAACCAGAATTTTTTTTTTTTTTTTTTTTTTTTTTTGAGACGGAGTCTCACTCTGGTGCCAGGCTGGAGTGCAATGGCATAGTATTGGCTCACTGCAACCTCCACCTCCCAGGTTCAAGTGATTCTCCTGCCTCAGCCTCCAGAGGAGCTGGGATTACAGGCACCCACCACCATGCCCAGCTAATTTTTGTATTTTTAGTAGAGACAGTGTTTCACCATGTTGGCCGGGATGGTCTCGATCTCTTGACCTTGTGATCTGCCCACCTCGGCCTCCCAAAGTGCTGGGATTACAGGCATGATCCACCGTGCCCGGCCCAGATTTGTGTTTTTACCAGTGCTTCAGATGCATGACCAGGTTTAGGGCCATGAATGGTAGTAGATTTCAGGAGGCGAAGGTTCTACCTCTTGCTCTGTTGTATTCACGGAGTCTCTCTGGGCCTCACTTTCCTCATCAGTAAAATGTCTGCGTTTTTAAGCTGCAATCAAAATCCAAGGGCAGAGGAGCTTCAGATACTTTGTAAATAGTGAAGCATTTAAAGCTAATCTGAAGATTTAAACTGTCCTAAGAACCCCTCATTGCTTTTATTTCTTTAATATTCCGGGATTTTGAAAGCCTCTGTTTGAAAAGAATTCTATGTCTAAGGAAGTTTAGGGCCCACTAAGAATCTATGACCTCTGTATTACCTTCTACCTCTGACAATCTTTGGTTATATAGCCACTCTTAAACTGCTCTCAGAGAAAGGTGGCATAAAACTTCTTTCTTTTGTTTCATGTTCTGGTTATTAAAAGTCAGTGCAAATTTCAGCCACGTTGAGAGACCAGCTCTGAGGATAATTTAGATCTTCAAAGAACACTCCTCTGGCACCTTGAAAAAGTTGTCTTAAAGCAATTAAATGTTATTTGAAAGAAGGAAAAAGCACAAGCTGACTACTGAATTACAGAAATAGTATTAAAAACCAAAACAATCCTTACCCTGGGATCAAAGCCAGGGAGAGGCAGAGCGATCATGTGCAGAGGATCAGGGGAGAGGGGAAGAAAGGGAGGTGTTAAAATGGCTTTGGTTCAATTAAAGATGTGAATGTGCAATTTGGGGATAGTCTTCTGAATGTGGAACAATAGCTGGCAACAGAAACATGAATGGCCCCACGAGAACTCGCAATGCAAGAAACGCTGGATTATGCGTCTCTGTTCAGACAAGGGGCCAAGTAAAGGAACAAAACAAACAAGTGGACATAATTGTTTGCCATACAAGGGAGCCACAGACCACTCAGCATATGGTATGTGGAGATTTTGGAATGCATGGGAAATCTCATTTGGAATGACTATTCTGGTTTCAGAGACCTGGGAGCCAGATGGGAATGGGCCTGACTGGAAGATGAGGTGAATTGTACTCTACATTTTGTATGCAAAACAGTATTTCTCAGTTTCATCGCCCACGTTATTCACAAAACTTGGCTCCAGAAGACTTTTATTGCTTCCCAAACTCAAATCTTTCCACAAAGTACAAAGATATGCCATTAGTGAGGATATTTGGGAAACACACTGCAGACTCTGGAGAAAATTCCTAAAAAAGGAGACACAAAACTCTTTTGAGTAACATAGGGACTAAGTGCATTGAGTTCCCAGGTATCTAGTGAGGATTGGCCTCGCTGGGTACGGGAGGCTGATGCTTGGTGCTTTTTGTGCCCTGTTTACGGAGCTTTCAGAAAATGAAGAAGACTGGGCTGCAGACCTGTGGGGCCTGGTGAGAGGTAGCTGCGTTGCAGTCTGTGGGACATTGCAACTTAGATGCAAGAATTCACAAAGCACCAAGTATAGGGAATCTATGTCCTGGCAAGACATAGATATGAAAAAAAAAAAAAAACCCAACTCTACAAGTCTATGCATGCTAAGGATGTTAGGTCATTGGTTCTGAGCCAGTTATAAGAAGGGGCAGAAAGAGAAATTCTTAGAGCAAATACATCTGGGACAGTTTAAGTAAAATGGATTTTTTAAAAAAATTCAGGACTTCTCATAGCTTTTGCTATTCTAGGGAAGGGATATTGTATGCAGCATTTTCCAAGTGTATTTGCTCATGGAACCATTTATTTGCATGACATCTCCTGGGACTAATGTTCTGTGGAACACAAAGGAAAGAAACCAGGTCAAACAATCTTAGGGACCTTAGTCTTTCCTCATCTTAGAAATCAGGTTATAGGCTCCAAGAAGGAAAATGATTTTCCCAAGAGCACACAGGTGGTTTTTGGCTCACTCTGGATGAGAAGCCAGTGCGTGACATGCGAGATAACAGGTCTTAGCTATCCAGGCGTCTCTTTCTACTACATCCTACTGGATTTGTCATCGTTGCTTTGTGTGCCTCTGAGGAAGGGGCTCGATGCTATTCTACAGTAACTCAGAACAGGAGAAGGGTATTCAGGGGTCAAATTTTAAGGGGGCTTGAATGCCAGGCATGTTTGGATTTTATCCTGTTGCATTATTCTTCCATTTTGGTGCTTATGACATTGCATCATCATTGTCTCTCAGTGGCAGATGCTGTTGAAACAGGAGAGTTCCCTGATCCCCCTCGCAGGACATGTGACAGGGGTGTGGGTTGCTTGTTCAGTCACCACCACTGCTCAAACCCCTGACAGGAGGGGGAGCACACAGACGGGCAGGTGCAGGAGCCCAAGTGGGCATGTGTGACAGTGTGCCCTTTTAGCCTTGCCGTCTGCGGATGGCTTGAGTGTTAACCAGCTCAGTGGACCCTCTGCCTTTCTGCAAGGGCAGAGGGCTGGTGTGACAGCTTTCTGTACCCCGAGTTCTTGTTCAGCATCCTGGAAGGATTGGGTCACACACAGACTTGAAGGATGAATGCAGGGTTTTACTGAGTGGTGGGGGTGGTGCTCAGTGGGATGGATGGGAGCTGGAAAGGTATGGAGTGGGAGATGATCTTCCTCTGGAATTGGGCCATCCAGCAGCTGAATTGCTCTCCAATCGCCCCCAGCTGAACTCCTCTTGGTGTTCATATGTTCCTCCTCTTCTCTCTTTCCTGCAGTGTCATTCTGCTGTTCATCTGCTTGTCTCCTCGTCTCCTCATCTGCTCATCTGCTACTGGAGCCTAGGGTTTGGGGTTTGTATGGGTACAAGATAGGGGGCATGGCAGGCCAAAAGACAACTTTTTGGGTGCAAAAACAGGAATCCCTGTCCCTGTTTAGGGCCGTGGGTCTCCAGCCTTGAGGATGGGGTCTTTGTCGGGGAACCGTCCTTTTCTATTTCTTTGTCTGCTGTCCATATCAGTTACTTTGCTCACAGTTCTTGCTTCTTGTACCACCCTTGCCGTGCTGGATGGAGTGCACTTTCTCACCCCATTGATGTTGGGTTGAGCCATGTGTTATGGGCTCAAGTGCATACCCCTCAAATTCTTATGCTGAAGTCCTATCACCCAGGACCTTAGAATGTGACTGTATTTGGAGATAGGATTTTTAAAAACTAATTAAGTTAAAAGAGGTCAATAATCTGTGCCCTAATCCAATATGACTGGTGTCCTTACAAGTAGAGGAAATTTGGACACAGACTCTTACAGAGGAAAGACCAGGTCTTTCTGTAGTAGGCAGACATTTACAAGCCAGGGAGAGAGGTCTCAGAAGAAACCAAACCTGCTGACACCTTGATTTTGGACTTGGAGCTTGCAGAACTGTGAGGAAATAAATTTCTGTCATTTAAGTCACCCAGTGTGTGGTACCTTGTAGTGGCAGCCCTAGTAGATTAATACACCATGTGACTTGCTTTGGTCCAAGGCACGTGGGTGGAAGTGCCTGTGAACCAGCTCTGAGTGCAGCCCTTCAGAGGCATTGCTTGTTTCCACTTGCCCCTCTTGTGCTTCTGCCACATCTTCTAAGAAGAGCATGCCCTGGACAGCGGCTGACCCCAGAAAGAGCCATGGGGAGCAGAGTAGACCCAAATCCAACTTGTAGCTTCAAGCAGAGCCACCCAGCCAGTATACAGACCTGTGAGGAAGAAAAATAAACCACTGAAATTCTGGGGTTGTTCCTCATGCAGCATTTTTGAGCAACAGTTGACTCATTCATTCCTCCACTTTACTGTAAGCTCATTAAGGGCAAGACTCACTTGTGCTTGGTTGTATTCCCAGCTCCTAGCACTGTGCCTGGCACACAGTAGGTGCTCAGTAAATGCTTTTATAATTTATGCACAAAGAGGGATGAGCCCAGGAAGATTTTTGAGCAGTTAGATGATGTGAGTTTTGAGCAGCTTAATTTGGCAGTGATATATAGAACAGATTAGAGGGATGGTGACCAATTAGGATATCGTTGTCTAGGGAAGAAGTAATGAAGACTTGGACCAGAGAGTGGGGTGCATTCAGGTCCTGTGGAGTCTGAAGCTTAGATCATTTTGGAGGCTGTCTTTGGAGGTCAATGAATACAAACTTATGAGTATAAAATTAAGGACAGGCCCTTGGAAGGGTCCCTTGGAAGTTAGGTGCCCTGAAGCTTAAGTGTTATTAGATTCACGGTAAATCCAGCTCTACCAGAGGGCCATAGTAGCAGACACCGTCTGAGTAAAAATTATTTGTACAGCACTGTGCTGTGTGCTTTATATGTATTATCTTATTTGTTTTAGTTAATGAAATGCTGGCTTCTGTAAGAAATAAACCACAAAATGTCAGGGACCTAACACATGACATCTGTTGTGGGTTCAATCTCCTCAAAATTCATGTTGAAGTCCTAACCCCCAGTACCCCAGATTGTGACCTGTTTTGGAAATAGGGTTGTTGCAGATGAGGACATCAGAGTGGTCCCTAATCCAATAAGACTGGTCTCCTTATAAAAAGGAGAAACTTGCATGTACACACACACACACACACACACACACACAGAGAGAGAGAACACTATGTGAAGATAAAGGCAAGAAACTGGGTGATGCTTCTACAAGCCAAGAAATGCTAAATATTGCCAGCAAACCATCCAAGGTTAGAGGAGAGCTGTGGAGCAGATTCTCCTTCACAACCCTCAGAAGGAACCAACCCTGCCAATACCTTGATCTTGGACTTCTAACTTCCAGAACCATGAGACAACAAATTTCTGTTGTTTAATCCACTCCATGTGTGTATGTTGTTATGGCAGCCCTAGCAAACTAATACAACATCCAAAAGAGTGTTCATGATTGGTAGGTGGCTGTCATCCGGGAGTTATCAGGGACCTAGGCTTTTCCCATCTTATGGTTCTACCATCTTCAACACATGACTTCCAAGATCCTTGGGCTGGTCTACCAGAAGATGATGGAGGATGGAGAGCACGGAGGATCACAAGAGAATGGTGTTATGGGCCACATCTGGAAGCAGTAGACACCATTTCCACTGACATTCTACTGGTTGGAACACAGTCACATTGTCACACCTAAAGCAAAGGATGCTGGGAAGTGTGGTCTGACTATGCACCCAGGAAGAAGAGGAAATGGATGTGGAGATTAGACAGCTTGTCTTAGCCTTATCTCATAATGTTGCTCCCAAAGCCAGGCCATTGTGGAGACTGGAGCGCAAGCCCTATGTGGCAGATCCCTATGGCCTCATCTGCAGGATCACCCACCTGCCAAGGTGGTTTGACTGACTTGAGCTAGGTGAAGAATCATTCTGGTGTGCAGATAAACAATGGTGTGAAGGGTATGTCTCTTCCCTGATACAAAAGTTACCTTCTCTGCCCTGCAGGTGCTTTGGTTGAGAAACTGCACTGATTTCTAGACAGAGAACCTACTGGCTCTTTCATCTCTGACCTGTGTTTATTTGGTAATGATTGACTAAGCCCCAGACATGGTTAAGAGGTTAGAAAAGCATCAGATCATTATGGCTAAAATAAGTTGAATATTGGCTAAAGGAAAAACCTAAACACATACTCAGAAAAAGTGGTTATTCTTATTTTTAATGTTAGTAGCCTGGATTAATTTTATTTGCTGAATAAAAACATGACTTTAACAATAGCTCCACCTTTGCTATGACACTGGTCTTTTGACTCCTTTGCTTTTCCCCTTATATTGAAAAATGTTGATTCTAACTCAGCTCCATTTGAGCCTAGGGCAATTTAGGATTTTATTTTCTCATTTAACAAAGAGGTAAATTTAGTTGGATTATTTTCAAGTCATCTCTAAAGGGGAGTATTTGTGCTAAGCATAGGAATACCCTCTGGTTTTGCTATCCCTGACATTTGGTAACACCTTTGTTTTGTGCTATACAATTCTCCTGAGTGTCTCTTATCTCCCAGGAACACCCACCTTGTTCAAGTGGTATTGCCTTTTTAGAAAATAGGTTTTAATTTTCTTAAGGTGAAACATTTCCCTCGTTTACTTTTCATTCATTCAACAAACACTGAATGCCTTGCAGTGCCAGATCCCCAGAGTACTAAAGTGAATAAGACAGTCTCTGCCCTCCAAAAACCTAGTGTCTAGTGGGGTTGGTCCCATTGTCCCAGGAACTTGTACTGTGTGTTGTGGAAAGCCTGGTTTTCATATTCTATGTTCCAGGGGACAGTTTAACACATTGACTGAAAAGATTGAACACAATTTTGATATTCTTAAAATCCTACAAGTTATATGCCTAGACATAGGCATAAATAGAAATAATTTTCCTTATTTTGTAGTCAAGCAGAATGTGAACATGGTATCTCTGAAAAATTGTATATTGCTTAAAAATAATGAGAAGTGAGTCATTGACTTTTACTTTATTAGATAGCAGCTCCCTTTTAAATGAATTATTGAAATATATTAGGAAAGAACCTGATGTGGTTTGGCTGTGTCCCCACCCAAATCTCATCTTGAACTGTAGCTCCCATAATTCCCACATGTTGTGGGAGGGACCCAGTGGGAGATAATTGAATCATGGGGCGGTATCCTCCATACTCTTCTTGTGGTAGTGAATAAGTCTCACTAGATCTGATGATTTCATAAGGGGAAACCTCTTTCCCTTGGTTTTCATTCTCTTTCGTCTGCAGCCATGTAAGATGTGCCTTTCACCTTCTGCCATGATTGTGAGGACTCCCTAGCCACATGGAACAGCAAGTCCATTCAACCTGTTTTCCTTTATAAATTACCCAGTCTTGAGTATGTCTTTATCAGCAGCATGAAAATGGACTAATACAGAACATGATAGGAAATAGTTTATATTATTTTCTTTCCTTCCCTCTTTTTCTCTCTTTCTCCCTTTTCCTTCTTCCCTTCCTCTTTTCCTTCCTTCCTCCTTCCCTCCCCACTCTCTCTTCTTCTTTTTTTCTTAATAATTTAACATTTATTGAGAGATCTCATGAGGGAGGGCATGGGGATACAGGGATGTGTAGGCCCAGCCCTATTATAGTCTAACAGGAGACATGAGGAGGAAATCTAAGTCTCTGTCATTAAGGCATATTTTGGTGGAGTGAACATCACATTCCTCATCAACTTTTCCCAGCCAGTCTTCTAAGAAGGGTATAAAACATGAGAGATTACTTCATCCACTTGATTTTGTCTCTTGTGTTACATTTTGACATAACACATTTATGTTCAGAACAGCCCTTCTTGACAATATGTTGCTCAATAATTGGATTTTTGTTGATTTGATAAAATCAAATCGCTTGACTCATTGGGAGAATTTCTGACTTCTTCTGCTGTACATTGTGGGCATCAGCAAACTATGGCCATCTGTTTTTGTATGGCCTGTGGTCTAAGAAAAGATTTAAAATGTTTAAATGGTTGAAAAAAAGTCAAAGAAAGAATATTTTGTGACATGAGAAAATTATATGAAATGCAGCTTTCTGTGTCCACAAATAAAATTTTATTGGAACACAGCCATGCTCATTAATTTATGTATTGTTCATGGCTCCTTTTGCTACAGTGGCAGATTGAGGAGTTGTGATCAAGGCCATATGGCCCAGAAATGAAGCTGAAAATGTTTCCTATCTGGCCCTTTAAGAAGGCTTGCTAATCCCTGATAATATATTGTTTTATTTGCTAGTGGAGAAGTGTTAACAAAAAAGGCATCTCAACTCCTGGCTCCAGAATCTCTTGAAGGGAGGAAATTATTTTCGTTTAGAAAAATCTGGCTGGGCATGGTGGCTCACACCTGTAATCTCAGCACTTTGGGAGGCCGAGGCGGGTGGATCACTTGAGGTCAGGAGTTTGAGACCAGCCTGGCCAACATGGTGAAACCCGTCTCTACTGAAAATACAAAAATTAGCCGGGCGTGGTGGCAAATGCCTATATTCCCAACTACTTGGGAGGCTGAGGTATGAGAATCACTTGAACCCAGAAGACGGAGGTTGCAGTGAGCTGAGATTGCACCACTGCACTCCAGTCTGGGTGACAGAGTGAGACTCCATTTAAAAAAAAAAAAAAAGAAAAATCTTTGGATTGGCCATTTGATTCTGAAAGGACAGGGCGAAGGCGGGTTGGGAGCAGCACCCAGCTGTTCTGCCTGTTCCTTGTCAAGGTGGAAAGATGGCATTTATGATAAGACATACACAGGTTTGAATCCCAGCTCTGTGTAACTTTGGGCCAGTCATTTAACATTTCTGAGCTTATTTATCATAAGGGAACAAAAATAGAGTTTATCTCTCAGGTTTGTGTGAAGATAAAATGAATTAAAGTCTATAAAGCACTTAGCATAGGGCCTGGCATATGGCAAGCTTGCAATCTCTATAGTTATGAGTTATTACTATTATTACCATTATTATATTTCTAGGATATAGGAGAATTAAGTGAAATAATGTGTGTGAAGTGCTTAGAATACTGGCTAGCAAAATCTCTTTCATGATCCAGTGGAAGATCCCATGATACTCAATCCTCCTCGGACCCAGGTCTGTGATCCAGTCTTATCCGCAATGTCAGACAGGTACAGATGTGCATCTGAAGCTGGAACTGATAACAGGGACACCTGAAGAGACTAGGTCATGTGGCCGTTGGGTGTGAAGGCTGAGGGTGATAAATGGTGGGATTTTAACACAGCAGTATCATTGCATAGAGCTGACTGTGATTACAGCGGTCATCTCCTTAGCGGTTTGAGCAGGAAGACGTGATTATTGGTGTGGTACGAGATGCAATATTTAGAAAGAATCTAGTGATAGTGATAATGAAGGCTGTTAGATTAATTTGCCAAGAAAGTAAGGAATTCCTAGGAAATGGAATTATTTTGCCTCAAACAACAGAGGCTAGGAGACGCTGAGGAGTATTTTGTGATGATGCTGAGTAGTTTAGAGATTTTATCCTCAGCAAGTTTCCCATCAGCTATTCATTTAGAATGAACACTATTGGCTGGCTTATACACTGCTTTTGAACCACGTGTTAAATTACATGAATGGACACCTTTCTCTGTGTGTGAGTAGTTGTTAAGAGCTTGGTTTTTGAAGCCAAAATGACCAACGAGATTCAGATCTTGGCTCTGCCATTTATTAACAGCGACTTTGGGCAAGTGACTTCACCTGTCTGTGCCTCATCTGTAAATCAGGAACAATAATAACACCAATTCATAGCCAGCCTGGCTTGCCACAGTCCACCTACTGGTATTCACACCCACGTGTTGTTCCCTGCTATGTAGTACCAGGTATTTTTGTGTGACCCGTAGAACACAGCAGAAGTGGTGGTGTGCCACTTCTGATATTAGGTTATAAAAGATATTGCATCTTCAATTTTGTTCTCTTTCTTTCTTCTTTGTCTTTCTGTCCTTTATCTTTTTTTTCCCTCTCTCTCTCTTTCTGATCACTTGCTTTAAGGGAAGCCAGATGTCATGTGTGGCGAGGCAGCCTAGAGAGAGGTCCCTATGGTGAGAAACTGGGGCCCCGCTAACAGCCACCTAAGTGAGCTTGGAAGTGGATCCTCTAGCACCTTAGGACTGCAGCCCTGGCCAGTAGTTTGACTGTCTCCTCATGAGAGAACCTATGCCAGAATCACCAACTAAGCCTTTCCCAAATTCCTGACCCACAGAAACTGTGAACTGGTAAATCTTTGCTGTTCTAAGTGACTATATGTCAGGGTAATTTGTTACACAGCCTAGAAAACTCATATAGTACCTGTGTGGTTGTTGCTTTTTTTTTTTGTTGAAACGGAGTCTCACTCTGTTGCCAGGCTGGAGTGCAGTGGCGTGATCTTGGCTCACTGCAACCTCCACCTCCCGGGTTCAAGTGATTCTCCTGCCTCAGCCTCCCGAGTAGCTGGCATTACAGGCACCTACCACCACACCCAGCTAATTTTTGTATTTTTAGTACAGACGGGATTTCACCATGGTGGCCAGGATGGTCTTAATCTCTTGACCTCGTGATCTGCCCATCTCAGCCTCCCAAAGTGCTGGGATTACAGGCGTGAGCTGCTGTGCTTGGCCAATTGTTGCTGTTTTTAAAGCTCTGGGGCAATTTTTGCCTCATAGGAAACATCATATAATTACATGTAAATACATCCATAACTGGGAGATTAGGGTAGGGGAAGGCAGCCCTTCCCAGGTAGCCCTTGACCAGATAGTCAAGTCTTGGCTGTTCCAAAATCAAAGGCTTCTGTTTTCTTTAAGGCCATCTTGCCTGTTTTCATAAAAGTCTGAAATACGGAGGAGACCCTGATTTATATTTTCCATAGAAGAGAAGAGAGATTGAGATGGTAAGTACCAAAAAAATTAAAAGTCATTTTGGTTTTTCAATTCATTACTTCTGGAAAAAAAATTCAAGCCCATCATCATTACTAGCGCTCTGTTTTAATGCTGATGATAATTGCAAAGGCAGTATTTTAAATTAGAATGTATAAGACCACATGTAATTAACCTATACAGAAGGGCTGAGACTTCATATTAGACTATTAAATCAATCCCAGCAGAATCACTAACGCTGAGCAATTGATTTGGAAATACTGTATGGGCAGAGTAAAGAAGCGGGATGCTAATTACCATCAACGAGAATTTAGTACACTCCTCAGATGCTGTTAGAGTGGCAGGCTTTTTCTTCTGGCCCTTAACCCACTTAAAGCTGAGAATTCAAATTAGTTCAGATAGAATACTTAAAACAACCTTTACGTTGTTTAAGGCAAGAGAGGATTTTCTGAGCGTGGCAATCACAAGGGGACTCTCAGACCGTCTGGTGCGGTGACTCTCAGTGGACTCAGCTTGTGTGAGATGCTGATGAGAAGTCCCAGGAAGGGTCTGGCTGTAGTGTTTCCTCACGGCGGACATGGGTTGCCCCCTCTAACTCTGGCACTGTGTGTACCTCCCTTTACACAGCGCTCTCCATTGTCACTCATTCTCGTTTCTTGTTGTTTCTGCCCTGCAACATCCATTTTCTTTCTTTATTCTTTCTTATTTCCACTGAATCCTTCAAGCATCCAGCAAGTACCCACTGGCTATCTAACAAGAAAAAATAGCCACAATAGTTTGTGTTTATTGAGTACTAGGGCAGATAATGGAAGCTCTCTATGAGAATCTAGTCCCTGCTTCCCCTAGAGTAATGTGATTGTAACCAGACACAAGGCTAAACTATTATACATTTCTCAGACTCTCTTGCAGTGAGGTATGGCGTGTCCTCTCCATGACAATGTGAGGGAAAGTGATGTATGCCACTTCCAGGTGAGGCCTTCAAAAGAATGGATGTGTATCCTCTGATTTTTCCCCACTCTCTCTTTTTTTTTTTTGCTGATTGAAGAAAGGCCCTAGAGACACAAGATGGAGTGGGAATGGGCCCTTGAATCACCATGTAGAGTAAGGACAACGTCAACCAGGTTCACATTCCTGGGCCTATCATGCAAACAGGAAATATTTTGTTTGAGGTGTTCTACCTTTAGGGTTCATTTTTGTATCCCTTTAGCTTACCCCTATAATGTTTATATGCATTATCTCATTTTTTTCCTCCTAACAACCCTACGAAGGGTGCTATTATTTTTTTACTTTACACGAGAAGCAACAAAGGCTTAGAAGCTTAAGTAACTTACCCGAGGGCACCCAGATAGTAAATGACAGACCTGGGATATTATTTTAACTTGGCACTTGGGAAGTGATAAGGAAGTTTAAGATGTTGTCTTTGAGCTCTGGGAAACTTCAGGTTATAAATGGACATCTTTGATCAAGAACAATTAGAGAACCATAAGATACTGATTGTTTATAGCTGTTGTCTATTCTAATTTTAGTGCCTATGCCAGGCTATTGTTAAACGTTTTTGACTATTACACTTGCTTAAGGCAAAGCATGGTAACTGGTGTCTTCTTTTCTCTGTGACTTTTAAGGTTCTATGGAACCCTGGAATGAAGAGGATGCCAACCTTGAAAAGCTATTCTAGTTCTTTCAATGTGCCATAATGGTATAGGAGCAAATGTTTCTGCTGAGGTAAATCTTTTTTTCTTTTTTTTGGGAGGGGGTGGTGGGGCAGGGTGGAGGTAGGAGGGTGCCATGGTCTGAATGTTGGTGTCCTTCCAAAATTCACGTTTTGGAACCTAATACCCAATGTGATAGAATTAAGAGGTGGGGCCTTTTGGGAAGTGATTATGTCATGAGGGTTCTGTTCTCATAAGTGGGATTAGTGCCCTTATAAAGATGTTGAAGGGAGCTGTCTTCCCCCTTCTGCCACACAAGGACACAGCAACGAAGCACCAATTTTCACTGAGGTTCCTCACCAAACACTGAATCCGCAAGTGCCTTGATATTGAACTTTCCAGCCTCCAGAACTATAAGAAATAAATTTCTGTTATTTATGAATTACCCAGTCTCAGCTATTTTATTGTAGCAGCCCCAATGGGCTAAGATGGAGGGATAGTAGAGTCAGTCTTATGCTAATTATGGTTTGAGGTTACTTAGGCCTTATTAGGCTAAAGTCAAACCAGAAATGAACATGGGCACATTCCTCACAGCTCAGGTCCTGCTCCTAGTCCTGAGATGAGGGTTTGTGTGTAGTGATAATGAAGGGTGGGCTCTCAGGGGAGATAACAAAGGGAGTGGGAAGCAGGACAAGGGAGAACAAGCAGGAAGCTAAGCAGGGTGAGATTTCAGGTGATGTTTCTAGCCTCAGCCTCATCTGTGAAGTGATCTGCAGCATAAATCACCCCACAGAGTTTGTACCAACTAAGGTGAAGGTTCTGGGCTTTCATATTCCTTCACTAATCTGGTGTTGGCTATGAGTAACCCCCTGTAAGCTCCCAGGTACTTCTGGGTCTCCAAATGTTGTGATCAAAATAGCACTAGAAACCCATGGGCTGTCACCTGCAGGGGCAGCCAACCAAAGCACATGGGAGCTGGGGAGGAGCACACAGAACCTACATGACATCTGAGGGGATCTGGGTGAGGCACTGGCAGGTGCTATTATAGGAGGAGAGCCCTTGTCCATAGAAGCTTGGGGCCCATCTAATTTATCTCTTGACTAATATCCCCCTCTTTTCTGTGCCTATCTGTGCTTCAGTCAAAGGCATTGCTGTACTATTATCTACTTATATCTTCCCTTTTATCCTTTTATACTTTTAGTCTGTTTGCTTGGAATGACTCCCCCATCCCCCTCTTCTCTAACTCAAAGACTGTGCATCTTTTCTTTGCCTGTTTGTAGGTCAACTTTGCAAGAATGCCCCCTTTTTTATACCTCCTCAGTCAGAGGCATCTTCCCATCTGTACTCCTCAGAAATTTGTGCATTCTAGTGGCATCACTATCTACTGCAATGCAGTGACTACATGCTCCCTGCCCTCCCTCTTATCATTCACACAGCAATAAGTTTCATAGGAACATGAGAAACTAGAAAGTAGATGGCAATGGATGGTGGAAATCTCTGAGAGAGAGCTGAGCACCCTGGATTGCTAGCCTTTGTAGTACCTTGGTACAAATTAGGCAAAACAACCTCTCTGCATGGATGTTGCTCTGAGCCAGGTGCATGACTAGACAAGGGCACACAACTTGGCTGGTTGCCTTTGTGCAGTGTACAACCTTTACAACTGTACACTGTGGTGCTACCTGGTACATTCCTCCTTGAGCTGGGTCCAGGGAGGGGATCAGGGATATATGCGATTGAATTGTAGAAGAAAGGAACTGTTGCCTGGTTCCCAGACATGGCCAGGAGATTTTTAGATAGTACACAGGAGGAAGGGTGGCATTGACTAAGAAAGATGCAACCCAGGCCAGCTCTGTCCTCAGCATTGGTGCAATCACTTCTGATAGCACTGTAGCAGATTTAAAAGCTTGCCACAAACTCTTTGATGCTTCTCAAATTGAGACATGGACACATTCCTCTCCCCTTGAATCTCAGTGGCTTCAGCGACCCATTTGTAGCCATCAGATTGCAGTGAAAGTGGCAAACATGACTTCTGAGGTTAGGTAAGAAGAGGCTGTATATCTTCTGCTTTTGTTTCGTGAAACACTTACTCTTGGGAAGCTTCATTTCAGAACCCAGCTACCATGCTGTGAGAAATCCAAACCACATAGAGGGGCCATGTGTAGGTGCTTGCTGCAGGCAATGGCCCCAGCTGAGCTCCCAGCCAACAGCCAGCACCAACTGCCAGCCATGGGAGTACACCATCTTAGATATCCAGCCCAGTTGGGCCTTCTGATGACTGCAGCCCCAGCTACCATCTGACTGCAACTGATGAAAAGTCTTGAGCTGATCCTTTCCCCAATTCATGATCCACAAGATCATGAGCAAAAGATCTTACTGGTTGTTTTAAGCCACTAAGTTTTGGGGGGTTTGTTATGCAGAATAGGTGCTTAAAGTTGCCTTTTTGCAAACCTTTGCATCAATAAGTTAAAATCTGAGCCTTGATTTAGGATTTTAGGGGGATAGAGAGAATCCGCTTTATGCTGCTTTGATTGAAGGCTTACTTAGGACTAATTAATTTGGGAAAATGATGCACTCAACATGAGGAGTTTAGCGTGAAAATCTCAGGTCATAATAAAATGTTACTTTACTTTGCCAATAGTGTTTTGTGTTGAGGTCTGGATAGAGAGAATATACATTTTCAACAAAGCTCCCCAAAGTTTCCTCACTGGTTTCCCCATGTTTTTGCCTAGACGTTTTCTTGTTTATATTTTTTGTGGCATTTCACAAATACTTGGGGCTGGGAAGGCTCAGATGTAATGGGTTAAATTCAGAGGTCACTTGCTTGCATTTTCAATAAGAACAGCAGCTCTTTAAATAAGATTTAAAATGCTTTTCAGTTATTTGCAGTTGGTTAAAGCCATCTGAGGAATGTTGTATAGCAATGCCATGTTAAAGAGAAAAAGTAAGTAAAGAAAAATAATTCCTAGATTCTTTAATAGAGTCTGACGTTATTGTTTTTAAAAATTCTTGGCCAAGATACTGCTGGGTTGTGCTACATGGAGTTGGTGCCATATTAATTTATCAACCAGAAACCTTCCATGGAATTTGGAGATTTGGAGAAAGACAAAAGAGAATCCCATCTGAAGCCTTTAGTTGGCTCAAAGTTGCCAAAATATTTGGGGTTTGAAGTTGAGTAATTTCACTTTCTTCCTTCATTTGTTGGAGACTGATAACTAAAAGTGGGATTTAAGGATTCAAAGAGATTATTACCCAAACAGAATTTCCATCCAGCTTTTTACAAACAAGCACGCTTC
This sequence comes from Homo sapiens, assembly GCF_000001405.40. NCBI lineage: Eukaryota > Metazoa > Chordata > Mammalia > Primates > Hominidae > Homo > Homo sapiens. The sequence continues at coordinate 219,797,391 of NC_000002.12, forward strand.
AGGAAATTAATGAAACCTGTTGAATCTTAATATTCTGTGGGCCCATAGATTTATTTGGAATAGTTCTCACATCGGAGGCATGGTTATTACCATGTTCTAACTGGCTGCTAAATTAGGTAGCTTGTTGATAGCTGGATGATTTAACATGTCCTCTGTTGGGGTGTCCACTGGTCACTGCAGATCCAGTATTTGGGCTTAGAGACATGAGTCTGATTCAGAGCTTGTCTCAAATAGATTCATTGAGCCCCATTCTTCAATTTCCAGGTTGCACTGTGGTTTTACACATGTTTCAGAAGACCAGTCCTCCTGCATATTAATCCATGCATGTGGGAATGAAGCAGGGAAGTAGGATGTAAACACAAAGTTCCTTTTTTTTTTTGAGTTCTTTAGCTCCCCAGGGCAGCTGGGGGTACAGGTAACAAGCTGATTTAATGAGTTTGTTTTCTAACCCTTTTAATAATCAATTGATGCCTTTTTTTCCTTTAATCTTTCATGTTTTCTTCCCTTCTTCCCATCCCACTGGGTCAGTCTCACGGAGGTCTGGCTTTAAGAATGGACACTTAGACCAGGCACGGTGGCTCACACCTGTATTCCCAGCACTTTGGGAGGCAGAAGCGGGCGCATCACTTGAGGTCAGAAGTTTGAAACCAGCCTGTCCAACGTGGTAAAACTCCTTCTCTACTAAAAATACAAAAATTAGCCAGCCATGATGGTGCACGCCTGTTGTCCCAGCTAATTGGGAGGCTGAGGCAGGAGAATTGCTTGAACCTGGGAGGTGGAGGTTGCAGTGAGCCAAGATTGTGCCATTACATTCTAGCCTGGGTGACAGAGTGAGACTCTGTCTCAAAAAAAAAAAAAAAAAAAAAAAAGACACTTAGATATCCTTTGTGCAAATTATACTTTACAGCCTTGAGCTTAAAGGATAAAGCAAAAGAGACGGGCTGACATCAGGTTGGGTTCCACCATAAGAGAGGTAATCAGATGGTGATGAGGGTTACCAGCCTATCCACGTGGAGATGCCACAAGCTGGCAGAAGCTCTGAAGCTGGGCTTTCCCAGATTCCTGGGCTCTCATCAACATTTCTATGAAATTCTAGCCTTGCAAAAACTTTCTTTAGCAAACTATGTTACCCGGGATTTATTATTATGACTCTGGGTACCCATGCTATGTGAAGAGTGCCATATTCTTGCATTAGTCATAGGTTATGCTGTAAGTATTAATAGAAGGCACATATGCCAGGTAGCATTGTGATTACATAATGATGTTTGGTCTGTTAGCACACCCAATTATTTACTCATGTTGGCACGAAACTGGGAGGACTGTGCCCCATAGGCCTGGCATTGGCATACCACACAGTCCTATCTTCTCCTACCCAGTTGTCAGCATCTTCTCTGGAGAAGAATCTTTATTGTTTTTTCATGAAATTAACAACATTCATGAAGAACCTATTATGCCCCAGGCACCATGCTGGGCATAGGTGAAGGATGGGTGAGCAAGATGAATGTAATCTCTTTCCTCAAGGAGTTTAGAGTTGAGGGGAGAGTAGATACTTACACCCAGAGTGTGGCCCAGCACAGAGGGGTATGAAGGACATGCACAAGTAGCTGTGATCAAGATTCACAGGCCTCTCTGAGCCGGTGGCATTTAACCTCCAGCCTGAAGGATAAGAAGGTTCTGTCTTTGAGAGAAGGCAGCGTGGGAAGAAGCAGAAGACAATCTCAGTGAGGAGTGGTTTACGCTTCACAGTGAATGGTCTGAGGGAGGTTTATGACATCTCCTTGGTGGATTGACCACCTGAGTCTTGGCTCTCATAGGGGGACGAAAGGCTGTGTCTCATCTGAAGAGATTTCCAGGCCCAGTGGAGTTGGGGAAGACTTTTTTTTGGTGGCCGAGGGCACTTGCTCTCATCTTTACAGGCAGGTTGAACTTGGGGTAGTCTCCCAGGAGTTCTTCAAGTATAGCCCAGGTTCCCAAATGCCAGCTTTTTTTCAATGTAGGCTGACTGTGATTCTGTAGGAGAAAAGAGCCAAGAAGCTTTGGGGCCAACAGGTCTGTGCAGGACACTGAGGCTGGAGGGGCTCCCCCTGGGGCCATTCTGCCATCCCAGAGCTTGGTGGAAGGGGGTGTAGGCCTCAAGCCTGTAGAGAACCCTGAGGAAGCAGGGCTTTCTAACCCCATTGCTGGCTCTGGTCTCACTAAAACCACCTATTCCTTTTCCTTGAGTCCCATATATGAAGGTGGGGCAAGCCACCCCACCACCAAGAAAAAGGGGTGTGGCCCATGTGCACACACATGCGTGCATGCACACCCATTAATCCAGCCATGGTGGGACAGAGATATTGCCTACAAACTCTCTAAGCTCATTTAAAATTAAGAAAATTCCTCAAAGTCTTATTTATCTATTAGAAGGTCAGTTTCATTCAGAGTTGCTCTATGTCAAGGTTATTTACATAGAATTTGCTGGAGGATAATGCTTTTTCTTCTCAAGAGCTTTTGACACAACTCGGCATCCATCTTCTTGGAATCTGGTTCTGGGCTCTGTGCCTCATGTCCTGATTACGGTGGCCTTTCACCCATGGCTCACCCAAATCCCTCATGTCCTGGGTTAAGCAAGTTTTTGCTTGTCAGTCTATCAACTGGGGACTCACAGGAGATCTTATTGTAAATAATGTCAGATGAGATTTAGGGAGTCTCACCATCTATAAATCAATGCCTGGAGGCTTTGGGATTATTCCTTCTTGTTTTTTTTTTCTCTTGGAATTAGGCAGTTTAGTCCCTGTGGGTATGGTTTAGCAAGGTCTCAAAGTCAGAATTTATTGAAAATAATTGCCATCACAAGCCCAGACTTTCTTGAATATCTCTATTAGTATAAAATGTAGTATTTTCCCTCTCCAGTAAATAAACACACCATCCAGTTCTCCTTTCCACCCCAGTTTGGGAAAGAAGAAAGTGTTACAGCCCTGGATTGGGATCATGTTTGTTTGTCACCGCAAGTTCCTGAGATGCATGGAGTCATGGTTTAACTTCACAGGATGTGCTGAGCACCTCCTCTGTGCCATGCCCTGTGCTATGCATGGGGTGTGTAATGCTGTTCAAGATACAGCATCTACCTTGGGGAAACTAAGGTTTGCCTTCAGTGACACACAGGCAGAGAATTAATCATAGAATGAAATGACAAGGGCTATAAGGGAGATACTTAAATATTAGTTATATATACTCTAGGAATGAAAAGGTAGAAGAGGAAATCCTTCTGCTGGTTGGGGTGGTGGAGATGAGGCCGGTAGGGGAGGGATTTTGGCTTTTAAAGGATATTTGGCAATGTCTGGAGACATTTTTGGTTATTTCAACTAGGGGAATCGAATTTGTTACTGGCATCTAGAGGCCAGGGATGCTGCTCAATAACCTGAAATGCGTGCGCAGCCTCCTACAAGAAAAACTTACATGGTCCCAAATGTCATGAATGTCAAGGTTGAGAAAGAGTGCTATAGGATGATGGTTGAGTTGAACCTTGAAGATGACTGGAGTCTGCTAGGCAGCAACTTGGGAAGGCCATTTTGCTCAAACGCTTCATTCCACCACTAGCTTTGTGGACCAGAGAGGAAACAACACCAAGAAGAGATGATGCTCTGGTTTGGAGGTTCAGCTCACAGTGATGGTGTTCCTGAGTGGTTCAGAGTTGGATTCTGAAGAGGATGGGTGGCCAGTGTGCCAGGAAAGGTATACAAGAAAGAGCAGAGAAGACATCTCCCATAATAAGTAAATTAATTTGAGCCTGTGGCTTGCAACAGTATATGAAGTGGCCAGATCATTACATATGAACACTGAGAGGTAGAGACTTAGGTGCCAGTCATTAAACCTGTTCTACCCCAAAATCTGGAATGGAAGGACTAAGCTGTACCATTGACTCTGCAAAAAATATCTTTGGATTACTATCAGAAAATGTTCTTAAGTGAAGTGCAACATTATCTAAATGGACCCTCTCAATAACCCTGTGAGTTTGGCTGATAAAGGCAATAGCACATTGAAGTATAATAGTACAATGAAGGAAACAAACCCAGGGCAACTGAGGGTGCTGCTCTGTCCAGAAGTGTTACTGATTGGGAGGGTAGAAGGTCAGAGTCCTGGTCTGGCTGGTGGACCAAGTTGAGCTCTTTGCTGGGATTGTCTCTAGTCCTGGGCCAGTCCTGCCGTTTATCCACTGGACTGTTCCTCTCACCCAAGCTGGCTTTTATTTGTTATTTTTCTGTTTTCCCCCACATCTTAGTTTTCTGCTGTTATAACTGAATACATGAGACTGGGTAATTTATAAACAATAGAAGCTTATTTAGCTTAAGGTTCTGGAGGCTGGGAAGTCCAAGAATGAGGGGCTGCTTCTTGTAAGGGCTTTCTTGCTGCATCATAACCTGGAGGAAGACATCACCTGGTGAACATATGAGATCAGGAGAGGAAATCAGGCAAAACTCATCTTTTTTATCAGGACCCCACTCCTGAGATAACTAACCCACTCCCTCAAAAATGGCATTAATCCATTTGTGAAGGTGGAGCTCTTATGACCTAATCGCCTCTTAAAGGTCCTATTTTTGAATACTGTCACAATGGCCATTACATTTCAACATGAGTTTTGGAGGACACATTCAAACCATAGCACCCCAACATTCATTAATCGTCACAATAAGAACATTATAAAGTGTAAGGAGAAGCAGATCTCCCACAATACCTCTCCCTAGGACAGTTGTTTGGTTTTATTTCCTGCTATTATCCACACAGATCCATAGTGACAAAAATAATGTAATTGCCATTGAGTTCTTTTTCACATAATAGGATGTGCTTGTTCATGTTCTCACATAGACCCCCATGAATCATTTCAGTGAACCCATATCATCCATCAAGGTCATGTGCCATCACTTACCTATCAATTCTCCTTTTGGTCACTGTGGAGGTTTTCAGAGTTTCAGTATCACAAATAACATTGTAGTGAGCGTCTTTGTATAAATAGATTTTTTTGCTTCCTTTCAAAGGTTTCTTTAGGATACATTTCCAACAGCGGGATTAATGTGTCAAAGGGTATGAATATCTTCATGGATCCATATATATATTGTCAAATTGCTTTCCAGCAGAGTGTAGCAATTTATATACCTGACATGAATAAATGAATGTAGCAGGCTGGCAAAATATTGCCAGCATTGGATGTTATTATTTTATTTTCAAACTTCTTTTGGTGGTTTAATAAGTATAAAATGATACCAATTACACATAGGTAACATGCCTAACAATGTGCTTGGCACTAGTTGTTTTTGCTAATGTTTCCCTGCAGCTTATGATACCTGTCCTGATCCTTGGACTACACCCTAGACTTTCTGTGTGTCTTACATGGCTCCCAGCCTGACCTTGATTGCCATCAATCTCCAGTGAGCACTTGGCCTTGGCTTGACCCAGTTTAATGATGACATTGAGTGTCTAGATTTAGCCCGCAAATAAGTAGCATCGTGGGTTAAAGGATGCCCATATTTATCTCGTGGCTCCCCAGTTTATAAGCTGTGTCACCTTTGGTAAATTACTTCATTTCTCTAAACCTGGGATTAATTGAGATTGTGTATGTTAAGCAAGTAACACTGTGCCTGATACACAGTAAGTCATGTTAGTCTTAATAATAGTAATAGTAATAATAATAATCTATTTTAATAACTCACAACCTTTGAGATAGGTGCTGACATTATCCTCATTTTAAAGGTGGACAACTGAGGCTCCAAGAGGTTAAGCACTTTGCCCAGTATGTGCAGTCTAATGCAGTGTGACTTCTGCCCTCTGCCCCCAGTTTTGCCGCATGGGTGAGTGGTCCCAGTGAGTAGCAGGTGTATTCATGAAAACCATTTCTGTACCAGGACAGCCAGCGCTAACTTACCTATACACGAAAGTGACTACAGATTGCATACATATAGCCCTCCAAACTCAAACTAAAAATGAATCCTTATCTAGATTCCCAAAATTCTAGCAGCCACTCCAGTACTCTGCAGTCTGAGGGGAAGTAAGCTGGAGGAAAAGTTACAATGGAAAGAGAGGTGAGTCATAACCAATTGTGGTTAAAATGTCTTGCTGCTAAAAAACTTACAAAAACCTATGATCATGTGAACTTATTTCTTGGGGCCCTGAAGCTGGAGCCTCATTAGCTTCATGGTAAACTGGACACTGGCCTGAACTCATGACTAGCAGTCAACCAGGAATGGGATGGCTTAGTTACTTTTGATTGCTTGTTGCTTTTTTTCTGAATTAAAACTTCGTTATTAGCATAGTTCAGTCTGAGAGTTACTGCCAGGGTGGAATTACTCTAATTAAGAGGAAAAGAAAAATATGTTGCTAGTCATTAATTTTTCTTGATTAGAGGGTGACCCAGTTTGAGGTTAAACGAAGAGGACTGAGGTAGTAATTTAGCACTCTGGGAGGTTTGCGGAGATTTTTGTGAGCTGAGAAGCAACAGCTGGATCCTGGGATTGCCACCTGATTTGAATTCGTAACTAGTTGTAAAAAGATGTGTAAGAAATCTTCAGGAATGTCGTGCTCATTTTTAAAATGAACGAAAACAACGATGGGATCGGGGCACATCGGAGCACAGCACTATAATTTAAATGCTACCAGTGCTGCATCTGTGTCTCAATAAATGTATGAAAGCTTTTTCTGTCTTAAATGTGAAAATATTATATTATGTAGATTTGAGGATCCTGGCTTTGACTTGTCAAATTCTGGGGTAGCAAGAAACTTTACCTTTGGCATATGCCCGTAACACTGAATATCTATTAAAATAGGTACAATATTTCACTCACTTAAGTACACATTATTTGAGGTTTCTGTGATGAAAGCAAAGCACCCTTTAGTGCAAAGAGCACAGACTTGGAGCCAGAAGACCAGAATGTGAGTCCTGCCTTTGCTAGCCCAGTGACTTTGAGGTAATCTTTTTGAGCCTCTGAACTAGTTTCCATATCGTAAATTGTAAGTATCATCACTCATATATTATACACCTAGTTTAATAAAACATATGGAAAAGTAAAGTGATACACAAATGTTATTATGATATCATTGAGTTCTCATATCACTGTTAAGTTGGGACTTTAGATAGTATCTTTGAGGAGGGCAGGGGAGGAAAGAGTGAAAACCTTGGAAAACCTTGGGTTGGCTTCAAGGTTATAGGGGACCATTCTTTTTTTTTTTTTTTGAGATGGAGTTTCACTCTTGTTACCCAGGCTGGAGTGCAATGGTGCAATCTCGGCTCACCACAACCTCCATCTGCCTCGTGGGTTCAAGTGATTCTCCTGCCTCAGCCTCCTGAGTACAGGCATGTGCCCCACGCCCAGCTAATTTTGTATTTTTAGTAGAGACGGGGTTTCTCCATATTGGTCAGGCTGGTCTCGAACTCCCGACCTCAGGTGATCTGCCTGCCTCGGCCACCCAAAGTTCTGGAATTACAAGCATGAGCCACCACACATGACCTTTTTTTTTTAAAGAAAAGTTTTATTGAAATATAATTGACAAAAATATATATTCAAGGTGTACAATATAATGTTTTGATATACATATATACTGTGAAATGATATTCATAATGAAGCTAATTGACATATTCATATACTTAAGATCTACTGCCTTAGGGAATTTCAAGTATTTAATACAGTATTATTAACTATAGTCGCCATGCTGTACATTAGGTATCCAGAAGTTACTCAGCTCATAACTGCAACTTTCTACCCTTTGACAAACATTTCCCTTACCCTGCAACCCTTGGTAACAACCATTCTATTCTCTGCCTCTATGGGTCAACTTTTTTAGATTCCACATATAAGTGAGATCATGCAATATTTGTCTTTCTGTGTTTGGCTTATTTCACTTAGCATAATGTCCTCCAGGTTTATACATATTGTCACAAATGGCAAGATTTACTTCTTTTGAAAGGCTGAATCGTATTTTGTTTATAATATATATATTATATATACATGTATATGTATGTGTGCATATGTATGTATACACATATGTATGTATATGTATATGTATGTATGGATGAATACAGAATATATATATATATATATATAGCAATTTCTGTATTCATCCATTCATTGACGAACAATTAGGTTGTTTCCATATCTTATAATGCTGCAGCAAATATGGGAGTGCAGTTATCCCCTCGACATACTATTTCATTTGCTTTGGATATCATACCCAGAAGTGAAATTGGTGGATTATATGATAGTACTATTTTTAATTTTTTGAGGAACATTCTTACTGTTTTCCATAGTGGCTGCACCAATTTACATTCTCACGAACAGTGCACAGGGGTTCTCTTTTCTCTATATCATCACCAATACTTGTTATCTTTTGACTTTTTGATAATAGCTCTTCTTTTTATTATATTTTTTTTTTTTATTTTTCATTTTTGTGGATATGTAGTAGGTATATACGTTTGTGGGGTACATGAGATGTTCTGATACAGGCATGCCATGCATAATAGTTACATTATGAAAAATGGAGTATCCATCCCCTCAAGTATTTACCAAGTTGTATAGTTTGTATCCCCTTTGTGTTACAAACAATCCAATTACACTTTTATTTAAAAATATACAATTAAATTATTACTGACGATAGTCACCATCTTGTGCTATCAAGTACTAGGTCTTATTCATTCTTCCTATATTTTTTGTACCCTTTAACCATACCCACCTCTTTCCCACTTCCCACTACCCTTCTCAGCCTCTGGTAACCATCCTTCTATCTTCTGTCTTCATGAGTGACATCAGTTGTTTTGATTTTTAGATCCTACAAATAAGTGAGATCATGCGATGTTTGTCTTTTGGTGCCTGGCTTATTTCACTTAGCCTAATGACCTCCAGTTTCATCCATGTTGTTGCAAATGATAGGATCACATTCTTTTTTATGGCTGAATAGTACTCCACTGTGCATATGTACCATGTTTTCTTTATTCATTCATCTGTTAGGTTGCTTCCAAATCTTGGCTATTATGAATAGTGCTGCAATAAAGATGGTAGTGCAGATATCTCTTCTTTGATAATAGCTATTTTAATGGGTGTGAGGTGATATAGTTTTAACTTGCATTTCCCTGATGAGTGGTGATGTCGAACATTTTTTCATATATTTGTTGGCTGTTTGTATATCCTCTTTGAAAAATGTCCATTTGGATCCTTTGCCCTTTTAAAAATTGGTTTGTTTATTTACTTATTTTTGCTCTTGAGTTGTGAGTTCCTTATGTATTTTGGATATTAAGCCCTTATTGGATATACAGTCTGCAAGTATTTTCTCCCATTTCATGAGGTGCTTCTCATTTGGTTGATGGTTTCCTTTGCTGTGCAGAAATATTGTAGTTTGATGTAGTCTCCTGTGTTTATTTTTGCTTTTGTTGTTTGTACTTTTGGTGTCATATCCAAAAATATCATTGCCAAGACCAATATCATGAAGCTTTTTTCACTTTTGTTTTCTTCTAGAAGTTTTGTAGTTTTAGGTATTATGTTTAAATCTTTAATTCATTTCAAGTTGATTTTTGTGTATAGTATAAGGACCCAATTTCCCTTTTTTTGGCATGTGAATATTCAGTTTCCCAACACTATTTATTGAAGAGACTATCCTTTCCCTGTTGTGTATTCATGGTACCTTTGTCAAAGATTAGAACACTGGGTGTGAATGGGTTTATTTCTGTCCCATTGGTTTATGTTAGTATCATATTGTTTTGATTACTATAGATTTGTAATATAATTTAAAATAAGGAAGTATGATGCCTCAAATTGCTTTAGCTATTAAGTGTCTTTTGTTAGTTCCAAATGAACTTCATGATTGGTTTTCTGTTTCTGTGCAAAACACCGCAGAAATTTTGATCTGTAGATTGCTTTGGGTAGTATGGACTTTTTGACAATATTGATTCTTCCAATCTACAAACATAGAATACCTTTCCATTTCTTTGTGTCTTCTTCAATTTCTTTCCTCAATGTTTTTCTTTATAGTTTTCATGTACAGATCTGTCACGTGCTTGTTTAAATTTTTTTTCCCAGGAATTTAATTTTTTGACGCTATTATAAGTGAGACTATTTCCTTAATTTCTTTTTTGGATTGTTTGTTTTTAATGTATTGAAATGCAACTGGTTTTAGTACGTTGGTTTTATACTTTGCAAGTTTACTGAATTCATTTATTTAAATTGTTTTTTGGTGGAGTCTTTAGGGTTTTATATATATAAAAGATCGTGCCATATGTAAACAGAGACAGTTTTACTTTTTCCTTTCCAATTTGGGTCTTTTATTCCTTTTTCTTGCCTAATTGCTCTGGCTAGGAGTTCTAGCACTACACTGAGTAGAAATGGCAAGAGTGTGCATTCTTGTTATGTTCCTGATCTTAGAGGAAAAGCTTCCAACTTTTTATTATTGAATATAACGTTAGCTATGGGCTTGTCTTATATGATCTTTATTGTGTTGAGGTACATTGCTTCTATAACTAGTTTGTTGAGAATTCTTATCATGAAAGGATTTTGAATTTTGTCAAGTGCTTTTTCTGTATCTATTGAGGTGATTGTATCATTTTCATTCTTCATTCTGTTCATGTAGTATATCACATATTTTGATTGGCATATATAGAATTATCCTTTCATCTCACCTGGTGATTTTGAATGATCCTTTTAGTGTGCTGTTAAATTCAGTTTGCTAGTATTTTGTTTAGAACTTTTGCATCTATTTTCCTCAGGGATATTGACCTGTAATTTTATTATTATTTTTAGTGTCCATATCTGGATCTGGTATTAGAGTAATCTGGTCTCCAAAATGAGTCTGCAAGTATTCCATGCTCTTCAGTTTTTTGACAGAGTTAGAGAGGTTGATATTAATTCTTTAAATGTTTAGTAGAATTAATCAGTGAAGCCATCAGGTCCTGGGCTTTTCTTTCTTTGCTTAAAAATTTTAAAAAAAGGCCAGGCACAGTGGCTTACGCCTGTAATCCCACCACTTTGGGAGGCCGAGGCAGGCAGATCACGAGATCAGGAGATTGAGATCATCCTGGCTAACACGGTGAAACCCTGTCTCTACTAAAAATACAAAAAATTAGCCAGGTGTGGTGGCAGGTGCCTGTAGTCCCAGCTACTCGGGAGGCTGAGGCAGGAGAATGGTGTGAACCCAGGAGGCAGAGCTTGCAGTGAGCTGAGATAGCGCCACTGCACTCCAGCCTGGGCAACAGAGCGAGACTGTGCCTCAAAAAAAATTAAAAAAAAATTATTGATACATAATTGTACATATTTGGGGGTACATGGTGATATTGCAATACATATAATGTATAGTGATCAGATTGGGGGTAATTAGTATATCCATCATCTAAAACATTTTTCATTTATTTGCTAAATATCCTCTAACATTCAATCTCCTCTATCTAGCTATTTGAAACACGTATTATTGTTAACTATCATCATCCTATAGTGTTATAACACATTAAAATGAGATTTTCTTTGATGGAAAATTTTTGAATACTGATTCAGTCTCCTTGCTCATTATTGTTCTGTTCAGATTTTCTCTTTCTCCATGATTCAGTCTTGGTAGTTTGTGTATTTCTAGGAGCTGATCTCTTTTTTTCTAAGTTATCCAATTTGTAGATATATAAGCATTCATAGTAGTCTCTTATGATCCTTTGCACTTCTGTGCTATCAGTTACAATGCTACCTCTTTCATTTCTGATTTTATTTGAGTCTTCTCTATTTTTTCTTAGTCTTGCTAAAGATTTGTCAATTTTATTTATCTTTAAAAAACTCTCAGTTTCATTGATCTTTTCTGTTGTTTTTTACTCTCTATTTTATTTATTTTTGCTGTGATCTTTGTTATTTTCTCCCTTCTACTAACTTTGGGCTTAGTTCTTTTTTTTTTTTTAGTTCATTGAGCATAACATTATTAGGTTGTTTGAGATCTTTACTCTTTTTAATGCAGGCATTTTCACTATAAATTTCCTTTGTAGAACTTTTTTTGCTGGGGGCATGGTGATATGTGTCTGTAGTCTCAGCTACTCAGGAGACTGAGACAGGAGGGTTGCTGGAGCCCAGGAGTTCAAGTACAGCTTGCACAACATAGTGAAACCCAGTATCTAATTTTTTTACAAGTCCTCTTTAGGAAAAAAGCCTGGAGAACTGTTTTGCTGGATCACATAAGTTTTAGTATGTTGTGTCTCCATTTTTATTTGTCTCAGGATACTTTTAAATTTCCCTTTTGATTTCTTCTTTGACCCATTGGTTGTTCAGGAGTATGTTAATTTCCACATATTGGTGAATTTTCCAGGTTTTCTCCTGTTAATGATTTCTAGTTTCATATAATTGTGGTCAGAAAAGATACTTGATATAATTTAAATCTAAAACATGTTTGGACTTGTTTTGTGGCCTAGCAAATAATCTATCCTGGAGAATATTCATGTGTACTTTAGAAGAATGTGCATTTTGCTGCTGTTGGATGGAACGCTTTGTATATGTCTGTTCCATCCATTTTATCTATAGTGTTGTTCACATCCTGTATTTCCTTATTGATTTTTTGTCCAGATGATTCATTGATTGTTGAAAATGGGATACTGTACTTCCCTACAATTATTGTATTGCTGCTTATCTCTCCCTTCCTATCTATTAATATTTGCTTCAGCTAGTTAGGTGCTGCAATGTTGAATGCATATATATTTCCAATTGTTATGTCCTCTTGATGAATTGACTCCTTTATAATTATATAATGACCTTCCTTGTCTCTTTTTCGTTTTTGAATTAGTCAAGTTTGTGTAAGTATAGCTACCTCTGCCCTCTTTTGGTTTTCTTTGCATAAAGTATCATTTTTCATTCCTTTACTTTCAGTGTATGTATGTCCTTAAAGCTGAAGTGAGTCTTTTGTAGGCAGCATATAATTGTATTTTTTATATATATATATTTAACAATTCAGCCACTCTATGTCTTTTGATTGGATAATTTAATTCATTTACTTTAAAAGTAACTATTGATAGGTAATAACTTATTGTTGCCATTAAAAACTGTTTTCTGGCAGTTGTATAGATCTTTTGTTCCTTCCATCTTCTCTTATCGTATTCTGTTGTGATTTGATGATTTTCTGCACTGTTATGCTTTGATTCCCTGTACTGGTATGTTTTGATTTCTTTTTTTTTCTCTTTTGTGTATCTACTGGATTTAGCTTCGTGGTAACCATGAGACTGACATATAATACCTTATAGTTATAACTGTATTTTAAGCCGATAACAACTCAACTTTGATTGATAGAACTCTACACTTTCACTCCCCTTTTCCATATTTTATGTTTTTTATGTCACAATTTACTCTTTTTACATAATCTGTCAAATAGAAAATTATTGTCACTATAATAATTTTCAATAGTTTTGCTTTTAACTTTTATATTGGAGACATAAATGATTTACATACCACTATTACAGTATCTGAGTATTCTAAATTTTACTAAATATTTACTTTTACCAGTTAATTTAATACTTTTATATGTTTTTATGAAACATATTATATATATTTCATAAACATATGCTACTAACTAGCATGCTTTTGTTTCAGCTTGAAAAATTTCCTTAGTATTTCTTGTAAGGCATGTCTAGTGTTGATGAACTCCTTTAGTTTTTGCTTGTCTGGGAAAGTCTATTTCTCCTTCATTTCTGAAGGATAGTTTTGCTAGATAAAGTATTCTTTGTTGGCAGATTTTTTTTTTCTTTCAGGGCTTAAATTGAAAATATCATTCCAGTTTTTCCTGGCCTGCAAAGTTTCTGCTAAGAAGTCTGCTAGTAGCCTTATGGAGGATCCTTTATATGTGAGGAATTTCTTTTCTCTTGCTGTTTTCAAGATTCTGTTTGTCTTTGATGTTTGACAATTTGGTTGTAATATGCCTTGGTGAAGTCTTCTTTGGGTTGGACATTATTGGAGACCTTTGAGCTTTGTATACCTGGATGTTAATATTTTTCTTCAGGGGGAGTTTTCATCCATTATTTTTTAAAATAAGCTTTCTTTTTTTTTCTCTGTCTCTTCTCTTTCTAAAATTCCTATAGTGCAATGTTAGCTCTCTATGGTGTCTCATACATTCTGCAGGCTTTCTTCTTTCCTTTTGGTTCTTTTTTCTTTTTTATCCTCTGAATGAACATTTTAAAATGCCCTGTCTTTTCTTTCTTTTGCTCAATCAAGCCTGCTATTGATGCTGTTTGTTTTATTTTTTATTTTTATTAATTTATTCATTGTTTTTGAGACGGAACCTCACTCTGCCACCAGGCTGGAGTGCAGTGGCGAGATCTCAGCTCACTGCAACCTCTGCCCCCCGGGTTCAAGCAATTCTCCTGTCTCAGCTTTCTGAGTAGCTGGTACTACAGGCGTGCACCATCACACCCAGCTAATTTTTGTATTTTTAGTAGAGACGAGGTTTCACCATGTTGGCCAGGATGGTCTCCATTTCTTGACCTCATGATCTGCCTGCCTTGGCCTCCCAAAGTGCTGGGATTACAGGCATGAGCCACAGAGGCCACCCTATTTTTTGTTTCATTGTATGCTTTAGCTCCTGAATTTCTATTTGGTTCTTTTTAATTATTTTTTAAAAATCTCTGTTGAACTTCTAGTTTTGTTCATGTATTGTTTTCCTGATTTTTTTTGACGTTGTCTGTCAGTGTTTTCTTGTAGCTTGCTGAACTTTCCTAAAGCAATTAGTTTGAATTCTTTGTGTATTTCTGTTTCTTTGGTGTTGGTTACTGGAAAATTATTGTGTTTCTTTGGTGGTGACATGTTTCCTTAGTTTTTCATAGCTTGTTGCCTTGCACTGATGTCTGTGCATTTGATGAAGCAGTCACCTCTTCCAGATACTACGGACTAGTTTCAGTGGGGAAAGAACTTCACCAATGGGTGAATAGGAGAGCACTGGCTGGGTGGGTTTCCACTCCATATAGGTAGAGTGGCATAGTGTTCATGCAGCTCTGTCAGATGAAGTTGTGTTTGGCAAAGAGTCCAAAGACCCTCAGTGGCCAAGGCTGTGGTGGGTATCCACAGCTATAGTGAGGGTTATTGGGGTCTCCAGCATTAAAGGCTGCTGTAGATTTTTTGGTATATTTTTCTCACATTGGGAAAGTTGTGGCTGAGGGGATCCCTCTTGGCATTGAGCCTGGCTCATGGTGGGCTCATGGTATGGGAGCCCATGGTACTGGCATCTGAAGCTCTGTGCCCACAGAGCAGCCACAGAGCCAGAGTCTGGAGTGTGTGCTCATGTGGAACTGACTGTGGCTCCAGGGTCTGGAGTGTGGGCATGTGCAGAGCTACCACTCCTTCAGAGATCAGGGAAGCGGTTGCTATGGTGCTACAGTTGTTGCTATTGCATCTGCAGTGCTGGTGCTCATACAGCAGCTACAGAATCAGGGTCTGGAATGCTGGTACACATGGACTGATAGTGGCTCCAGGGTCTGAGGCCAGGCTAGCCCACAGTCATGGTGACTCTTGTGTCTGAGCTTCAGGTGTGCATGGTACAGCCATGGATTTGGGGTCTGGAATGCGGGCATGCATGGTACAGCCATGGATTTGGGGTTTGGAGTGTGGGTATGCATGGACCAACTGCAGTTCTGGGGTCTAAGGTTCAGGCAGGGTTGGGGAGTGGTGACCCCAGTTCCAGGGTGGCACAACATGGCTTTTTCTTGGTAGGAGTATGCAGCAGTGTCTCCCTATCCCAGAAGTTCTCAGTGGCGATAGCTCTTGGTTACTTCAGTGGTGAAGGCTGCCATTGTCCTCTGCAGAGCAGGCCACTGGGGACCAAGGTGGCACCTGCCATATGGCTGATATTGATAGCCCCTATCCTTCTTCTTTGTTCCTAGCTATCTCCAGATGTCTCAAGTATGTCTATCACCCCAGCGATTCTTTCTGTGTGGCAATTCTTTATTTTTTGCTCCACTGTGTTTCTGCAGGTTCTTGTTTGAAACCTTGAGCCCTCCCAGGACTATTTTCACTTGTGGACAGCTGTCTAATTTTTTTTTTTTAGGAGGATTAGGGCTGGTATCTCCTACTCTGCCATCTTGCTGACATCCTTCTCAAGGACCATTAATCTTTTTTTTTTGCCTACTTTATTTTATTTTTTATTTTCATTTTTTAAAAATTTTATTATTATTATACTTTAAGTTTGAGGGTACATGTGCACAATGTGCAGGTTTGTTACATATGTATACATGTGCCATATTGGTGTGCTGCGCCCATTAACTTGTCATTTAGCATTAGGTATATCTCCTAATGCTATCCCTCCCCCATCCCCCCACCCCACAATAGTCCCCGGTGCGTGATGTTCCCCTTCCTGTGTCCATGCATTCTCATTGTTCAATTCCCACCTATGAGTGAGAACATGCGGTGTTTGGTTTTTTGTCCTTGCGATAGTTTGCTGAGAATGATGGTTTCCAGTTTCATCCATGTCCCTACAAAGGACATGAACTCATCATTTTTTATGGCTACATAGTATTCCATGGTGTATATGTGCCACATTTTCTTAATCCAGTCTATCATTGTGGGACATTTAGGTTGGTTCCAAGTCTTTGCTATTGTGAATAGTGCTGCTATAAACATATGTGTGCATGTGTCTTTATACCAGCATGATTTATAATCCTTTGGGTATATACCCAGTAATGGGATGGCTGGGTCAAATGGTATTTCTAGTTCTAGATCCCTGAGGAATCGCCACACTGACTTCCACAATGGTTGAACTAGTTTACAGTCCCACCAACAGTGTAAAAGTGTTCCTATTTCTCCACATCCTCTCCAGCACCTGTTGTTTCCTGATGTTTTAATGATTGCCATTCTAACTGCTGTGAGATGGTATCTCATAGTGGTTTTGATTTGCATTTCTCTGATGGCCAGTGATGATGAGCATTTTTTCATGTGTTTTTTGGCTGCATAAATGTCTTCTTTTGAGAAGTGTCTGTTCATAACCTTCGCCCACTTTTTGATGGGGTTGTTTGTTTTTTTCTTGTAAATTTGTTTGTGTTCATTGTAGATTCTGGATATTAGCCCTTTGTCAGATGAGTAGATTGCAAAACTTTTCTCCCATTTTGTAGGTTGCCTGTTCACTCTGATGGTAGTTTCTTTTGCTGTGCAGAAGCTCTTTAGTTTAATTAGATCCCATTTGTCAATTTTGGCTTTTGCTGCCATTGCTTTTGGTGTTTTAGACATGAAGTCCTTGCCGATGCCTATGTCCTGAATGGTAATGCCTAGGTTTTCTTCTAGGGTTTTTATGGTTTTAGGTCTCACATTTAAGTCTTTAATCCATCTTGAATTAATTTTTGTATAAGGTGTAAGGAAGGGATCCAGTTTCAGCTTTCTACATATGGCTAGCCAGTTTTCCCAGCACCAGTTCTTAAATAGGGAATCCTTTCCCCATTGCTTGTTTTTCTCAGGTTTGTCAAAGATCAGATAGTTGTAGATATGTGGCATTAATTCTGAGGGCTCTGTTCTGTTCCATTGGTCTATATCTCTGTTTTGGTACCGGTACCATGCTGTTTTGGTTACTGTAGCCTTGTAGTATAGTTTGAAGTCAGGTAGCGTGATGCCTCCAGCTTTGTTCTTTTGGCTTAGGATTGACTTGGCAAGGCGGGCTCTTTTTTGGTTCCATATGAACTTTAAAGTAGTTTTTTCCAATTCTGTGAAGAAAGTCATTGGTAGCTTGATGGGGATGGCATTGAATCTATAAATTACCTTGGGCAGTATGGCCATTTTCACGATATTGATTCTTCCTACCCATGAGCATGGAATGTTCTTCCATTTCTTTGTATCCTCTTTAATTTCATTGAGCAGTGGTTTGTAGTTCTCCTTGAAGAGGTCCTTCACATCCCTTGTAAGTTGGATTCCTAGGTATTTTATTCTCTTTGAAGCAGTTGTGAATGGGAGTTCACTCATGATTTGGCTCTCTGTTTGTCTGTTATTGGTGTATAAGAATGCTTGTGATTTTTGTACATTGATTTTGTATCCTGAGACTTTGCTGAACTTGCTTATCAGCTTGAGGAGATTTGGGGCTGAGACGATGGGGTTTTCTAGATACACAATCATGTCATCTGCAAACAGGGACAATTTGACTTTCTCTTTTCCTAATTGAATACCCTTTATTTCCTTCTCCTGCCTGATTGCCCTGGCCAGAACTTCCAACACTATGTTGAATAGGAGCGGTGAGAGAGGGCATCCCTGTCTTGTGCCAGTTTTCAAAGGGAGTGCTTCCAGTTTTTGCCCATTCAGTATGATATTGGCTGTGGGTTTGTCATAGATAGCGCTTATTATTTTGAGATACGTCCCATCAATACCTAATTTATTGAGAGTTTTTAGCATGAAGGTTGTTGAATTTTGTCAAAGGCCTTTTCTGCATCTATTGAGATAATCATGTGGTTTTTGTCTTTGGTTCTGTTTATATGCTGGATTACATTTATTGATTTACATATGTTGAACCAGCCTTGCATCCCAGGGATGAAGCCCACTTGATCATGGTGGATAAGCTTTTTGATGTGCTGCTGGATTTGGTCTGCCAGTATTTTATTGAGGATTTTTACATCGATGTTCATCAAGGATATTGGTCTAAATTTCTCCTTTTTGGTTGTGTCTCTGCCAGGCTTTGGTATCAGGATGATGCTGGCCTCATAAAATGAGTTAGGGAGGATTCCCTCTTTTTCTATTGATTGGAATAGTTTCAGAAGGAATGGTACCAGCTCCTCTTTGTAACTCTGGTAGAATTCGGCTGTGAATCCATCTGGTCCCGGACTTTTTTTGGTTGGTAAGCTATTGATTATTGCCTCAATTTCAGAGCCTGTTATTGGTCTGTTCAGAGATTCAACTTCTTCCTGGTTTAGTCTTGGGAGGATGTATGTGTCGAGGAATTTATCCATTTCTTCTAGATTTGCTAGTTTATTTGCATAGAGGTGTTTATAGTATTCTCTGATGGTAGTTTGTATTTCTGTGGGATCGGTGGTGATATCCCCTTTATCATTTTTTATTGCATCTATTTGATTCTTCTCTCTTTTCTTCTTTATTAGTCTTGCTAGCGGTCTATCAATTTTGTTGATCTTTTCAAAAAACGAGCTCCTGGATTCATTAATTTTTTGAAGGGTTTTTTGTGTCTCTATTTCCTTCAGTTCTGCTCTGATCTTAGTTATTTCTTGCCTTCTGCTAGCTTTTTAATGTGTTTGCTCTTGCTTTTCTAGTTCTTTTAATTGTGGTGTTAGGGTGTCAATTTTAGATCTTTCATGCTTTCTCTTGTGGGCATTTAGTGCTATAAATTTCCCTCT
This sequence comes from Homo sapiens, assembly GCF_000001405.40. Taxonomy (NCBI): domain Eukaryota; kingdom Metazoa; phylum Chordata; class Mammalia; order Primates; family Hominidae; genus Homo; species Homo sapiens. The sequence goes on from NC_000002.12 coordinate 219,816,667, forward strand.
ACACTTTGCTTTGAATGTGTTCCAGAGATTCTGGTATGTTGTGTCTTTGTTCTCGTTGGTTTCAAAGAACATCTTTATTTCTGCCTTCATTTCGTTATTTACCCAGTAGTCATTCAGGAGCAGGTTGTTCAGTTTCCATGTAGTTGAGCAGTTTTGAGTGAGTTTCTTAATTCTGAGTTCTAGTTTGATTGCACTGTGATCTCAGAGACAGTTTGTTATAATTTCTGTTCTTTTACATTTGCTGAGGAGTGCTTTACTTCCAACTACATGGTCAGTTTTGGAGTAGGTGTGGTGTGGTGCTGAAAGGAATGTATATTCTGTTGATTTGGGGTGGAGAGTTCTGTAGATGTCTATTAGGTCCACTTGGTGCGGAGCTGAGTTCAATTCCTGGATATCCTTGTTAACTTTCTGTCTCGTTGATCTAATGTTGACAGTGGGGTGTTAAAGTCTCCCATTATTATTGTGTGGGAGTGTAAGCCTCTTTGTAGGTCACTAAGGACTTGCTTTATGAATCTGGGTGCTCCTGTATTGAGTGCACATATATTTAGGATAGTTAGCTCTTCTTGTTGAATTGATCCCTTTACCATTATGTAATGGCCTTCTTTGTCTCTTTTGATCTTTGTTGGTTTAAAGTCTGTTTTATCAGAGACTAGGATTGCAACCCCTGCCGTTTTTTGTTTTCCATTTGCTTGGTAGATCTTCCTCCATCCCTTTATTTTGAGCCTATATGTGTCTCTGCACGTGAGATGGGTTTCCTGAATACAGCACACTGATGGGTCTTGACTCTTTATCCAATTTGCCAGTCTGTGTCTTTTAATTGGAGCATTTAGCCCATTTACATTTAAAGTTAATATTGTTATGTGTGAATTTGATCCTGTCATTATGATGTTAGCTTGTTATTTTGCTCGTTAGTTGATCCAGTTTCTTCCTAGCCTTGATGGTCTTTACAATTTGGCATGTTTTTGCAGTGGCTGGTACCGGTTTTTCCTTTCCATGTTTACTGCTTCCTTCAGGAGCTCTTTTAGGGCAGGCCTGGTGGTGACAAAATCTCTCAGCATTTGCTTGTCTGTAAAGTATTTTATTTCTCCTTCACTTATGAAGCTTAGTTTGGCTGGATATGAAATTCTGGGCTGAAAATTCTTTTCTTTAAGAATGTTGAATATTTGTTCCCACTCTCTTCTGGCTTGTAGAGTTTCTGCTGAGAGATCAGCTGTTAGTCTGATGAGCTTCCCTTTGTGGGTAACCCGACCTTTCTCTCTGACTGCCCTTAACATTTTTTCCTTCATTTCAACTTTGGTGAATCTGACAATTATGTGTCTTGGAGTTGCTCTTCTCGAGGAGTATCTTTATGGCATTCTCTGTATTTCCTGAATTTGAATGTTTGCCTGCCTTGCTAGATTGGGGAAGTTCTCCTGGATAATATCCTGCAGCGTGTTTTCCAACTTGGTTCCATTCTCCCCGTCACTTTCAGGTACACCAATCAGACGTAGATTTGGTCTTTTCACATAGTCCCATATTTCTTGGAGGCTTTGTTTGTTTCTTTTTATGCTTTTTTCTCTAAACTTCTCTTCTCGCTTCATTTCATTCATTTCATCTTCCATCACTGATACCCTTTCTTCCAGTTGATTGCATTGGCTACTGAGGCTTCTGCATTCGTCACGTAGCTCTTGTTCCTTGGTTTTCAGCTCCATCAGGTTCTTTAAGGACTTCTCTGCATTGATCATTCTAGTTATCCATTCGTCTAATCTTTTTTCAAAGCTTTTAACTTCTTTGCCATTGGTTCGAATTTCCTCCTGTAGCTCGGAGTAGTTTGATCATCTGAAACCTTCTTCTCTCAACTCGTCAAAGTCATTCTCCATCCAGCTTTGTTCCATTGCTGGTGAGGAGCTGCATTCCTTTGGAGGAGAGGCGCTCTGATTTTTAGGGTTTCCAGTTTTTCTGCTCTGCTTTTTTCCCATCTTTGCGGTTTTATCTACCTCTGGTCTTTGATGATGGTGACGTACAGATGGGTTTTTGGTGTGGATGTCCTTTCCGTTTGTTAGTTTTCCTTCTAACAGACAGGACCCTCAGCTGCAGGTCTGTTGGAGTTTGCTAGAGGTCCACTCCAGACCCTGTTTGCCTGGGTATCAGCAGCAGTGGCTGCAGAACAGCGGATATTGGTGAACCGCGAATGCTGCTGCCTGATTTTTCCTCTGGAAGTCTTGTCTCAGAGGAGTACCCGGCCGTGTGAGGTGTCAGTCCGCCCCTACTGGGGGGTGCCTCCCAGTTAGGCTACTTGGGGGTCAGGGACCCACTTGAGGAGGCAGTCTGCCTGTTCTCATATCTCAAGCTGCATGCTGGGAGAACCACTACTCTCTTCAAAGCTGTCAGACAGGGACATTTAAGTCTGCAGAGGTTACTGCTGTCTTTTTGTTTGTCTGGGCCCTGCCCCTAGAGGTGGAGCCTACAGAGGCAGGCAGGCCTCCTTGAGCTGTGGTGGGCTCCACCCAGTTCAAGCTTCCCGGCCGCTTTGTTTACCTAATCAAACAACTAACTCGGCAATGGCGGGCGCCCCTCCCCCAGCCTCGCTGCTGCCTTGCAGTTTGATCTTGGACTGCTGTGCTAGCAATGAGCGAGACTCTGTGGGCATAGGACCCTCCGAGCCAGGTGCAGGATATAATCTCCTGGTGTGCCGTTTTTTAAGCCCGTTGGAAAAGCGCAGTATTAGGGTGGGATTGTCCCAATTTTCTAGGTGCTGTCTGTCACCCCTTTCTTTGACTAGGAAAGGGAATTTCCTGACCCCTTGTGCCTCCCGGGTGAGGTGATGCCTCGCCCCGCTTCGGCTCATGCATGGTGTGCTGCACCCACTGTTCTGCACCTACTGTCTGGCACTCCCCAGTGAGATGAATCCCATACCTCAGTTGGAAATGCAGAAATCACCCATCTTCTGCATCGCCCATGGTGGGAGCTGTAGACTGGAGCTGTTTCTATTTGGCCATCTTGGCTCCTCCCCCCACCATTAATCTTTAGTTAATGCAGAAGAACCTCTTTTTTACTACAGTTGGGTTGCATGCAGCATCTCTGTACTGGTTTCCTGTTGGTTTTATTAATGTCTCCTCATTATTCTATTTATCCTTTTTTTTTGAATTGCAGTGTCCAATTTCCCAAAGAATAACTATTGTTTCTCTACATTAAGTGGTTCCAGAGACATTGCCTCTAGTCTTGACCATAGCAGTGGACATAAAATTCAAACCTGGTCAATTACAATGTTTACCATGGGATGGCAAAAGTGAGCCAATCAGAATACTTCTCAGGGACTTATATGGGACTTATATGGATACTAGGCAGGAGAGCCCTTTCTTTCTTCTAGGACCGATAAACTGAAGTATCATATGCCACACAACACAAAGAGAAAAATAGACGACACGTTTTGAGATCCTGCTGTCTCTGTGAACCAGCTCTATCCATTACCAAGAGTTAAAGAGTGCAAAGAGAGATTTGGTTTTGGGAACAGGGATCTCTTTTGCTCGTTAAATCATATGATATTGTGGGTGGCTTCTGAAAAGAGGCCACAGAAATTTCCCAGCACCCCACATCATGCTGTGTTCTTCATATGGACTCTTTCCGTACACACAAGAACAAATGGGACAAAAAAAACAAAAACAAAAAAACCTGGTAGAAAATAAGGAATTGGTGGCCTGATCCAGACTTACTGCCTCATTTAAGTCCATTCGTGTTATACCACATCAGAAGTGCCATAAGAGGCCACAGAATAATGAAGGAAACCTATGTTTTAAACAGGTTCTTCATGTGATTATTAATGAAATAAATGTTTACTGAATGCCTGCTGTGTTCAGGTCTTTCTCCAAGGACTGAAGCTACTGCAGTGAATAAAACGGATAAACACCCCTGCCCTCAGGAGCTTATGATTGGGGGTGGGAGACAGGGAGGGTCTATGTGTGTGCATGTGTGTGTGTGTGTGCGCATGTGTGTGTATGGGCGGGGTTTGGAGGGTTGCAGTTTTAAATGGGGCAGTCAGAGAATGCCTCACTGAGAGGGTGACAATTGTGTAAAGACTTAGAAGAGATGAGCAACGGGCCCACCTGGCATCAGGGAAGAGTGTGCAGAGGAACAGCCAACACAAAGGCCCTAAAGCAGAAATGTGCCTGGTGTGTTCTGGGAATGGGAGCAGAGCAAGGCAGGGAGATGTCAGGGAGGTCGGCAATGGGCAAATGGTGCACAACCTCATGGGCCTACTGTGAACGTTTGAGCTTTGGCTCTGAGTGAGGTGAGAAGCCTGTGGCAGCTGCCAGGCTGAGGTTTTATCAGGCTCATGCTGGGCTTCTCTGTCGAAGGTATTCTGAAGCCGTGGCCATCTGCAGCCCCTGCTAATCTAAGCTGCCTCCCATATATAGCCAAGGGGATGTGAAATAAGCCAGTATATGGGAAGTCCCCAGCATGGAAGTGATTGGCTTCAGGTACCCTCTTCAAAGCAGGGTTGAGGGGGCAGGGAGAGAAAGAGAATTTGTCATTGAAAAGAGGGAGGGAGAGAGAGAAAAAGCAGCCCCAAGAGTAAGTGGAGGTTGGGCTGTTCCCTACCTATCCCAGATTTTCTAAGGGCTGGTCCAAGAGGCTGCTCAGATCTTCATGCTACTCGGAAGTCCTTATGCTATATGCAATATTGCCTGGCACAGAATAGATCTTGATAAATCAGTGTTGAAAGAATGAATGAATGCAATCCAATTTTGCAGTTTACTTATGAGCCTCCAGTCACACCAAGCACCCATCCCCTCCCCTGAACCACTGAGTCACTAACTCAGTTAACTCAAGGATGGCTGGAAGAAGAGTGAGGTCTCCAAGATTGCATCTGAGTACTAGGAGCGCATGGTAATGGTTATTATGCCCATGTTCACTTTGAATCTGAATATCTGTTGCTGTTAGCTTCTAAGTTTCATTTTAAGGGCAAAACTGCAGGAGTTACGAGATGTGGAGGCATCTCTGAGCTGCAGGAATAGGCTGCCCAGGCCCCCTGGGACCACACACCTTCCTCTTTGATCTGCGAAGTCTACCTTGGCCCCGGAGATTGTGCACATTTTGGAGAGATGTAACTTCATAATCTTTTTATGGTCTTTGGCTGAGCTTAAAGAAGAGGTAGTGGCTTGTAAAATTCTTTTATTTATGACATAATTTTCGGGATTCAGTGCTCACAAATACTGGCAAGGTTGAATTTATGAAAGCGGAGGCTATTTTAATGTTATCCTCTTAGTTCATAAAATGTTGCCCCTGAAGGGGATGTTAGAATTTGGATGCAGTGAATAGCATCGTGGGAGCTGCTTGTCCTCAATAAGCATGTTCCTGAATTTGTATTATGACCTGCAGTTGAAAGGCTAAACAGTATACATTCAACTAGTAATTCACATATAGATTTCCATTTGGCTGAAGAAAGTTTTGTTTTCCTGGGTCTGTTCTTAATTAATAATTCGATTCAAGTTTAATTAACATTGTCTAGTGATTGTTTTTGCTTCCTTAGCATTCTTCAAACTATTAGCTTTGAAATTTGAAGTAGCTATCTCAAGTGGATAAAGAACAGTCTTTTTTCTTAAAGACAATTTCTTCAGTAGGAAAGATTGTAATTCAGTTATTTGCAATTGGTATCAATTGGTGGAGCAGAGACTAGGGGTTGCGGCAGAGGCCATGATAGTAGGAGCTGCACCCGTCCCCTGAGACCCCTGCTGCCCACGTGCCTGCTGGGTAAACACAGGTTGGACCGACTCACAACCAAAATCTTGATCCAGTGTGTGGACGTAAAAATCTTCCTGGCATATTTTTGAAACCTGATTGCAAAGGAGATTTTTTTTTTTTTGGAAAGCCTGAGTATCTAAGAGGCATGAAAATAACGCATCATTTTAGAGAGATTCTATGTGACAAGAGAAATAAATAATGTCATGACTTCAACTTTTTTTAAAAACGCTTTTCAGAAATGTGTAGAGAAACCCAATTATGGAAACAATTGATAATTGCTAGAACTGATGTTCTTTAGAATGGAGAATATTCAGAAAGAGAAACCTAGGAAAAAATTCATTAGCTCGATCCACAATGTAGCAAAAGTGTTGGAAGAAAAGCAAATCCCAAATGGAAGGTAACAGGCTGTCCCAGTTGTCTATTGCCCCCTAGGGACTATTCCCAGAGGCTTTCCTTCAGGAAGTAGAGGATGACAATATACATTTGAGCCCAGGCCCAAACAGCTGCCCCGTTGATGCCTTTTTTTTTTTTTTTTTTTGAGACAGAGTCTTGCTCTGTCACCCAGGCTGGAGTGCAGTGGCATGGTCTTGGCTCACTGCAACCTCTGCCTCCCGGGTTCAGGCAAGTCTCCTGCCTCAGCCTCCCGAGTAGCTGGGACTATAGTCATGTGCCACCACACCCAGCTAAATGTTTTGTATTTTTTGGCTAGAGATGGGGTTTCACCATGTTGGCCAGGCTGGTCTCAAACTCCTGGCCTCAAGTGATCTGCCTGCCTCGGCCTTCCAAAGTACCCTTTGATGACTCTTTTGTGGCAGGTCTTGTAATTTAGTGGTAAAGAGCTCAGATCTGAGCTGGAATCCTGGCTTCACCACCGACAGGTCATACCATATTTGACGAATCACTTAATCTCTGAATCTGCAAAATGGGGATAGCAATCATGCATAGCTCGTGAGTGGTTATGGAGGGTTAAATGAGATAATGTGTGTTAAGTGCCATAGGCTGTAGCTACCTCCTAGTTTTAGCCACTGAGAGCATAACTGGTCGACCTCTCATTTAGAAAGAGAAGCAGGGTTATTCTCAAGAGAGATGGGATAAATCAGCCTGCTTTAGAGAGCCTTGTACTTCACTTGGAGATGTTCTCCTTTTGGCAGAGGCTGGCATCTTGTGATCACCCACCAGCAAGGAGAGGCTCGGGCTAGGACTTAGTGTAGCATCTTGGCATTTGGATTCCTCCTCTGCGTCTCAGATGAATGGCCCAGCAGATAAATACTCATGATTCCCTAGGGCCTGAGAGGTGAACTGGGAAAGTGAAGTATTCTGAGAGCAGAAGTATACAAGAGGTCACCTGGTTCCTAGGCAGCTCATTCTGGCAGCGGATATAATGTGGCTTAATCCAGCTGTTGCTTTTGCACCAGGGCCAAATAGAGATGAACACTCCTCTGAGTCTCACTGAGCTGTGTGTCTTGTCTTCCTCGATTCTGAGCAAGGCCTGCATTTTTACAGATTAGAAACTCTCTTAGGGGGCTGGGCGTGGTGGCTCATGCCTGTAATTCCAGCACTTTGGGAGGCCGGGGCAGACGGATCACCTGAGGTCAGGAGTTTGAGACCAGCCTGGCCAACATGGTGAAGCCCCATCTCTACTAAAAAATACAAAATTAGCTGGGCATGGTGGCGGTCACCTGTAGTCCTAGCTAGTCGGAAGGCTGAGGCAGGAGAATGGCTTGAACCCGGGAGGCAGAGGTGGCAGTGAGCCGAGATCACGCCACTGTACTCTAGCCTGGGTGACAGAGCAAGACTCCGTCTCAAAAAAAAAAAAAACTCTTTTGAGGGGTTTTATAAATTCTCTCTAGTGGATGTGTGATTACCACATGTCCTAGCCTTGCCGATGCTTTAATGTCAATTTCCTGGCTTTAGAGTGTGAGAAGCAAAGAAAAAAAGATTCAAATATCTAAAGGCTTAATTTCTAATTATTTTTATAACCCAGAAGTAGATGATTCTGTGTACATCGTTGAGTGCTGGTTTGATTTTCCTCTGTGTTCTTCCTTCTTCACTCCTACTGGGAAGTAGAAGCAAACAACTTTTGGGGACTCTTCCTACTTCTTTTCTGATCTCATCTCTCCATGTATTTAGTTTTTTCTTTCTAAAAGCAAGTGATGAATCTGAGATAAGCTACCATCATATTGTGTGTGTGTGTGTGTGTGTGTAGAGATTCTATACATGTCTTTTCTTCCCCACAAAATGGGTAAAAATGGAAGTGCCAACCCAGGTTCCACTATTGTAAACACCAAAAAGGGCAAACTGAATGAAAGATCAAAAGCAAGTTCTTCATTGCTCTTTCCTTTCCACCTCTGCCCTGGAATGTCCCAATTTCCAAGAAGCACTCTGGGGGACAGTGAATCACAGCTGTCGCCATCCTATTCCACAAAATAACAAGTGAAAGGAAAAGAGCAAATACAAGGTTAGCACAACGAGAGCCGCCTGATTGGCTCATGTCACTCTGCCGACCATATCTCATTCCTCTAGTTCTAGGAGGGCTTTCCTGAGGCCTGGGCAGTGGGGAGTATGAGATGCACCATGCTTGAAGCCTTTATGTTAAAAAGCTTAGCTTTTTCCTTTGAAGGTGGGAAATGGTTTCAAAAGAAATCACATTTTTGTCAGGATCAGACTGGAGAGACTGCAACCTTAACAGAACTTTAGAATTTCAGAGTCGGATGGATCTTGTCCAGTTTCATTTTTCAAAGGAGGAATGGGAGGCCAGGCATATTAAATGTCTTCCTGCATGTCCCACTACACCCACCTTATGCTAAATCTGGCTTCGAGGGAGTGCAGAGACAGTGAGGACCCAAAGTGCTTGCTGTGAAGAATAAAAAGTAGGCATGCTCTTGACTAGAGCTCTTTGTTCCTTGATAAGGAGACGATTGCCACTGTTTCATTCACACAGTATCTTGTCTGTGGAAAAAAGTTTCTAAAAGCCAAATCTGAGCATACATTGCTGAATATTCATTACCTACCTAGTGGATACCTACTGTCAATATGGTACCATAGAAAAAGTTCTGGGGTCCGGGTATGGTGGCTCATGCCTGTAAGCCCAGCACTTTGGGAGGCCGAGGTGGGCAGATCAGTTAAGGCTAGGAGTTCGAGACCAGCCTGGACAACATGGCGAAACCCCCTCTCTACTGAAATTACAAAAATTAGCTGGGCGTAATGGCACATGCCTGTATTCCCAGCTTCTCAGGAGACTGAAGCACGAGAATCGCTGTATCTGGGAGGTGGAGGTTGCAGTGAGCCGAGGTCGCACCACTGCATTCCAGCCTGGGTGACAGAGTGAGGCTCTGTCTCAAAAAAAAAAAAAAAGTCCTGGGGTCTGGGAATAGGTAGGGAGGGGTCAGAAGACCTGGTCTAGTCCCGTATATGTAATGGGACAGTCACTTCTCTCTTCTGGGTCACAAAATCCTCATTCGTACTGTGCAGGGTTGGACTGGATAATTTCTAAATTATAACACTAAAGTTCTGGAACTTTATGATTGTACAAGCAGTATTTGTTAGGACATAGTTTCTGCAGTGTGTGACAGAAATAAAAAATAACAGTGGTTTCAAACAAGGTAGACCTGGATTTCTCTCCCATGTAAAAGGTAAAACTAATACTGTGGGTCTGGTCTCTGTGGTCACCAGGGGACAGGACTTCTGTGTTGCTGCTCCGCCAACCTTCGTGTCCTCTCATCTCCACAGTCCAAGATGTTTGTTCACCATATTCCATGTTCTAAGCAGCAGAATGAAGGAAGGAGAAAGAGAAGAGGGAGAGCCCCATTCCTTTTTGAGCATAGCTCAAATGTATTCAATCACTTCTGTTTAAACCCTGCTGGCCAGAACTTAGTTAAATGGCCACACCAAGATGCAAAGGGGCTAAGAGGGGTAATCTTTATTCTGGCTGGCCATGTGCCTAACTATGAGTTCTAATTCTACAGAAGAGGAAATGGATATTGGGGACAACTATCAGTCTTTGCATGCAAATCATGCTTAAGATGATATAGATTCACAGGATGATCTACTGCCTCCCCTCTGCTAAGGATGGGAGGCCTAAATGGGGCAGTGTCTCTGATAGCCAGGATAAATGCCCAATTTGGAGGAATAATGGTGGGTCTTGGAGAACCTGCTGCTGAAACTCTATTATTCAAGTAAGTGGGTAGCAGTGGTAAGCCCTTTTGGGGAATCTGTCCAGTTCCTGATGTTCCCTGTTCTCTGAGCTCTACTTCTCATTCTCCAATATGGTGGTTAATGGCAGCCATGTTTGTCCCCCACCCATCAGTGGCCAGAGACAGAAACAGGTGTGGACACCTGACCACCTGCTAGGCTATCACATCCTCTCTCCTGGGCATTTGGAGCTGTGGCTGAGAGAGTCACGTGGATTTGGGGCCATTTGCTGGAATATGGGTATTATTATAATACTCAACTCAAAAGTGGTGGGGTGCCATGTTTTGTCACGAGTATGGGAAATCAGAGAAAGCTGGTTCTGGGACAGAGAGGGATGAAGCAGGTGTTCAGAGAGAGCAGCCCCCAAACACTGCAGGGCCTGAGAAAAAGGGGAGGGGGCTGCCTTGTTCCTGATGGCTCTGCCAACCACGATTCAGTTTCCCTTAAGGCTAAGATGCGTTTAGATTTATTAAAGCTCTCTTAAAAATATACCATGTAATATAGAGAAAGCTTTTTCTTTTTTAAAAAGGATTCCTAAACAGTTGAGTTTTTTTTCTTATTAAAACAAATCTTAAAATCTCATGTACCATCTTGACAGCTAATGGCTTGCAAATTTCAATTTTCTGCTTGTCACTAAAAGTGACAACTCAGAGGAGACTATAGAAATTGATTCACCTAGCCAAACTTATCCAAAGTGGGGAAGCTAAATAGGTCAGTCAATGGAGACCAAAACCACAGCTTCTTTTCCCAAATAAAACAGCAAGAAATCCACATGGGAAGGGATGAAATGCAATGCAATGGTTCAGAAGGGATATTGAAAACAGCTCATCTTTATTTTAAAATATCTTCCTCTAACTTAAATGAACATGTGAATTTGAAAAAGATCATAAGTTGGTATTAGAAGATAGCACTCACTATACATTTATAAGTTGACTTCAAAGGAAAAAATAGGCAAGTCATCCAATTTCTTAAATAAAATTTAGGAGTGGAGATTCTAATGAGAAAGAGTTCATGCTGTGAATCTCCCTGTATGAAATATGAAATCTACTAATAGAAATATATTAGAGTAACATTTCAATTAACTGGAACCCAATTCATCAGAGCTTTCAATTATTATTATTATTCTTAAGCCCACTTAAATCATGGATGTAATAAAACAAATCAAGTCCTAGGGATTGTCCTAGCTTTAGGTCTTTGCAATTTTTTTTAACCTCTGACACGTATCTAGAACCAGATAGAATTGGCTAAATAATTGGGTTTTAGAACTAGTAAGACTTGAGGGCCATCTAGTATAATGGTTTTCAACCTTAGTCACACATTATGGTCACCTGGGGAGACTGAAAAAAATCCCGATGTCCAGGCTGCACCCAACACCAATTAAAGCAGAATCTCTGGGAGGCGGGACCGACCTGTATTTAAAAAAATTTCCAGATGATTCCAAAGTGCAGTCAAATTTGAAAACCAGGGTTCTTCTGCAGCTGTCCCAAGAAGTGAAGTGAGTGACCCAGATAGCCAGCTGGTAACAGAACCAGGCCTGTAATCTGGGACTTTCCAAATCAGTCCAATCTCTTCCCCCATTATACTACTCACAGTTGGCCCCTAAGCTACACTGGGCCAACATGCACCACCCCACACTGACGGATGAGCCTGTGCTATTCTAACTTTGACGTGTGCCCCACTCATCTGGAGATCTTGTTAAAGGCAGCTTCTGATTAGCAGCGCCTGCATTTCTAACAAGCTCTCAGGCGGGGCTGATGCTGCTGATCCAAGGACTGTACACACTTTGAGAATCTCTGTTCTAAGCTGCAGTAGGGCTCTCCCTTCACCCACAGCACACCTGCCTAGCACCCGGAGGTAGATCTGAACTCTTCTCATCCTGGTTCAAGGACACCACTGCTGTTTCTTGAGGCATCTCCTTATTTCTCCAAAAGCCACTCTGTTCACTCAGAAGCTCAGAATCATCCACAGCTGCATTTTCTTATCTGTGGGATTCTCCAGCCGTTGTGCTTTGCTGAATAGCAACATTTGGCTGCATCATTCCTGAGCAGGGTTTTTTTTTTTTTTTTTTTTGCTTAGCTTCCCCGAGAGAGTAAAAGATGTGCTTCATAATGGGCAACATGAAGGAGGTTAAAGTTCACTGACAAGGACCATTCGTTAGGTGGGATGAGTGTCTAGCTCTGCTTATCAGCCTGCGCATGTGGCTAAAGATGGAAAAACTGACAGGCAGTAGAATGAAACCCAGGCACCTGAGGAAATCCAGGCCTAATCCCCTCCCATAAAACAAAGTGGAAACAGTTGAAATCTGAAAGCAGATGGTTGAGTTCCTCCATATTGGGCTATAAAGGGGGACTTTTGTGATAGGGTATTTATGGATTTGGGGAAACCTGACAAGGTGTTGCTATAAATGCCAAGAAGTACACAGCACAGTGATTTTGTTATTGGAATACATCTCATGAAGACTATAGTGAGGATGGGGAAAGATAGCTGCTGTGTGTGTATGTGTGTACATATTTGCATGCGTGTAGGTGGGAGGTGCATTCACTTGGCTCATGCTGCTTTGAGCAAGACTGATTTGGTGGTTGTAGGGAAAGGGCTGTAAAGGGAGACCCCTACAAGGGCATATGCAGGGACAAGATGAGCATTTGGTCATGGAACGGCTGTATGTGGGGTTTGAAAGTGGGAGCTGGAGAGTTTGGGCGCATAGCTTTAGTGTTCAACTTGAAAAGCTGCTCAAAACAAAATTGGGTCCCCAAAGAGCTGCAGAATGAAACAGGTATAAGTTTAACTGGCCCCTCCTGTCCCAGGCGCTTCCATTACCCTATGCGGCCACAATCTTGCCTTATGCATTTTACAGCAATGCTGCCTTCTGTGTCTAGGTATTGAGCTGTGATGACTATCTTTCACTGGTCAGTCAGTTATTCCTCATCTTTAAAGTTTCTAACCTTGTTCCTGGTCTGATCCAGAGAATATCTGTGATAGATTAAAAAAAAATTCTTTAATATACAAAGGATTAGCTAGCCGGATCTTTGAAAGTTATACTGTCTGTAAAAAAAAAAAAAAGTACCATATGGACTATTTAGAAATCCACTTTTAAAATCGAAAGAGCCCTTTCGAATTGCAGTCCTGAAACAATCCTGCAGAGTCGTATGGTTTGGGGGACGGGGTGGCCCTTTTGTCTCCAACTCTGAGGAACACGTGCTCTCTCTGTTTCAAAGTGGATGAATCAAGCGGGAAGATTTTCGATTGTAGTTTAAACTAAGTGGACCCTTCGGACTTTCCTGGAGCTTGTCGAAATTCTATTTCTGGGAAACTACATTGTGATAGAGAAAGACAAGAGGCGGGATAGGAGAATCAGAATGAGAAACACGCAAAGGGAAAACAGATGTCTCGAAGTCACATGCAGAGCTCTTATTTGCAGTTTTCGGGTAAACAGAGCCCAGTCTGGAGAAGCAGCTTTGGACATGAACAGTAAACATAAACAAGAAGGGAGCAGTGGCCCTGGAGCCCCACCGTGGGATCACTCCACACCTGCCAAATCTGAGTCCTCAGACAGCAACAGTAGGCTGCTCCCATGCCGGGAGCTTGCTCGCAGTGTGGCCTCCTGGCAGGGAAAAGAAGCAGAGGTCTCCCTACTTCCTACCTGATACCGCAGTGCGTTCCTCCTCCCTCAAGTTGGCTGGTGCAGGTTGGGTCCTTGAGCGTCATGAGGTGAGCTGGAGCAGCACCTTCCCTCAGTCTACCTTTCTTGGCATCCACTGTCGAAATTTACAGCACCAGCGTCAATATTTAGGAGCAATATTCACAGCAAATATTGCTCCTTAAAGTCTGTGTGGGTGATTCTCAAACTCCAGGAGGAATCATCAGAAAGTCTGTTAAATCTCAAGGTGCCGGGCCCCACCCCCAGAGCTTCTGGCTCAGTAGATCTGTGGTGAGGCCTGAGAATTTCCACTTCTGCAAGTCCCTGCAGTATCTGCCCATGCCAAATGGCAGAAACCAGTTCAGTGAAACCATCGGAGTCTATCAGTATGGGCTAGTGGTTCTCAAACTGTGGTCCCTGAGCAGCAGCATCAGCACCACCTGGGAACTCGCAGAAGTGGAAATTCTCGGGCCTCACTTCAGATCTACTGGGTCAGAAGGTCTGGGGGTGGGGCCCAGCACCTTGAGATTTAACAGACCTTCTGATGATTCCTCCTGGATTTCGAGAACCACCTATACAGATTTTTAGGAGCAATATTTGCTGTGAAACAGAGGAAATCATCTAAGGGCAGAGATGAATTTCCTGGTGGGAATTTGGGCATTGCAGCAAGTCAGTGGAGGAGATAAAATTTAGGGGAGCAGCTGAGTGAGAGGGCTCCCCAGGGAGCAGGTTGCACTGCTCACCCACAGCCAATGCTCCTTCCTGTCACTCCTCCTAATTCTCCAGCATGACTTGAATGTGTCCCCTCTTGGAGCTGCCTTCTTTGAAATTGTTCTCACTCCTACCCTCACATGTCTCCAAATGTGCAAATGCACCACACCATACATACAAGTACCACATACCAAATACACACACACTCTCTCTTGCACATTCTTACCCTCATGCACACGCTCTTCCACTTGCTCTCACACACACGTTCTCTTATACACTGTCTTCACCTACTTACTTTCTTATACATACTCTCTTGCCCTGTCCTTCTTACACACTCACAGTCTCTTACACACACATATGCAATGCCAAGGACACAGAGGGCATTCTGCATGCTTTTACTTTCTTTTCTCCTGGGAAATAAGCCCAAGAGAAGTAGGCAGCAGAGTTTCTTTGATGAAAACCCTGTGAAATGTTGCTCACAGAGCTGCTTTCCACATGTTTTGGCCATAGCATTTGCAGTCGCAGATTAAATAGTGTATGTGTCTACTTAAATTTATCCTCCTTGCCCTCCATCCTCAAGTCAACCATGCTGTGTTACTGGTTTCCCCTGCTTGCTGCCTGGATGATGATGGGTGATTTAACGTGACATATTTAGCAGGGTCTTTGGCCTGGACACCTGTCATCCACGGTGCTCTCTCTTTCCTTGGAACTCACGGTTTGAGTCTGGCTTTTTGGTTGCAAGGGCCAAATTCCTCTTGGGTCCTCATACATCCTGGGCCTTTTTCTAAGTGTCACTGGAAGAAAATTAAATCCTGACCTTTCTAGAATGATCCATTGTGGTAACCAAGGGCAGCCATGTAAAGATAGGAAGTCCCCTTTCCTCTTGAGTTTGGCTCCCAAGATGGAGCTGAGAAGAAACCCTCCTGCATTTCTTTTTGGATGATGCTGGGGAAAGATTAAGTTATTAAGAACTTAAATTGGTCCTTTCTTGTGTCATATTTCCTTTTGCAACTTGTCCTAACTCTTCAATAAAGAACCTCACAAATCCCTGCCCAGCCTTATAGAGGTTTTTAGGAGAGAGAGAGGACAGAGTGTGAAGGGGCAGGAAGGCTCCCCACCTCATCACCTTGGAGACTTCAGTGGGGAGGGGGCAGGAAAAAAGCATAGGACCCTCAAGTGGTGGCCCACTGAGTCCTGGGGTGAGAAAGTCTCAGGTGGAGAGGAGAGGTCCTGGAGGGAGCTCCAGAAGGGCAGTCAAGGTGACCTCATGCATCATGGATATCTTGGTATTTAAGGGACGATGTCATGGGAACCCAGGCAGGGACCAAAGAGCCAGGCCTTGAGAAGAGCAGGATTGGAGATGGAGCTCAGAGCCCTGAAGGTGTTTATAAGCATTTGTAAACACGGACCTGTGCACCATCATTTTGGGGACTCTGTTCCTCGCACCGTCTGCTCATTTAGTGGCTCTCTTTGTTCGCTTGAATAACTTCATTTAGCCCTCCAGATCCACCTTTCACCTTTCCCTTCCTGCTCTGTGCCTGGGAGGTTGGACCATGTAAAACAACGACCATTAGAAGCCAAGATATGCAAATTGAGTTGATTAACTTGCCAGACAAAGGAATACACACCAGTGAATAAATCCACTGAGTTGTTCTCAGAGGTTGAAGAGTCAAGTGTTTTTTTTTTTTTGACTTCGGAAGAGGGTTTCAGGGTGGTTATCTCAATTAAGGATGGAAAACTACCACTCTTGTTAGGTGTGGGCCCGATTGGTTAAAACAAGTCCCATTGTTCATTGGTGAAGAAGGAACCTGTAGAAGGGTCCAGGAAGGGCCTGGCTTACCTGAGTCATTCAAAATTCACAGTCGATTCTCCGTTTCAGCTCATCAGAACCAGTTGCAATACAACTCAAGCCCAGTTTTGCTATCTCCTCTGCAAAGTGCCACTATAAGGAGGACGCACTTGAATGGATTGTCCACTGGCTCTGGTTTGGTTTGACCAATAGAGGCAGGGCAGGAGAAAAGGAGGCAGGAGGAGGGTAAGGTTGAGGTGGCATTCCCCCAGCTCCTTTCCTGCGGGGTTGCTGTGGGTAAGCTGCAGCCCTCTGCCTAAGGCAGCTCTCTGAGTTCAGCTCCTCTCTCATGGTTCTGATACTCTTCCCTGCCTGGCCCCTCAGGCCCAGGGGTGGTAACAGACCTTGCTGTGACTAGCTCTCAAGTACTGCATCCTCCTTTATTAGTTCCCCTAAACCCTGCCCCTTGCTCTGAACATGAGCTCTTCATCTAACCTTTCTCAATTACTTGGTTTGAGTGTGCAGTCCTTTGCCTGCCAGGACCTTGACAGGTAGGTTGACAGGTACAACCTACAGTGGTTAATTTTTTTCTGCCTTCTTATTAATACTTTTTATATCCTCCAAAATTTAGCTTGCACATGGTCTGTCATGGTCCTGTCTTCTGCATTATGACTTTTCAGCTTTAGCTACTACTACTAAGGACCTCCATTCCTTTGCATTTCCAGTTAAATTTTTTGAGCAAGTATCAGATGGGCCCTGCATTAGTCGGGGTTCTCTAGAGGGACAGAACTAATAGGAGATATATGTGTATACATATGTATATATAAAGAGGAGTTTATTAAGTAGTATTAACTCACACAATCACAAGATTCCACAATAGGCTGTTTGCAAGCTGAGGGGCAAGGAAGCCAGTCTGAGTCCCAAAGCTGAAAAACTTGGGAGTCCAACGTTCGAGGACAGGAAGAATTCAGCATGGGAGAAAGATGTGGGTTCCGAGGCTAAGCCAGTCTAGCTTTTTCACATTTTCTCTGCCTGCTTTATATTTGCTGGCAGCTGATTAGATGGTGTCCACCCAGATTAAGGGTGGGTCTGCCTTCCTCAGCCCACTGACTCAAATGTTATTCTCCTTTGGCAACACCCTCACAGACATACCCAGGATCAATACTTTGCATCTTTAAATCCAATCAAGTTGACACTCAATATTAACCATCACAAGCTCAGAGCCTGCTCTTACATTTGGGCCACGTCATACAAGCCTTGTACACCTATAAATTGGCTCATTTGTTCAACACTCTTGGTTTCATCTCTTATGGCTAGGGGTGGTGGAAGTAACATAGCACAAAATGTGTGAGGTGGGGGCTGTGTGAGGGAGTGGTCTTGGCAAACGCTGTAGTGGACATATACCTTTTAAAAATTGTCCTAAAATATGTATAACATGAAAGTTACCATTTTAGCCATTTCCTCCTAGCTTCATTAAGGTATAATTGACAATTTAAAATTGTATATATTTATGGCATAAAACATGATGTTTTGTTATATGTATACATTGTGAAATAATGAATTCAAACTAATGAACATATCCAGGACCTCAAATACCAATCATTTCTTTGTGGTGAGAGCATTTAAGATCTACTCTCCTGGGAATTTTGTAGCATATAAAAATAGATTGTAGTATATAAAATCTACATGCCTGTAGATTACAGGCATGAGAACTTATTCATCCTGTCTAACTGAATGTTTGTACCCTTCTTTGACCAACGTTTCCCCAATCCTCCCCCCATCTCCCACCCCCTTTACCTCTGGTAGCTACCGTTCTACTCTGCTTCCATGAGTTCAACTTTTTTTGGTTCTACATGTAAGTAAATCATGCAGTATTTGCTTTTCTGTGCCTGACTTATTTTACTTTGCACAACATTCTCCAGTTTCATCCATGTTGTTGCAAATTACAGGATTTCCTTCTTTTTAAAGGCTGAATAGTATTCCATTGTGTGTGTGTGGGTGTGTGTGTGTGTATGTTTGTGTGTGTGCATGTGTAGTCTACATTTTCTTTACTCATTCATTTGTCAACGAACACTTAAATTGATTTCATATCTTGACTATTGCTAATAATACTGCAATATACATGAGAGTGCAGGTATCTCTTCAAGATAGTGATTTTATTTTCTTTGGATATGTACCCGAAATTGGGATTGCTGGATCACATGATAGCTCTATTTTTAATTTGTGAGGCACCTCCATATGTTTTCTATAATGTCTGTACTAACTTGCATTCCCACCAATAGTGTACGAGGATTCCCTTTTCTCCACATCCTTGCCAACATTTGTTATCTTTTGACATTTTGATAATAACCATTCTAACAGGTGTAAAATGATAGCTCATTGTGGTTTTGATTTGCATTTCCATGATGATTGATAATGTTGAGCATATTTTCATATGCCCATTGGCCATTTGTATGTCATCTTTTGAGAAATGTCTATGCAGGTCCTTTTGCCCATTTTTAAATTGGGTTATTTGTTTTCTTCCTATTGAATTGTCTGAGTTTTTAAAATATATTTTGGATATTAACCCTTTATCAGATGTATGATTTGCAAATATCTTCTCCCATTCTGCAGATTGTCTCTTCACTGTGTTGATTGTTTGCTGTGCAGAAACATTTTAGTTTGACGCAACCCCATGTTTGTTTTTGCTTTTACTGCCCGAGCTTTTGAGTCATATCCAAAAAAATCATTTCCTAGATCAATGTCAAGTGGCTTTTTCTTGGCCAGGAATGGTGGCTCAGGCCTATAATTCCAACACTTTGGGAGGCCAAGGCAGGAGGATTGCCTGACGCCAGGAGTTTGAGATCAGCCTGGGCAACATAGCAATACCCTGCCTCTTCAAAAATGTTTTAAAAAATAGCCAGGTGTGATGGTGCATGCCTGTAGTTCCAGCTACGTGGGAAGCTGAGGCAGAAGAATTGCTTAAGCCCAGGAGTTAGAGGTTACAGTGAGCTATGATTGTGACACTGTACTTTGGCCTGAGTGACAGAGTGAAACTCTGTTTCAAAAAAAAAAGTGAGGGTTCGGTTTTATTTTTCTGCATGTGGATAAATTTTTTTCAATATTATTTATTGAAGAGTCTGTTTTTTCCCATTGTGTGTTCCTGGAAACTTTGTAGAAGATCAGTTGACTGTAAAAGTGTGGATTTATTTCTGGGCTCACTATTCTGCTCCATTGATCTATATTTCCACTTTCATGCTAGTACCATCCTGTTTTGATTACTGTAGCTTTACAGTATATATTGAAATCAGGTTGTATGATGTCTTCAGCTTTGTTCTTTTGGCTCAATATTGCTTTGGCTATTTGAGATTCACACGAATGTTTGTGGTCCCACACAAATTTTGGGATCATTTTCTTTTTTTTCTTTTCTTTTTTTTTTTTAGACAGAGTCTCACTCTGTTGCCCAGGCTGGAGTGCAGTGGTGCAATCTTGGCTCACTGCAAGCTCTGCCTCCTGGGTTCATGCCGTTCTCCTGCCTCAGCCTCCCGAGTAGCTGGGACTACAGGCACCTGCCACCACACCCAGCTACTTTTCTTTATTTTTAGTAGAGACAGGGTTTCACTGTGTTAGCCAAGATGGTCTCAATCTCCTGATCTCCTGATCCGCCCACCTTGGCCTCCCAAAGTGCTGGATTACAGGCGTGAGCCACCGCACCTGGCCCCAGGATTATTTTCTTTTAAATAATTTTTTAAGTGTATAAATTCAGTGTTATTAAATACATTTACAGTGTGTGCATGTGCAACCATCACTGCTATCCATTTTCAGAACTTTTTTATCTTCCCAAACAGAAACTTTGCACCCTTAGAGGGTTTAATACAATAATTCCTCATTCTTCCTCTTCCTAGACCCTGGTATCCTCTATTTTATTTATGAATTTGCCTGTTCTAAGTAACTCACGCAAGTGAAATCATACAATAATTGTCCTTTTGTGCTTGGCTTATTTCACTTAACATAATGTCCTCAAAGCTTGACCACGTTTTAGCATGTATCAGAATTTCATTCCTTTTTAGGGTTAAAGAATATTTCATTGCACATATATGCAACATTCTGTCTCTTCATTCATCTGTTCATGGACATTTGTGTTGCTGCCACCTTTCGGCAATTGTGAATAGTGCTTCTACAAACATTGGTGTACAAAACATATAACATTAAACAAATTTAAAAAGCTGTTTTGTAGAGATGGGATCTTGCTATGTTGCCCAGGCTGGTCTTGAACTCTTGGCCTTCACTGATCCTCCTGCCCTGGCCTCCCAAAGTGCAGGTATTACAGGCATAAGCCACTGTGCTCGGCCAAACAAATAACTTTTAATCCATATCTATTTCCTTTTCCTGACTTACTTGTAGTCTCCTTGGGGGACAGAACCACTTCTTGACTATGCTTGTATCCACAAAAGTGCTTAGCCCAGTTCTTTGCCCATAGGTTTCCATGGAGTCTGGGTGAAGTAGGGGGCCCTTTGTAGAGACCCTCCCCTTCCCTGAGGATCGGCCGGCTGTCCAGTTCAGTTACAAAGGGGGAGGAATGGCTTTGGAAACTGTCTATTCACATTAGCTTTTCACTTTCTGAAATGCCTCAATCATCTTTCTCAGGGTTGGATCCAATTTCTCTTCACTCTGAGGTAATTGTCTTTCTGCTCAGCCTTGCTGCAGTGAGCAGGTGAGCTGACAGGGCCAGAGTAGGCTGGAGAGCTTGTCTGCCTTGTTATTGTTCCAGGTGTCCTTGTACCAGACATGAGGTCGGGGAGAATAGAGTTCATGTTTTCTCTGTGCCAGCCTTGAGCCCTTGCTAACGACTTTCTTCATGAAAAGAGAAGTAGCTGACCATTACTCAGCACCTACTTGGCTTCGAGCACTTTCCTAGCATTCTACCTATGACTTTAATCTTCCCCACACCCCCATGATATAGGTATTATTCTATTTTACAGATGAAGAAACCGAGGCCCAGACACATTAAGTATCGTGCCAAAATCCAGTGGCATGGCCAGGACTTGGACTCCCATTCAAGCCCTTGCCATTTCTACTCAGCCACGTTTACAAACACCTAGGGTTTGAATGGCGATGTCCGATGGCAGGCTGACCCTCCACTGCCCATCTGCAAGGGGCCTCTAGGAGCTACCAGCTGCCTCTCTTTCACCCGGATTTCACTGGATAATTTTGGAGTCACCTGACTGAGGGACCTGTCATAAGCATTCCCCCGCCCCCACATACCCTGTAGTGCTCTACACATAGTAGGCCCTCAATGAGTTCACAGAAAATTGAGTTGCAAATGAAAACAATTGGAAGTAGTTTTGATTAGGTGATTTCTTTTGGATGGGGACCAAGGTGGAGGAGAAATGGCTATAAAATAATTTGCCCTGGCGATCATGCTGACATTGTTTCTTTTCATCTCTTTGTCAGAGCCTTATAAGAGTAGATGTTCGCTGGTCCCCATAAGTTGGAATCCAATCAAAGCACAGCAAAACTTAGCCCTTTGATATCCTCTGTCAGCAGACTATAATTTTGAGAATTGCTTTTTTGATTGGCTATTGTGGCTGGGTAAGAAGAGGCTGGTGCTCAGGTAGGGCAGCAGAAATGCTTCTGGAATTCCAGTGGAGATCTGCTTTGAATGCTTGGTACTTATTCATGAGAACTCTTTTACACAGAATCGCACTTTCCTCACAAATGAAAATATTTATATGATGGTATTCATGCAATTTGAAAAAAATTGCAGCAGGCAATGCTTCCCTTTCCTCTGTGCCTGGCATCTCAGAGTGTTTTCTTTCCTCCCCCAATATTAATGAAAAAGAAATCAAACTTTTGCAGGCTTCACTTAGTTGCTGCCTTTCAATCAGATAAATTTGCGACCTGAATATTTCCTTCTCCTCTTTCAGTATTCATGAAGGTCGCTTGCGGCTGGACTGGTGGATTTAAGCACTTGTGTAGTTCAGGAAAGACAGATTTATTCCCTGGGAGTTGCGTGTAACTTACAACCTACATATTTCTGGCCCCTCCCCTGCTTTCCCCATCCTTTTTTCTGTCTTTGGATTTAGAAGGCATCATGATTTTCCCCCCCTGGTTTGCTGGTAGTACAACGTTAAGGAGCTTGGGTTTAAAATATTGATCTAGCTTCTCCCACAAAGACTTTGGTTGTTGAGTTTTGCAGCTTGGTATGGCTGACTGAAAGTGGTCTGGGTTGAAGTGGTCTGGGTTGAATTTGCTTAATAGGATGTTTCACTCCCCACGAGTCAATTTTTATCCACTTTATCAAGTTACTTATTGATTACAGCTCTTGTCATGTGCACATTGGTTTGCTGGGAAACTTACATGTTTTGTTTCTTGCTTAGAGTAGGCTAGGAATGTCGCGAAGTCTAGTTCACCTGGCACCCCAGATTCCCTCATGTTTAAAGAGGACTCCATTCTGTCTTAGGCACTTGGCTCAGAATTGCAAGAACGACATTGGTCGTCTTGAGTAGGAACACAAATAAGAAGTTTGTGGGTTTCTTTTTTTTTTTCCATTTATTTTACTTTCTGGTAATGTGTAGAGGCAATCTCATTCTTTCTTTCTTTCTTTTTTTTTTGAGACAGAGTCTTGCTCTGTCACCCAGGCTGGAGTGCAGTGGCATGATCTCGGCTCACTGAAACCTCCGCCTCCTGGGTTCAAGCGATTCTCGTGCCTTGGCCTCCTGAGAGGCTGGGATTGCAGGTGTGTGCCACCATGCCGGGCTAATTTTTGTATCGTTTGTAGTGATGGGGTTTCACCATGTTGGACAGGCTGAGGCAATCTCATTCTTGAGTAAAGGAAATAAAAGGAATGTACTGGAGCCGAAATTTTGGACTGGACAAGGGGAATAGAACAGAAACAAGTAAAGCTAACTGGTCAAGTTCAGGAGAGGATGGGGCTGGGTGTTTCATGCCTAAGAAGAAAGTGAGTTGGAGAAAGGAAGGATAATAAGCTTTCTGCTTTTGTACCTTAGGCCTGGCCAGCTTTTCAAACATCTTCACTGTCTTTAATTTGCTATCAGATATGGAAAAGTCCATCATGAAAGCAGTGGACTCTAATGAGCTTGATTTAGAAGATTTGGAATGCCTCAGTAGGTAATGTATTTCCCCAATTATTGGGGTTATTGCTGCCAAAGGAACAAAGAGCACCTAGGAACACACTAAAAATGGAAACATATATTTCTCTTGAATCTCAGCTTTGTATGTGCGAATGTTATTTCTAAGCCCAAGTCCAAGCAGAATAGTAAAGTTGTCTTTAGTGCTATCTTATCTCCATTTCTTTACATAACTCAAAGTAGTGAATGATGTTACCCAGAATGTACATAATTTGACATTTATTTATATTAAATTGAGAAAACTTTATTATTATTACTATTTGAGACAGAGTTTTTCTCTCGTTGCCCAGGCTGGAGTGCAATGGCACGATCTCGGCTCACTGCAACCTCCACTTGCTGGTTTCAAGTGATTCTCCTGCCTCAGCCTCCCGAGTAGCTAGGATTACAGGTGTCTGCCACCACCCCCGGCTATTTTTTTTTTGTTTTTAGTAGAGATGGGGTTTCACCATGTTGGCCAGGCTGGTCTAGAACTCCTGACCTCAGGTGATCCACCCGCCTCAGCCTCCCAAAGTGCTGGGATTACAGGTGTGAGCCACCGCACCCGGCCAGAGAAAACATTATTTTATGTTATTAGTGTTTTCTTCTCTCAAAGTGTCAGCAACTAGAGGGCAGGCTTTGTACCTAGGAGGTACCAGCAATGAATATTCACTGTTACAGGCTGTCCAGTCTCAACACCTTTCTTTGTTTTGGAGAAATCCAAGTACACTAGCCAGCCTCTGAGAAAGCCGACACTGACCCCTGTCCCTTGTCTTCATGCTCTTGTATTGCCCCTTCTCACGTTGTGCCAGGGTTATTCTGTGTGACCAATAGCAAATGGCAGAAGTGAGGGTATGTGAGTATGAGGCTAGGTTATAGAAGACATTGTGGCTTCTGCTTTGCTGTCTCGGATCCCTTGCTCTGAGGAAAACCAGCTGCCGTGTTATGAGTGCACCCCAGCAGCTTGCTGGACAGGTCTACACGGTGAGGCACCAAGGCCTTCTCCCAACAACTAGCTGACCATGTGAGTGAACCACCTGGGAAGTGCATCCTTCAGCCTCTGTAAGCTTCTAGATGACCACAGCCCCGCCCAGCTTCTTATCTGCAACTTCATGAGAGACTCTGAGCCAGAACTATCTAGCCAAACTGCTCCCAGAGTCCCAGTTTTCAGAAACTGTGTAGGAGAATGCATATTTATTGTTTTAAGCTGCTAAATTTTGGGGTGATTTGTTGCATAGCAATAGATAGTTAATACATGAAGGAAGGCATGTCCCATCTCCCACAGTGCAAGCCAGAGGATGGTAGAAATTTTCTCTCCCAGCTTGGCACTAACTGGGACTAACTGGCAGTTCTTGGGCATGCAACCTTAGCTAAGCCAATTAGATATTTACGCTTGGGTTTGTAATCTATGGTGGGCCAATCAAATGCTTGTTTTTGAGACTGACTCAGAGTCATAATAAAACAGAGGCCAGTTTAGAATTATCTCCTCCAGCAGCAGCAATAGCAGCAAATGGTGTCTCTAGTTGGTGGGGCCCTTGCGTGGTGCACGGTGTCTGTAGCCTGATTTTGCCATGGCATAATTTTGGATGTTGTTCTGCCTGTTTAGCCTCTGTTTGTTTCCCCCTGTTTTCAGAGTTGCATTATCTAGCCTTCCTAGTAATCCCTCCAATCCCTCCAATGAACTCATTTTTATTTAAGTTAAACCAAATTAGTTTATATTTTATGCAACCAGGAACCGTGACTACGGCAGCATAGACGTACATTTTTATAACGATGGTGGGATCTTCTTTCTCAATGCGTCCATTGCACTGAACGCATGCTAGGCACACAGTGGGTGATGGGTAGATCTTTGTGGATTGTAGATCTAGTTAGTGAGTGTCTTTTTTTGTGTGTGTGACTCTATGATTTATTAGCAGCTTTGTGGAAATGGCAATGTAGTACTTGCTTTAAAGGAGTTTATAATCTAGACTAGAGATTGCTCACCGCCTGTAGCAATCTGGCCCAGGGATGTGGTGAGAAGAGGTCTCTCTCTCTGGAGGCTGAGCCACTCCACCTATTAGCTGTACAATTCGGGAAAAGTTTGACATCTCAGAGTTTCATTTATCTCACTGGCAATATCGCAACCCTTACCACACTGGCTTGCTGTGAGATTAGATCAGGTAACGTGTGAAAAGAGCACACTGCAGTCAAGGAAGGTCATTACTGAGCACTTACTGCTAAGCTCTGGTTCAGGGCTGGGCTGCCTTGCTCTGATAAATGAATGGTGAAATCTTGATCATCACTCACCTTTACTTCTGCTCAGTTTCCTTATCTGAAAGATGAGCAAGTGGGATTGGAACTGTGGTTTTCAAACCTTTGTTTGTTTCTTCTCTTGAAAAACAAAATCGTATATCGACTTCAACATGAAATAAATGGTATTTTATTAGCATGGATTTTAAAAATTAATTTGTCTATTGTAAACTCAGTCATGGAGAACAATGGGGGCTATTTTGATGAATGTAAACATTTGAAATTAGGATGCTGGATAACATTTGCAATCCAGGCTTACATATTAAATTTAATTCTGCAAATTATTTTGGATGTACATCAATAAGAAACTCCTGTTTTATCTACATATGTAGTTGCAAATGGTAATTGTTTTCAATAGCACATTTTGTAGTCTCAGTCTAGTTAAACAGAGAAGGCAGGAGAAGCTTTGGTATGAAGACTGCACGAACAGGAGCTCCTGGAAGTACATGGTGATGTGCAGTGGGTTTAAGTGTGGTCTCCACCCCACGTAGGTGTGTTTGTGGAATCCTAGGGGAAGTAATTTACAACCTCCTGGAAAATAGATGATGCTATGGCTCATTTCAGCTCCCAGGTTTAGTGGATCTAAGGATTGACACAAGGTTGATATCTACGTAACACCAGTCAGTCATCTCTTTAACTTACAAAAGTAGTACGCGAACATATGCTCACTGCAAACAATTCAAACAACACAGAAGCATAAAGAATGAAAAGAATTTAACCCATGTGACCACTTCCCCTTATGTCTAGTTCCTTTCCCTTTTCTCTGGATCTTGTTGGTTGCTGTGCATTCACACACATACACACATAGGCTGTTTCTATTCACATAAATGGGATCATACTATATGTGTTATTCTGTGACCTTCTTCTCTCTCTCTCCCAACAACATCTCTTGGCAGGCATTCTATGAGAAAAGCTCTACCTTATCTTTTGAATCTCTTATTTAATATTTTATGATACAAATATTCATAATTCATTGTTCTATTAACAAATATTTAAAATATTTCCTATTTTTGTTATTATAAGCCGTGTTCTAATAATCACCCTTGTGTAGATATCTTTGCTGGTCTCTCAGTAGAATAAGTTCTGAAAATTGGAATTGCTCCATCAAAAGGAATGTACATATATTTTAAAATTTGATATATGGTCCAATTGCCCTTCCAAAAATCTGTGCCAATTTATACTCCACCAAGGATACACGAGAGGGCTTTTTGCCTACACTTCTGTCAGCATTGAATATTTTTCCTCTTATTAATTTCTGCCCATTTGATGGGTAAAAAAATCTTATTTTTGGGGGGCAGAGTCTTGCTGTATTGCCCAGGCTGGAGTGAAGTGGTGCAATCTTGGCTCACTGCAACCTCCACCTCTTGGGTTCAAGCGAGTTCTCATGCCTCAGCCTCCCAAGTAGCTAGGATTACAGGCACACGCCACCACACCTGGCTAATTTTTGTATTTTTGGTAGAGAGATGGTTTTGCCACATATTGGTCAGGCTGGTCTGAAACTCCTGACCTCGAGTGATCTGCCAGCCTTGGCCTCCTGAAGTGCTGGGATTACAGACGTGAGCCAACGTGCCTGGCCCCATATCTCATTTTAATTTACCTTTCTCTTGTTCCTAGTGAAGCTGAGCATCTTTCCATGCTTACTAGCAATGTATGGTTTTATTTTGATGCATTGCCTATGACTTTTGTTTCCCATTTTCCATTGGGATATAATAGCTTTTCAAATTCCTAATTGGTATCTCATGTCTTTTAATCAGTATTTGATATACAAAACTATTCCAGAGAACCAACAAATCTGAATGGATTTCTTGGAATTTGATGCAGCAGCAATTGATCATATAAGTAAAATGTTTCTATTCATTCGTTAGTTTACTCAATGAACATTAAACCGTTATTATTATGTGCTACATATTAGAAAAACTAAAATACCAAAGACAGCCTCCTTAAACTCAAGGTGCCCACAATTGACCTGAAGATAGATACTTTATCAATTATAATATTCTGTGATAAATACTCTGACAAGTATATCTGGGGAACTGTGGGAGTACCAGGTGCACCAGGTGTGGGTTATATGCACAGCATCATACCCTATTAACCCTGAAATTGAGCAGTGGAGGTAGCCATACATTTTTTTATATTAATATTTTTTAGGGAATACATTTTAGAAAGCTGAAATTTCAATAAATGCTTGAAAAGCTGGAGAGGGGGGCTTAGCAGCCTTAGGAAAAAAGAAAGAAAATGGCATGAGAGAAAGCCTTGAGTCTATGATGGGAAAGTTACTTGAGTAAGGGAGTGAGTAGGAGAGATTGGGAGGAATAAAAGGGAAAGTGAGAAAGAAAAAGAAAAGATGATGAATAGTTCCTGAAGTTAAGAGGATCTTAATATAGATATTTATGGAGTTTAGGGGCAAGGAATTATAATGTCAAACAAGTCAAGGAAGAAGACTTCATAACTGCCACTGAAGATTTATGAATGCGGACCATTGCGGGAGGAGGCTGAGTCCCTGAGGGGAATTATATCAGCTTTCCTGGGAAGCAGTCAAGAGCGTGGCTAAAGAATTGAGTTTCAGGGCCAGGGAGAAATAAGCACTTACATTTTTTTTTAAGAGGTGAAAAGGCAACATTTAGTGTTAGAAAGTGGTAGCATAAGGATTAAAGCTGGGAATCATGATAATGGTTGTCTTAGCCTAGAGTTCTCTGAAAGAAGAGCCTGAGGCAAGCAAGGGCTAAAGTGCTGACACTATTTGGGAGGTTCAGGCTTAGGGCTGTGAGGATGAGGAAAAAAAGGAAGTGAGGCAAGATGTGAAACGCCAGTATGCAAAGCATGATTACACTGGTCATTGCTTCTCAATGAACCTCAACAAAACACAGATGCGGCAGGTCACTCAGCAGGTGTGTTTGCTTGGTAGTGGGACTTTTTGGGGAAGGACTGGAAAGAGAAACCACGTATTAAGGAGAAACTACATCTCAGAGTCGTCCACAAAAGAAATAAAGGGTGAAGAGTTTAATGGCCAGCCTCTTTCTTCCTCCTATTTTTCTTGTATCAAATTTCACTCCATGGGCAGTCGATTGCCCTGTGCTCCAGGTTGTGACATTCAGCATTTTATCTGTGTCCAGAAGTTAAAGTGCTGACCAAGAAATGAAGGAGGCAGTTGAGGCAGGATGAGGAGGAGGGCAAGGTGGGTTTTTGTCCTGGCTAATTCTCAGGCTCTGGTCTCCAAATCCCTTAACTGTCATGAACGTTACTCATGTATGTCAGATCGGGACAATGGCAGACCTGGACTCTCATCCCAGTTTGCCACTGACTGGCTGTGTGGCCTTCAGGAGGTGACTTGCTCCTGCTGGTCTCAGCCTCCTTGTCTATAGAATGGGGAAGATGGAGTAGAGGGCCTCTAAGATTCCTCCAACTGTCAATGTTCTTGGTATATCCTTTCTGGTCTTGCCTTGTAGAAGATAGCCAGGTACATTGAAGAGAACCTTGCATTCGTAGGGAGAAAGCCTTGCTTTGAGGCTTGGTTCTGTCAAATACTAGCCATGTGACCTTGGGCAGGTCATTCAGTTTCTTTGGGCTTCAGTTCTCTCATCTGTAAAATGGAAAATTAATACTTGTTCTGCAGCATTGCTGTGACAATGAGTGTACGAGCATATTAACATGTACAGGCATAGTAGACACTCGATAAATATTGGTACAAAGTTTCATAGTGCTGTGAAGGTAACAGTAGGTGATAATGCAAAAGGAATTTATACATTAAAAGCTAAATTCAAATGCAAGTTACTACTTTACTATTAAATGGACAGAATTAAATACGGAGCAGTGGGAAAAATAGTCTAAGCCTGGATATGCAGAAAGCCAAAAGGATTTAATTAAACCAGTGGTAAACTTCAAACCAGACTATGCCACATGAATTTGCCAAGCTCTGGAGTGAACTGAAATAATGAAATGTTGCATTTGTTTGTTGTTGTTATCAAGCTGCTGTGCACTAATTTTTTTTTTGATTTCCAGTAATTCTTGACACACACACACACACACTATATATATATATATAAATGAATTGGTCACATGACTGTGGAGGCTGAGAAGTCCCAGGATCTGCTGTCTGCAAGCTGGAGACCCAGGAAAGCCAGTGGTGTGGTTCAATCTAAGTCTGAAGGCCTGAGAACCAGGAAAGCTGATGGAATAAGTCTCAGTCCAAGCATAGGAGAAGACCAATGTCCCAGCTCAACAGTCACACAGAAGGGGTAAATTCTCCCTTCCTCTGCCTTTTGTTCTATTCAGGCCCTCATGGGGTTGCATAATGCTTGCTCAAACTGGGAAGACAATCTGCTTTACTGAGTTCAAATCTTAATTCTATTCAAATGTCAATCTCTTCCAGAAACACTCTCATAGACACACCCAGAATAGTGTTTAATTAAATATCTGGGCACTTGTTGATCTAGTCAAGTTGACACATAAAATTGACCATCACACCTTGTGAAAACACAGGGAGATGATGGCTATCTTCAAGCCAAGGAGCTAATGTCTCAGAAGAAACCAACCCTACCTTGATCTGGCACATCTAGCCTCCAGAACTGTGAGAAAATAAATTTCTGTTGTTTAAGCCACCCAGTCTGTGATACTTTATAACGAAAGGCCAAACAAACTAGTACAGAGCCTCATTTCCTCAAGACAGAAATCTGAAAAGTAATTTTCCTACTTCCTTCGCAGCTAGAGCACAGGCAGGTGACCTCAGTTCTATCCATTAGAGGCCACGGAGGTAGACTTTGGCTCAGACATGAGCAGTGTGAGAACACAGGCTTAGTGTGGATTCCATTGGTCTGGGGAGGGTGGCAGTGGCTGCATGTCAAACTTGCAGAGCAGATGTGGGTGGCTTTCACCCAGGCAGGGGATGGTCTGTCACAGTCATATATGCACTCAGGACTTGGTGGTATCAGTGTGGGAGGCACACGCTTTTTTTTTTTTTTTTTTTTTTTAACCAGGTA
Organism: Homo sapiens; assembly: GCF_000001405.40. NCBI lineage: Eukaryota > Metazoa > Chordata > Mammalia > Primates > Hominidae > Homo > Homo sapiens. The sequence continues at coordinate 219,847,087 of NC_000002.12, forward strand.
AATCCTGTATCATTGTGCATGGTGTTAAATGTCATTTCTGAAAGCTTAGCCTAGAGCTGTTTCTCCAACCTACCCAAAGAGTTTATAAGCTGTCCAATACCCTTTTAATAAACTCCTTTTGCTTAATCCACCAGAGTCAGCTTCTGTTGCTTGCAATGAGTGACTCTGACAGATCCATATTCTGACGACCTGATGGGTCCCATCTCCATAGCTTGCCTCTTCTCATACTTGATTCAGTCTGTAGTTGCTGGGACCAGTGGTGTCCTTACGAAATTTAATTAGCTCAGGTGGTTCACCATCAAATTGGCCATTCTTCCAGCTAGTCCCTCTCTGATCACAGGCTCTGCTTGTGGTAAGTTCATTTCTAGCCGTTTCGTAATTAAGTCTCTATCCTGTACTCCATGGTTGGTTCTATGTCTTATCCCTACATCCCTTCCTTACATTCTGGGTGAGATTTACAAGGAAGTAGATTTGAAATTGATATAACTCAACCCCAAACTGGGCCTCATGTGGTCCAGCCTTGGCAGAGAATTGCACTCCAAGGAACACAAGTCCAGCAACCAAAAGCAATTAAATTAAATGAAAACTATACTGATATCTCTGGAAAGAATATCAAGGGAAGTAAATATATTTTTTAATGTACAGTAAGACTTAAACATTTCCCCATCTCTGATATTCTCTATATTCCTCAACCCATCAAACTTTTCTCTCTTTCACTTTGATTCTAAACCCAGAGTTGCTTCCATCACCCTGATTTTGTGGGCTCCTTTTTTCCCTCTTCCACCTTTTCTTCTACATTAATCATTTTTATTTTTATCATTTGAGAAAGAATTGGTTAATAATTAGAACTGCTCAGGGACATTGTGGTAGGGTTCTTGCTCTGGGCAGTGTTGGATCAGATGATTTAGAAGCTCCCACTATATCTTAGATCTCAGGTTTAGGGTTGTGCCTCTGTTTTAAACTGGACCACAGTATTGGGTTGAGTTAACATTAACTTTTCCCCTCTTTAGAAATCTCTATGCCAGCGACAGGAAGCCCTGGATCCTGAGCTTGATCTAACTCTTGTCTTGGTTTCAATTTCTTTGAGAAAAGTTGATCTTTTCAACATTCCTGCCCTTTCTGCTATAATCAGTGAGCACAAGGACATGTGTGTTCAAATGCCTCAGGTGCCCCATCAGGGTGTCAACTTCACAACCTAGCTGTGCCAGGCCCTCGCTCGAGGACTCTTTGTTTTGCTCTGAGACAGCATTTTCCAGGGAAGGGATGGGCACTGGCAGATGCTGGAGTAGAGGGAGGCAGTAGCCAGGAGTGTGGATTTCCCAGGTGAGGGGATGGAGCAGGATGGTGGGCTTGCCTGGCCCACCATGCTCCGGGGCAGCAGTGTTGGGGGAGAGGGAGTGCATGTGCTTAGGGGAAGGTGGCTGTGGTCTGAATCTGCTGCTCACACACGAGGAATATTAGTTGGGACCTGTTGGGTTGCAAGTGACAGAATTCAAACTGGTTTGAAAAAAATTTCAAAGGGGAGAGGGATTTCTTGGCTCCCCAAACTGGGAAGAGCAGCCATTGCTGTGTTCAAGAACTCAAGGGACTTGTGAAGCCTTTCTTGCCTCTGCCTCAGTCTCTTTCTGTCTCCCTACCCTTAGCACCTCCTATGTTACTTCATTTTCAATCCCAGTGGGAAGAAATCTTCTTTCTGAGTAGCTTGAACTAAATTCTCAGATTTGAATCTCACTGGCCTGGGTGGAATCACATATTCGCCCCTAAACCAGTCTTGGTGGCTGTGGGATAGAGTATGCCGGGTGGCCACTTTTCCCAAAGGAAAAGTGAAATTTTGTTACCCAAGACAGGGAAATGGATCCTGGACTGACAGAAACAGCTCACATCCACTACAATGTAATATTAGCAGTTAGTGATGTCTCTGAGCCCAGTTTCTTCCTGGGTAAAATTCCCACTTCATAGCGCTGTGGGGAAGACTGTAAATAATAAATGCATAGCAACTGTCACATAGCAGGCCTTCGATAATTAGTAGCAATTCTTATTGTTAGGTGCAGAGAACCAGCTGGCAGGAGGGAGAATTTTACCCAATGGGAAGATGTAAGTGTGTGTGTGTGTGTGCATGTGTTTGTGCACATTTGTGTGTCCATGTGTGCACTCCTGTGTTAGCTATCAGGAGGAGCAGGTGAATAAGCCTTGGTTTCTACCATCACAACCTTTCTTTTCCTTCCCCCTTTGCTCACTCACTGTTTTTCTGTCTTTCCTTCCCACCTATCCTCTCCCTCCCCACCTTCTTTTTCCTTTCATTAGCCATATATACATTCATATATATATATATAAAACAACATGGTAGTTTCTTATTATTTGTGACACGAATTAAATTTTTTTTTACATACTGACTTTATAAAATGATTTGAGATATACACACACATATATGCCATAGAATAATATAAATAGCTGCAGAAATTGGAATGGAGGGAATAAAGAGAAAGTTAAATTAGAAAACAAAGTATATGCCACCCTATCTTATATAGTTGCTACAGGTGGGCTCTATTTACTGAAAATAAAGCTTCATGTTCTCTAGTCATAATTTAAAAATGGAGCAAGTTGCAAATTTTCTATTTTCTCCAAAACAAGCCAAGCAATAAAGTCAGTTGTACGTGGCTGTGCATGTGTGGCTTTTGATCTCGTCCATGGGACAGTGGCTCTTGATAGTAAAAAGGTCCCACCCTAGTTTATAGGGACCAGAGAGAGTATTAAAGACAAATCAAGATGGGGGGCTAACCAACCTCCAGGTAGGCAGGAGAAAGGAAATAGCAAATATCTCTTCTGAGGTCCATAGACTTTTAGAGAGGAAAGAGATTAGTACAATGGAGGTATCTGTGGGAAGGAAAATGCAGGTAAAGATGAAGAGGAAAATCTGCCTTGTTAAAGCCCAGCTCCCCAAAGTATTAGACACATGAATTTGCTTCTGTGCTGAGGCCATCTGTGGCCGTCAGGCTAGCTGTTTTCTGGCTGATACTTTTTGGGAATGTTATTGTTGCTGAGAAAGATAGTTCCATGTCAGAGCTATCAACAGAATGTGGCCATCTGGACAACCATGTATAAACCAACTTATTGCTTCTTGAATGCCACCTACAAACATGACTACCTGTCCTTTCTTGTTTGAAGGGGCACTAACAATACTTGGGAAGATGGAAAGTGAACTGGACATTAAGGCAGAGATGAGGAATTCTGCCTTGCTTCCTGCACTCCATGGAAAAGGGAGGAGGAACACTAGCTGGGAAAGCTGTTGAGCTTGAGCTATGGATGGTCTGATGGGAAGAGGATGTGCACAGACAAGAAGCAGGAAGAGAGGTTTGGGTATAAGTTTAAGCCATAGGTTACCAGATTGCAAAGAACCCTAGCCCGACTCTAAACATGGTGCCAGAGCCCATGAGAGTGCATGAAGGTATATGCTTTTTATCTACTGTCATGTCGTCACAGGAGAGTGAAAGAAGGCTCTATCGATCTCAAAACTCACCCGACCCCTCGTGCCCTGGCTGAGTCTGGGGGATCTTCTCTGGGCCTTGTCCTCCTCTTCTGTAAGTGGGGATCCTAATCCTTGCCTCAAGTCCTTCGTGGGGCTGTTGTGGGAATTCCTTTATTTGGAAAGAATTCACCAAGCTCCGACCACACATTCAGCACTGGGTCAGACACTTCGGGGAATAGGGAACAAGGTTAATTCTCAGCCTTCATCCTTAAAGAACTAACAGATGTGAAGGGACTTTCAAGAGTGGTTAGGGGCCGGGTGTGGTGGGTCACGCCTGTAATCCCAGTACTTTGGGACGCCAAGGCAGTTGGATCACCTGAGGTCAGGAGTTCGAGACCAGCCTGGCCAACATGGTGAACCTACCACCCCCCCGCCCCCACCCGCCAACCTTTACTAAAAATAAAAAATTAGCCACCGGTGGTGGCGGGTGCCTGTAATCCCAGCTATTAGGAAGGCTGAGGCAGAAGAATCGCTTGAACCTGGGAGGTGGAGGTTGCTTGTGAGCCAAGATCGCACCACTGCACCCCAGCCTGGGTGACAGAGTGAGACTCCGTTTCAAAAAAAAAAAAAAAAAAAAAAAAAAAATAGAAAAGAGTGGTTAGGGGTGTTTGTAGACGAGTTATGCAGACTGAGGTAGGTAACCCACCCCACCAGGCCTGGACTCAGTCCTGCTCTGCCCCTCACTGGCCGGGCTGGGAACCTCCTTTCTCCGCCTCACAGACAAAACGAATCAGTGGGAGTAGTTGCTGTAGGGGGTCTCTTCAAGGTCCGGACTATGCTAATCTGACCATTCAAATCCTTGTGAGGTGCAGAGTAGGAACAAAAGCTAACACCTGGAGGTGCTAGGTTTTTAACTATGGCAAAGCCGGGTCATCTTCCCCACCCCAAAACCAAAGGTTCTTCAAAGTGCTGTGACCTTCCAAGTTGGAGCTGTGTGAAAGCAGCCTGGTGGTCTAACCCTGGCTGCCTGCGTCTGGTGCTGGGGGTGGGGGTGGGGGTGGGGGTGGGGGTGGGGGTGGGGGTGGGGGTCGGGGCGGGGGCGGGGGGCGCTGGTCTGTCCTGATTAGGGAAGGTGTGAGCCTGACCTGCTGGCTTCGCTTGCAGGGGGACAGGGGAACTGGCTAGTGTCCTGGTATCAGGTGCAGGGTGTGTCGCCGTGGGCAGTGGGTGCCTCTGCCTTTGGCACAGGCGCCATCTTTGTTGTTTTTCTCTTTAAGGGTCTGATCAAGGCAGCTGGAGACTCAGGGAGACTTTCCACAGCCAAGTGTTTTCGTTTTTGTCTTGGCTGGGCTCCTGGTGCTGTCACTCTCAGTGGCTGCGGGCAGGCCGGTGTTCCAGGAATGTTCTGCGTACCCGGCGGGTCTTCTCCAAGAGCCACCTAAGGGGAGAGTTGAGGGCATTCCCCAAACTGGCGCCCACACTGCCGCTGACCCACAAGCCAGAGGCAAATTCCCGCACCTCGCCCTTCTCACAGCTTGTGCAGTCCGCCTAAAGCAGAAGCTCCCCAGGCGTCCCAGCTTTAAGACAGTGTAAAGAAAAACAGGTGCCCACTGGTCTAGTCACATCCCCTATAAAACGGTTGGAGTCTCTGTGTTTTGTGGGGAAACAGCAGAGGGGGGTTGGACTAATTAGTTTCCTCCCAGGAATCTGATTAAGGGAAGGTTAAGCAGTGTGGGAAAGAAAAGGGAACCGCTATGAAGAACTGTCACCGAGGAGAGGGTTTGAAAGTTAATGGCAGCCCGGAGGCGGAGGAGCGTCCTGACTCAGGCAGTGTTCCAGTAGGGGCCGGAGGCCACCTTGGGGAGGAACGTGCACAGAGGTGACTAATCAACTCGGCAGAGGTTGGAGTAAAAAACCTAGAAAGTTGGCATTGACTCTGAAATTGTTGCAAAGCTGAGATCCAGGAGAGAGGGCAGCTTTTCCTCCCATCTCTACTCTCGTTATTAGCCAGACACAAGATTTGACTCTTATAAATGCCTCTCTACTCCTTTCTTAAAAACATTTTTGTAAATGTGGTAAAATACACATAACGTAAAAGTTGACATTTTAACCACTTTTAAGTGTACAGTTCAGTGGCATTAAGTACATTCACGTTGCTGTGCAATCACCACCATCTATCTCCGGAACGTTTTCATCTTCCCAAGCCGAAACTCTATACTCGTTAATTACTCCGCGTTCTCCCCTCTTCAGCCTCCCTTACTTTTGTTTCCATGAGTTTGACCACTCTAGGTACCTCGTGTAAGTGGAATCATGCAGTATTTATCCTTTTGCAGCTGGCTTATCTCACTTACACAGCATCTTCAGGGCTCATGCATGTGGTAGCCCGTGCCAGAATTTCCTTCCTTCTGAAGACGGAAGAGTATTTCATTATGTGCCTATAGCACACTTTGTTTATCCACTCGTCTGTTATTGGGCATTTAGATTGTTCCCGCTTTTTGGCTATTGTGAATCATGCTCTTGGGAACATAGGTGTACAAATATCTGTTTGAGTCCCTGCTTTTAATGATTTTGAGTATATACCCAGAATTGGAATAGCTCGATCACATGGTAATTCTATGTTTAATTTTTTGAGGCGCTGCCGTGCTGTTTTCCACAGCAGCTGCACCATTGTACACTCCCACCAGCAACACACCAGGGTTCAGTGCCTCTCCTCTTAATGAGCCACCTTCTTTTCAGTACCCTAACACTCAGAGGAAGTCTGACAAGAGATGCCCCGTTGTATTTGCCTCTGCCTGGGCCATCAAAAGAGAGACAGAAGGGCAGTCAGCTCTGTCTGGCCTCAAATGCCAGGAAGCTGGAAGGTAAATAACCCTGGAAGATGCCAATTCCTGTTAGTAGTTGGATGCATTAAACATTTTACAGGAAGAGCCCAGTCACCATCACAAAGGTAGAAGAAAAGAGACGTGGGTCTTCTTTATTTCTATTCTAAGGAGCACCTGTGGCTCTTTAATGCAAGGTTTATTAATTTCATATGTCTCTTTCAGGGCAGGTATCAGTATTTGTGCTTTTTTTTTTTTTTTTTTTTTCCTCTTATAGGCCCTAATGGAGCCAAACACATCTTCAGGACCCAACATTTATTGAACACTTACTATGCACCAGGCATTGTAGAAGTACTTTAAGTTCACCTCCTCCTGAATCCTCTTTACCTTTTGGAAAGCGTGTGTCCCGAGAGTCACCGGAATCAAAAATACCTCTGTAGCCTAACCTCCCTCCCCCATAAAATGCAGTAGAGTATGACCAAAGATTCAAGTGAGCACTGAAGACCCTTAATGAGAATTTCTAAGAATGTGACAATAGGAGGACAATAAACTTCCCTGTAGATTTGGAGGCTGAACTTTTGGACTCTGTCTGACCTTAGGCTGTGTGCCTTTTATTTTCCTGCTTAATCAGTCTTCACTGATTATCTTGCTTCTGCAATGACTCAAGGTTATGTCAATTAGCTGTTTCCTAGCCTGGGTCTTCTGCCTAATTGTCAACTCAACTTAAGACAAAGATCTAAGCAGTGAGTTTATTCTTATTCCTCTCTGGAGTCAGAAACGGGTTATGGAGCTGCCTTCCTGGACCCAGAAGGGAAAAGCATTTCTCTCTGCTTTCTGGACAGGTAGGTCCATCTCTGGCACCCTTGATTTAGTAGATGTGGTTTGTATTCGCTCTTCCTCCCTGGCTCTGACCTTTACCCTCTCTCTTTGCCTGTGTCTCCCAAGGGCACCTAAAATCTGTCTTCCTAAGCATCTGGCATCTCCTGTGTCCATGGTCACTAGGGGCATCCTGGCCTCCCAAGCCTTCAACCTTGGAGTCACCTTTGACTGCTTCCTCTCTCAGACTGTTCCTTTCAGAATGGGCTGGCAATTCTATCTCTGGGATCTGACCTTCTCCAGCCAATGACACAGCCAAGCCTCCCACAGAGTCCAGGCTCTGATCTCCTCACATGCTGATTTCTGGAGCAGCCGCCTTCCTAGAGAGTGTTTTCACCTGCAGCCTCACCCCTCCTGGTACATTCTATAACCAACAGCTAGGCTAATTTTCTCTGAGTGCTATTTTGATTTTGTCACTCGTCCATTCAGAAATCGGCAGGAGCTCCCATTTGCCTCCTACCTTTAATTTAAACTCCTCAGCATGTGTTTGAAGACCTTTGTAAACTTACATTTAACTACCCTCATCTTCTGCAACCTTCTGGCTTCTCATCTTGGCTCATAGGACGTAGGTTGCTAGCTTTGGGGCACGGCTCTCCCCTTGCCCCTCCAAGTCCTGTCTATCCCTATTAAGACACGACAAAGATATTATGAGCAGGGACCTCACCAGGTTTGTTTGACATTATATTCCTATGTCCTGGCTTGTCACGTAATAGGTGCTCAATAAATATTTGTTGAATGAATGAATGTTAAAGACACATCTCTTTGAATAACACTCCTTGCATTAATCAACACACAATGAAAGACTTTGAGCTAAGTGTTTAGGTCACAAGATGAATAAGCTTCTTCTCAAGGAGCTTGCATTTTAGACCTAGAAACATATGCCGCATTTCCTTGATTATAAGATGGATTGAGGCCAGCCATGGTGGCTCATGCCTATAATCCCAGCACTTTGGGAAGCCAAGGCAGGCAGATCACTTGAGGTCAGGAGTTTGAGACCAGCCTGGCCAACATGGTGAAATTCTGTCGTTAGTAAAAATACCAAAATTAGCCAGGCTTGGTCGTGAGCACCTGTAATCCCAGTTACTGGGGAGGCTGAGGCAGGAGAATTGCTTGAACCTGGGAGGTGGAAGTTGGAGTGAGCTGAGATTGCACCACTGCACTCTAGCCCGGGGGACAGAGTAAGACTCCATCTCAAAAAAAAAAAAAAAGAAAAAAGAAAAAAGAAAGATGGATTGATTGTAAGATGCAGTGTTAACTTAAAAGGAGATTTTGGGGATAAAAAAAACTTAAAAGGAGATTTTGGGGATAAAAAAAGATTACCACTTTAATTATACACAATGAATGTTGAGCCTTCATTTCAGAAACTTTGAAATATGAAAAATACAATACATCATAGAATGGAAAAAATAAAGTGCTGCAATATGGGGCTTTGGTGCCGTAATAGAGGGATGTACAAGATTCAGGGGAAGGATCTTTTGTACTCTGTCTGAACTGGATCTTGATTGGTTTCCCAGGTAAGCTGGGGATGGAAGTAGACATCAGTAGGCTCTGAACACTCGCATTTCTACCTCTCAAAGCTGTGTGGCCTGAGACAAATGACTTAATCTCTTTTAACCAAGTTTCCCCTTCTGTGAAATGGAGATAATAATAGAACCTACCTAGTCTCCAGTAGCTGCCATTTACCAAGCAGCTACTATATACCCAGCCTGGGCCAAGTGCTTTATATGTATGTTATTTAATCTTCATTCGTAGAAAGGGTTAGCCTAATCCTGGCACATGGGAAGCACTCACCAAATAGATTGAATTAGTGGATATGAGTTTTGGTTGTTTTAGATGTGGTGTTCTACACCTGTTTGGTGTTCATTCACCCTTTTTCTGGTAACTCAGAATAGAATACCCTTTGGGGAAACATCTCTCCCACTGTCAGTCCATATTGGTGGGGCTGCTCCCTCTGCCCCTCCTTATGGGGCCCAAGGGTGGGTATGTGACCCCATCTTGGCCAATGAGACTGTTGAGTCTCCAGGCAGCAGTGATTGGTTCAGAGATGGTGCCTGACCACAGGCTGTTGGAACTAGGAAGAGGACGCTGCTGTCTGCTGGGGTTGGTAGATTAGTGGGAAGTGAGTCTGAAGCAGCAGAGGGCATCTTGTATGATATCCTGAGCACATGGCTAGTGGGAGGGCTGGCAGGAAGGAGATGGATCCTAACGGGGCATTCGGATTCAGCTGTACCGGTTCACCCCACGGCTTTTCAGGGAACGTTTCAGTTACTTGAGTCAATACATTTCCTTTTATATTTTTTGGCATAAACTTGTTTTGCTTGGAATGTTATACTTTACGCAAAAAGTCTTCTTTGACACAAAGAGAAATTATTCTTATTATAATTATATAATTTTTATAATGATACTTAGTGTGTTCTTGGAGGGTGAGAAGAAACTCAGTGTAACTGGAGCATAGGGGGGTGTGTGTGCAGAGCTGAGCCCATGTTAGGCACTTGAATATCTTAGCTACAGTAAGCTTAGCTACCCATGAACAGCCTATGGGTTAACTAATTGCGCAAGACTGGAAACATGTTCAGAGAAAGAGTGGGGCACCTGACGGTTATTGGAAGACTTCCGAAGAGGGAGGCTAGCTTGCTGGGTGGCTGAATTTTTTAGGACTTGGGAAATGTGAGAGTTGAGCCTGTTGGGAAGACTGTGCCCTGGCAAGGAGTAGGGGGGATGGTGCTGCAGGGAGCCAGTGAGCCATGCAGACAGAGGGCAACACAAATGTATGCAGGACAAAGGGAGTAAACGAGAGCGGAGGGAACACGGAGCAGGCAGACCAGTCTGGGAGCTAACACCAAGGACTTTGGGTCTAGCCTGGAAGTGGGGGCCAGGTCCTCCCTCCTCAGCAGCGCCTCACTACGGATGCACCATATTTTATTCTGTGAAGCAGGATTGTCAAGCAGTTGCTTGTGTGCTTTCTTTGATCTTCTAATGTGTCTTTCACTCTTCTACATTAGAGTGTGAGCTCCCCGGTAGGAAGCAGTTCTGTCTTTTATTTTTGTGCCATTTTAGCATGGTGGTGGCTAATGCTCAGCCCCTGGAGTGGTCTGCCTGGGTTTAAGTCCTGGTCCAGCACTTGCCAGCCTTGACCCCTTGGGCAAATCACTCATTCTCTCGGTGTCTCAGTTTCTCATCTGTAAGATGGGAATACTAAGAGTATCTTTCTCAGAGAGGTGCTGGGAACATTAAATGAGCCAGTACCTAGCACGTAGTAAGGCTATATAGTGTAAGCTATTCATTATTGTTATTATTATTTCCACCGTACAATGTTCATTGGAGAATATTAAATTTTTCAAAAGAGGAAGCCCCGGCAGAATGGTGAAGTGCCTTGCCTAAGGCATTAACTGATTGGGGGAGGATAAGTACATTTTTGCAGTCCAGGGAGGAACCTTAACATCTCTAACCAAAACCTAGCTTGAGGGTGTTTGTGGGGGGATTTGGTTTTTCTCTTGATCCCCCTGCCTATTCAATCCTTTGGAGTTCCATCACTGACATCACCTGTCTGGGGGCTGCTGGTGGGGCAGAGGCCCTGATTGGCATAGCAGTGAAATGCCCCCTGGCTGTGGTCTTGGCTTGAGTTTCCTCTCCTTCTCAGGCTGCTTTTATTTGGAATACCAGGAGCATCTGTTTGCAGGGTTTCCAGCACTCCTGGGCTCTCATAGCAATGGGGTCTTACTGATATACGGTCCCTCGTTACTACATGGAAAGACGATTTACCTAACAGATGGGCTCTTTTGAATATTTATGTCAGGACACATCTGTTCTGGGCTTGAAAGTTTAATAAAGCTTTTCATTTTCTGAAGCGCTTGTGAAGCCTGTCTGTGGTGAGCTGACAGCCCCCCTGGGTCAGCTCCTCTGTGGTGACTCTGGGGCATGGGGTCCAGCTTGGGTCACCCCATTTGGCAGGCAGCCACACTCTCCAAACCCCTCCTCCCTCTCTGTGGCAAAGGACAGCGGGGCTGAGGGGCCAGAGACAGTTGGTGGGGTGCTAACTCAGTGGACCAGTTGAACATGTCCACAGAGAGGAAAGTAGCAACAGTTATTTGCAAAGGGGAAAGTGTTTTCTTGCACTTTGTTTGTCCTTGGGAAGACAGGTTCTCTGTGATTGGGTAAATGATGGAGCAGCCTCGCCCTGTCTAGGTCTTTGCCCCTATAGCATACTGGGGTTCCTGGGGGTGTCTACATGGATGTGTAGAAAGAGGGCTTGGACAACAACACTCTCAAAGCTGGGATGTCCGAGGAGTATGCCTTGAGTACCTCAGCTTCTTAGTTCTTGCAGCCCATTTGGTCCTCTCCTGACCTTGGTGGCATTCTCTAATGGCTCCACCCACAAAGGCCCTGTTCCAGTCCAAACAGGCCCCCAAGAAAGAATAATAAAGGAATATCAAAACATGCCATGCAAACATGCATTGAATTCTTACCTGTGCCCAGCACTGTGCTAAACTTTTTATCTTTATTATCATTCTGGTTATCACCGCAACACCAAGGTAAGAACTCTTATTACCTCAATTTTCCAGATGAAGGAATTGAGGCACAGAGAATTTAATTGACTTGCCTAAAGTCACACAATTACTAAGTGGGGCAGCCAGGATTTGAACCCAGGCCATCTTACACCAGAATCTAAAGTGTCAATGCTTTATTGGCTACTGATTGGAATCTGTCAGCCAGTATTTTCTAAAATGTGTTTTTTGGAATGTAAGGTGCCATGATCAGGTAACTCCAAATGCTATTTCTCTTCAAGTGAATTTAAAATACACATCAATCTCATAAAGGCTCTGAGGAGTTCTGCTGTAAAGAAACTTTGCATAATGATGTTTTCAGAATTTCTTTGAGCACACAAATTTCTTTTCCTTAATACCAATTAACAAAGCTACTTTGGGAAACGTTATTGAAAATGAGTGTTGGCTTAAAGTCTTCTCTCTCCAAGGTACACTTGCTCGGAACGAAGTTCAAAACTTTAAGTCTGAGAAAGCAGGAGGATGGGAGTGGGTAGAAATCATATTGATGGATTTTAAGTATCATTAGGTAGAGAGAATTTTCTTAAGGGGGAAACTTTAAAAAGCACTGGATTACTGTGTACATACATTTTTAATTTTTATTTTAAAACTGTTTTAAGCTTACAGAAATTTGCAGAAATAGTACAAAGAACTCCTGTACATCCTTTGCCCTGAGACCCCACTCAAGTTTTGCCGATGTCCCAGAGACATCCTTTATAGCAGTGGATCCGTGCCGGGGTCACAGGTAGCACTCAGTCATTGTGTCCCTCTAGGCTCTTTCAATCTGGAACTGTTCCTCTGTTTTTCTTTGACTTTTATGACTCTGAAAATTCTGAAGTAAACAGGAAAGTTATTATGTAGAATGTCCCTCAATTTGTGTTGGTTCCTTGTTTCCTCTTGATGAGACCAAAGTTATGTATTTTGAGTCAAAATATCAGGAATGGTGGGTTCTTTCCATTGAAATCTATGGGTGGTAGGTACACGATGTGGATTTGACCCGCTACTGGTAGTATTAACTTTGATCCCTTGACTAAAATGGTGTCTGCAGATTTCTCTGCTGTAAAGATACCATCCTCCCACCTTGGCATTTAATACATGTCTTGTGGGAGGTATTTTGATACTGTGTAAAATCCCATCTCTCTCTCCACCTTAAACCATTAGTTTAGCCTCGCTTGATGTTTCCTGCCTGAATTAATTGTTATTATGGTGGTTGTCAAGTGGTGAATTTCTAATGTCGTGGCTCCTTCTGCATTTAGTAGTTGTCTTTCTACTACAAAGAAAAGCTTTCCTTCTCCCCATTTATTTATTCATATAAAAATATCTATCTATGTATAGATTTATGGATTTCAATTTTATTCAATGGCTATAATCTGTTAGTATGATAATTTATTTTGATGCTCTAAGTTTTCCAGATTTGGCCATTGGGAGCCCATCCAAACTGGCTCCTATATTTCTGACACGTCCCCATCATTCTTGAAGCACTTCCTTACTTTTTGGCAGCACTAGATGTTCCAGGCTCATCTTCCACTTTCTCTGCCCCAGCCCTGGAATCAATGATTTCTCCAAGAAGCCCTGGCTTCTTTTAGTGAAGAATTATATTTAGAAATGAAGATTCGGGTAATAGATGTGCTCATTGCTAGTGGGATGTCACTGCTCTCGGGCCCTATCGATGGGTAGAGGTAGGGAGTTACACATTATATAATATATATAAACTAACATCTATATTTCATATAATATAGACATAATCTGTTTCTATATATTGAACTCCATGAATTCATACCGATGCTTCCAATTCCAATCCAACATCAGGAGGTACATTCTAGTTTTCTTCCTTTCTATATTTGTACCTTCCTTTTTGATTGTAAGAAAGCTGGCTCTTAGCTCAGTCTCCCTCTACATAGTTAATCCCTCAGTTCCCTGATTCCTGCCTCCCTTGCGTGTGGGCCCTGACACCAGGGTGTGTCTGCATCTCCCAGGGCCACTATCTCATTTAGGCCTGCCTAATGGTGCTTTGATGAAAAAAGGAAAAAAAGAAGGAAGAAGGGAGGGAGGAAGTCAGGTAGGGAAAGGGGAAAGAAGGAAGGAAGCTAATAAAGGAAAAGAGAGGAATAGAATGGGAGGAGAGCTATATGGATTTTGAAACTTGATTTTTATATTCAAGATGAAAAAATTGGGGTTTGTGGTAAAGTCATTATCCTTTGATACTCTGAGATATTCATTTATTGTAGTCTTAGTATTCCCATGGGCAGAACTGAGACCAATAAGTAGAAATTAATGGGTGGCATATTTCACCCTAGTATCAAAAATATTATCTAGTCAGACTTACTCAACGATAGAATGGTCTTGGTTGCAAAGAAATGAGCTCCCTGTCAAGAGATGAGTTCATTTAGGCACCATAGGACCATCAGCCAGAGTGACATTGCATTGGGAAAGAAGTTGGTTAAACGTCCATAGTTCTATGTTGAGGTGGTAATAGTGGCATAGCTGGAGGCCAGCATTTGATCAGGCTACCCAAGGAGCAGTGACACCAAACACCCCTATGGGTGGCTAAGGAGGCAGCCAGACAGCAGTGAGGGGGTCTCCCAGAGTCCTCTGGGGATGCAGCCCCGGAGCTGCACAGCACAAGCTGCACCTACGTGAAGAGCTATGTGTGTATTTGCAGGATGAATTTGCATCTCGAGATGAAACATAGCTCCAGATTGAGACAGCTCTTAGTTCCAGTGCCAACAATCTAATGTTGGCTTCAAAGGAGAAACTAAAAATGTTCTTCTTGGAGCAAGTTCTGGCCCTTATATTTCTTTTATTGTTCCCAAATGGACCACATACTGGGGCACCTTTGTGATTGCCTAACAACAGTAACCTGTCAAACACAACAAGCAAAGTCCTAAATGGTTTCTTCTCAGGAGCAAATCCCAGCATCAGATGTTTCCATTCTCTTGTCTCCTCATTTTTACAGCCCCCACCCAATCAATCTACCCAGAACTTTACCTTAAAGAAGCTGGAGTTTTGACATCTTTTCAAATGTTCAAACAAACTGAAGTCAGAAAGTTTTTTTTTTTTTTTTTTTTGAGATGGAGTCTTGCTCTGTTGACCAGGCTGGAGTGCAGTGGCACAATCTCAGCTCACTGCAACCTCTGCCTCCTAGGTTCAAGCGATTCTCCTGCCTCAGCCTCCCTAATAGCTGGGATTACAGGCGCCCACCACCACGTCCAGCTAATTTTTGTATTTTTTGTAGAGACGTGGTTTTGCCATGTTGGCCAGGCTGATCTCGAACTCCTGACCTCAGGCGATCCGCCCACCTCAGACTCCCAAAGTGCTGGGATTACAGGCATGAGCCACCCTGCCCAGCCCGAAAGTTCTATATAGTGCCAGAAAACATGCCATCAGCTGCCTGCCTCCAGCAACAGTTCAACAAGCATTTGTTGAGGGTCTTTCTTGTGCCCAGCTGCTATGCAAGAATGAAACAAGATATCCAGGGTCCCATTTCACAGAGGAAAAAACTGAGGCAGAATCACAAACAATAACAACTGGCAGCATCAGGCTGCATCTTCCCTTCTCACTTCCCACAGAGTGAAGTAGTTGCCTTGTTGCTGGGGAGGAATGGAGTGGGGCTTACCCACCTTCCCAAAGTAAAACTAAATGTCAGCTTTCATGACTGTCTTTTTTTTTTTTTTCTTTTGGGATGGAGTTTCACTCTTTTTGCCCAGGCTGGAGTGAAATGGCATGATCTCGGCTCACCACAACCTCTGCCTCCCAGGTTCAAGTGATTCTCCTGCCTCAGCCTCCTGAGTAGCTGGGATTACAGGCATGCGCCACCACACCTGGCTAATTTTGTATTTTTAGTAGAGATGGAGTTTCTCCAAGTTGGTCAGGCTGGTCTCAAACCCCCGACCTCAGGTGATCTATCTGCCTCGGCCTCCCAAAGTGCTGGGATTACAGGCATGAGCCACTGTGCCCGGCCTCATGACTGTCTTTTGTTTTCCCAATGAAGGGGCGGAAATCAGAACCATTTTGGACAGGCAGTCAAATCTTGACAACACCCTGCATCTGGACACTTCTTTAATACAAAGTCTGATGCTTGCTAGCTGGTTTGTCTTCACGTATATGTAAATGTTTATGTGCATATATATTTTTCAGTATCAAGTGTTTGTGCTTTGGATGCATTACTTGTAGGCGGGCAGCCATTTTAGTCACTGTGAATCCTGAAGAACAAGCTGTACCATCAGGGAATAGCAGTAATAGTGGCTGTTTATTGAGCAAATTGCTGCACGCTAGTTCGTATGTGCCTTGTCTCCTTAAACCTTCACAACGGCAGAATGAGGGGGGTTAATTTGCAGAGGAGGAAACTGAGGCACAGAGAGGTTGTCATGTATTTCACCCAAAGCCCCACAACTAGAAAGTGGGAGGGTCACGTTTTAAACTCAGACTTCTCTGACTCCGAAAGGGCAATGCCTACCATGCAACGCTGCCCCTTACAGAGCATTGTCCCCAAAGCCGGTGGCCAAATATTGGGAGCAGTTATAATGGGTGGCAATGGGCCACAAGGGGGCCCGAAGAAATAGGGTGCATAAGAGTTAAAAAAAAACTTCTGCCGGGGAGGTTTTTCATGTGTCTTTTCCAAAGGTCAGAGTTCAGATTTATGAGGTTGGAATATTCATGAGGTGCCGCAGTGTGCAATACCAGGGTACTAGGGAGACAATTTTCCCGTGGCATAAATTAACCTAAGGTGAGGGCTCCTCCGAACTAAGGTTCAGATATGGCAGATGTGATCAAAGCAACCACACAACCCACCTGGGAGGCTGGGGATTCACATCTCAAAATAGTAATTAATGATTTGGAACATGGCAGTGCCTATTTTCGTCCATCTGCCCAACCGTCTATCCATCCATCCATTTGTTATCAGCTATTTGCAAAACCTCCTACTGGAGCCAAAAGAGGTATACCAAAACCAAGCCAAACCAAACCAACCAAATGAATCCCTCATAAGTAGCTTTGGATCAAGTTGGGGAGAGATAGACATATGCAAGAATAGATAAACCGCAGGGCAAAGGTGTGTCTGATTAAGTATCAAAATGAGTGATCCAGATAGCAGATGTTCTGCAGGGACCCAGAAGAGGGAGGTCTTTGAGGATGTGGTGTGGCCGGTCTGGCCATGTCGGTTGCCTTCAGGGATTATTGTGGCACCCTTGAGACTGCCTGGAGTCCAGTTAGTTTCCATCTTGATACAAGATGAATGGAAAAATTGGATTTATGGTCTGCCCACTGCTGAGATACAGTTTGGGTCTCTTTAGACCTGTTTGGAAATGAGGTGCCACCTTTAATCTTAAATATCAGTTAGGTGGTTCCAAAAGATTGAAAGAAGATGAAACAAACAGGTATTCATTTGAGGAAGGACTGTTACTCTTCATTCCCTGGTTTGACTGCCAAAATATAATGAGAGTTTGTTTGTATGTCCAACCAAAGCCAGAAAACCCAGCTACAAAACCAGATCTCCAGCAGCTGACTCCCCTGGCTTTTATGACCTCAGGGGCTATGAGGTTGACAGTAGGGGACCCAGACACCGAGGAGGCCTTGAATGAGAGGTGCAGACATATGTGATATAATTAGGCAGCCTTTATGAGGCAAGCAGGGAGAAGTCATTAGGGCTGCTGTTTAACAAAGGGAAACTTCCTGCTCCCACCCCCCCGTTAAAGAGCTGCTTTTCAACTGTGTTGGGCTTCTTTGATCCCTGAAGTCTCCTGATGTTTTGCTCACATCCTGTCATGATATTTAATGATGCTTCATGTGTGCACCAGGAGCACGGCCCAACTTAGCATCATCTGGGGAAAGGCATTGTAACATGGCAAGGTTTTGATGTGATTCCTTGCATGGCCAGGTTAGTGAGGCGGCTATGCAGACACCAGTGAGTGTATTGATTCCACTTGGCAGTGGAATCCATTGAAAGGAATGATGGAGAGACCAAGATATTGCCAAGTTCTTCTGCAGTTCTTTATTTTGGGATCTATATATCAGCTGGTACACTGCTCAGGAGAAGAGAGAAGGAATTTGGTCTTGGACAGTCTTCTTTCAAAAGGCTGAAATGTTCTGGAGGAATGGGTCTCTGCCAACCTATGGTCATACACATGAACAGCTGCTAAAAGGAAGACGAATAGGCACTTAGGGACCACCCAGCCCATACCAGATATATGAATCCTACAAAATTCGTGGTAGGCACTGTTCGTGTATTCTGCTGTTTGCCTAAATACCTCTGGAGAAGAGGAACTTACCACCATAAGGCAGCACAGCTATTGTGCTTGTTCTGATGGCTTAAAAGCTCCTCTTCATTTAGTTGTTTCTTGCAGCTTCTAACTGGGCCAGAGTGCTGCACTTGGTGGCTACACAGAACTGGGCTCTTCTTGGTCAGAGTTCTTAAAAAACTCAAAGGCACTTGGGGAGTGTCCCCTGAGTATTCTCATTTCCAAGTAAGAACCCCTATTTCTGCTACTGTTCCTCCCATTCCCTGGTTTCTATACCCTTGTATCTGATGGTCCTTCTTGGAAGGTCCTGGTAGGACAACTTTACTACCCTTGTTCTTTAAATGCTGATTAACTTTGCTTTGGCCTTTTTGGTAGATATTAAGCCCAAATCTCTGAAATGGGGCAAGAATCTCAACATACAAAGGCAATAATTTGGATTTCCTGTAAAGTTCCAGAATGAATCCCAGTTCATATTCCAAGTGTTGGCATCTGTTAACATTTCTTTTCCCTTCTAGACTATTTGGATTAAAAGCGTATCAGGGGCTAACTGCTTGGACCTCTCTCTTTGGTGCTGTCACCCAGAGGACAGTCTGACTGCCTCCTAAGTGAACACACAGTGGATTGAAGCAATTGTTCCTAGCTGCCATGCAGTGGAGATGCCTCTCAGTCCATCCACTTCCATCCATCTGCATTGTTACCACCTTGTCCAGGCCCTGTCATTTCTCTCTTGGATCACAGCCAGAGCCTCCTAATCATCTCCCACACATATTCCTGACCCTTTCCAATCTGTTCTCTACACAGCCTCTGGAATATATATATTTTTAATTTTAAACATAAATTGCTAATAAAACCCAAACATGTTATCATGGCCTTCAAGGTCCTGCAAGATCTAGCCTCTGCTTACTTCTCCAGCATCATTTTGTACCTCTTTCCCCCCAACCCTGCGCTATCCACGTGGGCCACCTTTCAGGTCATTGGGCCCACTGGCTTCTTTCTTCCACACTGGGCTTTTACATGTTGTTCCCTTCACCTGGAATGTTCCCCTTTCCCATCTCCCTGCCTGGGTGCTTCCTTTGTATCTTCAGACCTTAAATATCATCAGCTTCCATACTGCATGCAGAGAAAAACCCTCTCATATCTCAGATTCCCTGTTATTATTATTTTTTTGTAGAGACAGGGTCTCACTATGTTGCCCAGGCTGGTCTAGAACTCCTGGGCTCAAGCGATCCTCCTACCTTAGCCTCCCAAAGTGCTGGGATTACAGGTGTGGGCCACTGGGACTGGCCCCCCTGTTATCATTGTCTGACCCTACATTATTTACTTTATAGAGCTGATCACAGCTTGTAATTATATATTTGTTGGTTTACTTGCTTATTTTCTGTCTCCCCTTGCCTCCCCCACTACTACCTCCCTCTAGATTCTAACTCTATCAGTTAGGGTCTCTCTGCTCTGGTCTCCTATTTATCCCCAGCCCGAAGCTTAGCTCCTGGTTCATGATGAAGATTCAATGTATAGTTGTGGTTGAATGAATAAGTGAATGGATGAATAAATGCAGTGGTATATTTGAGTGTTAGCTGTCCATCAACTTGAATACAAGATTTATTATTGAGTTAAAGCCCTTATATTTTAAGAGAAACTTTAAAAGACAAAACCAGTTTTGCTGAAATAATCATCCCTTTTGATTTCTTTATTCTCTGTGTCCCAGTAAAATGAAGTTTTATTAGAATCTCATCAACAATGTAAATGCAGGCCCCAATTACCCTGGTCAAATTACAGATCTTCCTCTTAGATTTATATCACTTTTATTTTTGACAGGCTGAGAATATTTTTTAAACAGCCCTTTCTTGAGTGCTTTAATGCCTCATCCAGATGAAAAAAGAAAAGAAAAAGAATTTGAGACTTTGAGCACCATTTCTCTAATTCCAAAACAAAGGATTCAGATGTCTTTATTTTTTAGGTAAATTTAATTTCCCTGCAATTCCACCCAAAATCGCACAGTGGAGAAAGATGATTGTAATCAATCCAATGCTTTCAGGTGTAACCTCTGAACTGGAAAATCTCTCAGTTTCTTAAGGCTGCTGTAACAAAGTACCACAAACTGGATGGCTAAAAACAACAAAGTATATTCTGTCACAGTTCTGGAGGCCAGAGTCAGAAATCAAGGTGTTGGCAGAGCTGGTTCCTTTGGAGGCTCTGATGGAAAATCTGTATCATGCCTTTCTCCCGGCTTCTGCTGGCTGCCGACAGCCCTTAGCATTCTTTGGCTTGTAGATGCATCACTCTCATCTCTGTCTTCATGTCTCCCTCTATTTCTTCTTATAAAGACAGCAATCATTGGATTTAGGGCCCAGCTTTCCAGAATGATCTTGAGATCCTTAATTTCATTACATCTGTAGCGACCCTATTTCCAAATAAGGTCATGCTCTCAATACCAGGAATTAGGACTTGGACATATTTTTTTTGGAGAACACAAAAAACTGCGTCATGAGATTCAGAGAGGCAAAATGACTTGCCCAAGACATATAGGTCCTTAATAATACAGTCAGAACCACAACAAATCTTTTGATCTTTGTACTCTACTACATTATATATTGTCTCTCAAAAGAATGCACTCTTTTGCTTCTAAGGCAGTTGTTTTATACATACATACACACATACAGATATGGTTTGGCTGTGTCCTCACCCAAATCTCATCTTGAATTATAGCTCCCAGAAGTCCCACGTGTTGTGGGAGGGATGCTCTGGGAGATAATTGAATCATGGGAGTGGTTTCCCCCACACTGTTCTCATGGTAGTGAATAAGTCTCACAAGATCTGATGGTTTTATAAGAGGTTTCCCTTTTTGCTTGGTTCTCATTCTCTCTTGTCTGCTGCAATGTAAGATGTGCCTTTCACCTTCTGCCACAATTGTGAGACCTCCTCAGCCATGCAGAACTGTGAGTCCATTAAACCTCTTTTTCTTTATAAATTACCTAGTCTTGGGTATGTCTTTATCAGCAGTGTGGTGGCTGCTGGCACCTCTTGGCATTCTTTGGAGAATACACTAATACAGTAAATATATATTCATATTTTATACACATACATATACATATATATTATATATATATATATATATATTTTCTCTATTAGAACCCCTTTGATCACCTGGAAATCAGCTGTACAAGCCCCTATAGGCCCAAACCACATTAGTCAATCTAGTCCAAATAATAAACTAGTTTGTGAAGATGATTTTTTTTTTCTGTTTGGGAAAGAAGATAAAGGATCACAAAATAAATTTCTTATTGAGCTGATTATATCTATCTGGCAAAACTATATTTGTTGACGATCAATGGCAGCCACTCAAGCCCCTGTTAATTATAATTTCCTCAACCTTGTCTTTGACTGTGCAGCCTAGAAGCATTTGATGCCTCTAGTTAGAGCCCAACAGGTAGCAGCCATGGTTGGAGTGGTTGTTTGGTCACAGGTGGGGCAGTGGCCTTTGGCCATGTTCTGCCCCAACACCCACCCTAGATAATGGTCAGACACAGTATACATGCCAATAAGTCCACCTAGGTTTTCACAGGATTCAAAGCATTTTGCAGGAAAATAAAGCAAATAGAACCACAACCATTTCCTTTTTCTCATTTTCTTTTCTGTTTTTGGTGGGGGAGGAGTGTGAAGAGACTTGATATTCATGAAAGCATTTTACAAGCATGTGAGTAATGAAATCCATGTTTTAAAGATGTAATGCATTTTACAGGCTCTCTTAATCTGCCCTTGCTTTCCTTCTTCCTTATAAAAAATTTAGTGGTGATTAAATTAAAAGAAAACGGAAGTCATAATAAAATAAAAACTCACAGGCTCCACAGTAATTTGTCATTGCCACAAGTATTCATGGCACATCCTTAACTGGCACCCACTACTCCTGCGGTCTGGATAGGATACAAGTGTTAAGTTCCTTTTATTAGGCTGCTGTACTACCTACCCCTTCCTCTTCTACCCAAGAGTATTGGGAAGGCAAGTGACTGGATAGATAACTATAAGCAATCCATTCCTGAACTATAAGGCTAAAGATTATCATTACTCGGCTGTATAATAGAAAACCCAACTTGAAATCCCTTTAACAATAAAGATTCACCAACCTCAACACATTAACTTTTTCCTCAGACCAGTGCCCCTCATGGTTTCAAGATGGCTGCTGCAGCTCCGTGTATGTGACATCCAAGCATGAGGACATTCAGCAGGTGTATTAGTCTGTTTTCACACTGCTACAAAGACGTACCTGAGACTGGGCAATTTATAAAGGAAAGAGGTTTAATTGACTCACAGTCCCACATGGCTGGAGAGGCCTCAGGAAACTTACAATCATGGCAGAAGGCAAAGGGGAAGTAAGGCACCTTCTTCACAAGGTGGCAGGAAGGGGAAGTGCCGAGCAAAGGGGGAAGATCCCCTTATAAAACCATCAGGTCTCATGAGAACTCACTCACTATCAGGAGAACAGCATGGGGGAAACCACCCCCATGATTCAGTTACCTCGACCTGATCTCTCCCTTGACAATGGGGATGATGGGGATTATAATTCAAGATGAGATTTTGGGTGGAGACACAGCCAACCCATATCAGCAGGGAAAGAAAAATCCCTGTTCCTTGTTTTCTCTCCTAAACAAGAAACCTCTTAAAAGCCTCCACAGAAACTTCTACTTCCATTTCATTGGAAGATTTAGGTCACATTTGCACCCTAAACCAATCTCTGGTAAGGAAATGGAGCTTCCACCATTAGTTTAGCTTATCACGTTAGTTTAATTGGGGTATAGGTTACCCAAACAAAATTGAGATTCTGTCCCCAAAAAACAAGGAGGTATAGCAGGACCATTTTGTTTACAAGTGTCAGGACATCCAGATAAAAATGGCCTAAACAATAATAAAAATACCATTATCTCACCTAACAAGAAGACCACAGCAGGTGACTCGAGAGGTGGTAGCTTCAGCAGTGCAGGGATGTCAGGCTTCTGCTGGCCTCTTGTAATTTCCTTGGCTTTTTCTTGGTTTTACTAGTGTCTGCCACAGCTCAAAGCATTGCCTATATTCAAATGCAGGAAGAGGCCAAAGTCCCAGGCTTTTGCCCTCTTTTTAGAGCACTGGAAACTTTCCCAATGACTCGCAACTCTCTCATCCCTGTATCTTAAGGGTCAGGGTTACATCACAGGCCTAGGTCTGTATCTATCACTGGCAAGTGAATGGAATCAACAGGATTGGCTTAAATAAATTAACATTTAATATTTACCCTTGGGACGGGAGGGGGTGTCCTTGGCTGAAGACACAGGGTAGGAAGGGAGGGTTGCTGCAAACATCTGGAGAATATTCCAGCATCTGCCAGCAAGGAAGGAAGGGGCTGGGAATGACTCTTGGGGAGTGCACCACGCATGAATCTTTATCTCGCTAGTGGGAAGGATTATAGCATGTATCTAATGTAATTGAGGGGTGTTCATTGTTGGACTGGAAAGATTTAAGGGCCACAGACTTCTCAGTGAGAAAGATATGGAATGTCGTAGTCACTTCTAACTCATGGGAGCAGAAGTTAGCAATGCTTTTTTCAGGATTTCTTCTTCTTTGGGTTAGAAGCAGAAAGACTGAGACTCCTTTAGGAAGTATGAGAGATACTGAGATGGGCTGCTCATGAGAACCCCCTGGTGTGCCCCTGGCATGCAGGGACTAGGAGAGGTACTGACCTCTGTTTAGCTCAGCTTCTTGATTTATATCTGGGAAGGGAGATTCAGCTCCTTTCTCCTGATGCTGCCAGTCTAGGGCCTTTTATCTCTCATTCTCTCCGAGTTGTCCAGAAATACTTCTGGAACCTGTGGGTCTTCCTCCTCCTTTAGTTTTCCATGGGACACCACTGAAAACTAGGCAAAGCAAGTCAGGGGGTTGTCTATTACAGCTTTTCATCAGGATACAAGAGAGCTGTGCACCGTTACTGTTCCAAGGGGTCAATTTGGTAAGCATCCCCACTGGACTCCAGTCTCCACTCTGTCACCTTCTAGCTTCTTATTTTTAGCAGTTTGGCTTAGCTTGGTTTCCCCAGTTTTGTCACTGGCTGCTCTGCAGGCTGGAGTGGTGTAAGATCTTGTCACTGAGGAGTGGTAAGTCTCTGAATAAGTCTTCACAGTTATGAGGCCTACGTTCTTTGTCTCGAAAATAGGGACAATTACCCTGGCTTGATAAAAGTGATGCATACTATGCAATGGAAGATGTTTATACTGTGCAAGAATCCCCTTTTTTCCTCCTCTGAAGCTTTGCTCCGGTTCCTTTGTGTTTTAGAATCTGCTTGTTTGCTTGTTTACTTATTTATTTATTTATGGCAGTGAGAGCGAGACCCCTTTACCTGATGGCCAGGCTCAACAACAACTGCTCTGAACTCATCCATCCTTCATTAATATTCACCCGGTGCAAAGCACATCGCTCTGGAGGCCTCTCCTCTATGGGACGCTTTAATGTGGCAGTTATGAAAGCAGCTTAGACCGAGCTCGATTAGCATAATAATGAAGCTTCGGTGGCAGTGTTTCCATCCTCAAAGGAAATAGCTGGAGTGGTCACAGAGCCTTTAACAAGTACTGCTTTAGGATAAAAACGGACAGGGTGGGAGATGATGGATGGCAATGTGGAATGTGGGGAGGGGACTGTTGGGGGTGGGAACTAGCAGGGGAAGTGGGGGAAGAGATTGTTTGCTTTTCTTTGCCTTGTTCCTAAGAGATGTCATCTGCAACGACAGAACTTCCATTAGTAGTGGGCCTTTAGAAATGCACAGGTTTCTGCATTTCCAGAAAAACATAACGTTAGTTAGTGTCTCTTTTGGCTGTAGAAGAGAAAAAAAAAAATACCCAGCCCACAAGAACACCGCACTGTTTCAGATGTTCAGTGACTCCTGAAAATAAGTGGGTAGGCATTATTATCTCCCTTTGACAGATGAATGCACATCCAAACATCCATCTGTTCGTCTGTCCATTCATCCACCTTATCTTCCTCCAGAAATGATTTAAGACAGTTTCCAGATGAGGTACCCAAATTCTCAATGCCAGGTAGAGGCAGTGCTCCCATTTGAACTCAAATCTCCTATGACTTTTCCCCTAACACCGTGATTCTTTTAAAATCAATTCAGAATTCAAACCAAGGGCCCTACTTTCCTGACTCCTGCGGTTAATTGTCAAGAAACAGGTTCAGCTGGATTTCAGCTGATCCACACATCTTGCCTCCCAGTTGTTTTTGCAGCAGAGAGATCCTCACCTGAGTATGGAGTGTGCCTCCACAGGGCCCCTTAATTGGTCATTGACCCAATCTGGGCCAGTGTAATAACTTCCATTTGCACATTTAAGCTGTTGGTTATTTTGCTGGATTTTTACAAATCTGGGATCAGCTGTTCTCTCATTATACAGACATGGGAACCAGCGGGACAGCTGAAGCACACCTAGGCTCTCTCTAGCCATGAAAAATCAAGCACTAAGTGGGAGGAATAGACAGAAAAATTCAAGAAAATCTCAAGGCCCTTGCTGTCCTTCACCAGCACAGGCACATGGAGCAGAAAAAAGAAAATCTTGGTTGAAAATAAGAACCAAGCGGCTGGGCATGATGGCTCACACCTGTAATCCTAGCACTTTGGAAGGCCGAGATGGGCAGATTGCTTGAGGTCAGGAGTTCAAGACCGGCCCAGCCAACATGGCAAAACCCCGTCTCTACTTAAAATACAACAATTAGCCAGGTGTGGTGGTGCGTGCCTGTGGTCTCAGCTATGGGAATGGCTGAGGCAGGAGAATCACTTGAGCCTGGGAGGTGGAGGTTGCAGTGAGCCAAGATGATGCCTCTGGACTCCAGCCTGGGTGACAGAGTGAGACTCCATCTCAAAAAAAAAAAAAAAAAAAAAAAAAAGGAAAGGATTGCAGCTGGTTTGCCTTGCCAGGCTAATGGGCAGACTCATTTTAGGGAGATGGTTATTCGTTTAGGAAACGACCATAATCACCTATTTGGTGTGAAAGATGAAGCCTCCTCTCCCTACTCCCTCAACTCTAGAGGATGATTTGGAAGAGACACAGCGAGATCAGAACGACTCTGCATAATAAAAATGAGAGAGTACAGAGGAGTAGATGGGAAGAGTGGGGGAAATGATGCCCAAACAGAAGCCCTTTGATGGAGGAGTGGGATGTGGAGAAGGACCAACATCCAGTATGGGAGGCCCTGGTGTGGAAATGGCCCAGAAGTTCTAGTTTTAAGTAGTTTGTGGAGTTCTGATAGAACTCTCTATAATTGCCAACCTTCAGTAAAGGTCTGTTTACAACATGCAACAGCTTTAGTGTGGGTGGTGCTTCGAAGGTTCAACAGGCAAAGGTACATCAGCTTGGTTCAGGACAGAAAGAAGAGGGTGGTCACAGAAGGGGAGATGTAGCATGATGGGAGATCACCAGAACAGGCAATCTGAGCCACAGGTGACCATGGAAGACCCTGGGAGTCAGCCAAAAACCTTTCAATTCATGAGATGGGGCTTAAGTCAGATTTCCTCCCAGATCGAAAAGCAATGGGACCCCAGAGTTTTACCTAGACAGAATATATTTGCTTCTGTTTTCATGAAGTTTCGATAGAAGTCTGAGTTACAGTGACTGTTGCTACTTCAGGCCTCTGTATCTTTTTGCAGTTTGCCTTCCATGATCAACCGCCAGGAAGTCACATTCTTTATGGTTTATGAGCACTTTGCATTATTTTACTTAATCTTCACAGCCATTTTGGGAGGGAAGCTGAAAACCCGAATCACTCTGGGAATACTGGTCTATTGCCATTAACTTAGTTTGCTCTTACAAAATGACTTAACTAGCTGCATATGAAAACACAATACACAACCCATTGTCTATACAGGAAGATATTAGCATTGCAAGGCTCTTGGTTGATGGACATAGGGGAAGGGTACAGGTTGCAGCAATAGAGCAGTTTCTCTTCTAATTTCTTTTTAAGTTTCTCAGTTTTTCTACAAGTTTTACGTACAAGCGAAGAAGGATTAGCACATGCGACCCTACTGAAGCTGTGATCACATGTGATCCAGTCTCACGGTTGTAGTTAAAAAAAAAAAGCCTGAAAGGCAATTTTATAAAATCTCTAGTTCTCACAAATTTTTAAACATCATGAATTGGATACAAAGCCTACAACAACACTTCCAAACATTTGCCATTTCTGTTTGATTAATTCTAACATATTACCTTCGTTCTCCAGAGAGGCTCTTCCTTATTTATTTATTACTTGAGACAGAGTCTCGCTTTGTCACCCAGCCTGGAGTGCAGTGGCGCCATCTCGGCTCACTGCAAGCTCCGCCTCCTGGGTTCACCTATTCTCCTGCAGAGTGGCTCTTCCTTAAACTTTCTGAAAAACCACCCCCTCAACATCAGGTCCAGCTTTGGTGTCTCTGTTCCTTCTATCCCTTGGTCTTCCCCACCCCTCCCCTAAATTCTGCCTCACAAAAGCTCCAAAGAACAAACCTGGCAATGGCAGAGCCCTCCCTAAAATAAGAGTAGAGGAAACTGAGTCAGTGAAGTTAGAATATGCTTTTGTGGTAGGGGGAAGAGAAGGGCTAAAAATGTTACTGATAACTGTACCCTATTACATTTACACAAACATTTCAGGATTGTAAGAAATAAATGTTAAAAGTTAACCCAGCATTTACTAATATTCATGATTTTTTTTGGTTGTATATTAACTAGGTCATAAGTGGTAATGGTTTATGCAAATGATGGTACTATTTATTTTTAAGGAAGAAACTGTATTTTTATGGTTGTTTTTTACTGGCTTTGCAAATTCTTCAGTGTTTTTAGGTAATGCTATCCTGTCGATTCTTTGCCTGACACCATATAGTTTAATTCTCATCTCAGGCACCCAAACCAAGCATACTCACTGACACAGATGTGTCAAAAGACAGATACTTACATCTAATTCTTCAGAAATATTGGTTCCGATAATATTTCTACTATTCCTTTATGGCCTAGGGCTGCAGATTATTGTGCAAACATTTCTTTTTTTTCATAATATTTTAAAATAATTAAAGCTGGCTTGTCTTTAAGATCACCCTTATAAGGTGATCTGCACACAGGTGTGATGTCATTTTGAGGGCAAAAGGAAGGTCCTTCTGTTCCTTTCCCCTGGGTTGCTACCCACTATGTGCTGAAATTATTTTCACTATTCTGAGCATTCCATTCTTCTGAGCTCAGGGAGAGGTAACAGTTCTCCCTGAAGTAGGGCTGAAGTCATTCTCACCTCTCCAAAGAAGCTGAATTGGGAGGTGTTTTAGGTGCTAAAAGGGTAACTCTTACCCAGTTTTGAGTGAACCACACGCTAAGATACCCATGCCTGACTTTCTAGGAACTAAGAGTCCAGGTTTTTGCCTGTCAATGAAGAGTCAAACTCTGTAAAATATTTAAAAGTGTTTTATTCTGAACCAAATATGAGTGACCAAGGCCTGAGGCCTAGTCCCAGGAGGTTCTGAGAACATGTGCCCAAGGTGGTCAGGCTACAGCTTGGTTTCATACATAGGGAGACATGTGATACCAATAAGACACCAATCATTACATGTGGGATATGCATTGGTTTGGTTTGGAAAGGCGGGACAACTGGACGGGGGTTGCTTGCAGGTCAGAGGTGGATTGAAAGGTTTTCTGATTGGCAATTGGTTGAAAGAGTTATTATCTAAAGGCCTGGAATCAGTAGAAAGGAGTGCCAGGGTAGAGATAAGGGGTTGTGGAGACCAGGGTTCTTATTATGTAGATGAAGGCCCTTAGAGGCAATGGATGGTAAATGTATCCCATTCAGACCTCTAAAAGATACTGGACTCTCAGTTAATCTCTTCAAGATTGGGAGGGCCTGGACTGGAAGGGGAAAGATCTAGTTATGTTAATGGAGATTCTTTACAGATGCAATTTCCCCTCACAAGAACGGCTTTGCAGGCCATTTTAAAATATGGTAAAGAAACATATTTGGGAATAAAATATTTTGATTTCCTTCTTTATCTATCATGTGATGTTATGCCCAGGTCCGGTTGGAAATTAAGCCATGTTATATTGGATTAAATGAAACTGTCACAGGCATGCAAACCAGAGCAACTCCGTCTTAAATAGGGGCTGGGTAAAATAAGGCTGAGACCTACTGGGCTGCATTCCCAGACAGTTAGGTGTTCTAAGTCACAGGATGAGATAGGAGGTTGGTAAAAGATATAGGTCATAAAGACCTTGCTGATAAAACATGTTGCAGTAAAGAAGCCGGCTAAAACCCACCAAAACCAAGATGGCCATGAGAGTGACCTCTGGTCATCCTCACTGCTACACTCCAACCAGTGTCAAGACAGTTTACAGATGCCATGGCAATGCCAGGAAGTTATCCTACGTGATCTAAAAAGGGGAGGCACGAGTAATACACCCCTTGTTTAGCATATCATTGAGAAATAACCATAAAAATGGGCAACCAGCAGCCCTTGGGGCTGCTCTGTCTATGGAGTAGCCATTCTTTATTCTTTTACTTTTCTAATAAACTTGCTTTCACTTACTTTACTCTATGGACTCGTCCTGAATTCCTTCTTGCGTGAGATACAAGAAACCTCTCGGGGTCTGGATCGGGACCCCTTTCCTGTAACAAACCCCTCTGATGAGACTTCATGGTTTGTAGAGCGTGACTCCTTGGGCACCTTAGATAGGAATTTGGACAAGAGAAAAAAAAAAGGTCAGAGTTCAGTCCTTAGCCAATTCTGCAAAATAGGCATGAAAGCACACAACTGCCACATTGGGTTGTGTAGGTAATGGGATCAACATAACCAGCAGGAAAGAGAATTTTGGTGGGATTTTCTACAGCTTGTAAGAGAGACTTCTCCCAACGCACTTGGAAGTTGACTGTAGATGTCTTGCAGGCCTTGACGACTGCTCTTTCCCCCAGCTGCAGGCAGGGGAACTTGTATTTCCTTCCAGGTAACAGTGTTGTCCATTTACCATGATACTGTGGGGCTTTGGGTCCTCTTGTCAGAGGCATTTGGACCAGAGCAACTCCATCTTGAATAGGGGCTGGGTAAAAGAAGGCTGAGACCTACAGGACTGCATTCCCAGGAGGTTAGACATTCATAGTCACAGGATGAGATAGGAGGTCAGCGCAAGATACAGGTCACAAAGACATTGCTGATAAAAAAGTTTGTGGTAAAGAAGCCGGCCAAAACCAAGATGGTCGTCCTCACTGCTCATTGTATGCTAATTATAGTGCATTCATGCTAAAAGACATTCCCACCAGTGCCATGACAGTTTACAAATGCCAGGACAATGTCCAGAAGGTTACCCTATATGGTCTAAATTGGGAGGAACCTTTGGTTTTGGGAATTGCCTGCCCCTTTTCCAGAACACTCTTGAATAATCCACCCCTTGTTTAGCATATAATCAAGAAATAACTAGAAGTCTAGTCAGTCGAGCAGCCCATGCTGCTGCTCTGCCTATGGAGTAGCCATTCTTTTGTTTCTTTACTTTCTTATTAAACTTGCTTTCACTTTATTCTGTGGACTTGGCCTGAATTCTTTATTGCATGAGGTTCAAGAACCCTCTCTTGGGGTCTGGACAGGGACCCCTTTCCAGTAACACTATAGTTTTTGACCTACTGAAGAAAAAAGAGGAGGAAAAACAGCTGAAAGTCTTACCTGAAGCCCAGTCTGGCTGTAATTTTCTTATTTTTCATTCTATCTTTAGCTCTTATTTCTTCTCTGCAGGTAATCCAAGGCTACTCTCCCCCATGCTCTTCCTCTCCCAAGTTGTTATTTAAAGTACAAGGGCTTCTGGATACCTCCTCTCTGCCTCTGAGCTGCAGGGAGGGCGGGCAGGGATCACCGGGGCAGGTGCTGACTGTCATTCTTCCCGACAAGGTGGGGCAGGCTCTCTCCTCCAAAGCCTCAGAGCTAGGGTTGATAAGTGGCCGTGTCAACTGCTTTCTGCCAGAATGGGCCCTGAATCTCCCTGGAGTGAAACACCTGCTCCTTGGGTGGGCTGCACCAGGAGAGGCAAGGGACGAGAAAACTGCTGGAGGTTGCACTAGTCAATTAATTAACATCATATAACCAAGGGGAAAGGGAGCTCTTGAACTTGATATGCAGACTTATGCAAAATAATATGTAGATTATCCCAGGTTTGGAATGAAGAATTCTGGATTCTGGCATTTTTCTTAAATAGGAATTTAGTACTGCTGAAGCTCAGAGAGAATAGGAAGTGGACATATTTTGAGTTAAAACAGTTAAGTCTTTCCTAACTCGAGTGCATGATAATACCCACTGTGTATAATTTGGCAAATACAGATAAGGCTCACTCCATCTATCTGTTTAGCTTTATCACCCTGTTCCCTAGAAATTTCAATCTTGAAGGCTCCAACTGACCTTTTGTCAGAGGTGTTGGAACCAGAGCAACTCCATCTTGAAAAGGGGCTGGGTAAAATGAGGCTGAGATCTGCTGGGCTGTATTCCCAGGAGATTAGGTGTTCTTAGTCCCAGGATGAGATAAGAGGTTGGCACAAGATACAGGTCACAAAGACCCCACTGATAAAACAGGATGCAGTAAAGAAGCTGGCCCAAACCCCCCAAAACCAAGATGGCAATGAAAGCGACATCTGGTCATCCTTATTGCTCATTACACGCTAAAACATTAGCATGCTAAAAGACACCCCGACCAGTGCCATGACAGTTAACAGATGCCATGGCAAAGTCCCGAAGTTACCCTATATGGTCTAAAAAGGGGAGGAACCCTCAGTTCTGGGAATTGCCCCCCCTTTCCCGGAAAACTCATGAATAACCCACCCCTTGTTTAGCATATAATCAAAAAATAACTGTAGTTAGTCAAGCAGCCCATGCTTTTCTGCCTATGGAGTAGCCATTCTTGTTTTTTGGAAATTTTTTTAAAATTTTACTTCAAGTTCTAGGATACATGTGCAGAACATGCAGGTTTGTTACAAAGATATACATGTGCCATGGTGGTTTGCTGCATCTATCAACCCATCATCTAGGTTTTAAGCCCCGCACACATTAGGTATTTGTCCTAATGCCATTCTTTTAGTCCTTTGCTTTCTTAATAAACTTGCTTTCACTTTACTCCATGAACTTGCCCCAAATTCTTTTTTGTATGAGATCCAAGAACCTTCTCTTGGGGTCTGGAGCTGGACCCCTTTCCGGTAATGCTTTCAGTCATGCTGGAGCAGCATATTCAGGGCACCTGGCCACTATGCGTTTCCATCTCTGAGCTTTGCTTAGACCTTTACAGAGTATCAAAAAGCCATGCAATATGATGTGGGGGGTGCGTTTCAGAGCTAGACTTGTGTTTGAAACCTGACCTTGGACGACATTATATAACCTTAATGAGCCTTAATTTTCTCTTCTGTAAAATGGAAATAATATCAATCCTACCACGGTTTTGTGACAAGTAAATGAGATATGTTGCCTGGCACATAGTAAGCTCTGATGCTTATCCAAATCTGATGCAAATGTTAAAGCCCAGCTTGAGTTCTACTTCCTTCGTAAAAGTTTTCATTTCCATTGCAGCTTAAAGTAATCTCTACATTCTCCTGAAGTATTAGCTATGCAATTCATCTGCAAATTAAAAATGCATTGCTTTATGACTTGTCTTTTTTGTTGTTTTATTAATTAACCTTGTGTTGTTCTTTGATTTACTCTTCACTTCTTTATTTCTTGTCTTCCTAACCTGACTGTAGGTCTTTGAGGATGGAAACTATGTCTTATGGTTTTTAGCCTCCCAAGATGTCTGGAATACATCTGCGCAACAAATACTTGAACATCTTCCTTTCCGCAGATTAAGAACCAGAAACAAACACATCATTAAATACTCATAAGTGGTCATCTAGACCACAGAAGGTTTCTTCCACAAGGAGCTTACACTCTGACAACAAGAAAAGCCCCATTTGTTCTCCTAGCCTTGTTTTCTATCTTGCATGCACGATTTTAATGAGGAACAGTAATGTCCAATGTTAGCCCGGAGTTTCCAGCAGAAGTTAATAGCAGTAGGCAGAAAACTCATGGAAAACCAAAAGAAGAGGTGGGAAGTCTTCTTAATTAGGTCCTGCTTGTTGAAAAGAGTGGTATCAGGAATAGGACTTACCAGGCATTTAACGTCTCCATATGATCTTATCAAGCCTTGAGAGAATTAGCTGTGGCTCAGCTATTGTAGCCATGTTCTGAGCCCTGGATTCCTGGGTTTCAGGGTTGGAGCACTGTCATTGCAGAATTCCTACTTTTCCCTGGACTGAAGCAGAAGATCTCAGTGAAATTCAGGAGGTCATTTACTGAGTGAAATACCTTGATCTGTTGCTTATAGCTCTGAAGAAATCTTAGGGAGCAGATAAGAAGGTTTATGTAAAATTGTTCAGTGTTTTAAAAGACACACACACAATTTTCCACTTTAATCACACTGTGATAAACAGGGTTATTCTGTAAAGTGATACACTCTATATTTGGGGTCATGTTTATTGGACAAGAACTCTTATTTTCTATACAAGTTCCAACATGAGACCAGAAAATGTGAACAATTATAAGAGTTTTATACTTCTCCCAGGGTCATTGTGAGGATGAATGAAATCTGCCTGAACCTCAGTTTTGTATCCTTGGTAGACACAGCTGAATACAAAAACAGGTTCTGAAAACCCTGGGTTTTCCTTTTGAATGGCATGGTTAATACTAAATACTCCATGCACATTTGTTACATTTGCATAAAAATATGAGTTAATCTGAGGATCTGGGTATTCACAGGAATTCAGACCAAATAACAAAGCCATGTTGATAAATCTGGTGTCTTCAGTACCTTGTCTTGGGTTGGCTATGCCCTGTGTTCTACTGGGCACATGGTTGGCACCAACCCTCAGGTTGCTGCTCAGTGGGTTCAATTTCTTCTTTCTTTTTGATCTCCTGCTCTTTCTTTTATTCTCTCTTGCTTCTGTTTTTCTACCTCATCTTTCTCTTTCTACCTCTCTCCCCCTTCCACCTCTACCTCTTTTTCTGCCTTTCCTTTCTCCCTTGACCATTTTTTCCCCCAGTAAAACACCAGTAAGTTATACATTGAGTAAGTGATATCTGGCAGGCTCCTTATTCTTAAAAAGTACTGGGTATAAATAAACAGGTTTCAAATATAATAGAGTTCTTGTAAAAGAAAAAAATAAACAGGCCAGGTGGCTCCTCCCTGTAACCTCAGTACTTTGGGAGGCCAAGGCAGGAGGATCACTTAAGATCAGGAGTTGGAGACCAGCCTGAGAAACATAGTAAGATCCTGTCTCTAAAATAAAATTAAAATTAAAAAAAAATTAGCCAGGCGTAGTGGTATATGCCTGTAGTCCCAGCAACTGAGAGGGCTTAGGTAAGAAGATTGCTTGAGCCCAGGCTTTTGAGGCTGCAGTGAGCTATGATCATGCCACTGCACTCCAGCCTAGGTGACAGAGTGAGACCCTGTTTCATAACAGACAAAACCAAAAATAGGCATGACATTGATAAAGATTATCTCCTTAAGAAAATGTAGTCAGTGTCTCCTGGACTTTTTTTCCACTAGGTAACTCTGCATTGTCCAATTTTACCAAGAATTCTGCTAGGACAATTTAACCAGACCTCCATCCCACCTCACCTCCTCTATATCTGATCACCTTCGATATCCAATATGTCATCAGATTCCTCATTTTCCTTCATTCCCCAGGGTGATTATTGATCACCCTGGTCTGCCTTCAGCAAGAAACCTATCAGATTGGTTTAGCCAGAATTGCCCCCTTCCCCCTGGTATTTTTTTTTTTTTAGTAATTTTCTATCCTCTGACTTCCACCTTCCTCCTTGGCTATAAAATTCCAACTTGTTCATGCTGTATTCAGAATTGAGCCCAATTCTATACTGAGGTCTCTTTTCCCTTATTGCAATGGTCCTGAATAAAATCTGTTTTTACTGTTTTAACTACCGTCTAGCTCTGATTGACAATATCTACAAACAAACTGCACACACAATTTTGCTCTTGTGAAATTACAGAAAGGACTATGTTTTGGTGATTAATGCTATCCAGCGAGCCATGTTTCTAGACTCTCATATAGGTACAGGTGGGAAGGAACCGATTTAGATTTTAGCCCCTTCCTTCCTTCCTTCCTTCCTTCCTTCCTTCCTTCCTTCCTTCCTTCCTTCCTTCCTTCCTTCCTCCCTCCCTCCCTCCCTCCCTCCCTCTCTTTCTTTCTCTCTTTCTTTTCTTTTCTTTCAACAGAGTCATGCTCTATTGCCCAGGCTGGAGTGCAATGGCACATCTCGGCTCACTGCAACCTCCACCTCCTGGGTTCAAGTGATTCTCATGCCTCAGCCTCCCCGAGTAGCTGAGATTACAGGCATGCACCACCACACACACTCAGCTAATTTTCTGTGTGTGCTTTTAGTTTTTATTTTGTGTGTTTTTAGTGGAGACGGGGTTTTGCCACATTGGCCTGGCTGGTCTCGAACCCTTGACCTCAGGTGATCTGCCCGCCTGATGGCTGAACTCAGTGGGAGATGGATGAGTAGCCATTGGGTCTGGGCCCAGGAGGAGACCCAAAGATCCATGGGGTCCTTTTCCTGCTATGAAAAGGAATTGAGAAAACTTCCTGTACATTGTTAATGGTAGGCAATTGGAACTCTATAGTAGCAAAAAAATTTTAAACTGTTACATTTTAATTTCTAAACTTAGGTTTTGGGATGAATCTATCCCAGGTTTCAAGTTGTGAGTCCTAAAAATTTGAATGCCCAAGCCATACTAAATCTATACATTTAGCATATAGAAGTACATGTATGTATATAAATTTATATGTAAATTTCTCTCTATATATATGTGTTTTATTATTTATTTATGTATGTTACTGAAAGAGCAATAAGAGAAAATACTAACTAAGTTGTTTTAAGTGTGTCAACTTACTTCTGTCTAGAAAGTTAGAATACTCCCTGTCCATAGAATTAGATCTCTGGGCCATTATTATTATTATTATTATTATTATTATTATTATTATTATTTATGAAACATTTGGTTTATTATTTTCACAATAATTTAAACGTGTACAATTTGCCAGTTTTGTGTATTTTCTGCTTTTCATGTCTCTGCATATCTCTTTAATGTATTTCTTTCAAAAAATGTTTATTTCCATAGGTTTTTTGGGGAACAGGTAGTATTTGGTTACATAAGTTCTTTAGTGATGATGTGTGAGATTTTGGTGTACCCATCTCCCCTGGGCCATTATTTTTGAAGATATTGAAAAATACTACATACCAGATCCTGTTCTGTTTGCCTTTGATTTTTAGCAGTTTTCTCATAATGTCCCTAGATTTTCTTTTAAAATGAATCCCATTGGAGTTCTAGAATCTGTGGCATAATTCCTGTAATGAATTTTGCAAAAATCCCAGTCACCATTTCTTCAAATATTGTTTCTTCTCAATTCTTTCTCTTATCTTCCAAATATAATTACACATATATTAAATCTCTTCAAATATTGTTTCTTCTCAATTCTTTCTCTTATCTTCCAAATATAATTACACATATATTAAATCTCTTCAGTGTATTCTTTATGTGTCTTATCCTTTGCTGTTATATTGCTCATCTTTTTAGTATTTTCATTTTTATTCTTCTATCTTCCAGGTAACTAATTCTCAGCTGGTCTCATCAGTTGTTAAACACATCCATTGGATTCTTAATTTCTGTAATTGTATTATTTTGTTCTAGTATTGCCACTGAATTCTTTCTTATATAGTTTCAATTCTCTGATGAAATTGTACATCTTATAATTTAATTTTTTGAGCACGGTAGTTGTAGTTATTTATTTATTTATTTATTTTTGAGACGGAGTCTCACTCTGTCTCCCAGGCTGGAGTGGCATGATCTTGGGTCACTGCAGCCTCTGCCTCGTGGGCGCAAGTGATCCTCCTGCCTCAGCCTCCTGGGTAGCTGGGATTACAGGCATGCGCCACTACACCCAGCTAATTTTTGTATTTTTAGCAGAGACATGGGGAGGTGGTGGGAGGGGTTCACCATGTTGGCCAGGCTAGTCTCAAACTCCTGACCTCAGGTGATCCGCCCACCTGGGCCTCCCAAAGTGTTGGGATTGCAGGCGTGAACCACTGTGCCCAGCCAGGTGTAGTTATTTTAAAGTACAGGTTGGATAACATCAAAGTCTGGATTTTCTGTGTTTATTTTTATTGCCTTTTATTTCCACTTGGATTTTGATTATTTCTTATCTTTTGTTTGTTTGGTTAGTTTTGACTGCGTGCTGCTGGGCATTATATATGAAAATTGTAAAGGCAGTCTGAGGCTCTGGGTCATGCTTACTCCAGAAAGCACTGACTTTTTCTTCTAGTAGCAGTTAGTCTAAGGGCAGATAACCTTAACCCAATCAGAGACTGAGTTGATTTGGACTTCATTCTTTGCAAGAATAAAGAGCAAGCCTTGATCTACTTATGATTTATTCTTTGGATTTACCAGGGTGCTCTATGTTGGTGGGTCTTGGAATCGAACTTTTGATCCTCCAACCCATGGGATTCTGGTTCACTCTGCTTACCTTCTCACCTATCAGCTGCTTTTACTTTCAGAATTGGCAGTTGCTTCAAGGGCAAAAGCGGCCCTAAGACGCTAGGATTACCTGTCTGTATTTCCCTCTTTTTCCAGATCTTGGCCCCTCAAGTTCTCACCATCTTAATGCTGTCAGATAGATATTGTTTTTAATCAACAATTTGTTCAATTTTTCTGAGTCATCTCAGTGGGAATGTTGGTCTGTAACAACCAGTTTGTCATTGCCAGAAATGGAAGTCTAACAGGCATACATTATCATTTCAGTTATTCCCCACAACAGCTGTATAAAGAAAGTAGTATTATTATGATCCTCTTTTACAGGTGAAGAAAATTCTCAGAGACGGTTAGGTAAATAGTCCAGGTCACTTGATTAAGAGGTCCTGGGGCTGGGAATTGAACCAGGGAAGTCTGAGTCTGACTGTAAAGCCTCCTTTTCAATCTTCTTCAAAGATATTGCTGCTGTATACTGTAATTAACAGTTTATTTGTATTTATTTCACCTGCTTTATTGTACATTTTACTTTATCTCATTATCAATACTAATAATACTTGTCTTTTCCATGATGTGTAAGTTACGTACATTCTTCAGTGCTGCACTGATGCCAGATAAAATTTTGGTCGTCAGACTCCTATCTTTTTCTTTTAAATTTTGTTCTTGTTCTTTTTCTTCCTCTCTGCCTCCCTTCCATCCTTCCAATATTTAGTGGTTTCAATTCTGGAAGTATAACTCAGAGATCTCTAGTTTTGAGGGTTAGCTTTATCTAGAATGGAAAAGCTTTGGCTCGAGTCTCCATCCCAGGAATCTGGAGTCTGGAGCTCCACTGGTATTTCTCCCTGGTATTTTTGCAGATTCGTAAAAGATGCATGTTCCTGTAGTTGCCTTTCATTCTAATTTCTTGTTCCTGCTGAGCTTCTTGCTCTTGTATATGTCTTGCTGCCTTTAACTCGTTTTTCTGTCCTGCATCGTCTTGAAGGTTGTATGCAGCTCCCACTTTTTTCAAAAGTTCCTCCAAACCCAGGCCCTTCCTTATAGTATATGTTTCAAAAGGGTTGGGAATCACACTGCAAATTAGAGATGATATTTTACTGACAGTTATGCACCCCTCGGCCCTTTCCATCATAAGAATTTCTCTCTCACT
The DNA here is from genome assembly GCF_000001405.40 of Homo sapiens. Lineage (NCBI taxonomy): Eukaryota > Metazoa > Chordata > Mammalia > Primates > Hominidae > Homo > Homo sapiens. The sequence continues at coordinate 219,885,731 of NC_000002.12, forward strand.
CTCATCCTTAAGTCTTTCAACTCTCTTCAACTGGGGGTCCTGTCTCTCTCAACTTTTTTCTCCTTTTCATGTTCCCTAAATCTCTTCCTTCAGTTACCAGTAAGCAGCCAACTTCCCAATTCTGATGACTTACCTAGCTAAAACAATTTACCTCTTCTTTGTGCAAACCTTTTCCAGGGGCCCTCATCTTCCAAAATCAAATATTTTGAACTTTTTTTTTTAACCAAAAGAAAAGTTTGCTCTCCAAGAGAAATTTTGTCTTCCTTCTAAATATCCTGGCTCAAAATATACTTTGCTTGTAAAAATAATAGTTTTGTTCCTTCCTATTACATCATTGGTAGGAGACTCACATCCATGCTATATCATTTTATTTTATTTTCTGTTGGCTTCTAGAAATAAGGTGATATATAGTATAGAGTTCTCATAGTTATTCAGTTGGTATTTAACCCTTATTTGTGCATTATTATGTTTTTCTTTTAAAAATCAATGAACTCTTTAGGATCAATGAATAAAATGATTTTTGTCTTAGAATTGGGTTGAAATCTACACTCTAAGATGAAACTATAAACTGAAGCAATCAGGTTTCATAGCCCCTTTTTATTCATTTGGAGTCCTGTATTTATGCTCCCACAAGTGTGGAAGAGATTGCAGGGCAAAATAAAGCAATGCTATCTGATCATGAACCCACATGGAGCCTAGACTGCAGGTCATAACATTTCTTTACTTCCCCATCAATTGGAGTTTCAGTTGATATGGATTTATACTGGATGAGCACCTGAATCTCTTCTCTGTTCGTCTCCCTGCCTTTCCTTCCTACCGCCCACCCTCAAGTTATTGCCCACCCCCAGGGTCCTGGTGTCACCCTAGTTTACCAGGTAAAGTTGAGGCCTCCTAGATGTTGTTGCTGGCACCATCCTAATGGCTATGGCTCCATAGAGTCCACTAGGCTGATGGGGAGAAAGGGCCACATCAGTGAAAGGAAAGAAAACCTCCTCCAGGCATGTATCATTCATGAATCACATGGGTTTGTAGCTGGGTAGCAGTGGGCTGATGGAAAAGGTGATACAAAAGCCAAGATCTGGGTTTCTAGGGCTTTGCCCATAGGAGGAGCTCACGGTCTGGTAGGTATTAGGAACAGTTATTTTGGAGCTGTGTGGAGTAGTGATTCTGTGCATTTGTTGGAGTGTTCGGATTTATCAAACTTTCTGATTTTTGTAACATCCCAACAAATTTCCTGTCTGCACTAGTAATTACTGTGTAGGGTTCTAATTTTGCTTGGTGTCCAGACTGGCTTCTCCCCTGGGCAGTGTCCATGTTTGCTGTAATTGGATGATGCCACACAATCCACTGCTGTTGCCAGATTTCATTATGACTTGGTGTCTTCTGTATTAATTTCCCCACTTTGGGGCTGTTTCGCAGCAAGTGAGGCCAATTTCCTTTTCAATAGCGCAAATCTGTAGACCCAATTTGAGCTGCGAGCTAAGTGGGTGCATTTGCTCAGCTCTGATTGACTGACAGTGTTCTCTTTGTTGATTTGATTTTTTTTTTTTTTTTTTTTTTTTTTTTAATGAGAGCTTGATCCCAAGAGGCAGCTGGCACTCGCTGGAAGCCAGAGGACTCATCTTTGAAAAGCCCAGGAATACATCTGGGCAGCTGGTTTTGTCCAAAATTATTTTGTTCTAGTTTAAGTTGTTGGGGAATGAGACACCAGGTCTGCAGTCTCCTCTGCAGCTCTCACCCCAGTTGACCAAGAGGCCTTTGTGATCCAATCACTGGAGGAATCTGGAGTCAGAAGGATGTAGGAGGGTGTGAATAGATTCACCAAGTAAAATACAAGATGCCCAGTTAAATTTGAATTCCAAAAAAAAACAAATAATCTCTAGCGTATCTCATGCAATATTTGCCCAATACTTTTTAGCATAGGTATGACCCTTGCAATTTCTGGGAAGAATTGCATGGTACATACTTATACTAAAACATTATTCATCAATTATCTGAAATTCAAATTTAACTGGGTATCCTGTATTTTTATTTGCTAAATCTGGTAACCCTAGGTGTGTATGATATGAAAGGATAAGTGTAGTTGGGATTACTGTAAAAAAGCCAAGAGGATGAAGGGATAAAATCCAAACCCAAGGGGGAAAGAAGGTTCCAATGGATTATTTGAAAAAGAGGAGCACACCCACGAAAAACTCACTTAATTGGCACAAAATAAAAATAAACATAGCTCATGGGAACCAAATTTGCTATTTTAGGCTTCCTAGCAACAGTAAAACAGGAAGAGTTGGTTTCTTAATGATTCATATCCCCCCTTAGATATTAGTGATGCCATGAAGTAAAAGCAGATTAATCATTTCTGATTTGGCGGCACATAGACCAATAAGTGTACATCACATTTACCTGGAGGGCTTGTGAAAACACAAATCGCTGAGCTGCATGCTGAGTTTCTGACTCAGTAGTTCTGGTGTGGGGCTGGGAATTTTGTGTTTCTAACAAGTTCCCAGTTGATGCGGATGTGGCTGGTCTGGGCACCACATTTGGGGCATTTTGGTTTAAACTTGTGCTATCAAATACGGTGGCCGCTAGTTCTTGAAATATGGTTAGTCTGAATTAAGATATGCCATGTAAAAACACACCAGGTTTTGAAGGTGTAGTATGAGAAAAGAATGTATAGTATCTCCATAGTAATTTTAAAATATTATCATTTTGACTACACATTAAAAAGATATCTTGGATATACTGGGTTAAGTAAGATATATTATTAAAATTAATTTTACCTGTTTCTCTTTTTTTAAAAAAATATGGCTACTAGAAAATGTAAAATTACACAAATGTAAATTACACATTTGTAATTTAACTGGGTGTCCTATTAACTCAACTATTTCCATTGGCTGGTGCTGTTTCAGGCCACCATTTTGGTCTAAATCTGGACATCCATAAATTAGTGTGAAGGAAATAGGTGAGAATGCCTTGAAATTTTGTGATGCATTCTTGAGTTTACTGTCTCTTCTAAGACTTACTAAATTCTCTCCCTTGGGGATATCTTTTGAAAAGTTAAACATATTCCAGCATCCTGGTGCTTGATGCAAGTAGGCTTTGCAGGGAGCCCAAGTAGCGGTAGGGCGGGCTGTGAAAGGCAGGCTTTATCCTGGGAAGGTGCGAGAGAGGACTAGCTGTTACTCCTGCTCAGGGACCTCTGCTCTGATAAAGGGGAGATGGTCACCATCAGAAAAGTGACCACTTCTGTCCCTACAATTGCCTCCTTGCCCTGTTTTGGCTATTTGCTGGATTGGAAAAAGAACTCAGTGATGGTGGAATCTATAAATAAACATGGGATGGCCAGTCCCTAAGAGGTCCCCCTTTCCTCCCTTTTCTCTCTCCAGTCAAAACTCAGCAAGAAGCCTGGGTCCAGGTCTGGGTTCTACAGCTAATAAGCACATGCTGAACTTGAACAAGATTAGAAAGAAAGCCCCAGAGAAGGTTAAAGCATCAGAAAATTGAATTTCTGACAAAAGGCCAATGTTGGACTATTTCCTTTGGAAAAGAAAAGCCTTCAAGTACCTGAAAGGTTATCCTACAGAGGTTGTAGATAATTGTACTGCCCCTACCAAGAATAAAACTGGTGGAAAAACATTTAAACTGCTGTGTGGGGGATTTGGTTTTCAGGCAAAGAAGAATTTCCTGACACTGAGAATAGTTTATCACTGGAAGACTTTCTGTTATTGTCTACCCAGCCCTTTGCCTCACATTTTTTGCCTATACTGCAATGACATTTGTGGGTGATTTCCACTCCCTAGGTATGGATGGGATCAGGAATTATGCCCTGAGATGTAGTGGAAGGCTTGGTGTCATTTTGACCAGGGAAAAGATGCCAGAAGGCATACCTATTGGTCTTTGCCCAATTTCTGATTCCCAACCTTTGTAATCTTCCCTCTTGCAATTGATTATAGTTACCCAGGTTTTTAGTTTGAAACATTAAGTGAGCTTAACCAGAATAGGAATTTATTAGAAGATTGTAAGCAGTGCTGGGCTGGAGCCAGTATAAGCTCCAGAGCCTCAGATGGGTGGACTTAAATTGTTACAATTCCAGGAGCTTTGTAAACTGGTTGGTGTCACATTGTTAGCTTGAAATCAGCCATGGTAGGGGTATTTACACCATGGAAATTGGCAAACAATACAATTCAGAGCCCTCTTCCTCATCTTGCCCCAGGAAAGCCAGTTGTTAAGCATTAGCACCCATAGCCAGATGTTCAGTAGCATAACAAATGCTTCCTGTGCTCATGTCATGTCCCCTTGGTTGACCTCTGTCTGATGTTAGCTGTGGCTGTGGTAGTTAGTTCAGCTGCCCACAAATTGCATCTCACCCCGTGTTCTCTGTCTGCATGCTCTTCTCTGACTCAGGGCTTCTCCTGAGGCCATGAAGTTTGCCCAGTTCTTACAGAGGGCAGCCTGGCAGTACTGGGGAGTCAACACTGCCAAGTGCAACCTCAACAAATGGGGTTGGAAGCCAGGGGATAGACGCTTCAGACATTTATCCTTTGGAGGGAGAATTTTGCATTTCATTCTGCATGATTCTTCGGTGGGTCCCCACTAGGACTGAGCCCCAGCAACTCATTAACTTTTCTTCCTTTTCTGTTTTACTCTCCTCTTTCCTTTACTCCTGATTCCTGGGATCACCAAATAAATTACTTGCACCCGTATTTGAGCCTTAGGCTCTGCTTTTGAGGGAACTCAAATTGAGACAGTTAGCTCAGAGAGTCCTTAGAGGGGCCAGAAAATCAGGCTGGTGGCCACATAGCCAGAAATGATGGCCCACGTTGTCCACAGAGCTGGGTGTGGACACTGCTGCCACCCCCATTGGCCACAGAGATGTCACTACTGATCCTGGGCACTAAACATTACTGCTAGAAGTTCTGTCACTGCCTGTGGAAACCAGATATAGTTGCCTCTACTCTTGACAGGTGCTTCTTTAATCCGTTAGCTTCTGGCAAAAGCCTACAGTGATTGAAGACGAGTGTCTAATTGGTGGGACCTAGATCACATCACATTTACACTTCCTTTATAGCTGTAAGGAAGATTGGGATGTAAGTGTTTCAGTCATTTATTGCTGTGTAGTAAACTGCCCCCAAGTGAAGTTGCTTGTAACAACTATTTTATTTGCTCATGATTAATGAGTAGCAGGTTGTGCTGGGCTTAGCCGGACAGTTCGTTCACGTTTCTTGCCTGGAGTCACTCATGTGGCTGCACCACCTGGCCACTCTCCCAGGCCTGGATGGTCTATGGTGGCCTCACTTCCATGACTGGTGGTTGGTCTTGTTGTCTGGGCTTCTCTTTCTGCATTGGCTTTCATCTTCAAGGAGACTATCCTAAGTTCCCTCTCATGGCAGCACTGAGTTCTCAGAGGGTGATAATGGAAATTGCAACATCTCTTGAGGCCTAGGTTTCAAAGTCACAAAACATTACCTATACCCAGACTCAAGGGGTCAGGTAATAGATACCAGCTCCTGATGGGAGGAAAAGCAAAATCACATTGCAAAGGGACAGCAAATGGGGATAAGAGGATTATTGTGGTCATGCTGCTAACAATCAGTGTTTTCCACAAGGGAAGACAGGAATTCATAGGGTGGAGAATTCCCCACTAGAGAGAAGACATTCAAAGGTGTTGGGTGGGTCAAAGGAGTGACACATGTTCACTCTAATTGGCTTTCTCCTGAGTTGACTGATTGCATCTCCCATTCTTATCCCCAGACCTCTCCTGGGCTACTGATCTGCTAGAGGGACCCCTTCCTGCTTCCAGTCTCAAAGGTGCATGGCCAGAGAGGGATTGAGGTTGGCCTTGTGACCCATGTTGCCCTGAGTGGATGCAGCACAGAAACTGTACAGGACTGGAGTCTGATGATGAATTTCACTTTTGAATAATTAAAATGAGAGTTCTTAATAAGGCATTGTTTAGAAGAAACACACTGATTGTGTAGGCATGTACTGTTTATTAACATTTAATAATTCAAAAAACATTGTGAATACTGACTCTTAGAATTGGACCAAGGCCTGAGCCAGTGATAAATCTTGCTTAAATTATTGACTTTCTGGCCCGACGCGGTGGCTCACGCCTGTAATCCCAGCACTTTGGGAGGCTGAGGCGGGCGGATTACGAGGTCAGGAGATTGAGACCATCCTGGCTAACAAGGTCTCAATCTAAAAATAGTTTTTTAGGTTTTAGTAGAAACCCCATCTCTAATAAAAATACAAAAAAAAATTAGCTGGGCGTGGTGGTGGGCGCCTGTAGTCCCAGCTATTCGGAAGGCTGAGGCAGGAGAATGGCGTGAACCCGCGAGGCGGAGCTTGCAGTGAGCTGAGATCGAGCCACTGCACTCCAGCCTGGGCGACAGAGCGAGACTCCGTCTCAAAAAAAAAAAAAAATTATTGACTTTTTTCACACGGGAGTATGATAATTAGACAGGAAGAGGAAGGAAAATGAGGAGGGGAAGCTAATGCTTCTGGGGGCTGATGTTGTGGCAGGCGCTAGCCTGGGCACTGGCTCATGCTTGCATTGCTATCTCCTTGCCTTGCCTGTGAGATGGGAAAACCAAGCCTCAGAAAGTTTACACATCTTGACCAAGGTCAAGACTAACTAAGACTACATGACACAGTGAATCAAGATTCACATTTGTCTGACTCCAAAACCTTTGGTTTCTGCACCTACTGTTCTACCAGGAGATAAAATTTCAGTGCCTTCCAGAGGTTTCTCTAAAGAGCTCAATCATCTACTGGTGTGTTTGCTGTTTAAGAGCTTGTGCTCTAGAGTCAGAATGGACCTAGATTTTCTAATTCTGATTCTGCTACTTGGGAACTCTGATCTCAACTTCTTAGATTCTCAGTTTCCTCATCTGTAAAATGGGAATCATAATAGTAAGTCTCTACAATGTTAGTGAGCATTTAGCATGGTGCCTGAGCTAGTACATTATGGTGATACCAACTGTTATTGTTAATAATAACTACTAGCAATTAGTTTCCTTTCCTGTGTTTTATGATCTGTTTAATACTGTTTAGTCAAACTGAAAAAATATTGTTGATTTAGTTTTTGGGGTAATTATATGTGCTGACTATGGTACAATTGGTGGAGTTCCTGTCTAGATAATCTAATTTGGTTATTAGGTGCTTAAATTCTTGTTGAAATGAATTGTGAACAAATACCCTTGAAAGCATTGTTTCAGCTGTTTAATGATATGTTTAGTAGAGATGTGGTAATGATGGAACTGGATTAATTATGGGGTCCTCCAATGGATTGTTTGGTAGTAAATTTTCAGATAAGTCCAGGTGTCAGATGAACGGTTTAAATTTCAAGTTTACCTGTAGCAGCATGAGAGATGGAACAGGTCATTTCTGAAGAAAGACTTGTAAAAACAAAATATCTGAGTCTTTCAGGATGCAGAAGTTGATATCATTAAACTGCAAAGGAAAGAGAAGGAAGAGTTGTGCATCGCTGATTTACATTTATTTCTCTCTTGGCAAAACTCACACGGGGCTTCGTGGGAAACATTCTGCATAATCGTAATCACCAAAATCTATTTAATGTTCACTGGTTTCCAGGTACCATGCTAAGTACTTTACGTGTATTGTCTTATTTATTCCTTGCATGAAACCTAAACCAGTAGAAACTATAAGCTCTTCTCTGTCTACACACAAAGAAGGTAGTCTTTTACTCAGAAAGCCTAAGTAACTTGCTCAAGATCACATAGCTCAAAAAGCGATAGGATGGATATAAACCTAGGCCAACTGACTGCAGACCCCTCACTTTTAACCTAACCAAAACTTGTGAATGAAAGTCTTTTGTTGGCAATGAGATCCCTGTTGACTGAGGAATAAGGAATGGTCTTCAGTATGTATCAGGCACAGTTTAATGTCTATGCTTAAAAGTGTCCCCTTACTTCCTAGCTCTTAAAAGAGATGGAGGGGAAGCCAGACTCTCCTGCTGGATATGAACAGGAGGCATGTAGCCCGATTGCTACTGGCAGCTAGCCATAACATGGAGGAAAGCTGGCCTTAGGCTGAAGCAAATGCTGCAAACAGCGGAGTGGGGAAATGGGAAATTCCTGGGTTTTTGATGACATCAATGGATTGACCCAGAAGCCAGCTCTGTTTCTGAACTTTGGCTAATGTAATCTATTTCCTTATTGAATATGGCAGAGACAGCTAGTTGCCTCTCCAGTATCATTCTTTCCTCTAACCAAACCCCAGTTTTGTTCAGTGTGGCCATTGCCAGTTAAAGCCTTGTATTTCTCTGTCCCTTTTGTGTGGGGTGGCTGTGCAAAATAGTTCTGGCCAATGAGATATAAATAGGAACCCGTGCTGGGCATTTCTAGGAAAGTTATGCTTTTCTGATAAAGGCACCACTTCTTCTTCCTTCCTGATTCCTGGAATACTGGTGGCTGGAGCTGGATGCATGAGGAAAAACAAGAGAATTGTGGAGACCTGGGCTCTAGGCTGCCAAGGTAATGCTGGGAGGCCTTGCCTTCATGTTATGTGAGAGAAAATAAAACTCTGATATGTTTAAGGCAGTGTTTCCTTGTTTTTGATATTGGCATAGAAATGAAATTCTTTGTGAGTTTTTTTTGTTTTTTGTTTTTGAGACAGGGTCTCACTCTATCACCCAGACTGGAGTGCCATGGCATGATCTCAGCTCACTGCAACCTCTGCCTCCTGGGTCCAAGCGATCCTCCCACCTCAGCCTCCCAAGCGTCTGGGATTACAGGCACCCACCACCATACCTGGCTAATTTTTTTTTGCATTTTTAATAGAGACAGGGTTTCACTGTGTTGGCCAGTCTGGTCTCGAACTCCTGACCTCAAGTAATCTGCCTACCTAAGCCTCCCAAAGTGCTGGGATTACAGGAGCGAGCCACTGTGTCTGGCCTACAAATACAATTCTTAGCCCAGAAATTGAAATATTTCCTTAATGTGAATCCTTTATTGGTGTTCTGGCTATCTATTGCTGTATAACAAACTATCCCTAAAACCTAGTGCCTTACATCTATTTTATTATTTTTCATGTTTCTATGGGTAAGAAATTTGGAAGAGCCACAGAGAAGACAGCTCATCTCTGTTTCAGAATGTTTGGGGCCTCAGATGGGAGGACTGGAGTGGACGGAGGCCAGGACATTCAAGGTGGTTTCTTGATTCACATATGGCACTTCAGTGATGTCCCCACATGGCCTCTGTCTATCGGCATAACCTGGCCTTACATGGTGGCTTAGGGCTCCAAGAGGGAGAAAGCAGAAAGTGCCAACCCTTTTAAGGGCTGTGCCCAGAGCTGGTACTGTATCTCCATCACCCCATTCGATTCCTCACAGCCGCACAGATTGAAGGGAGTAATAGACCTAGTCTTCACTTCTTGATGGGAAGAGGAAAGGAATTGACGGTGGCTGTCTTTGGAGACAAGCATCACACTTGGTAAATTGGGAAAGAAGGATTTGTGAATTTGTAGGCAACTCCCCCTTTTTAGATATAAAGGGTAGTCTTAGAACTTAACCTCTATCTGCAAAGAGTTCAGTGCTTCCTTGTGGGTTATGGGGTGCTATTTGGCTCTTTATGTTTTTCATCATCAGGCAAGACTGACAATTTGCCATTTTGCCATGGCAACTCTGCAAAGTTGGCAGAGAAGACAGTCATGTACAAAGACAGGAGAATGCCAGTGGTGGATCAGAGAATGAGGATCTGGGAGGGGTGTGTGTGAGTGAAATTAGTCTTTCACTAAGAAGGAGAGAGATAATTTAGGATTGAGTGTGTTGGAGTGAATTAATGAAGAAAGAACCTGCTAGTTGGTATTTGAGCCCAGAAATAATGGGGACTTGGTTGCCATCTGAGAGATGTTGAATCAAGGGTGTTTCCTGATCACCTACCACCAGCCTGGTACTGTGTAGCTATGAACATGGCAGATGTGGGTCCCTTTACATGTTCAGTAAGGAAATGGGGTCTTCATAAGATGAAGAGGTCAGAGTTATTTCCAGTTATAGGGGTTTCAATAGGTTACAAACGGAAGTAAAGACAAAAACTGTAGTAGATTTCAATGCTTGCATTTAACAAATGAATACTTTGAATGTCAAACACCTAAGCAAGTAAACGCAAACCAGACTAAGCCAGTGACTGCGTGTGCCCTCAAGCGGAGGAAGAACTAAGGTTTTTGATCTCAGGCCCATGTGGCAGCCCTCACAGATTCTAGACATGGGTCTCTAGTGCCAGAGGCAAAGGGATAATGGAACTTTTTAAAAAGTTGACCCTAAAACCTGGGGGTCATGTGGTAGTAGAAGGGTTGACAAGGATTAGGACACGGCCTGCATTGCCCAGGGAGCAGTTGTCTTGGTGGACTCCACTCCTGAACCACAGCTTGGTTGAGACTGATGCAGGTTGATGTGGTTTAGATTTGGGTCCCTGCCCAAATTTCATGTTGAATTGTAATCCCCAGTGTTGGAGGAGGGGCCTGGTGATAGGTGATTGGATCATGGGGATGAACTTCCCCTTTGTTGGTCATGTGATAGTGAACAAGTTGCCATGAGATCTGGTTGCTTGTAAGTGTGTAGCACCTCCCCTTTTACCCTCTTTCTCCTGCTCTGGTCAAGTAAGGTGTGCCTCCTCCTTCTTTGCTTTCTGTCATGATTGTAAGTTTCCTGCGGCCTCCTAAGCCCTGCTTTCTGTACAGCTTGCAGAACTGTGAGCCAATTAAACCTCTTTTCTTTATAAATTATGCAGTCTCAGGTAGCTCTTTATAGCAATGTAAGAATGAACTAATCCACAGGTGTTGTCACAGGCTGACCATGAGAGACCCTATAGACAATCTTGTGACAGAGCTGGAGAGGGTCCTGGGAGAAGACTCTCATGGTTGGGATTAGACTTTTATAAAGCCACCCTTCACAAGTGCCTATTTGCATTCACTGACCATGAAATTATATTCAATTTCTGCTGCCAGGCACTGGGTGGGACCCTTTTCTTGCCCATGGTTTAGAGAACACAGAGTAGGTGAGAAATCTCTCTTAGTCTGTTTTCTATTAATCAACCCTAAAAGGAGACTTATGTGCTTGTATAGGTGGGGAGGGTGTTTATTTATGGTATCAGTCTTCTTCAGGTTTAAACTAGAAATTCTGGGCTCATCCACAATACTTCCCTCTTTCAAAAAAACTTTATTTTATACTACCCTCACTAGAGGGAGCAAACAGGGAGACAGATTGATGGAAACATGCATGGATGGTTACAGGTTGAGGACAAAGATGCTACGATGAGGGTGTGGGCAGATAAATTGGCATTAGGGCTCCCCTGCCAACCACTGAGCTGCATGGGATGGCCTGTGCTTCTAAGAAATGACTCCTGCTGGCCAGGCCCCAAATCCTTTGCTTGATTGTGCATTTTGGTTTTGTTGAGGCATGAGGCAGTTAGCCTTGAACCAAAATGGAGGAGATGGTTGCTGATGTTTGTGTCAATCAGGAGAGCATCTGGAGGCAGTCTGCCAGCATCTGTCTTATTCCAGGCCACAGAGGAACCCAGGGCAGGTTGGAAGACAGTCTGGGGGCACTCCTGGCTTCCCCTGTATGAAGAAGAGTAGAGTAGTCTATTTTGTGTTGCTGTAAAGGAATATCTGAGGCTGAGCAATTTGTAAAGAAAAGTGGTATATTGGCCTCATGGTTCTTCAGGCTGTACAAGAAGCATGACACTAACATCTGCTTCTGATGAGGGTCTCAGGGAACTTCCAATCATGGCATAAGGGGAACGGGAGCCAGTGCATCACATGGCAAGAAAGAAAGCAAGAAAGAGAGGGGATGGAGGTGCCAGACTCTTTTTAACAACCAGAGCTTGTGGGAACTAACGGTGAAAACACATGCAATCCTGCAAGAATGGCTTCAAGCTGTTCATGAGGGATGCACCCCCATGACTCAAACATCTCCCACCAGGCCCCACCTCCAATGTTAGGCATCAGATTTCAACATGAGATTTGGAGAGGACAAGTGCCCGAACTATGTCAACTGGCAATTCATTGCTTATCTCTCCTGAGCTTGAAGGAGGGAAATAGATTTATTTTCAGAAAGATACTACAGGACTAGGATTGGCCCAGAGGCCACATCACTGTGGGAGGTAGAGAGGAGCAAACAGGGGAAATAGCACCAAAAGCACCAGCCCGATGCCTATCTTTCCGCTATTAGAGATGCATTCCTTTGACACTTCCAGTTTTTCCCAACCTCAGGAGTCTTCTACTGAAATGCAACTACCTTCAAAAACTGATATTTTAAATCTGTGTCTCTCCAATTGACACATGCAGTGGTATAAACGGGGATGGAGAAGACCATGTGATAAAGGTAACACAGTCGCCTGCCCCAGCAGAGGTTGCCATTTGCCTAGTAAGAAATGCACAGCCGGGCATGGTGGCTCACGCCTGTAATCCCAGCACTTTGGGAGGCTGAGGTGGGCAGATCACGAGGTCAGGAGACTGAGACCATCCTGGCTAACACGGTGAAACCCCGTCTCTACTAAAAATACAAAAAATTAGCCAGGTGTGGTGGCAGGCACTTGTAGTCCCAGCTACTTGGGAGGCTGAGGGAGGAGAATGGCGTGAACCCGGGAGGTGGAGCTTGCAGTGAGCTGAGACCACACCACTGCACTCCAGCCTGGGCAACAGAGCGAGACTCCATCTCAAAAAAAAAAAAAAAAAAAAAAAAAGAAATGCATAGTATTCTTTCCATATTAAAATTAGCCCAGATGCAGTGTAACACAGCACACACTTGCATGAGTGTTTGAGATGTATCTTTAAAGAACCCAGAACACTATGTCACAGGGTCAGCCTTTTTTTGTAATAAGGGATATGCAGTTAGGCTTATGTGATTAGAGCAATTGCATCTTGAATTAGTCCTTTGCTGAGATCAGGGCTTTGTGGGAATCCTTCAAAGACCACAGCAGTGGGGGGGTGGAGGGGAGGACATCAGACAGAGTTGCCTAAGTGGGAGCCATTGAGGAAAGGATTCTTAACTTTCCTTTTATCATCTGAAGTAAATTTCACTGATTTTCTTAGGACTAGTCCAGACTAGGACTGTGCACTAGTTTTCAAAAGCCCAATTACCTGGTATTAACTACAAGCATACCTCAGGAATATCATGAATATCACAATGAAGAAAGCCACCCCAATTTTTTGGTTTCCCAGGGCATACATAAAGGTAATGTTTTTTTCTACACTGTAGTCTATTCAGTGTGTGATAGCATTATGCCTAGAAAAACAATGTATGTACCTCAATTTAAAAATACTCTAATGCTAAAAAATGCTAATGATCATCTGAGCCTTCAGTGAGTTGTAATCTTTTTGCTTTTATGGAAGCTCTTACCTTGATGTTGATGGCTGCTGATTGATCAGGGTGGTGGTTGCTGAAGGCTCAGGTAATTTCTTAAAACAATAATAAAGTTTGCCACATGAATCGACTTTTCCTTTCACAAAAGATTTCTTTGTAGCATGTAATGCTGTTTGATAGCATTTTACTTAGAGTAAAATTTCTTTCAAAATAGGAGTCATTTCTCCCAAATCCTGCCATTGCTTTATCAATGAAGGTTATATAATATTCTAAATCCTTTGTATTCGTTTCCACAATGTTCACAGCATCTTCACCAGGAGTAGATTCCATCTCAAGAAGCCACTTTCTTTGCTCATCCATAAGAAGCTACTCTTCATCCATTCAAGTTTTACCATGAGATTGCAGCAACATCTTCAGGCCCCACTTCTAATTCTGGTTCTCTTGGTATTTCTATCACATTGGCAGTGACTTCCCCTACTGAAGTCTTGAATCCCTCAACGTCATTCATGAGGGTTGGAATAAATTTCTCTCACTCCTGTTCATATTGATATTTTGACTTCTTTCCATGAATCACAACTGTCCTTAATGGCACCTACAATGGTGAATCCTTTCCAGTTTTCAATTTACTTTGTCCGGATCCACCTAAGGAATCACTATCTATGGCAGGTATAGCCTTACATAATTTATTTATTAAATCATTACACTTGAAGTAGAAATTACTCCTTGCTTCAGGGCCTGCAGAATGGATGTGGTGTTAGAAGGCATGGAAACAAGATTAATCTCCTTTAACATCTCCAGCAGAGATGTTGGGTGACCAGGTGTATTGTCAATGAGCAATAACATCTTAAAAGGAACGTTTTCTTCCGAACAGGTCTCAACAGTGGGCTTAAAATATTTAGTAAACCGTGCTGTCAACAGATGTCACCCAGCATACAAATGGAATGTGTCGTTCCTTTTGTAGAGCACAGAGTAGATTTAGCATAATTCTTAAGGTTCCTAGGAATGGTAAATGAACATTGGCTTCAACTTAAGGTCACCAGCTGCATTAGCCCCTAACAAAAGAATAGCCTGTCATTTGATGCTTTGAGGCCAGGCATTGACTTCTTCTCTTGAGGTACGAAAGTCCTAATAAGATCTTCTTCCAATAGAAGGCTGTTCCATCTTCCTTGAAAATCTTTTGTTTAGTGTAGCTGCCTTCATCAGTGATCTGAGCTAGATCCCCTGGATAACTTGCTGCAGCTTCTCCATCAGCACTTGCTGCTTCACCTTGCACCTTTATGTTAAGGAAATGGCTTCTTTCCTTTAACCTCATGAACCTCTGCTACCTTCTAACTTTTCTTCTGTAGGTTCCTCACCTCTTTCAGCCTTCATCAAATTGAAGACAGTTAGGGCCTTGCTTGGGAGGATTGCTTCCTTTGACTTAAAGGAATGTTGTGGCTGGTTTGATCTTCTATCCAGATCACTAAAACTTTCTCTGTATCAGCAATAAAGCTGTTGGCTTTCTTATCATTCATGTGTTCACTGGAGTACCGCTTTTAATTTTCTTCAAGAACTTTTCCTTTGCATTCATGACTTGACCGTTTGGTGCGAAAGGCCTATCTCAGCTTTCGACATGCCCTGCTCACTAATCGTAACCATTTCTAACTTTTGATTTAAAGGGAGAGATGTGAGATACTTCCTTTCACTTGAACACTTAGAGGTCATTATAGGGTAATTAATTATCCTACTTTCAGTGTTGTTGTGTCTCAGGGGTTAGGGAGGCCCGAGGAGAATGGGAGAGACAGGGGAATGGCCAGTCAGTGGAGCAGTCAGAACGTACACATTTATTAAGCTCTCCATCTTGTATGAGCACAGTTCATGGCACCCCTCAAAAAATTACAATAGAAACATCAAAGATCACTGATTGCAGATCACCATAACAGTTATAATAATAACAAATCATTTGAAATATTGTGAGATTTATCAAAATGTGACACAGAGACAGGAAGTGAGCACATGCTGTTGGAAAAAATGGTGCCGAGCGACTTGCTCAAAGCAGGATTGCCCAAAACCTTCAGTTTGTAAAAAAATGCAATATATGAGAAGTGCAATAAAGTAACGCGCAAAAAACACGATATGCTTGTATTTGAATATGTTTATGTGCAGTCTAACTTTCAGTTGTCTCACTGCTTAGAATCTCAGAATCTTGTCTGACCACAAGCCTCCCTTCTGTGGGACTTTCTTGTTTCGTTGGTCTACGTGGCCATCACCTGGGTGGCTGACCTGGGGCTTATTAATTCTGCAACCTTGACACCTCATTGACGCAGCTTATGCTAATTGTAGGTGCTGCTACAGCCTTGGTTCTATTTGTTCCTTTTTTCTCTTTTAGCTGAAACCTCAGGGGAACTGGTTTTGTCATGTTGCTCATTTCCATTTTTCGTTGCTTTTCGTTATTTCTGTGGTAGACACAGTGTCAGGCTGAAAAACGTGTGTTCCTATTTTTAACACAATGTAGGAAAATCCAGAAGAAAAGAAGACATAAGCATGATTTTTACTAAAACCTATACAGTTCTTCATTTTTCCCTGTGATATTTATTATTTATTTTTAAAACAAAGCCTTTGGAGCATCTTAAGCAATTTAAACACACAAAAAACAAAACAAAAACTGTCATACCTGCTCAGACATTCTTGAGCACGTGGTGTGAAAACAAAATGAAGCAATCGCTTACTCCAGCAGATTCCCATACCTTGCTAAATACCCTAACAACTTGGCTACAAATATGACTACAGGGGGCAAAGGGGACTTGGGTTGAACAAGACAACAACAAACAAACCAACCGACCCCACTAACTGGTTGACGAGATGGAGGATACATGATTGCAGAACCAAAGTTGGGGGATGTGATGAAGTAGCAAATAGCCACAACGGGCAGTGGTTCCCAGCTCTTATTCATTTTCTTTCTTTCTTTTTTTTGTTTTTTTTGAGACAGAGTCTCGCTCTGTTGCCCAGGCTGGAGCGCAGTGGTGCAATCTCAGCTTACTGCAACCCCTGCCTCCTGGGTTAAAGGAATTATCCTGCCTCAGCCTCCCAAGTAGCTGGGATTACAGGTGCCCACCACCATGCCTGGCTAATTTTTGTATTTTTAGTAGAGACAGGGTTTCACCATGTTGGTCAGGCTGGTCTCGAACTTCTGACCTCAGGTGATCCACCCGCCTTGGCTTCCCAAAGTGCTGGGATTACAGGTGTGAGCCACCCCCCCCGCCCTCTTATTCATTTATAAGTTACTAGTGTGTGGTTGTTTGGTAATGCGCATAGGACACTGTGGGGTGCTGACATCCAGAGAGAGTGACAGAGGTGTTGGAGTGGGGCTGCTATGTGGGGGAGAGCCGCAGTCTGGTGACAATACTGAGTATGTTACTGTGTGTTTTTGTGTGTCTTTGGAGTGAATGAACATGGCAGAAAAAGACCCTCGAAGGGGAGGTTGAGGTCAGACAAGGAAGGCCCTGAATGCCACATCAAGTTTGCCATGGCCCCCACATTCTGGTGACACTGGTGTTAGTCAAGGTTTCAGCAGGCTCATAGTAGGATAAATTGAGCAGTTAATTAGAGGATCATTTGTAAAGGAGTGAGCATGGTGTGGGGAAATTGTTCAAGGTTAGTGCAGTCCTTGGATTTAAGAAAAGAGAGTGCAGGTATCACCTGCAGGCCTGAGGGTGTGAGGGGGGGGCATGGCTCCCCTACCCTGAGATGGCTGGGGCTGTGTGCAGACCCCACAGGGGAGGAGCTAGGGGATAAATACTTGCTTCCCTTCCTCCATCTGGTCTGATTTCCTAGCGTTGCTGCCTGTACTAGTCAGGGTTCTCCAGAGAAGCAGAACCACTGGTGTGTGTGTGTGTGTGTGTGTGTGTGTGACAGACAGAGGGACAGAGAGAGAGAGACAGAGAGAGAAAAAGAGAGAGATTCATTCGTTTATTTAAGGAGCTGTCTCATGTGATTGTGGAGGCGTGGTGAGTCCGAAGACTGATGGGGTAGGCTGTGAGGCTGGAGACTCAGGGAGTTCAAAGGCTGTCTGCTGGCAGAATTCCTTCTCACTCAGGGGGAGGTCAGTCTTTGTTCTATGAAGGCCTTCCACCTTCATTGGATAAAGCCCACCCACCTTATGTAGGGTATTCTGCTTCAAGTCCACTGATTTAAATGTTATTCTCATCCACAAAACACCTTCATAGAAACATCTAGAATAATGTTCGACCGTGTATTTGTGTACCATGTCCAACCAAGCTGACACGTTAAAATTAATGATCACACTGCCTCTCGGTCGATCTCAGTCAGAAGCCAGAGGGCAGGGGAATCTGGATGCTGTGGGGGTGTGTCAGCCTCTGAGGCACAGAATGGTAAAGGGTGGACATCGAGGGGCAAACCACTTACCCCAATGTGATGTGGAATAAAGTAAGGGGAGGGTTTTACCTTTGCACCCTCTCTCTTCTGTCTAGAAGCTTGGATTGGGGTCGTGGGTCTTTCTGAACTTTAAGTGTTTCCAGAGACCCTATATAGTACAAGCGCTCCTCCTGCCTCCCTGCAAATGAGTACAAGCATCAAGCAGAAATGAAATCTCTTAAAACACTGCTGGTTTCCTTTTATACTTTAATTTTTTTCTTAAACTACACGAATGGCAGTATAAGCCGTGTGCAATTTCAAAAGGCAGTCACCTAGACGGTCTGGAGAAACAGCAAACTTTCATCTTGAGATCCGTGTGCCGATTTCACTGTAATAATCCCCCCACATCCTGCAACCTGCACTCTGGCTGTTCTGCACTTGCAGAGGATGGTGCAGAAGGACTTAAGTTGTTTCAAGAAAGATTTAAATTAGATCTGATAAGGAGCTTTATTACTGATGCTGTGGAATACTGGGAGGGGGTCTTTCTGTTGGGCTATTTTGGATTTTGGACTTTACTGAAAAACAAATAGGCCAGGGTCAAATTCACATCAGAGGAACACATGTAAAATGGAGACTTGAAGAGTTATTTAGCTAACGAATAAGAAATGGTTTTTAATAATTGGATAATTACCTTAATTCTCCACTTCATTTTGTATGATGCAATGTATTTTGAGTTCTGCAATGATGTTCTGGCGGAAGTGACAAGAATTGGAAAACTATTATCACAAACAGATGACAAAGTGCTGTACTGGAGATACCATAGGTCTAAATTCAGCTGACCTCAGGGATGGCTTCTAGAAGCAGAAAAGCCATGACTGCAGGGGCCACCTGGATAGGGGGATGTAGACCAGCCTCTGCCCTGGTTAGCAGGAAAGTAGCTGGGAAAGCCTCCTTCCCTCTCTTGGATCTTCCTCCCTAAAATGAGAGTCCAGTCATGTCCCAGAACATGGAGCAGAGCCGTGAGCATCACCTCTGCCAGATAACACAGCTCAGATCATTATTCACATGCATGTCATGTATGGCATGGCTCATGGGTGGAGGGAAACCAACCTTTTTATTCTGGCTATAGCCGATTGGACTGGGCAGATACGCTGAGGCCACAGAAAGGCCATGTCTGGGCTGGACATAAGGGATGTCAGAGGCCTCCGGGGTGCCTGGGGGAGAGTCTGCTTAATCCAGGTGCCCACTTGACTAGTAGAAATCAAATCAAATCAAATAAGTGTCTTCTCTTTCAAGTTAATGCTAAGAAATCTGGCAGGTCACTGAACTCGCTACCGCCCCAAAATGCCGAGTGATGCATCTGTCTCCATGAGGTTGCTGTATGTTTCAGAACTGGGATGCAAAGTTCAGCTTCCCGTGACACCCGATTTTCAGAAGTATCCTTGCAAGACATTGCCATAATTCCAGGTGATCTGAGTCCCTCTTTCTTGTCCGCTTGACTGGTTTGACTGACTTGACCAGTACAATTTCATCAAGCTCTAACAGTGTGAGATTCCAATTCTACTGTGATGTAATATGGTGCCTGGGAGGCAGGGTGGTGAAGGAGCTAAGTAAATGGGCTCTGGGATCACACCACCTGGGTCCATTTTGAGCTCTGCCTGTTAGGTCGGGGTAGGTTCAACCCCTGTAGCACAAACACCAGGTAAGAATGCCTTCACCAAGCAAGATGGGTGTTTATTTCATGATCACTTAACAGTGTGGGTGTAAGCAGTTCAGGACTGATATGGCAATCCTAAAATTTGAGGGATGCAGGCTCTTATCTTGTTGCTTCACCATCTTCAGGGTGTTTCTCTCACCCCTGTGCTTTAGGTGGCTTTCCACAACATCCATAATCCTGCCAGAAGAAGAGGGGAGAGATGAAGGGAAGGTACAGAGGGAAGCTACTCACATCACTGCAGCTAAAACCTATTGGCCAGAACTTAGTCACATGGCAACACCAACTGCAAAGGCATTTGGGAAGTGTAACCTGCATTAGTTTTGTATTGCTGTATGACAAATGAGCACAGACTCAGTGGCTTAAACGACACAACTTTATTATCTCTCAGTTTCTGGGGATCAGGAGTGCTCGTCCTTTGCTCAGGGTCTCATCAGGCTGCAATCAAAGTGTCATCCAAGACTGTGATCCCATCTGAGACTCAGGATGCTTGTCCAAAGTTACTGGTTATGGGCAGGATTTAGTTCCTTGCAATCGCAGGACTGAGGTCCCACTTCCTTGCTGGCTGTCAGTGAGTCCGTTCCCAGCTCCTAGAGGCTGGCTGCTAGTCTCTGCCATGTGGCCCTTTCCACAATAAGGCATTGCACCTTCAAGGCCAGCAAGAGCATTCCTCTGACTCTTTCTCTTTAGCAAAGGCCCAGTTTCTTTTAAGGGCTCACCTGATTAGGCCAGGCCCACCCAGAGTCATCTCCCTTTTGACTGACTCAGAGACAACTGATGTGGGACCTTAGCTCCATCTGTAAAATCCCTTTACTGCTATCATATAATACAGCCTAATCTAAAGGAGCAATCATTTCATCCTATTACCAGTCCTACTTGTACTCAAGAAAAGGGGGTTTAAAGGCTATATACACCAGGGGGTAGGAATCTTGGGGACCATTTAGAATTCTTCCTACTTCATAATCTTTATTTGGGTGGCTATATGCCCAGCCAATAGTAATCAATACAATTCTGATTTCTGTAGTTCTATGACTGGAGAAGAATGGGAAAACGATATTGGGGATAACTAGTCTCTGCTATAATAACTTATTATCCATGTTATCTTGTTATTTAATTTTTCTGTGCTTCAGCTTCTCCTATAAAACAGGGATGATGACAATACTTCATACAAACACAGAAATAAAATAAGGGAAAAAAATTCAAGAGTCATCAAAAAGTCTAGCCATATCTTAATGACTAATGAGTACAAAAGGGGCTTGTTGAAATCTTCCCAATCTTGACCTTTTTTATACAAGTGCTAGACAAGTGGAAATCTGCAGAATATTCCCAGCACCTCAAACTCACCATTGCATAACAAATGATGTCACACAGTGAAGATGCCCCCAGGTGACATCACATCCTGAGAGGAGGAGCCGCTAGGGCAAAACCTCTAGAACCTGATGTGCATTTTGCCAGGGAAACCAGAGTTGCACGATTTCTATGAACTTGAAAGTTAATCATGTCCAGTACAGATACAAAGCAAGAGTGTGCATATGTGTATGGCATGCCTGTGTGTGAAATTAGCCACATATTGATTAAACTTTCCTATATGCTGAAGGGATGGGGTGGTTTAGAGAGCCGTTGGAAGAAACAAAGCAATGAACTTATCATGTTGCTTGACTCAACGAGCTCTGGGATTTAGAAACTAAATCTGAGCCATTAGTATGTGGCTTTACTTTTTTAATAGGAAAACATTCCACATAGGTCTAGCAACGTTCACGTTAGGGTTTTTAACACTTTCATATGCATCTCAGATAGCCAACCTGGAGTGGTCCTTGAGTAACACACAATACAAACAATTATTCCAGACATTTCAAAAATGAAGTGCTACCAGCTTCATTGTGTCCCCCAGCTCTGGCGAGTAATGAAAGACATATTCTTAATGTGAAACAAAAGAGGATTGTGAATATTAAAAAGCAGCCCAGCCAGTTAGAGTTAAACCGTCGGGATAAGATATTAACTTAAACCACATGTGAAGTGCAGCTGTTTCTGGTGAAGCTTTCATCAGGCTCAAGTGGAAAGATTGGTGGGTTTTAATATGTGGTTTCCAGCCAAGCCAATAGGAATCTGGGGAAAATGTGTGTGAAATCAGGCCTCTGCTGGGGGGTCTCGGGCTCTGGGCTGGCTTTTCTTTCTGTGAACATAAACAAAGGTAACCCAATGCTGAGGGCAAGGCCTGCTCCATCCAAAGGTTTAGCTGAGAGACTCTGGAGTGACCAGCCAGCCTGTGGAGTTTCTGGACTCTTCATTCTCCCTTTCAAGAGGAATGCATAAATAGGTCCCATGGTGTTAAGAGTAGGGATGAAGGAGGAGTCTTCTTGTATCTGTTCCCTGCCACTTCATCTCAGGAACATCTAGAATTTGTTCAGCTCCTAATAACTGACAGCATCAAATGGTGCCAACTCTATTCGAACTTACTGGCATGCTGGTTGGGTTTCACCTCTGAGGATTTAAATTTGCTTAAGAAAAGTGGTGCTATATACGATGCCTCACCTACCTAAGAACATGAAAATATTAGAAATTAATGAAAAAGTATGAGATGAGTGCAAAATAAGGATTAATTGCACACTATTTCTTTACAAAGACTAAATTAGTTAAATAGCTTAAAGGTTGGTTGGGCTGCTGCCTGATTTTGTCCAGCCAGTTCTGGAGGCCCTAGATGATTGCTTCTGGACTCACTGCTGGGTGACGCTGTCAGCCTTCCACTGCTTACCTCCTGCCTCATAATATTGCTTTCAGCTTCAGAGGTGTGGAACAGAAATAATCTTTATGAGCCCACAAATTCAGGAGTTGTGGGAGAAAAGTGGAAATGTCTGAACTGTACTCATTGACCTTAGGAAAACAGTTGAAATATTACCATTTCTGTGCATTGATTCATATATTTAACATTTATTAGGCAGCTAGATGATTCAAAAGACTTTGCAAAATGCTCTTGGGGATGCAAAGATGTGTAAAAGGGAAAGGAATTGACATTTATTGAGAATATACTATATGCCAGACATCACAGAGGCCATTGGATTACATTTTCTCATTTAATTCCCGAAACCTTGAAGGGGAAAGATTATAAGATAAGATCTTTGCTCTCAAAAGCCTTCCAGTCTGTGATTAAATAGTAGATAAAAGACATATTCAAATATCCATGAAATAAGATATTCTAACTATATGCCAAAGGAGAGGTTTTAATGGGAGTTAAGAGTCTGGAGTCATTACTTGGGGAATGAAAGAAAGTTTATTGGAGAAGACCATATTTGAGTTGGACACTGAAGTTTGGGTAGGATTTAGATTCACAGAGAGGGAGGACAAGGCATGACCCAGGTGAAGGAGAAGATGAGGGCAGGGGAAGCAAAAGGAAGAAGCAATCCCTATAAGTCTCATGCTACTCAGAGGTCAAGGGAAGATCACTTATAGAAGTTTCCCTTATTACCACTTCATGGCTCTTGTACCAGGTGAAGTCCATACCTTGACTTTAAGGCCACACTGTATGAAAAATGCAGGTCTTTAAACACTAGATGCACATTCAGTGCGGTGAGATGCTGACACCATCAGAGGCCTGATCAAATTAAGGCCTGGTGAGGGCAGTGCAGGCTCTCCTTTCCAATCTCATGCTCACTCTGGGGCCCAAGTGCGTGGAGTGGGATGACTGGCCCAGTGGCCAGCACTGTTTCATGTGGGCTCATCTCTCTGTCTAGTTATGATGGGGCTGTGAACTTCAAAGGTTAACTTCACATAGAATTTGATTATGAAGACTGAGATAGGGACCAAAATACAGAGTCAAGTCACTGTGGGTGAGAATATGTCTGTGGAGGTGGGGGCAGTGTTGGAAGGTCAGGATGTTGGACAGGCCAGCCCTGCTGGGGACAGAGAGTGAAGGATTGGTGTTTGGACTGCATTTGGTGTAGGGTTTGGTGGCAGTAGGGTATAAGGAAAAGTTTCGGGTAAGCTTGTTTCAATGCATTGGGGCTACTGGATTGCAGCTAAGAAGTGGAGATGTGTTCTCTGAGAATTAGTCACCCACATTCTACTTCATCATGTTGCTTTTAGGTTGGCACAAAAGTAATTGTGACTTTTGCCATTACTTTTAATTTGGCATTACTTGTTGAGTCTGAGAAGAAAGTAAGTGCCTTTTCTAAAGCAGCCCCATTCCTGATGGAATGTTGAAGCTGAATCCTCATGCTTGAGGTTAAATCAATCAAGTCACTAGGCACCAGGCTCTAGGGAGGCTGCAAGGAAGTTTGGCGGACAGTTTCTATCCTCAGGCAGTTCATTGACCTATAATATTCTCATGAGAAGGTGACCAGTAGTATATGGTGAGTCAGGTGCCTATAAGCCCAACCAGTGACCCAAAATGTTGTACTGGTCTCCTAGGGCTGGTATAACAAAGTACCCCAAACTGGGTGCTTAAACAATGGAAATTTATTCTCTCATAGTTTTGGAGGTTGGAAGTCCCAATTCAAAGTGTCAGCAGGGCCAGATTCTCTCTAAAGGCTCTAGGGAAGAATCTTTCCTTGCCTTTTCTGGCTTCTGGTAGTTTCCAGCAATCCTCGGTGTTCCTTGGCTTATGCCAGCATAACTCCAATTTTCTCTGTGTCTTCAAATCTCTCTCCATAGAGGGACACACGTTTTTGGATTTAGGGCCCACTCTGATCCAGTATGACTTCATCTTAATTATATCTGCAGAGACCCTATTTCCAACTAAGATCACATTCATAGGTACGGGGTTTAGGACTTCAGCATATCTTCTTGGGAGACACAACTCATGCCACAGCAGATGTTAATGTGCAGGCTGGCTGGATAGAAGGACCCTATGAACTGGGATAGTCATGGATGACATCTTGGCATGATGGGACTTGAGCTCTTTATCAAGAATATGTGGTATTTGGATGGAGAAGGGGTGGGCTGGACTCCAAGGAGGGTGGAAGGGGAAAAAGGGAAGAATTATATGGCTGGGGTCACAGAGACTGACTGAAGCAGATTAGAGACTGGTGAGGAGCCAGCCTGGTAGGGACAGAGGAATGAACTGGGGAGTGATGAAGACTGACACTTTGGAAAGAAACTGGGGCCAGATTGTGGAGCTACCCAAGCATACTGGAAAACTGAATGGCTGGGCTTCAACCGTATTTCCCATATTCTGGAAAAAACTCCATTCAACATCCCCAAAAACCTTCAGAAGACAGAGGCAGTCACACATGAAGAGCCTTATGCCCAATCTGCTTCTGAAGTGTATCCCCAGATATCTTGTAAAAGCTTATGGGCCACCCAGTGAAGTGGGTGCCTTGGGTTTAGCCTGAAGAAGACCTACCAGCTCTGGCAAGGGCACTCATGAGGTTAGCCAATATGGCATTAGTAAGGCAGAGCAGTGAGCAAAAGGCCTGGGATCTGCTCTTCTTCTCTTTGGGCATCAGATTTCCCATTTGCAAAAAGCAATGGCTTTGGTTGTGACATGCTGCAGTTTCTTGACTCTATATAATAAAATGGTGTAACTTATGTTTGAATAGACTTAAACTAAGTTCATCTGCAAATATTCCTTCATTTGATACAGCATCTCTATGAGATGGATAGAGAAAAATTTTTACCCCATTTTGATAGATGAGGACATAGACTCAGAGGAAGTTCACTGACTTGCAGAGGCACTGAGCTGGTTAATTAGCGGAGCCAGAACTTGAACACAGGTCTTCAGAATGCTAGTCCAGTGTTTTCCATTCCACACAATGCCTCCTTTATAATCAGAATTTCTCCATGTGCTCATTCATTCAACAAGCAAACATGTATTAAGGGTCCGCTATGTGACAGGTACTCTGATAGGCCCTAGAGATACATGAATAATTAAAGCAGGGTCCCTATCCCAAGAAGGTCCCAGAGTGCTGGTCCAGTGCAAAATCTTGTACATAATGGTCGGGCAGAGACTACACTTCAGGTCGGGTGTCCTCATCCCACCAAGCCAGGCCCGCCATAAGATCAAGGGTCTACCGGGCAATGCTCTTGGGCCAGTTTTTTAAAATTTCAGTTCATAAACATGGAGCTGCTACTGAAGGCACATCTGACTTCTTGTATAGTTTAGTCAGTATCTACTATATTAGCAACACTTAACATCAACTAGAGAGAGGACTGTCAAAAGGGAACTTCTGAAATTGAGTGAACTACTCTTACTGAATTTGTAGCTGTTGTGAAATAACTCTCAGGTCACAGTCTCTTAGATTTGCATTGCATCTCTCAGTTTACAAAGTCCTTTAATAAATGTAATAGCACTTGATAGTGTTACAATCTGAGACGGCATCTCCTTTAGGAACAAGCAGACCTCAGACCCTACGACCTCTAGGTGAGTGACCTTCACAATTGCTTAGCACAGTGAAACCTCTAGCTCCTCATTTGCAAAATAAAGATGGATGATAATGGTGCCAGTCTCATAGGATTTCTGTGTAGGAGGATGTGTGTGAGGTGCCTGGTTGACCTTCGAGAAATGTGAGTTCCTTCTTCAACAGAGCAATGAATAGCTCTCTTGAGTGAGGGAAGCAGCCCAGCACGCTCAGCTGGCAGGCTGTTCTCCACACGTGTTTTAGACTATGCTGGCCTTTGAGGGAAAAGGATGTGGTTCTCCTGACTCCTGTCTCTACTAAGATTTTTGCATAGTCTCCCATAGATAAGCTTGGTGCAAAAGTGATTGCGGTTTTTGCCATTATTTTCAATGGTGCAATCACTTTTGCACCAAGCTAATAGAAACCAGTGAGGTAGACAAATCAGTGAGGTATAATTTGGGAAACCTCTGACTGAGTCTACCATTTTTAGTTGCTTTCAATTTGATTAAATTAGTGCCCAAATGCTTAAAGTGGTATGCCCAAGGTCGTGGTCACCAGCCCATGCCTTCAAATCCAGAGCTCTTTCCATTAAGCCACTTGTCCAAGATACATCCCTCAGAAGTGGTGATATCCTCAATGTGTATGAGAAAGGATATCTTTAGAGATGCTGGATTCAGAGGCTACCCTTCTCAAAGTTCAGCCGGGAGACATGGAATGAAACCACGGCTTTGTTTTACAGCTAATATTTTAACTTAATTTGTTCTGTTCAGCTTGTCCAAATTCCAGGTTGCGGATAAATCAGGATGATGGCTCACACGCTGGTCCCATCTACCAGGGATAAAAGTGACCCAGAAATATCTGGAAGCCCTGGGAGCATTTAGATAGATTCCTTAAAATATGATTCTCCACCCAATCGCCTTGCTAGGGGCGGAGTGTCTCAGGCATAAAAATACGACTTAGGGCGATGAACAGTTAAAGTCTAAGAACTTGTAAGCAATAGAAGCAGGAATTATTCACTCTTACCAGTGCTGGCTCTGTGTTCAGTGTTTGCTCGCCATCTCATACATCTCTTCAGAAGGGAAAAACAACTAGAATTTGCCACTGGGACACATGTATTTTTTCCTGCACTGGAGCTGATGGAGCTGTTGGAAAACACTCTATAAATCTCGTCTCCTGTACCGTGACATTCAGCCCTTTGGGGCAGCTCTCACTTTATGTTCATCCTGCAAACTGCAGTAGATGAGACTTGCAGCAAGACCCAAGGGCTCTGTGTCCAGTATCCTTGCCAGGTGAACAAAGGGAAAGGAGTTGCCGAGGCCTGGGTTGTTGTTAGAAGTTGGGCTCCGTTTTCCCAGCCAGAAATCAAGCTCACATTCCAGCCGCCAGAGAAGAGCAATGCTCTAAATGAGGTCACTGTGTTTGCAAGGGAGAAACAATTATGTGCTTTTCCTCTCGCACTTATTACTCACAGCACTTCATAGGGAGGACATAGCATCTTTTTTGTCTGCCCCCGAAGAAACTTTACAAAATAAAACTGGGTGCAGAAAGAGGCTGACTTTGGATGAAGGTGCCTCACATTTTATTGGCTAGAAGGTAGATTCCTTTTGATTTTATTTTCCAATTTAATACAAGGTGTGCCTTGAGAAATGCTTATGTTAATTTGAAACAGGAGTAAAACAGTGCCAGGCCCTTGTGTGGCAAGGCCCTGTCTGTCTGATCACACCGGGCACCTGGTCTATAAATCCGCACCAGGGCTTAGACCTGAGGCTGGCTCCCAGGGTTGGGGGAACCAGGGCAATGCTGGGAGTTATCTGGCTGCATGGGACCAGCATGCCTTGTTCTCCAACCACACAGTGTGTGACACGTTATCTGGGACAGGAGATTCAGAAGGGAGACATTGCAGAGAGATTTGTAGAGAGGACAGTAGCCTCGTCCTAAGATGAGGTGTGGTGTTGAAGGGTGTATTAGTCCGTTTTCATGCTGCTAATAAAGACATACCTGAGTCTGGGTAATTTATAAAGAAAAAGAGGTTTAATGGACTCACAGTTCCAAGTGGCTGGGGAGGCCTCACATTCATGGTGGAATGTGAAAGGCACGCCTTACGTGGTGGCAGCAAAGAGAGAATGAGAGCCAGGCAAAAGAGTTGTTCCCTTATAAAATCGCCAGATCTCATGAGACTTATTCACTACCATGAGAACAGTATGGGGGAACTGCCCCCATGATTCAATGATCTCCCACTGGGTCCCTTCCACGTGGGAATTATGGGAGCTACAATTCAAGATGAGATTTGGGTGGGGACACAGCCGAACCATATTAAAGGGGTTCAGAGGCGGCTCTGTTTAAAATTCTGTGCTGCATCATGAACTTCTGAGTGCAGCCCAATCATCAGAATGGTCACAACACCCTCCCCAGTGATCACGGTAGGGCTTCATCTCATTTCAGAACCTTTGACAAGCTCGAGTTTGGCACGGTACTTCATTTTGGCATGTAACTTTCTTCAGCTATTGTCTGTGCATTTTATTTTTCTCCAGTGAGACTGCCCATTCCTTGAGGGTCCCCTAGAAGTTTCCTGCCCATCCCTGACTTTAAGCAGACCCAGGCAGGAGAATGAAGCCCACACCACCACAGTCCTGCACCGGCCTCCACTCTGCCCCGCAGTTGATGATTCTGGCCCTTTTGTTAATGACTCTGGATTCTCAAGGCTGAGAGGCCCAGGAACTGAAGAATGGTCTGAGGCAGGAAGAGGAGGGCATCCTTTCTCCACGTTATGCCCTCTGGCTGGGCTTACATTGTTCCCAGGGAGGATGCGCTGTGGGAAAGTGGGATGCAGGAAGCAGAGCCGCTTTATGGCTCCTTCTCTGAGAGTGCGTCTGCAGTGGCTGGCTGTATGTCTCAATTTGTGTCTTTACGTGGCTGCCAGCCCTACCTTTGCCCACTGTGGGTTACCTTCCTGCCTCGGGGCACCATTGCCTGGGGAGGCATTATTGTGTGGTGCAGCCATGAGACCCGGGTTGCAGTACTAGCCTTGACAAACTCACTCTCTGACTGAGCTTGACTCAGTGGCCTTATCCGTCAAAATCAAGTACTAGCTTATACCCTATGCAGCTTGGCCAAGCCAAGATCCAATGCCATATCTGCCTGGTTCTGAGGGCTGAGCCCTCCTCACTGCCCTGAACTTCAAGGTGCTGAGTGTGCAGCTCTTTGTGGAAGCGCAGAGTGGGGCTGACAGCTGACACCCCTGAAACCGTCTACAGAGCCACCCACCTGCTGGCTTGTCCAGGCTGTCTTCATTTCAGCTCTCGTATGAGTAGCTGGTGTGGGGCACGACAGAAGCCAGCACCAGCGAGGACAGACAGACAGATCTTATGGCTCCCTTCTCAGTGTCCCAGTTTCAAGGCCCTGTCCTGGCCTTTGAGGAGCCTCAGTTAGGACTGCACTATTCCATGATGATGTGCTCTTGGGCATCTGCAGATTGTTGAAGGGAAGATATTTTCAGCATTTTCTTAGGCATAGCAAGCAGATTTATTTGCCTGTCATTTGCAGGGTTAACAACAAAAAAAACCCCACAAAATAAAAAACAAACCCAGGCCCCATGCTGGCTGTTGCTCAGCTCTGGGCTTCATTACTACCACTGTCCTGGCTTATGAGAGCCAGCATGGATCTTTCAGTATTCTAGAAGTTTCTGAAACATTGTAGGGTGCAGGTTTAGCAGAGACAGTCTATCTTTCTCGCTTGTGTAATTTGCCTTACAGAATGCTTCTATGTGAGCTTGATTTCCCTCCTCCCTTTTTCATGTTAGCTGTCCTGATTCTAGCTTAATGATTTTGGGGGTGAAGTGGGGAGGGGTCTGGGGATTAGTGACTTTGCATAAAAGTACTACTAAAAGCTCTGTCTCTGGGGTCACCTGACATTTGCTTTCTCTCAGCAATCGATCAAAGTACAATAATGTTCTTTGGTGAGTTTCCTCTTTCTGATACATTTGATGGTGGTCCAGTGGAAGGGGATAGATTTTTGGAGTCAGTGGGATTTAGGTTCAAACCCCTCCTGTGTCACTTATAGGCTATTTAATCTTGCACAAGTTTGGAAATAACTGGAGCTTCTGTAAGAGAAGGAAGGGACCTTTTGTGACAGAGGAGGGCTATGGCATAGCTGTCAACAGCCCTCAGGTTTGGGTGGGTGCTCACTGTACTAAAAATAGATTACTTATTGATTTTTATTATTATTTTTGTAGTAATTCAGACAGAAGAAATACTAATTAAATGCCATTTAGTGCTTATCTGGTGCTAGAAACTGTCTATTCATGCCTTTGGTCCTCACAATGACCCTATGAGGGAGGTATGATTATTATCTCCATTTTTCAGACATGGAAATTAGAGCTCAAAGAAGTTAAGTAATTTGTCCAAGGCAACGCTGCCTGTAAGTGGTAAAGCCACGGCTTAAATCGTGGTGAATTTACTTCTTGCTTTAGGAGATTTTTCTTTGAGTTCTTCCATTTTTTAAAAAACTCTTTTAATATTAATTTCTACTTTTACCTGTGGAAAGAAAAGTGTTAACAGTGGAGAAGATGAGGACTCACTGGTTAGAAAAAATTCTTAAAAGAAAGAAGCAGAAACCCACCATCCCGCTATGTATTCTCAGAAAAGCAGCCCAATGTGGATATTGGTAGAATGGGTCTCAGCTGTGGCAAGAGAAGGGAGAACAAAGTTTGAGGGATCAAAGACACTGTGGCCACCCAATGAGTTTCATCTTAAGCATTACAAGGAATTAAGTGGCTCTTCTGAGTCTTGGAACTTTGGTTCTGTCATCTCTGCCTTGAGCCACTAGAGATAAGTTACTGGTCTTTCTTTTCGTCATTCATCATGGAGGCCAGCTCAGACTTGGTTGAATTCCTTTAGGTACTGATCCAGAAAAATGGAACCCAAGTTGGCTCCCTGTTCAATGAGTCGCATAATAAGCACCCACAGGGCTTGTCCCCGAACCATGGCGACAGTGCCGTGTGAATGACAACGGGGAATTTGTATTTGAAGCCTCTTTGTAAGCTCTAAATGGATAAGCAAATACAAAGACATATTGTTACAAGTGTAGTGGGTATTGAAGGTTGGAGTGTTGGGTTTTGAAAAGGAAGGGGAACAGTTTGTGTTCTCCATTGGAAAGAAATAGTAGGTAACTGAATAGAAATCATTTTAAGTAAGCAATGTTTAGAGGCAAATTAGAAATTGGGCACCTACAAGGCTCACTCTGAGTGGGGGTGATGCATGGAAAGGACAAAAAGGCCTGAATTACTGGAGGAATTTAGGAAAGGGATGGTGGAAAAGCACCTGAACATTGTGTTAAAACAAAAATACATTAAATGAGTATGGGGCGAGATCAAGGAGAAGAGAGTTCTTGGCAGAGGTTGCTGCTGTAATTTATCCCAGACCCTTTAATTCCTGACCACCACCCCAGGGAGGAGATTATCACCTCCCCCAGCTAGCACAATTGGCTGGTATGGAGGTTGTTAACTTGAGAAAATCACCAGAGATAGTATTGGGCAACTTCAAAAGTCCACTGTCTTTTTCAATGAGCTTGTTGTGAAAGGGCTTAAACAGAACACTAATAACAGCTAAAGATCTAGCTGCAGGTGGCTGTCTAATTCCAATCAAAATAATCTTCTCCAAGTCTTAGTGGATAAAGGAGGGCAGAATTAAAAAGGGAACCGAGAGTGATTTTTGGCACGGGCACCAAGTCTGTTGTGGAGGAAGACTATTGGTGTTGGCAGTGCACAGTTAGGTTTTTTCCCAGCAACAAATTTTTCTCTTCCCTTGATGGCTTGGAAGGTCTGTACACAAATGCCTTTGTGTCAGTTGTATACAGCTGCACACACCATGTGGTATTTGCTTTAGTTAACAGTACAGTGGAGGGAGAGTAGGTTGTTGGCTTTTGAAAGAATCAGAATTATTATATACAGGCATCTTTCTCCCTTTCCTAGAAGCTCCCATGCTGGCTTGAAAATATACTGTTTTCGAATTACAGACTTAATGCCCTTAGAGCTTCTTTCTTCGGGGGTAGTTTGTGTTTAATCAATGTTCTACTAGACTTTCCAAGACACTGTTCCTTGGTAATGGATGTCACTTGAATACAATTTTCTGTAGTCAGATAAGATTGCCAAATGCTAGATCCCACAAATTTTAACAGGTATGTTTACTGCAGGACTTTCCAGAGCCTTCAATGTGCAAATTAGTTTTGAATCACCTACTAAGTGGTACTTTGACTCCCCAAAATAAAAAAAAAGTTTGCTCCAAATCCCAAATTATCTGGCTTTTTTTTTCACAGATGCATCCTGGGAAATACTGTTCTCTTTAAAACTGCAGGAGTGGCCCCCGTTGAGATGGAGGTTGAACAAGCATTTCCCTAGAGTCCTGTGGTCCATAGCATTGTCTGCTAAGATGCTGGGCTGTCCTGGAGCTGCGGCTGGAGTCAGGTTCAAATGCAGCACCCGGCAGCACACTACACAGGTGTGTGTGTGTGTGTGTGTGTGTGTGTGTGTGTTATGTGTTTGGGCTGGTTGTTGGAATGAGGACAAAAGAGGAAGTTGGAAGAAGAGATGAGAACTTGCTCCCTCCTCTTAGGAACACCCAAACTTGTGGATTCCTCCAAGAATCTTCCTTCCTGGGCCCAATTGTCAAAGCCTAGTCATAGGTGGAATTGTTGTAAAAGTCATTCCCAAGTGGCTCAGTATGTATAGCTTGTCATTGACGTGAGCAGATTTCTGCAGCTGAAAATAGTGACATCCAGTCATTTGGGCCAATTTGTGAATTTTCCTCAGGGATGTGAGCTTGGGGAGGTAATTTTATGCCAAGAAGAAAGTCATGGAAACAGTTGTTTTCCTGAGAAGACCTGCCCCCTATTTCCCTTAAAAAGAAGACAGGAACTTTCAGATGGCTGTAGTCCAGGAACCTCGAATACAGTTAGTGAATAATCACCCCTAGCTTCATGAATCCTCATGAGGTCCATCATTTTGGCAGCCTTCCTTCTTGTTCCCTAAAAGGGTTTGAACTCGATGTTTCTGGGTCTGTGAAGGCTTCCACATCTTCCATCTAAATCATTTTTATTTGCTGGACTACAAGGGAAAAACCACACCAAAAGAACTCTCCCCATATCTCTCAGACTTCACGAGCAAAAGGAGAGCATTCCAGAAATGGCAGAGCCAGAAAAACCATAAAGATACACTTTTTGAAAGACAATCTGGAAATGGAGCTTAAAAAGGTTTTTGCTAAGCCTTGATCATGCCAAGTGAATTCTCTTTCAGTCATTAAAGAAGGAAACCTACCCCCTAAGAACCGAAGTTAGCAGCTATATCAGGTCAAAGGAACTTGGGAAGAGAACAGGATTGTTTATTAATCTTATAGTATCTCTTTCCTAATAAAACCCCAATCGTCTGCCTTATGCATGTTACCATAACACTCAAACCAGGTTTGTTGGTTATTTATTTATTTAAGATGTTTGGCCTGTTTGGAAATTAAACACTTTCTTGGATTTCATCTCTTTGGGCCAATGGCAGACCTGCTGGGGGGGTGATCCTAAGAGGATACAATAATAAAAGCCTTAATAGGGTAGCACAATGGGAAAAAGCCAAAATGAATTAGCTTGCTGTGACATGGCTAACATCATTGCATTTATATATGTTTCATTAAGCGGGGGCTTGACAGCTTTATGAGGAAACAGTGGGGTTTGCAATGGAGGAAGGCCCTGTAACCCTGCCAAAGCTGATCTCGGCCTGTGCCATGCATGCTCTTTAATAGAATAATATTTGCACAGTGAAAATGTCATTTTAAATGACTGGTTTGATAATCCCTTAAGCTTTTAAATGATCTGCAAAGTCTGGAAATTCTACCCGTGTTTAAAATTGACGGGAACATTAATGAATGCAAACATTAAAGGATGGTCTCCAGCTTTGTTTCCTGAGTCAGACATCGCTTACTAGGATTTCTTTCCTCTTTTTGTCCCTTGTGCTCTTTCTGCAACACAAGCGTACTCACCAAGCAGCTGCAGTGGCCTTCACTGCAGGGATGTCTTTGGGGTGGGACAGCTCAGCCTGTAGTGGGACATGGACTTACCAGGATTGTTGTTAGCATGCAGCTCTTTCCTGCAGAGTAGAAAAGGCATCCCCTCTGGGAGGGAGCCTGCAGAAGGGAATCCCTTTGGGCAGAACAATTAGCAAAGGGCATGTATCTCTCCAGCTGGCGCATCGTGAGCCAGGGTCTTAGCGTGGTGAGCACAGAGTAGGAAGAATTTAGCCCTTACTGCAGCCCCCTCAGGGAAAGTCCTGCACAACCATATGCAGCATCCCTGGTGATGTCTACCTTGTTTTGTTCAGACCCCCTTTGGACCAGGATAAAAGCCTCCCTGTCTGCTGGACAAACATCCTGTGCGAGATGAGATTTTGGGAAGGCTTTTCCTTGGGAGGACAAAGCCCCATTCAGTCCCTTCCTCCTTTCAATGACTCTCGAATAGGGTAGGAAGGCTGTGTAAGGATTACCTTCTCAAGAATAGAGCGATAGATGGAGGGCTTGGCAAACTAAAGCTTCGGGGCCAAATCTGGCCCTCTGTTGTTATAAATAAAGTTTTATTGGAACACAATCATACCCATTCATGTATTGACTGTGGCTGCTTTCCTATGACAATGGCAGAGCTGGATAGTTGCAATAGAGACTGTATGGTCCACAGAGCCTAAAATATTTGCCATCTGGCTCTTAACAGAAAAATCCTGCAGATCCCTGTCCCAGACCACTGGACAAAATGAGGTAGCATCCCTGGCTGGAGTCCTGGCTCTGTTAATTTTTGTATGTCCTTGGGAAAGTTACTTAATATCTCTTTTTCTTAGTTTTCTCATAAGTAACATGGGGATATTTCTGCTCTGCCCACTTCGTGCAGCTGCTGTGAGGATTTAATGATTAAATAGAAAAGTGCTGTACATGTGTGAGGTCTGCCAAGGTCTAGGGCTGGTACCTTGGGGAAAGCCTTTTGACCTCTTTAGAGCTAT
The DNA here is from genome assembly GCF_000001405.40 of Homo sapiens. NCBI lineage: Eukaryota > Metazoa > Chordata > Mammalia > Primates > Hominidae > Homo > Homo sapiens. The sequence goes on from NC_000002.12 coordinate 219,920,473, forward strand.
TCCTTTATCTGTAAAACAAGAGAGGTGCTCTAGATTAACACTCGTCAGACTTTAATGTCCATATGTTCAACTGGAGATTTTGGTAAAATGCAGATTCTGATTTGGTAGGTCTGGGGTTGGGGGTGAAAGTCTGCATTTTTTACCAGCTCCCAGAAGACGCTGATGCTGCTGGGCTGGTGTATTCATTAAGGTGCTCCAGAGAAACAGAACCAATAGGATATATATATACAGAGAGAGATTTAAGGAATTGGCTCACTCAGTAATGGAGGCTGGCAAGTCCAAAATATACTGGGTGAACTATCAGCTTGAAAACTCAGGAAAGAGCCTTTACTGCTGTTCGAGTCCAATGGCTGTCTGTGGCAGAATTCCCTCTTGCTTGCGAGAGATCAGTCTTTTGTTCAATTCAGGTCCTCAGCTGATTGAAAGAGGTCCAATATGGTGGGCAACAGCTTTACTCAAAGCCCGCTGATTTAAATGTTAACTTCATGTAAAACCACTCACAGAAGGATCCAGAATAATGTTTGACCAACTATTTGGGCACCCTGTAACCCAGCCGACTCATAAAACTAACCATCACAACTGGGTACCGCACTCGGAGGAGCAAGGGGCCAGATTATCTTGCTGGTACTCTCTGCTCATGTAATTGATGAGCAACTGGCAAATGCTGTTGTAACCATAACAGTCACTTTCCCAGGCACCCTTCTCCCACCGCATGCCTCAGCAGAGGGGTCCTGCACTTGTCCCAGCTCGTAGCCTAACCTTGCATCTGGTGAGAAGAGATGGTTATTTTTCCACTTCCAGGAGAGCTCTGGCCAAACCCTTCGTCTGGCAGCCAGGTGGCTTGACAGAGCAGCTAGTGGCAGGCTGAACCCTTCCTGGCTGGCCTCAGCCTGGACGCAGCTGGAAGGTGTCCCACCTCCCTGCTTTCTGCCCCAGAAAACAAAACTAGTTAGTGGCAACCTGGCATGTGGAGATTGCAGAATTTGAATCCTCCTGCATTTCACTGAAGTGAAATGTCTCCTGTGCTCCCACTGGCTGCTAGTGCTGCCAAAAAATTCTCTCAGGCTTTTGTTTCCAACCACATTTTTCACAGGCCACTAGAGGCTATTGGCTGTTTGTCCTAATTGCCACCTGAAGCCAGTAAGGCCTTTTAAGGAGAGGATTGTCTTGTAGGTAGGGTCAGAGCCAAGATTTCTGCCTCTGTGTGGTGGAGCAGGTGAGAGAGGACGGAGTGGGAAGATGGGTCTGGGGATGGTGGTAGAGAAACACATTAACGGGATTATTTGCCAACAATTGCCCATCAAACAGGTCAGGGTGCTAGATTAGACCCAGATACACTGGGCAGCAGTACAGGACTATGATGTAAAAAGATGCAGTTTTAGACTCAGATGAACCTAGGTTCAAATCCCACCTTTGCCTCTTTTCCCAGCGGTACTTGGGCAAGATTCTTAACCTTTCTGTAGTTCAGTTTTCTCATAGCTTTGTTGTGAGAATAAATGATACCTATTTTTCCATTCAGAAATCCTCTGGGGCTCCCTGTTTCCTTCTCATCAACTTCCAGATACCCTCTGACTGGATCTGGGATCCCACTTAGCTCAGTCTCTGGCACTAATAGAAATCCAGCAAAAATTCAGCCAACAAATATCAGGCCATGAAGGCCATACACACAATATACGTTTTTTTACAAAGGAAAATGAAGCAGACTAAAGCACTAATTTGATCAATTCACATTTCAATCCTTTAGCTCATGAGTTCTGGAAACTTCAGCAAGTTCCTTGACTTCTTTGTGTTTTGGTTTCCTCTTCTGTAATAGGATAACCACTGGGCTTGTTTGCTGGGATTGTCGTGAGGATTAGATGAGATAATATAGCCAAAGCTTTAGTGTGGACCTGGTACATCGCAAACCCTAGCTCTTAGCTCTTCTTGCACCTGTTATTTCAAGATTCCCCAGGTGTGTTCAGCTGTGTTAAGAAAGGGTTTGCAGAGTAGTGGTTGTGGATTCCCTGCGCAACTGTGGCCTTCAAGATGCTTTAAAAACTAGCTGGGGAACCAAGCCCAAATCTCTGGGCTATGTTCCCTCACAAACCTTGGGTAAAGAAAACTTAGGGTAGACCTGGCCCACAGTTTCACTTGAACTGGACTCTTGACCTTTCTTTTTAACCCTTGCCCTTTTCGCCCAGCACATTCTCCAAGGCTGTGCGAGGGCTTTATTGCTCGTTTCTTGAAGCCACCTTTATGCTTTCTTCTTTACACCCTGTATGTAGTTTCTCATCAGGACCTTGAGTCTTTCTCTACCATGTTTCACGCCAATGCTTCTTTGCTGTTTCTATTAGCCCATCTTGCCTTGGCCTTCTTCCTTGGGCATCTGGCCTGCTGCAATAGCTCGAGGACAGCAGCTTTCAACGCTGGCCACACCAAAATCACCTGGGGGAAGTTTTAACAAGATAATGCAGTCCTAAAGCACCAAGCCCCAAGATTTTGATTCAGAGAGTCAGGGATGGAACCACAGACAGCTGTGTTTTAAAGTCTCCCCAGGTGATTCCAATTTGCAGCCTGGGTTAAGAACCTCTGTTAGAGGCTTTCCTGTGTTCAGCTGCAAAATCAGGAGCCCAGAAGCTTTTAGAACTTTGCTTTTCTCATCTGCAGAAGGGATAGTCCTGCCATCCACCCAACCAATGAGATCGGGTTGGATGCTTCAACCCCAGCTCAAACGCCCGTTAAACAAACAAACAACCATGTTTCTCTCAGATCATGTTTTGCCTTTCGTTGTATTTATTTGAGCACTTATGTCGTTCATTAGACAGTAAGCTGCTTGGGAAAGGATCCACAGCTTGTTTAACTTTGTACCTCCCATAATGTTTAGTATAAGGGCTTGACACATAGTAAATATTCAATATATGATCATTGGATTGATTTGCAGTTGTTTTGTGTGCCCTGCAGGGTCTGGAACAGTACTGAGAGCATAGTAAACACTCAATAAACACTGATTGATTGATTAATGTATCTATTCAAAACCTATATAGAGAAAATGGAGGGCACAGAAACAGACCCAGCCCTATATTAACTGAATGGTGGTAGGGAAGTAATTTAACTCTGAGTGCCTTTGCCTTTGGTGTGTGGGTATGTGCAAGAGCTCATGGAAATACACGTACACAGGCAGTGACATACACATACATACAGAGTTCTTGGAAATTCAAGAACTGATCATCTGCTTAGGTGATCCTCTCTGCTACTACTTGGTAGAAACTGAAATGTCAAATGAGGACATTGGTAGACTTAGTTTAGTCATGCTCACAGTAATAAAATAATTTAATATAAAAGTATTTTGGAAAGTACCAACACATGCAAATTATTACAAATGGGTTAGGCACCAACAGGTTGGGACTGTAGATGCTTGGGTTCTAGTCCCTGGGCAGCCCTTCACCTGTTGGACAATATTGGCTACATCCCTTAATGTCCCTGAACTTCAACTTCCACATCTGGAAATAAAGCTTTGGATTAAATCAGCAATTCTTATGCCCTGAAATGCAGCCAAAAGAACACTGATTTTTCAGAATATTAAAGATGTTGATAGGTGTTCAAGACAAATCAACCAATAAACAAATCTTCGGGAAACAAACAAAAGTTGTTTCGGATATACTATTATACTTAAGCCAAATGAAATAACTTTTTCTAGGACTTCTCAGGGACTTTATTTTTTGATGTTTACTGTGACTCACCAAGGGGATGTGGAAAGGTTTCTTGCAAGCCATTTGGCTCTGAAACACTCTCCCTCCACCCCAGAAAGCTTATTAACAATCGGAGGCATTTGCAAACTCTCACTCAGCAGCGGCTGATGCTCAGTGTACCCTGGTATTTTGCTAAGATAACCACCTCACAGGTTGCCTCTAGGCACCAGCTCACTACAAAGAAAATCTCCTTGTCTGTGATGCTTTTACCTCAGTTTTGTTGGTATATAATCTTACCTGTCCTTCATTAATTCACCTCTTTCAGGAAGTCTTCCCACCTTGCTCCATCCCATAGTGATAGCCCCTGACTTGAAAGCAGTTAATGCAGCAGAGTAAAAAGAGGAAGGACTTCATAGTCAGACAGCCAACGTTTGAATCCTAGCTCCACCAGCTGTGTGGGTACCTGGTCAAGCCACAGCCTCTCTGAGTCTGATTGCGTTTGTCTATACTTTGTGGGTAATACTCCATGGGCATTTGGGGTTTGTACCATGCAGTATTTACTTGTCCTTATTTTTTTTTTTTTTTTTTTAGAGACGGTGTCTCACTCTGTCAGCCCAGGCTGGAGTGAAGTGGCGCAATCTTGGCTCACTGCAGCCTCCGTCTCCTGAATTCAAGCAATTCTCCTGCCTCAGCCTCCCAAGAAGCTCAGATTACAGGTGCGCCCCACCATGCCTGGCTAATTTTTTGTATTTTTAGTAGAGATGGGGTTTCACCATACTGGCCAGGCTGGTCTCGAACTCCTGACCTCATGATTGGCCCGCCTCAGTCTCCCAAAGTGCTGGGATTATAGGCGTGAGCCACCGCACCTAGCCTACTTGTCCTTCTAGTACAACATCAGGGGAAATTTCCCTCTGGGGCCCATCCCAGCCATGCTCTGAGCCAACATGGGGGTAGGTGCCCAGGCCCAAGGCACCACTTTATCACATTCCCCTGGCCATAGCAATGGGCCTTGGACACAATCAGGATCAATGAAACACAGTATTACTTTGCTAATATTTCTAAAAAAGAGGCTCTTGCTCTTTTCTACTGGATTTGAAACTTAGGGCAGATAAAGCCTGAGGATGCTGCAACCATCTTACAACTGTGAGGGGAGAGCCTTTCTGATAATAGAATCAACACAGTAGAATATAGGCTTCATGGTTGGAGTTTCAGCGGCCATCTTGGACCATGAGGTGACCTTGGGAATGGAAACCATAGAAGATGCCTAGGTTTCTGCCACCATGAACGCTATTCCAGTTTTGGACTATTTTTTATCATTTGAAAGTGAGAAGTAAATGTCTATTACATTTAAGTGACTGTCACTGTTTTCTGTTATTCACAGCTGAACCTCATCTGAACCCATAGTTTGAGTCAGCTTTTGTTTTCTTTGCTTGTTTATTTTTAAACAGAAAGGGTCCTGTCTGACATAGTCTCCCACCCCCATGGTAGGATTATGTCATGGGTTGAACTATATTACCCCCCAATTTCATATGAAGTTCTAATCCCTAGTCCCCAAATGTGACTGTATTTGGAGACAGGGTATTTAAAGAGGTAATTATATTAAAATTAGGTCTTTAGTGTGGGCCCTAATCCAATATAGACTGGGATCCTTGTAAGAAGAAGAAAGTTGGACACAGATATGTGTGCTAAACAGAGGAAAGGGAAGAGTGAGAAGGTGGCCATATGCAAGCCAAGGAGACAGGCCTCGGGATAAAACCAGATCTACCAAAAGCTTCATCTTGGACTTTTGGCCTCTACAACTATGAAGAAATAAATTTATGTTGTTTAAAGCCATGCAGTCTGTAGGACTTTGTTATGGCAGTCCTAGCAGACTACTACGGAGTAAATGAAATAATCATGTATAGTAGGCATCTAGCTCAGTGTTTGTAGCTAAGAACCCTCAGCAAATGTGACTTCCTGTTCCCCATGCACTAACTCATACTGTCAGGAAACTCTCTATGGGACAATGTGCTCCATTTTCCTAACTAGATCCTTGAAGGCTCCGAAGCACCTGAGTCAGGACTATTATGCACATTAGAATGCTCAATAGATGCTTATTGATTAATTAGGACTCCCTAGGCCATGCTAGGCAGGCAGAGATGGATTAAGCTGTTTGATAAAGTCTACCCTAATGCACCGTACTTCTCTGGCAGCCTTTTTCTTTAAAGGGAGAAAAGAAGGAGAAGGCAGCTTTTACAGTTGGTTGAAATATCCTGGAAGAAACTGTCAGGGGAAATAGTCATGGAGATGAAGTTGACAGAGTGATGGCCAGGCAGCCCTTTACGATTAGTTGCAAGCTACCAGTTATGTCTGTTTTAATCTGGAGGATGCTTCAGTAATGAAGCGAGTGCGTGAATCTCAATAATGCAAAGTTAATGTTGTTAGCATTGGCCACCATCATTGCTTCACTTTTGTCCAACAGGGATTTTTTTTTATTATTATTATCCTCCTTCAGAGCTGTAATAGGATGGAAATATTCTCACTCACTGTTATTTTTGAGAACAGTAAGTGAATGTTAGCCCTTCTGCCCCTTAAATCCATAGCAACAAACCTATTCCTTTTAAAACCTAATTTCAAAACGGTGGCTAGACCTAGAAATCTATCCTTTTAAGCTCACATGTGGTATGGCAGAGGTTATATCTTCACTCCTGTAATTTTCCTCTGGGGAACGACTAGACTTTCGCTAACAAAAGTATTGGTTAAATTTCACCCACTGGGAAAAAGAAAACTGACAAAAATGTGTCACATTACCTGGGTGTAGGGCTACAGAAGATTTTTTTTTCTTCTGTAGTTGGTAAAGATGTAATGATGTTATTTGATCCTGTGCCCTTCTCTGGGTAAAGTGGCAAATAATGTATTTACCTGGATAATTAAGCAAATGTGAAAAACAGAAGGAAAACCAAACAAACAAAATACATATTTTGTCTGGGCTCTCTGAAGTTTTTCCTGAGATAAGATGAGGGAGGAAAGGTGAGATGAAATTATTCAGATAATTGTCTCACTTCTCTAGCTCACTTTCTGCAGGGAGATGGTCTCATCCTTGGAGGTCTAGCCTTTCTCTGGTGTTGGCTCTTTTTAAGCCGTTATCAGGATAAGCTATTTGAGAGTATCCCCTGTAAAACCATGCAATTTTCTTCGAAGGGTTGCCACAGAAGTTCCATTAGACAGCTAACTCCTAGTAAGTACATTAGAGGAATAATCTTGTCTCATCGGGGCTACTGGCTGAACTGATACTTCTCATTTTAAAAATTTCCTTGTATCTGATTCTGTCAAAAGAAACATTCTTTTAAGAAATATGCTGATTACCAAGCATTCTATTAAATGCTTTATGGCTGAATTTTTTTCCTTACCAATTAGCATCGGATAGCATCAGCTTATAAATGCCCTATTTCAAAAGAAAGTTTTGGAAAAATTCACCATTATTTCTACATTTCAACCTTGAATGATATGAGGAGAATCTTATTGTTAACTGTTAGTTTTTGGATGTTTAGCCTCTTTATTTGTCTATAGTTTGCAAAAAGAGTCTGTAGACAGGTGTGTGTGTGTGTGTGTGTGTGTGTGTGTGTGTGTGTGAATAGAAGAGTCTATTTTTGATTCTTAGAGATACCTGGAAGGACTATTAGTTTACCTATGGTCAGCAAACCCTGATGGTCTGAGACAGGGAGAGAGTCCTGTCCTGCCCTGGATACACAGGGCATCCTTGGAGCTGTTGGGCAGGTCTGCTGCTGTTACCCCCTTCAATAAGAGTTCCCCTCTCGCCCCAGCATCATCTGGTGGCTGATAGACTGGGCTCTGTGGGTGGGAGAGGGGTTAGTATGGAGGCAGCAACCAAGGGCACGTGATAGGGGCCTCTTCCAAGAGGGGTGATGGGCACATACTCAGCAGGTGTTACATAAATGGGCCAAAGATGGTCTCTGGATATTGGCCCCTGGGTTGTTTATTTCTTCACTTCCGGCTGAGACTTCTTAGATCAAAAGCCTATTGGTGCCAAACTCAGTTTTTCACACATCCAATTATTTTAAAAATAGCCCAAACAAGCAGATTTTTAGCCACTTAGGGCCTGCTTGCTTTGCATATCCTGCAAAACCTCACCTCCCACCTGCTGGCCTTTGAAAGGCAGGGCCTTATGCTTACAGGATCCAAGCAGCTCCCATCCTTCCACGTTCTCTGACCTAGACACACTCCACCATCCTGCTGAGGAACATCTCCTGGACGCAACCCTCCTCTTTGCTCCCCCTTCTGGTCCCCCTCTCTCCCAAGAGTTCCCTGGTTCTCTTCCTCTTCAGAGCAGTAGTTCCTTCTGGACAGTCCCATGATATGAAGGGCTTCTCCTCTAACGCAACCTTGTCCAAATGTCTCCCAGTAAAACTCACTGGGGGTTATTTTTCTCTTTATTAGCCCTCAAATTCTTTGAACTCTCACAGTATATTATGATCAAGGCCCTGTTACTCTTGGCCATCAGCTCCATACCCTGTCTCTGAACTGAAGGGCTATACATAGATTTGACTGCACTGTTTCTTTTCTTTTGTGTGTGTGTCTGTGTGTGTATACCTCTTCTAATTGGGACAATGCTCAGTCTTCCAAATCCTGTCTATTCTGAAACACCCACAGAAATAAATTATCTTACCTACTAAGAGGCAATCATTGACTGGTAATGTTTTTGCTGCTTAAGTATAATGGAAAGTACATAGATGTCATTTTATTATTGTTCTATAAACTGCAGTGTATATTTTAGCCTTTGTGATTACACACACACACACACACACACACTATATATATATATATATAAAATGAAATATAAAAAAAGAGTCAACCTTTTCTAACACAAGAGACAAGGGAAAGAGTGGAGTTTGTGGTGGAGAAAGAATGAGACATAGAAATAAAATTAGTATCCAATTATTTAAGGCTGCTTCATGTCATTTGCTAATCTTGTTTTTATAACTAGATTACAAACTTTGTGAGATCGTGGATAAATGTCTTATTCCTTTACCATCTGTGTCCTGCTGCAATATTGGATTAGTATTTGTTCTCAATAAATTTGTTGATGAAGGCAAAGATAGAGAAGAGGAAGTTGACTGGGGAAAAGAAGAGATGGAGGGAAATAAGAGGACAAGGGCTTAGTGAGGAAGAGAGAAATCTAGGAAAGGAAGCTTAGCCAAGTGACCTTAGGCAAAAGTCTTTGAGCTTCAAATTACTAACCTATACATGGGGATAAGATGGCAGGTGTGACTGGATAGGGATGTGGAGTGACTTTTAATGGGGCATAGGTACACTTGCGGGTTGCATCTTTTCCTATGCCAAAAAACCCATGAAGGTGGCCCTCAGAAGAGCAGGTGACCACCTGGGCTCTGGAATCACCTGGAAAGTCTCAGAGCGTTAGTTAGGAAGAAGGTGCCAGGGGACCAGTTTAGAAGAGTAGCCCCTTTGTTTGGGGGAGATGTTATCTAGTTAGGCTCTTTGTATTTTTAGGGCTCAGAAGGGAAAGTCTGGGCAATAGATCCTAGGGGAGGAAAGGAGCCCCCGGACTCTGTGTTGGTAGATCCTGGTTCCTCCTTCACTGAGCTCTCTAAGCTCATGTGGCAGCTGGATGTGGTCACTACACGTGGTTTACAGCTGGATGGAAACCAAAGCACTTAGAGCTAGATTTGGGGGGCCCAGTTAGGAGGCTCCCTCAGAGGAGCTGAGTACTGAGGGAATGGCTGATGTTCCTAGAAAGAGGTGTAACCACCGGCCCCGGAGAAAAGGTCACAGCCGGTGTGGATTATCAAAGGGTGAGAGGAGTCTTAAAAGGGAGACATTAGACTCCCTGCTAATAAGGCCTGTGGAGATTTGGATGATTGATTAGAAGAAGAAGAGACAATGGGATTCACACTTACATTTACAAAGCAGTTCTGACCAGTTATACTATGATTAAACATGCTGCCTGCCTCCCCATGCATGAGGAGCCGAATATGTATTCCAAGGCAAGACAAGGACAATTATAAAAAGATTTAGGAAGATGCCAAGGTTATGGATTGGAAACCTCTGTTGTTCTAAATCGTGTGGCATCACTTGGGCTTTCTCCCTGGTGCAATTACGTTACAGAAAATCACTTTCATGCTGGTGTCCACAGCATGTGGGCAAAATCAGGGAGTTTAAAAGGCCTTCACGGTTAAGAATCTTGGATTGAACACCACATAACTGGTTTCAAAAAGTCTGAAAACAATGGATACTTGAAAATTTATAACTTACCTAGAGGATCACTTGATTTTTTATTGAAGTAATTAAAAATAAAACAACTTCTTCTTGATTCAATTTGTTATTCTTCACCCTCATCTGCCATTGCCAAAAGTTATCCATTTCATTGAAATTTACTAATATGTTTACATACCGGGTACGTTTTTTACTTATAATTTAAAAATCTTCTCCGTATTCCACTATCATCTTTCATTTCTAAATGCATTTACTTATGATTTTGCTTTTTATGTTTATTGATTAGCTTATTCAGAGATTTATCTATTTTACTGAATTTTCAAGGAACCAATTCTTGGTATCATTTATCAACTTTGCTTTTCTATTTTTAATTCATTTATGTATTTATTTATCTTTATTATCTTCTTCCCCTGCTTGAGTTCCATTTTGCCATTTCTTTAGTTTCTTGAGTTGAAAACTTTATTATCTTACCTTCTATTAAAATAGTAGCAAATATATGTGGTTATATATTATATGAAAGCACAGTTTTAACCATATCCTATAAATATGTGTGTGTGTATATATATATGTGTGTATGAAGAAAAATAAATTTAAAAACAAAAATATTATACAATATTGCAGAAATCTGCTGGTGAGGCCTCAGGAAGCTCAGGGAGCTTCCATTCATGGCAGAAGGTGAGGTGGGAACAGGCATATCACATGGCAAGAGAGGCAGCAAGAGTGATGCCAGGCTCTTTTAAACAACCAGCTCTTGTGTGAACTCAGAGTGAGAACTCACTCATTACCACGGGGAGGGCACCAAGCCATTCATGAAGGATCTGTCCCCATGACCCAAACACCTCCCACCAGGCTCCACCTCCAACACTGGGAATTGCATTTCAACATGATATTTGGAAGGGACAAATATGCAAACATATCACATTTGTTATTAATTTCCAGTTTTATTGTGTTGCATTCAGAGAATGTGGCCTGATCACGTCTAATTTTTAGAATGCATTGAGGATTTTTAGTACAATACTTAAAAGCAGAGCAGGTGTTTCTCCGTAAGTGAGGGAGAACACACCCATACCCACTCACCCACCCACCCACACACATGCCAGTGTAACCTTATAGATTCAAAAGCATCATTTTTTCTCTTGTTTTCTGATTACTTGACCTGTCATAGATTGATAATGATATAATAAAGTCTTTATTTGTAAATGACTGCCAAAGGCAGTGTGATGAATTAGAAAAAGCTGTTTTCAGATCTCAGCTCCATCTCTTAGTAGCAAAGGATTTCCCAAAAGCAGTACCTGAGACAAGGATTTGAGTGCAAGTCAATTATTTGATAGGCGACAGGAACACTGGTAAGGAAGTTAAGAAATGAATCAGAGAAGAGGAGGCGGCACTATTTCAGTAAAATGGGTATCTGTGTTGCTTGATATTTATTCTTTGAAATTTGAGGTTTGGGGGAGGAGCCAAGATGGCCGAATAGGAACAGCTCCGGTCTACAGCTCCCAGCGTGAGCGACGCAGAAGACGGGTGATTTCTGCATTTCCATCTGAGGTACCGGGTTCATCTCACTAGGGAGTGCCAGACAGTGGGCGCAGGCCAGTGGGTGCGCGCACCGTGCGCGAGCCGAAGCAGGGCGAGGCATTGCCTCACCTGGGAAGCGCAAGGGGTCAGGGAGTTCCCTTTCCAAGTCAAAGAAAGGGGTGACGGACGCACCTGGAAAATCGGGTCACTCCCACCTGAATATTGCGCTTTTCAGACCGGCTTAAAAAACGGCGCACCAGGAGACTATATCCCACACCTGGCTCCGAGGGTCCTACGCCCACGGAGTCTCGCTGATGGCTAGCACAGCAGTCTGAGATCAAACTGCAAGGCGGCAGCGAGGCTGGGGGAGGGGCGCCCGCCATTGCCCAGGCTTGCTTAGGTAAACAAAGCAGCCGGGAAGCTCCAACTGGGTGGAGCCCACCACAGCTCAAGGAGGCCTGCCTGCCTCTGTAGGCTCCACCTCTGGGGGCAGGGCACAGACAAACAAAAAGACAGCAGTAACCTCTGCACACTTAAATGTCCCTGTCTGACAGCTTTGAAGAGAGCAGTGGTTCTCCCAGCACGCAGCTGGAGATCTGAGAACGGGCAGACTGCCTCCTCAAGTGGGTCCCTGACCCCTGACCCCCGAGCAGCCTAACTGGGAGGCACCCCCCAGCAGGGGCACACTGACACCTCACACGGCAGGGTATTCCAACAGACCTGCAGCTGAGGGTCCTGTCTGTTAGAAGGAAAACTAACAAACAGAAAGGACATCCACACCGAAAACCCATCTGTACATCACCATCATCAAAGACCAAAAGTAGATAAAACCACAAAGATGGGGAAAAAACAGAACAGAAAAACTGGAAACTCTAAAACGCAGAGCGCCTCTCCTCCTCCAAAGGAACGCAGTTCCTCACCAGCAACAGAACAAAGCTGGATGGAGAATGATTTTGACGAGCTGAGAGAGGAAGGCTTCAGACGATCAAATTACTCTGAGCTACGGGAGGACATTCAAACCAAAGGCAAAGAAGTTGAAAACTTTGAAAAAAATTTAGAAGAATGTATAACTAGAATAACCAATACAGAGAAGTGCTTAAAGGAGCTGATGGAGCTGAAAACCAAGGCTCGAGAACTACGTGAAGAATGCAGAAGCCTCAGGAGCCGATGCGATCAACTGGAAGAAAGGGTATCAGCAATGGAAGATGAAATGAATGAAATGAAGCGAGAAGGGAAGTTTAGAGAAAAAAGAATAAAAAGAAATGAGCAAAGCCTCCAAGAAATATGGGACTATGTGAAAAGACCAAATCTATGTCTGATTGGTGTACCTGAAAGTGATGCGGAGAATGGAACCAAGTTGGAAAACACTCTGCAGGATATTATCCAGGAGAGCTTCCCCAATCTAGCAAGGCAGGCCAACGTTCAGATTCAGGAAATACAGAGAACGTCGCAAAGATACTCCTCAAGAAGAGCAACTCCAAGACACATAATTGTCAGATTCACCAAAGTTGAAATGAAGGAAAAAATGTTAAGGGCAGCCAGAGAGAAAGGTCGGGTTACCCTCAAAGGGAAGCCCATCAGACTAACAGCGGATCTCTCGGCAGAAACCCTACAAGCCAGAAGAGAGTGGGGGCCAATATTCAACATTCTTAAAGAAAAGAATTTTCAACCCAGAATTTCATATCCAGCCAAACTAAGCTTCATAAGTGAAGGAGAAATAAAATACTTTACAGACAAGCAAATGCTGAGAGATTTTGTCACCACCAGGCCTGCCCTAAAAGAGCTCCTGAAGGAAGCGCTAAACATGGAAAGGAACAACCAGTACCAGCAGCTGCAAAATCATGCCAAAATGTAAAGACCATCGAGACTAGGAAGAAACTGCATCAACTAACGAGCAAAATCACCAGCTAACGTCATAATGACAGGATAAAATTCACACATAACAATTTAACTTTCAATGTAAATGGACTAAATTCTCCAATTAAAAGACACAGACTGGCAAGTTGGATAAAGAGTCAAGACCCATCAGTGTGCTGTATTCAGGAAATCCATCTCACGTGCAGAGACACACATAGGCTCAAAATAAAAGGATGGAGGAAGATCTACCAAGCAAATGGAAAACAAAAAAAGGCAGGGGTTGCAATCCTAGTCTCTGATAAAACAGACTTTAAACCAACAAAGATCAAAAGAGACAAAGAAGGCCATTACATAATGGTAAAGGGATCAATTCAACAAGAGGAGCTTACTATCCTAAATATATGTGCACCCAATACAGGAGCACCCAGATTCATAAAGCAAGTCCTGAGTGACCTACAAAGAGACTTAGACTCCCACACATTAATAATGGGAGACTTTAACACCCCACTGTCAACATCAGACAGATCAACGAGACAGAAAGTCAACAAGGATACCCAGGAATTGAACTCAGCTCTGCACCAAGCGGACCTAATAGACATTACAGAACTCTCCACCCCAAATCAACAGAATATACATTTTTTTCAGCACCACACCACACCTATTCCAAAATTGACCACATAGTTGGAAGTAAAGCTCTCCTCAGCAAATGTAAAAGAACAGAAATTATAACAATCTCTCAGACCACAGTGCAATCAAACTAGAACTCAGGATTAAGAATCTCACTCAAAGCCGCTCAACTACATGGAAACTGAACAACCTGCTCCTGAATGACTACTGGGTACATACGAAATGAAGGCAGAAATAAAGATGTTCCTTGAAACCAACGAGAACAAAGACACAGCATACCAGAATCTCTGGGACGCATTCAAAGCAGTGTGTAGAGGGAAATTTATAGCACTAAATGCCCACAAGAGAAAGCAGGAAAGATCCAAAATTGACACCCTAACATCACAATTAAAAGAACTAGAAAAGCAAGAGCAAACACATTCAAAAGCTAGCAGAAGGCAAGAAATAACTAAGATCAGAGCAGAACTGAAGGAAATAGAGACACAAAAAACCCTTCAAAAAATCACTGAATCCAGGAGCTGGTTTTTTGAAAGGATCAACAAAATTGATAGACCACTAGCAAGACTAATAAAGAAAAAAAGAGAGAAGAATCAAATAGACACAATAAAAAATGATAAAGGGGATAGCACCACCGATCCCACAGAAATACAAACTACCATCAGAGAATACTACAAACACCTCTACGCAAATAAACTAGAAAATCTAGAAGAAATGGATAAATTCCTTGACACATACACTCTCCCAAGACTAAACCAGGAAGAAGTTGAATCTCTGAATAGACCAATAACAGGAGCTGAAATTGTGGCAATAATCAATAGTTTACCAACCAAAAAGAGTCCAGGACCAGATGGATTCACAGCCGAATTCTACCAGAGGTACAAGGAGGAACTGGTACCATTCCTTCTGAAACTATTCCAATCAATAGAAAAAGAGGGAATCCTCCCTAACTCATTTTATGAGGCCAGCATCATCCTGATACCAAAGCCGGACAGAGACACAACCAAAAAAGAGAATTTTAGACCAATATCCTTGATGAACATTGATGCAAAAATCCTCAATAAAATACTGGCAAACCGAATCCAGCAGCACATCAAAAAGCTTATCCACCATGATCAAGTGGGCTTCATCCCTGGGATGCAAGGCTGGTTCAATATACGCAAATCAATAAATGTAATCCAGCATATAAACAGAGCCAAAGACAAAAACCACATGATTATCTCAATAGATGCAGAAAAAGCCTTTGACAAAATTCAACAACCCTTCATGCTAAAAACTCTCAATAAATTAGGTATTGATGGGACGTATTTCAAAGTAATAAGAGCTATCTATGACAAACCCATAGCCAATATCATACTGAATGGGCAAAAACTGGAAGCATTCCCTTTGAAAACTGGCACAAGACAGGGATGCCCTCTCTCACCGCTCCTATTCAACATAGTGTTGGAAGTTCTTGCCAGGGCAATCAGGCAGGAGAAGGAAATAAAGGGTATTGAATTAGGAAAAGAGAAAGTCAAATTGTCCCTGTTTGCAGATGACATGATTGTTTATCTAGAAAACCCCATCATCTCAGCCCCAAATCTCCTCAAGCTGATATGCAAGTTCAGCAAAGTCTCAGGATACAAAATCAATGTACAAAAATCACAAGCATTCCCATACACCAACAACAGACAAACAGAGAGCCAAATCATGAGTGAACTCCCATTCACAATTGCTTCAAAGAGAATAAAATACCTAGGAATCCAACTTACAAGGGATGTGAAGGACCTCTTCAAGGAGAACTACAAACCACTGCTCAAGGAAATAAAAGAGGATACAAACAAATGGAAGAACATTCCATGCTCATGGGTAGGAAGAATCAATATCGTGAAAATGGCCATACTGCCCAAGGTAATTTACAGATTCAATGCCATCCCCATCAAGCTACCAATGACTTTCTTCACAGAATTGGAAAAAACTACTTTAAAGTTCATATGGAACCAAAAAAGAGCCCGCATCGCCAAGTCAATCCTAAGCCAAAAGAACAAAGCTGGAGGCATCACACTACCTGACTTCAAACTATACTACAAGGCTACAGTAACCAAAACAGCATGGTACTGGTACCAAAACAGAGATATAGACCAATGGAACAGAACAGAGCCCTCAGAAATAACGCCGCATACCTACAACTATCTGATCTTTGACAAACCTGAGAAAAACAAGCAATGGGGAAAGGATTCCCTACTTAAGAACTGGTGCTGGGAAAACTGGCTAGCCATATGTAGAAAGCTGAAACTGGATCCCTTCCTTACACCTTATACAAAAATCAATTCAAGATGGATTAAAGATTTAAACGTTAGACCTAAAACCATAAAAACTCTAGAAGAAAACCTAGGCATTACCATTCAGGACATAGGCGTGGGCAAGGACTTCATGTCCAAAACACCAAAAGCAATGGCAACCAAAGCCAAAATTGACAAATGGAATCTAATTAAACTAAAGAGCTTCTGCACAGCAAAAGAAACTACCATCAGAGTGAACAGGCAACCTACAACATGGGAGAAAATTTTCGCAACCTACTCATCTGACAAAGGGCTAATATCCAGAATCTACAATGAACTCAAACAAATTTACAAGAAAAAAACAAACAACCCCATCAAAAAGTGGGTGAGGGACATGAACAGACACTTCTCAAAAGAAGACATTTATGCAGCCAAAAAACACATGAAAAAATGCTCATCATCACTGGCCATCAGAGAAATGCAAATCAAAACCACTATGAGATATCATCTCACACCAGTTAGAATGGCAATCATTAAAAAGTCAGGAAACAACAGGTGCTGGAGAGGATGTGGAGAAATAGGAACACTTTTACACTGTTGGTGGGACTGTAAACTAGTTCAACCATTGTGGAAGTCAGTGTGGCAATTCCTCAGGGATCTAGAACTAGAAATACCATTTGACCCAGCCATCCCATTACTGGGTATATACCCAAATGACTATAAATCATGCTGCTATAAAGACACATGCACACGTATGTTTATTGCGGCATTATTCACAATAGCAAAGACTTGGAACCAACCCAAATGTCCAACAATGATAGACTGGATTAAGAAAATGTGGCACATATACACCATGGAATACTATGCAGCCATAAAAAATGATGAGTTCATGTCCTTTGTAGGGACATGGATGAAATTGGAAACCATGATTCTCAGTAAACTATCGCAAGAACAAAAAACCAAACACCGCATATTCTCGCTCATAGGTGGGAATTGAACAATGAGATCACATGGACACAGGAAGGGGAATATCACACTCTGGGGACTGTTGTGGGGAGGGGGGAGGGGGGAGGGTTAGCATTGGGAGATATACCTAATGCTAGATGACGAGTTAGTGGGTGCAGCGCACCAGCATGGCACATGTATACACATGTAACTAACCTGCACAATGTGCACATGTACCCTAAAACTTAAAGTATAATTAAAAAAAAATAATAATAGTAATAATAATAATAATAATAATAAAAAGAAATTTGAGGTTTAATTTATTTGCTGTGAAAACCATAGATCTTAGTTGTACAGTTTGATGAATTTTTTAAATATAAACATCCATGTAACTTATACCCCTATTAAGGTATAGAACATTTCTATCACCCCAGAAAACTCCTTCCCAGTCAATTCTGTCATCCTCTAGAGGTGATCATTATCCTGACTTCAATCCCATAATTTGGTTTCACGCACTCTACAACTGTACATAAATGGAATCCTATAGTGTGCATTCTTTTGTATCCAGCTTCGCTTCTTTCACTCGGCATGTCAGTGAGATTCATTATGTCTTTGCATATTTCAGTGGCTACTTTTTATTGCTGAGTAGTATTCCATTGTATTAATATATTATAATTTATTTTTCTATTGTTTTGTTGATAACCATTTGCACTGTTTTCTGAAGAATATGAATAAAGCTGCTGTGAACATTCTTGTACCCTTTTTTTGGGGGGGGGGAGGGAATTTGTCTTTATTTATTTTGAGGAATGTTGTGGTTTGAATGTATTCTCTCCAAACTTTAGGTGTTGCCAATGTGATAGTATTAAGAGATAGGGCTTTACAGAGGTTATTAGATCACAAGGTCTCGTCCCTGTTGCATGGGATTAAATAGAAGAAGCTTCACGCAGTCTTTGGCTCACTTGCCCTTTCACCTTCTGCCAGGTGAGGACACAGCATTCCTCCTTCTGCAGGATGCCGCCCTTGCCAGACAGCTGCACCTGCTGGTGCTTTGATCTTAGACTTCTCAGCCTCCAACACTGCAAGAAAGAAATTTCTATTCTTTATAAATTAACCAGGCTCAGATATTCTGTTGTAGCGGCAACAAAATGAATGAGGACAGAAATCAGTACCAAATAAGTGGGGGTGTTGCTACAACAAAAACCTAAAATTATGAAAGTGGCTTTGGAACTGGGTAGTGGGTAGAGGCTGAGACTGTTTTCAAGTGAATGCTGGAAAAAGCCTGTACGGTTGTGAACAGAGCATTAACGGCAATTCTAGTGAGGGCTTGAAGAGAGGTGAAGGCTCTGTCTTCTTAGTGATCACCTAAATGGTTGTGACCAGAATGCTCATAGAAACATGGGCAGTAACGACTATCCTGATGAAGCCTCAGATGGAAGTGAGGAACAAGTTATTGGAAACTGGAGGAAAGGCCACCCTTGTTATGATGGCAGAGAACTTGGCTGAAGTATGTCCAAATCCTAGGACTTTTAAAAAAGCAATGAACTAGGATATTTGGATATAAGCAGTGAACTAGGATATTTGGCAGAAGAAATCTCTAAGCAGCAAAGTGTTCAGGATGCTGCATAGCTTCTATTAACTACTTACAGCAAGATGTGAGAAAACAGAAATGACTTAAAGGCAGAATTGATAATCAAAAGGGAAGTAGAACACAAAATTTGAAAAATTCTCAGCCTGGCCATGTAAAGAGTAAAAAAGGCATGTTTAGGAGAGAAAACCAGTGGTATGACCAGGTGACCATTTGATAAGGGGATTAGTATGGATAGAAGGAAGCCAGATACTCTTCATCAGGACAATGACCCCAAAGCTTTTCAGAGAACTTCGAGGCTGTCCTGCCCATCACAGGCTCAGAGTGCCAGGGCCTTGAGGGCATAATGGTTTCAAGAGAGGAGTACAGGGCACCCGTGGAACCTTGGATCTTGTTGCTTGGCCACCTTATGTCTCTGCTCCCTGCATTCCAGTGCAATGCTCTGTGGCTGCCCCAGCTGTGGCTCAGGCACACCAAGACGCAGCTCAAGCCACTTCAGAGGGCACAAGCAATGAGCCTTGGTGGTGTCCCTATGGTGCTAATTCTGCAGGTACACAGAGTGCAAGAACTGTGGAGGTATGGCTTCCCCCACTTACATTTCAAAGGATGCCTCATAGAGCTTTAGGACCTATGCAAAAACCTGGTGCAGGGGCAGAGTCACTATAGAGTCCTCACTAGGGCAATACCCAGTATAGCCAAGGGGCTGGTGCCACCATAGAGAGTATTTATTAGGGCAATCCCTAGTGGAGTTGTGGGAATGGGGCCACTCCTGAGATCCCAGACATGCAGAGCCACTGGTGTGTAACACCAGCCAGAGAGATCTGCAGGAACTGTACTACAGCCCGTAAGAGGTGAGGCATGAGCTGCTCCCAGCAAAGCCAGGGGGCAGGGTCCCCTGGAATCTTGGGGACCCAACCTCCACCCCAGTGTGTCTGGAAGGTGGGACTTGGAGTCAAAGATTATTCTCAAACTGTAAGATTTAATTTTGTTTGGCTTGTTGGGTTTTGGACTTAATTTGATACTGATTACCCCTTTCTTCTTGCCCATTTCTCCCTTTTGGAACAGAGATGTCTGTCCTGTGCCTGTTCCACCATTGTATTTTGGAAGCACGTAATTTATTTGATTTCACAAGTTTGCAGCTGGAGGGCAATTTGCCTCAGGATGAAACACACCTTTGAATCTCACCCACATCTGATTTAGATGATATCTAGATGAGATGCTAAACTTTAGACGTTTGAGTTGATTCTGGCACAAGCTAAAACTTTTGGGGGGCTATTGGGATAAAATGCATGTAATTTGCCTGTGAGAATGACATGAATTTTGGAGGGCCAGGGGCAGAATGCTATGGTTTAAATATGTTCCCACTAAAATTCAGGTGTTGCCAATGTGATAGTGTTAACAGGTGGGGCCTTTAAAAGGTAATTAGGCCATGAAGCTTCCTTTATCATGAATGGGATTAAGGTCCTTATCGAAGAGGCTTCATGCAGCATTTGGTTTGCTTGCCCTTCCTCTTTCTCCTAGGTGAGGACACCATGTTCCTCTACTGTTGTGGATGCAGCCCTCACCAGACGACCGAACCTGCCAGTGCCTTGTTCTTGGACTTCCTAGCCTTCAGAACTGTGAGTAGTCTATTTCTGTTATTTGTAAATTACCTAGTTCCAGGTGTTCTGTTATACCAGTGCAAAATGGATGAAGATGGGGAAATATCTAGGGATTAAATTGATGGGCCATAGGTAGATGTATGTTTAACTTCATAAGAAACTGTTAAATAGCTTTCAAAAATGGCTGTGCCATGTTATGCTCCTACCAACAGTGGATGAACATTCCAGATGCTATACTTTCTCACCTACTTTTGGTGGTGTTAGTGTTTTTAATTTCAGCTATTTGCATGGATGTGAAATAATATGTCATTGTGATTTTTAATGTGCATTTTCTTGTTGATTAATGGAGTTGAACGTGATTTCATGTGCTAATTGACCAGTTTTATGGTTTTCTTTTTGGAATGCTTAAGTTTTGGGTTGTATCTTTTTTATTATGTAGTTGTAGGAATTCATTATTCTGCATACAAATTTTTTTGTCAGATATATGTGTTGAGCATATTTTCTCCCAGTCTGTGCCTTGCCCATTTATTTTCTTGAAAGAATCTTTTAATGATCAGAAGGTTCTAATTTGGATGCAATCCAGTGTATCAATTTATCCTTTATGGTTCCTAGTTTCTTCCCCTTGCAGCACATAGATCTTCACCTCCTATGTTAAATTTATTCCTAAGTATTTGATTTTCTTTTTGATGCTATTGTAAATGGCATTGTTTTCTTAATTTCTTTTTCAGATCATTTGTTAGTGTTAGTATATAGATACACAAATAATTTTTGTATGTTGATTTTTGTACCGTGAAATTTTATTAAATTTGTTTATTCTGAGAGATTTTTGGTGGAGTCTTCAGGGATTTCTAGACATAAGGTTATATCATCTGCAAACAGACAATTTTACTTCTTCCTTTCCAACTTACATGCCTTTTATTTCTTTTTCTTGCTTAATCGTTTTTGCTAGGACATTACTATACTGAATAAAAAAGGTGAGTATGGGCATCCTTGTCTTATTCCTGATCTTACAGAAAAAACTTTCAGCATTTTACCATTGAGTATGACGTTAGCTGTGGGCTTTTCATATATGGCCTTTATTGTGTCGAGGCACATTTTTTAAAATTTAGTTCTTTTTTAATGTCTTTCAATACAGTTTGTAATTTTCTCCAAAGGGTATATACTTTTTAGATTAGTTTTAGGTGGTTTATATTTTTGTAATTGCCATTTTAAATGTTATCTTCAAAATTATATTTTCTAGTTACATATTAATTTTTCATCATATGCTACCATATTTCTTTATTATACTTTAAGTTCTGGGTTACATGTGCAGAACGTGCATTTTTGTTACATAGATATACACAGAGGCACATTCTTTTTATAACTAGTTTGTTGAGAGTTTTTATTATGAAAGAACTTTGACTTTTCAAATTCTTTTTCCACATTGATTGAGATAATCATACGATTTTTATTCTTCATTCTGTTAACATGAAGTATCACATTTATTGCTTCGTGTACATTGAACCATTCTTCTGTCCTAGGGATAAATCCCACTTCATCATTGTGTGTGATCCTTTTAATGTGCTGTTGAATTTGGTTTGCTAGTATTTTTAAAGGATTATTTACATCTATCTTTATCATGGATAGTGGCCCTATAATTTTCTTTTCTTGTAATGTGGCTACCTGGCTTTGGTATGCAGGTAATACTACACTCATAAAATGCATATGGACACATTTCCTCCTCTTTAATTTTTGGGCAGAATTTGAGAAGCATTGGCATGACTTCTTTAAATGTTTGGTAGAATTCACCAGTGAAACCATCAACTCCTGCACTTTTCTTTGTTGAGACGTTTTTGACTACTGATTCAATTCCCTTCCTTGTTATTGGTCTGTTCAGATTTTCTACTTTCTCGAGATTCAATCTTGGTAGATTGTATTTCTAGAAATTTATCTATTACTTCTAGGTTATGTAGTTTGCTGGTAAATAATTGTTCATAGTTGTTTCTTATGGTCTTTTGTATTTCTGTGGTATTAATTATGTTTCCTCTTTTTTATTTTATTTGAATCTTCTCACTTTAGTTATTCTAGCTAAATGTCAATTTTGTTTATCTTTTCAAAATAGCAGCTCTTAGTTTCATTGATGTTTTTTGTTGTTTTTTCAAATCACTATTTATTTCTGCTCTGATTTTTATTATGTCCTTCTTACTGCTAACTTTGGGCTGAAGTTTGTTCTTTTTCTGGTTCCTTGAGGTTTGTAGTTAGGTTGTTTATCTGAGATCTCTTTGTTCTTAATGTAGGCATTCATACCTATAAATTTCCATCTTAGAATAGCTTTTGCTGCATTTTGTAAATCTCAGTATGTTTTGTTTACATTTTGTTTGTCTCAGGATATATGTATTTTTAATTTCCCTTTTGATCTCTGAGTTATTTATTGTTCAGGAGTTTGTTGTTTAATTTCCATGTATTTGTGAAATTTCCAATTTTTCTCATTTTTTCCCCCTGGTTTTATATCATTGTGTTGGAAAACGCACTTGATGTGATTTTCATCTTAAATTTGTTAAGACTTGTGGCCTAACATAGGATCAATCCTAGAGAATATTCCAAGAGCATTTGAAAAGAGTGTTACCTCCCTTTTTGTTTATTCTTATACCAATATCGTACTGTCTTAATTATTGTGGCTTTATAGTAAGTCTTGAAAACAGGTTGTGTGCAAAAAAAAAAAAAAAAAAAAAAACTCATCTGGGATTTTGGTTGGGATTGCATTAAAGCTATAGATCAATTTTAGAGAGCTGGTGTCTTAGCAATATTGAGTTTTCCAATGCATGAACATAGTATCTTTCTCCATTTAAGTCTTCTTTAATTTTTCCCTGCAATGTTTATGGTCTCCAGTGTAGTGGTCTTACATATCTTTTGTTAAACTTATTCTGAAGTATTTTATGTTTTTGATGATATTATGTTATTCAAAAATTTTCAATTTTTCAAATACTTGCTGCAAGTATGTAGAAATACAGTTGAGTTTTTTAAACGTTGACTTTATGTAGAACAACCCTGTTAAATTCACTTATTAGTTCTAGTAGGTTTTAATTTTGGTAGATTCCTTAGAATTTTCTACATAGACAATCATGTTTTCTGCAAATAAAGGTAGTTCTACCTATTTCTTTCTAATATTTATCCTCATATTTTCTGTTTTTATTGCTTGGGTTAAGACCTCCAGGTATTAAATGTTTGATAGAACTGATGAAAGCAGACATATTTGTTTCCATCTTAGGAAGAAAGTATTTACTCTTCTACCATTACATATGATGCTAGCTATAGGTTTGTGTTTATATTTTCTAGATGCCCTTTATACAACTACATGGTTTTTCTTCTACTCAAAGTTTACTGAGCAGTTTTTTAAAAAATATAAAATTATGAGTGTCATAACTGCCAAATCTGTATTTATTTAGATAATCAGGTGATATTTTTCTTTATTCTGACTTGTTACTTATTGGCTGGTCTATTGCTGATCAACAAGTCAGAAAACCTGTCAGAGATTATAGCTTAGCAGCAGTGCTGAGGGATTTCTGGTGAGTTCTCTGTGGAAAGTAACTGAACATGGGAACTATGTGCTTCTTCACACAGCATTTGCCAGAGTGCAATGCCATTAGAAATGGCTTAGCTAAGGGGTAACATTGATAATCTACCACTAAATATTCCCTTCAGAAAAGATTTTGTGACCTTCCGGGCTAGTCAATTCCAATATTTCTGCAAGTCAACAGTCATAGGCCATTAAAGTCCTGTCAGTGACTGCCAATTAGTAATTGAGAGAACCTCAGAAACAGAGTATGAAGAAATGTCAGGAGAAACACAGTGAGATGTGGCCACTGCAATCCCTCAATGCAGGACCCTGAACTGGCTGCTTTGGGATTACTGCAACCTTTGTTAGAATATCTATTCCTTGGCTCTACCTCAGATCTTCTGCATGAGATTCTTGGTCAAGGTGAGCTCTGGGAATCAGCATTTTATATAAGTACCCTTGATGATTTTGACACAGTCACGATTAG
Organism: Homo sapiens; assembly: GCF_000001405.40. Taxonomy (NCBI): domain Eukaryota; kingdom Metazoa; phylum Chordata; class Mammalia; order Primates; family Hominidae; genus Homo; species Homo sapiens. Next base: position 219,944,782 of record NC_000002.12, read on the forward strand.
AAACCAGTGGGGTAGAAGGAACACTGGATCGGGCATTGAATGACACAGGGTGATCCTACTTCATTCACCAGCTCAGTTCCTCCATCTGGTTCTCAGTGTCCCCATCTGTATAATAAGGGAGTTGTACCAGTTGGCAGCTGAAGCCCTCCTGGGTTTGAGGTTTTTGGTCTTATTATCTGCACTAAGATTCTCTGGCTTGGCAAATGGAAGATGGGTTGGCATGCGTGGTATCAGCGAAGTTACACATGTGTCACCACACATCATTTCTGACAATCATGTCAAAGCAAGAGAACTGAAAACAGAAATTGCAGCTCCAGCATGGGAGTAATCTCCAAAGGACCTGACAGAACAGCCGTTGGCTAGAAGTTGTCGAGTAGCAGCTGGTTGGGTCTATGAGCTTCTTGCAGCTGTTTGTGATATGTCACATGAATTTTTGTTTTTATGTGTTAATGTACTCTGAGCTATTTTACAGTGCATTTGACATTTTACAGTAGAGTAAAGTGTGTACATGCCTAATTAAAACAGATGTGCATTTGATAAAATAATTACTGGATATGCTGAAGAAAAATGGCTAATTATATATACAGCATAAACACCTAAACATATGCTATAAATATATACTTGAAGTACTGAAAAGTAGGTATAATTGGCTGCATTCTCTGTTCGTGCCCAGACTTAGAGTCATTCCTTTAGATTTTCCTGGCCTTGGAATTCACCAGTGTTAGAATTTTCTGCCCCAAATTTGACCCCCATCTCATCCTTTTTTCTCTCCTGGAATGAAGATGAAGAAACATCCTCCACTGAAATGAGGCAGAGTTAATACAACCAAAATATAAAAAGATGACAGTTAACTTGAGTTACTATGTGCCAGGCATAGTGCTAGATACTTACATTATCTCATTTAATCTTCACACTAGCCTGGTGAGGTAGCTGCTATTCTTTGTCTTTTATAGATGGGGAAACTAGAGGCTCAGGGAGGTTGCTAAGTTGCCTAAGATCTCTAAACTGGGAAATGGAAGATACAAGGTTCAAACCAAGGTTTCACTGCAGAGCCTGTTCTCTTTAATTACGACCCTATACTGCTTCTCTGAGAACATCTTTCTGCCCAACCACTGTGCTCTCAGTTGGGAAATACTGCTGGTGAGGGAAACTCATCTCAAATGTCTCTGGTACCACTTTGTACATTTCAGAATATCTCAGCTCAGGAGTTCTATGATCGTGCCACTGCACTCCAGGCTGAGTGGCAGAGTGAAGCCCTTCTCTAGAAAAAGAAGAAAAGGAAAAAAAAAAAGAATATCCCAGACCAGACTTCTTCAATAGAAGGTCTTCATGCCTTTTTTTTTTTTCGAATGAGTGGAAAGTCCTCACTAAATGCCTACACACCCTGGGGGTTGTGGTACATGCTCCCAGGTTCTGGGATGCTGCCAGCTGGGTGAATGTGTTGATGTTAGGTGTTCAGAGGCAGAGTTGGATGCCTGTGACTGCTGGAAGTGCTGGGGTAAAAAGTGTTTGGGTAGTGAGAAATGTAGAAAATATTGAGAAGCCCTTTAAAAACTAAACAAGGATTTGTTTTCTCAAGATTTGTCAAGTGGACTTGGCCTTTTTGTAAATCCTCCAGTTTGCTTGGAGCATGGAGAAGACTGAAACAGTTATCAGATCCTACTCATGGGAAGCAGCTACAATCAATCTGTTTTTTGATATTTTGGAGAAATGGGTTATCCTGGCTCTCTATGACTACGTATGATTCTACAAGGATCCTGAAAATAATGTAGGTAGTGATGATTCAGGAAATGCCTAGGGTCACAGCAGGAATATTGAATGTCAGAGTATAAGATGTATGGTTAAAGGCATGGGCTCTTCCATCCACCTGCTATGTGACCTCTGGTCAGTGTCTTAAATGGGTTTCAGTTGCATCTGTAACATGAGAATAGAGTACCTTCCTTATAAGGATTGTTGTGAGGTTTAAATGAAATAATCTCTGAAGTGAGGCACTCAGCACAGTGTGTGGCAGCAGTGAGCACTGTAAAGGGAAGAGGGTGCATTAGATCAATTTATTGATCACCAGACTATAATCCTGGGTAAGCCATACCTACCCTCTCTTGATCATAATACTTTGATCTGTAAAACAAAATGAATGGATTAGAGGAACTTTTAGGTCACTCTGGCTCTAAGAATTGATGACTCCAGGGTACACATTCTCTAACCTCCTTTGGCCTTCTCACTTCATTTCTCAGCTTATGGAAACCATGCATCCTTAGAGCACAAGTGGAGGGAAAGCCTCATGTATGGTGCAACAGTAAATGCTGTGAAGATCTGTAAAGGACCAGTTTTATTGGAATACCATGTTCTGAGCTGGTTTTCTTCCTTTCCTTTAAATTCCTTCTACTTGAGAGTCCCACTTGGCAGGCATGAGAGTGAAAGTGGGGGACCCCGGAAACTCCCCTGGGCTCCTGTGGTGAGCAAATTCTAGCCAAGGCCTGAGGTCTGTGAGCCTTCAGGGTTTGGAAGGCTTTGCAGGTTCAATCAACTGGCCCACCAGCAAGTGTTTATTGCAGCAACCTCATGGAAGAACTGTTCCAAAGTGGCATAGTTACAGCCCTGCTCTAGTCGGGGGAGGAGGCAAGGAGGAAGAGAGCCGTTGGCACAGGTAGCTTGAGAATTCTAGGGCACTGGCCCACCTTTGTTGTGCCCCAGCCTGTAACCCTTCTTGGGCTCTGCATCTGTAGCTCACTAGGGCAGCATGAGCTGAGTTTCTCCCCTTATCCTATACCCACAAGTGGACTTATTGTTAAAGGGAATAACCGTGTTTGGACATATATATGATATTGGGAAGGCATTACTAATGCATGGTTTAAATAATTACCATGTGTAGTGAATTTTTTATAAAGCAAAATCAGTGATTCTTCTTATTAAGATGGTGCTTTGAGCTGTAAGAATGCTATTTTCAGATTCCCTCATGCCTCTGCTGCACATTGCATTGTGAATTTGGCTTCAAGCATACCAAGTCTTTTAGTCACAAGAGGGCACAACTACAAAAATGGGTTAGACCATGTTTTTCTTCTTCCTGCGACTGCAGAGATGAAGGGAATGAAGGTTAGCTCATGAATGGTATGGGGCTGGTGTTTTGGAGTATACTGGGGGTGGCAGCAGGGGCAACTATTTGGGAGTTAAAAGGTCCTGGCGCTGGATATAGAGATGGATTGTGGCAAAGGACTACTATGAGAAAATAGAAAAGGAGGCAAGCTGTAATTGTGTTTATCAATCCTTTTGAATTTTGAAACTTCAATTTCCACAAAAGAGCTGATGGATGGATGTCAAGAAAAATGTCGCTGGGGACTTATTCCTTGTTGGAGTAATTAACACGTAAGTGAATGAAACACACTGTTCTCATCTGGTACCCGGTCTGTTTCTTTAGCTAAATCTTAGGCATTTAAGCTTATGTTTCATTTAAACTTATATTTATTTAAAATGTCATGTGTCACATTGGAAAATATTCTTGTTAAAGAAATAAATCAAGCATTTAATATTTATAAAAATGGAATAGTCCCTTTTTCCTAAAGGTGGAAACTGAAATCTAGATTGATACAGATGTAGTTACCATCACCCACGGTTTATGAAAGAGAATAGATTCATCCAGAGTCCCTGAAAGAAAGATATATTCATTTCATCCTGGCCATACTTTTGTACCCACAGAGTCAAAGTGTGGGCTGGCCAACTAAATTTGTAATCACCAAGCAGATATAAGTACAAATTAAGATTACAGAAGGAGATGATGCAAATTAATGGATCTCAGCTGTAAATGGATTTTTGCCTCAAATCTTTTTTTTTCTTCTTTTCTGATGAAAAGCAATAAGGTTATTATATAAGTTACTTCTGAAGAGACTTCTTGTTTTGGAAAAAAATCCAATTTATTGAGCTTGATTCTCCAACTTAATGGTTGGCGAGCAAGCTTTACAGTATACAGTTGGAGTGAAGACAAAAATTGGGAGGAGAGACCCAGGGCCTATACTAATTTCTAGTGAAGAATTTGGAAGGGTTATAGAGAGAAGTAGTTCCCTGGAACTTTTTTTCAAGATTGTTAGTGATGGAGAGGTAATTGTATAGACTGATTTTATTCTTTTCCTAAGTAAAGAGGTAACATTTTTTGATGTCCTGAATATGAGTAATTTACTGTACTTTAAGTAGATGGAAAGTTACATCTCATATAAAAAAAAAAAAAACCCTGACAAATGATTAGGAGTTAAACACATTTTCTACCAAAACAACGTTCTCGCTCATAAGAAAAAAAAAAAAATCCCTGGTGGGTGTTTTGAATTCCACCTAAAAATAATAAGATGAAGAGAAAATTGAATACTACAAGAGACTAACGACATGTGTGGTACAGCTTAACATTTGGTTCTTTTGAGAGGCAAATTTAGTGTTCTGAAGGCTTCACATCTCATATGGCCATCTGATAGCTAGTGATGTGCTGTGTGGGGGTGTCTAGTTAAGACTGTTAGAGAAGGAACTGCTGCACCATTTCCAGATCTATTTGTGAGATGAGAGTTTTTTTTCCCCCCTCTCTCTCCTAAGGAAGAAGAAATGGATAATTAATCTGGCCTTAACTATCCAACTTTAGTTTTGAAATATTGTTCTAAAGTATGGCTCCCTTTTAGGCGTGTATCTTTTTCTAGGTGTGGTTTATCTCAAGACAGTCATTCAAGACTCTGCCCAGCTCTGGGTTTACAAGTGGCTATGTTCTAGAAGAAAATGTTTGACCCTTCTGATGCTGTTCTTAATAATATGCACAAAACCTAGTGACTGGAATTAATCTGTTAAGCACATGAAGAGGTATTTCATGACTTTAGTCATTAGAGGAATTCAAATTAAAACTGCACAATGAGATACCACCATGAGCCATCAGTATTGATGAGGATGTGGAACAACCAGAATGCTTATATACTTCTGGTGGGAATGCAGTTTCTTATAAATTCAAACAGATACTTACTGCATGACTTAGCAATTCCACTCCTAAGAATTTACCCAAGAAAACATAAAACATATGAGCACACAAAGACTTATATTTGCCTGTCCATGGCCATTTTATTCATACTGCTCGAAACTGAAAGCAATCCAGATATCCATCAACTTTGATATATCCATACAATACTACCCAGGAATAAGAATGGGTCAAGCACCGTGGCTCATGCCTGTAATCCCAACACCTTGGGAAGATGAGGCAAGAGGATCACTTGAGCCCAGGAGTTTGCAACCAGCCTGGGCAACATCATTAGATCCCATCTTTACAAAAAAAAAAAAAAAAAAAAAAAAAGCTGGGCATGGTGGCTGGCATCTGTAGTCCCAGCTACTTGGGGGGCTGAGGTGGGAGGATTGCTTCTGCCTAGGAGGTTGAGGCTTCAGTGAGCTGTGATTGTGCCACTGCACTCCAGCCTGGGTAACAGAGCAAAACCTTATCTCAAAAAAAGTTAAAAAAATGAATTATTGATACAACAGTGTGGATAAATATCAAATGCATTGTGGTAAGTGAAAGAAGCCAGACACGTATGATTCAACTTATATAAAATTCTAGAAAACATAAAACAATAGTGATAGACAGTGGTTTCCTGGGGTTAGGGAGTAGGGAGATGGAAGAGCAGGAAAATACTTTTTGGGGTGATGGCAATTTTCTATGTCTTGATTATAGTGGTAGTTACATGATTGTAAACTTTGTTAAAATTCATCCAATTGTACTCTTAAAATTGGTGAATTTTATGTAAAACTGTAGCTCAATAAAGCTAGTTTAACAATATAGCCACTTGTAATCATAGCTACTTGTAAATCCTGAGCTTGGCAATTTCTTATAAAGTCAAACATGTACTTACCACATGACTTAGCATTTCCACTTCTAAGAATTTACTCAAAAAAACGTAAAACATATGACCATACAAAGATTTGTACTTGCCTATCTATAGCCATATTAACCAGTCAACGTGTATTTGTAGAGAGGCTAAATGTGCCACCTTTGCTAGGTGCAATGGGATAAATGTTGTGTCCCTTTCTAAAAAGAAAGAGGTTATGGTCTGATTGAGGGGAAGAAAGATTTTCCCTCATGTTTCATTACAGAACAAGACCATGTATTAAAACATAACTTCACATATTCACAAATTCATTTATCCAAAATGTATATTGAGACATGATTAAAGCTTAGTACTAAACAGGATGTAAGTGATTTCTGAAGATATATCTGTTGCTCGAAAAACTAAAAAATGGAAAAATTTGGATGTTTCATGAAAATAATTCAAGGGTTTACAAAGTAGATCCTCCTTGAATTCACTGGCTATGTTAGGTTCAAATCACTGGGCTGTTTGTGATAATGAGAAAACACTGGCACTGACTGAACTCTTGATTTCAGTTTCATTCTTGAGCCAGAGAAATGGAATTCTCCCCTGATTGCAATTCTCCATGTAGCCTTCAAAGACTGTGGGCCCTTCCTGAAGGACAGCTCTTCTGGTTAGTGAGAGGATGAGTTAGAGGTATTTTCACTCTGTGTATATTCTTAGAACTTTATGGTTGGTTTTCAGTGTGATTATGTAATCCCCATGCAAATGCCATCTGCCATATTTGGCACTTATAAAATATTGGAGATATTTATTCATTTTGCTTGAAAAACAGATTTTGAGAAGTCAGATCTCCCCCTTTCTGAGAACACAACTGTGTAGAGGGTGTGTACAAGTTCTTTCATGCATGACTATGATAACTATTTTTATTCATGGCTTAGCCTATCAACTTGGTGTAAAATTTTTGTTTAAGTTTTTGTTTGCCATTTGGAACCAGAAATTATAAGATCAACTTAAGGTTTGCCTGCTTTTTGTTTTCTCATTAGTATGAATTTTTACTGTTCTTTTTAAAGGCAGTAATACTTTTAGAATAATATAATGAAGGCTAACTTCTAGATTTGGGTGACTAAAATCTAAAAGGAAAAAAAAAAGAAGAAAAAGGGAAAAGACCAAAATTGATCATTATTTGGGTAAAAAGGAGACTAGTTTTCTCTAATAAAGCTGATTTCTGATTCATAAGCACTTAACTTAGAAATAATCTTTACATATAAGTCATTGACCTAATCAAAGAGTTGCTGCTGGCCCCTACCCACATCCTACTTTCTTCCTTCTATTCCTGGATTCCTGGGAAGAAGAGAAACAATAAACTATGAGGTTGGTGCAAAAGTAGTTGTGGTTTTTGCCATTAAAAGTCATGACAAAAACCTCAATTACCTTTGCACCAACCTGATATAACAATACATCTTGGGTATTTGGACCTGTGGGTTCAGAAGTAGAGGAAGAAATAAACAATGGTAACGTCTGAGGGAATGGGATCCAGGAGAATTTCCAGGCCAGGCCCACCTCTCTGTGTGATGGATTCCTTAAATAAAAACAGTGATTTCTTCTGCATTCTCCAGAAAATTTTATTTCACTTTCTCTCCTACTGATAGTAATTTTATCAATCAGTAGGAGATAAATAAGATTAATAGAATTTTATCGATTTTATTAATCAGGACAATTAAAATTCTAATGACTCACAGGGGTCCTACTTAAAACCTTTAAGTAACTTTGACAGGGTTGAGAAATTGTTAGCTGAGCAGATATTGGAGTAAAATAGTTCAGTTAGCTTTTATTTGACCTATTCCTACCTTTGGCCAATGGAAGCTTTTTAAAAATTGCAACATTTTAACATGAAAATTTTCAAATATACAGAAAAATCCAAAGAATTATGCAGTGAACAGCCATATATATGTTATAGTTATGTATGAGTTTCCTGTTGCTCCTATACAAATTACCATGAATTTAGTGGCTTGAAAGAACACAAATGTATTATCTTACAATTCTGATGGTCAAAGGTCTAAAATGAGGCTTATAAAAAATCAAGGTACTAGCAGGATGTGTTACTTCTGGAAATTCTAGGGGGGATCTATTCCTTGCCTTTTCCAGCTTTTAGAAGATGTGCATATTACTTGGCTGTGGTCACATCATTCTATGCTTCTGCAGTCATACCACTTTTTCTGCCTCTGGCCTTCTGCCAGGGTCCTCCCTCTTTAAGGACCCTGGGATTACGTTGGGCCCATTCTGATACTCTAGGATAATCTTTGCATTTTAAGATTCTTAATCCCATTGGTAAAATACCTCTTGTTGTGTAAGGTAACATATTCACAGGTTTTAGGGATTAGGGTGTGCACACATTTGGGGATCATTATTCAGCTTACTATAAGCTACCTCCTATATTTTAACATTGGCATTTTTCTTTATTACATAGCTATCTCTTCATTCCTGTGTTTGGCTGTATCCCCACCCAAATCTCATCTTGAATTCCCATGTGTTGTGGGAGGAACCTGGGGGGAGATAATTGAATTATGGGGGCCGGTCTTTCCCATGCTGTTTTCGTGATAGTGAATAAGTCTCAAGAGATCTGATGGTTTTTTAAAAATGGGAGTCTCCCTGCACAAGCTCTCTCTTTGCCTGCTGCCATCCATGTAAGACGTGACTTGCTTCCCCTTGCCTTCAGCCATGACTGTGAGGCCTTCCCAGTCATATGGAACTGTAAGTCCAATAAACTTCTTTCTTTTGTAAATGGCCCAGTCTCTGGTATGTCTTTATCAGCAGCATGAAAATGGACTAATACACCATCCATTAATTCATTTTTTTGGATGCATTTCAAAATAAATTGAAGACACCAGAGCACTTTTCCCTATATATCTTAACACATATATCATTAACTAGAGTTTGATGTTTGTTTATTGTTCAATTTTTACTTTTTTAATTTTAGAGATAGAGTCTTGCACTGTTACCCAGGCTGGAGTGCAGTGGTGGCAGCATAGCTCACTGTACAGACTCCTGGGCTCAAGTGATTCTTCTGTCTCAGCCTTCCAAGTAGCTGGGACTACAGGTGTGTGTTATCATGCCCAGCTAATTTTTAAACTTTTATAGAGATGGGCTCTTACTATGTTGCCCAGGCTGGTCTCAAACTCCTGGTCTCAAGCACTCCTCCTGCCCCATCCTCTCAAAGTGCTGGACTTACAGGCATGAGCCACTGCGTCTGACCCCATTATTTTTTTGAGGTAAATTTACATATCATGAATTGCACAAATCTTACTCATGCCCTTCAATGAGTTTTGACAAATGCATATACTTGTGTAATACAAACTCTTATTAAGATATGGAACATTACAGCAGGGTGCCGTGGCTCACACCTGTAATCCCAGCACTTTGGGAGGCTGAGGAGGGCGGATCATGAGGTCAGGAGATCGAGACCATCCTGGCTAACATGGTGAAACCCCATCTCTACTAAAAATACAAAAAAATTAGACGAGTGTGGTGGCGGGCACCTGTAGTCCCAGCTACTTGGGAGGCTGAGGCAGGAGAATGGAGTGAAACCGGGAGGCAGAGCTTGCAGTGAGCCAAGATCACGCCACTGCACTCCAGCCTGGGTGACAGAGCGAGACTCTGTCTCAAAAAAAAAAAAAAAAAAAAAAAAAAGAAGATATGGAACATTACTCTCTCCCTGGAAAGTTCCCTCATTTTTTCTTAAGCAAATCTTGTCCTATTCCAAGTTTGGTAATTTTTCACTATAGGTAAATTGAATCTCTTCTAGAACATTGTTACTAAGTTTAATGTTGTTGAAATTCATTCCTGTTGCTGCACGTATGAGTAGTTCTTCTCTTTTGTTATATAGTGTTGTATGTGTCCACTGTATTAATATAGTACAGGATGCTTAGCTATTGTCCTGTTAATGCATGCCAATTTTTGACTCATGAATAAAGCTGCTGTGAACATTTTCTTGGAATTCTTTCTGTAAACTTAAGGCTTTTTTTTTTTTTTTTAATAGGAATGAATACTTCCTGACAGTTTTTTAAAAACTGGCTGTTCTAGAGATTATGATATATAACCTTAATTCCTTAATTTTTCATAGTTCATTCATATAGAGTTGAAATTGTACTATTTTATAAAAAATACAAGAACTATTCAGATTCTTTGTCCCTTTTATCCTCACCTTCCATCCTTTATTCTGTAGTTGTCGTATGTATTACATCTATGTGTCATAAACTGCACAATAAATAGGACGTTAAATTTTTGCTTTAAGTGCTCATATGTCTTCTAAATAAATAGAAAATATAAATTTTTTAATGCATATTTTACCACTTCTCATACTATTAATTCTTTCCTAAAGATTCAAGTTTCAACTGGTCATTTCCTTCCAGTCTGAATAATTTTTTTTAACATTTCTTGTAGTGCAGGTATGATGGCAATGGGTTCACTAAGTTTTCGTGTATCTGAAAATGTTTTTATTTTTTCTTTATTCTTAAAGGATATTTTTCTTACATACAATTTCAAGTAGACAGATTTTTCTTCCTGCATCATAAAGATGTTGTTTCACTGTCCTTTGGTATTCATTCTTTTTTCTGATCAGAAGTCAATGGTCATTCATTATTATTATTCTCCTGTATATAATGTGTTGTTTTTCTCTGTCTGGACTCAAGATTTTTTCTTTGTTTGATTTTAGCAGTTTGATTATAATGTGCCTAGCTGTATTTTTCTATTTATTTATTCTGTTTTGGTTTACTAGGCTTGTCTTTCTCTTTCTTTCTTTCTTTTCTTTTCTTTTCTTACTTTCTTTCTTTTTTTTTTTTTGGAGACGGAGTCTCACTCTGTCACCCAGGCTGAAGTGCAGTGGCACAATCTCAGCTCACTGCAACCTCCGCCTGCCAGGTTCACGCCATTCTCCTGCCTCAGCCTTCTGAGTAGCTGGGACTACAGGTGCCCGCCACCACGCCTGGCTAATTTTTTGTATTTTTAGTAGAGATGGGGTTTCACTGTGTTAGCCAGGATGGTCTTGATCTCCTGATCTTGTAATTCGCCTGCCTTGGCCTCCCAAAGTGCTGGGATTACAGGTGTGAGCCACAGCACCCAGCCCTTACTAGGCTTCTTGAATCTGCAAATTTAATTTCTTTCCCCTAATTTGGGAAATTTTTGGTCATTATTGTTTCAAATATATATATATTTTTTGAGATGGAGTCTCACTCTGTTGTCCAGGCTGGCATACAGTGGTGTGATTTGGCTCACAGCAACCTCCACCTCCTGAGTGATTCTCCTGCCTCAGCCTCCAGAGTAGTTGAGATTGCAGGCACCCACCACCATGCCAGGCTAATTTTTGTATTTTTGGCAGAGATGGGGTTTTGCCATATTGGCCAGGCTGGTCTCGATCCCCTGACCTCAGGTGATCCACCTGCCTTGGCCTCCCAAAATGCTGGGATTATAGGTGTGAGCCACTGTGCCCTACTTTGTTTCAGATGTTTTTTTTATCCCATTTTCTCTCTACTTTCCTTCTAGAATTCCAATTATACATATGTTACATCTTTTGATATTGTCCTTTTTGTTTTTGAGGCAGGGTCTTGCTCTGTTGTCCAGGCTAGAGTGTAGTGGTGTGTTCACAGCTCACTGCAGAATTGACCTCCTGGGCTCAAGTGATCCTCCCACCTTAGCCTTCTGAGTAGCTGGGGCTACAGGTGTGTACCACCACGCCTGGATAATTTTTGTATTTTTCTGTAGAGACTGGGTTTTGCCGTGTTGCTTGGGCTGGTTTTGAACTCCTAGGCTCAAGCAATCTGTCTGCCTTAGCCTCCCAAAGTGCTGAGATTACAGGTGTGAGTGAATGCTGATACTCTCCGTTTTTCTTTTGAGATGGAGTCTTGCTCTGTCACCCAGGCTGGAGTACAGTGGCGCAATCTTGGCTCACTGCAAGCTCCGCCTCCTGGGTTCATGCCATTCTTCTACCTCAGCCTCCCGAGTATCTGGAACTACAGGTGCCTGCCACCATGCCTGGCTAATTTTTTGTATTTTTAGTAGAGACGGGGTTTCACTGTGTTAGCCAGGATGGTCTTGATCTCCTGACCTCGTGATCCACCTGCCTTGGTCTCTCAAAATGCTGGGGTTACAGGCATGAGCCACCATGCCTGGCCAATACTCTCCTTTTTAAAAAACAATTCTTCCCCATTTTTCAGATTCAATAATTTGTATTGATTTTTTTTTCAAGTTCACAGGTGCTCTATTTTGTTATCTTGTTTTCTGTTAAATTTATCTAGTCAATTTTTAAATTTCAGATGTTTTTTTTTAGTACTAGAATTTCAATCATTTAATAGTTTCTATTTAATGAAATTATCTATTTGTTTCTTCATTATGAGCCAGTTTTTCTTTTCATTCTTAAGTTATAGAAACTGCTTTAAAATCCTTACCTGCTAATTCTAACATTTGGGCCATCGTGGGGTTAGTCACTATTGATTGCCTTTTCTTTTGAGTATAGGTCACATTTTCCTGTATCAATATATGATTAGCAATTTTGGATTGTGTTCTGTATGTATATTGTAAGAAATATGTTGTTGAGGCTCTGAATTCTGTTATGTTCCTCTGAAGAGTACTGATTTTTTTGCTTGTTTGTTTCAGCAGCATTAGCTGGGCTCAGACTCAAACTCTTTTTCCTTTGAGGTAGGCAGCAGATGAAATATCTATTCAGATCTTTTAGCCCTGGCTGGGCTTCTTGGGGTCTGCCCTGTGCTATGCATAGTTTAGGGATGAGCCAGAGATTTGGGCTTAGTTTATATGAACAATTTAGCACTCTCCTTGGTCACCCCCTTTCCAGGATTTCCCCTCTGGCTTTCCAGCAGTGGTGGTCACACCACTGTCTACTCATTATCCAAGCTAAAAGGCTGCTGATTTTTGATCCCAGTTTTAGCTGTCTGGCCTAGTGTTGACTGAGTCCAGAGACAAAGAACTATAAAAGCACTCAGCATTCTCCTAAGCAAGACTCCCTCTACCCTCCTCCATTTTCTCACTGCTTTGGTGACTTTTTAGGGCCTTAGGGTTAATTTTTATATTTTTAAAAGAGTTTATAGCTGTTTTCTATGAGAGGGTTAGTCTGGTGGGAACATCTCCTCTATTCTCTCAATGGAGCTCTGATTTAAGCAGATAAAGATGAGTTTTAAGCACTGGGTGGAGAGAGTATAGGCCTGAGTGTTAATTTGATGAAGTACTGGGAATGTAGTTCAAAAAGTGAGATTGAGAAATGTCAAACCTAAATGTTTATTACTTCAGAATTTTGTTTCAGGCCAACATATTTCACTACCTCTACCTTTTACTTTTTCTCTATGTCTACCTTTTTCACTTCCTCCTCTTTCCCCAGTATCATGTCATCTACCTCATTTTAGGGCCCAGACCTTAGCAAAGCTAGTGTCTGGGCTACTCTCCAAGAATGCTAAGGACTAAATAAGCATTTCTAGGCTACTTGGGGAATGTAACCACCGCCTGTGAATTTGGGTTCTGAACATTTAGAAGCCAGCCTCTGAATAAAGCTTGCCCATACTTCAACATGCAACTTCTTCTAAGTTTCAGTCCAGTGCCAGGGGTTTGTTCTGTGTTCCATCCCCTTCTTTTACCAGTAGCTCCTGAGAGGTTATCTCTGCTAGGCCCCTAGGATATAACTGCTGTACTTGGTTGCTAACTTGTAAAACACTTGACTTTTCAGTTCTCTTTTTAAAATGAACACTCTGTTGTAAAGTCCTATGCCTCTGTTTGTTTCTCTGCCTATGGTACAACCAAGTAGACCATTGCAACTGAGTTAGTTTTTTTCTCATGTTACTAACAGTGGAGTACAGAACAGTTGGGTTAGGGATGGTCCGTGCTGTTGTTTTAGCCAACCAAGTCACCCCAGCCTTTCAGCAGACAGTCAGCCCGTCCGCCACAATGACAGAAAATTGATGGTAGAAAGGCCACTTAGGTAGAATGGAGAGACGTGATCTTAAATTCTATTAGACATTCTTCTAGGAAGAAATGACTCAAATTTTGCAGCTGGAAAATTGAGAGAGGGAGGGAGCTTAAAATTTCTTTATCATTATTATGTTAGAGGGCAGACTTTGAAAGCTTACGACTTCTACTCAGAACACTTAGTTTCTTAAATCTTCTCTTACTTACTCATACACTTTTTGGGATATGCATTGAAAACAGATTCAGTGTACTGGAAAAAAATCAGCTCTGAAAAAACACCTAACTCACAAAACAGCTACATTAAGAATTTAGTGTTCACAGCACTAAAGGGTTATTTGTTTTTATAAAATGGTTCTCTGAAGTGTTCCCTAAAAATACCAAATTCCCTTGGTGCCTTTAAAGTGAGAATCACATTACAAAAATCCTATTTAACAGAACATTCTGGGAACATACAAGGTGTGATTGTAAAAGATTGTGGCTGATTTGAAGAAAAATTCCAGGACTTATACATTCAAAGGAGTGGTGTTCCCTTCAAAGTAATCACCATGTGGGTCTTTACACTTACCTCATTGAAAATGAGGATGACAGTGTCTCCCTCACAGTGTTGCCCTAGAGGTTTACACGAGATAGCTAAGAAAATGCATGGGTGCAGTAAATGCTCAAGAAAAGAGTAGGTTTTGTCTTCAATTCCAAAGAAACTACAATTACTCATTCATCACTAGAACTCCAATGTGAAAACTATTCTGTGTGTTCCAATGAAGCTTTATCTCTGGTCTGTGGGATGAATTTGGAGTCAACCATGGAGAGTAAGGTGGTGGGCTAATGGACTCTGTGTGTGTATGTGTGTGTGTGTGTGTGTGTGTGGTGGGTGTGTGCATGCCGCAATTTGTTTTCTAATTTTTATGAGCTCTTAAATTACTGATCTCATAGGATGTGTGTGTGTGTGTGTGCGTGTGTGTGTGTGTGTCTTGTAGACAAAGTAACAAATGTAAGAAGCCATGTTTGTTCATTTCTGCTTGCCAGCATAATTTCCCAAACCCCCTGACTCAGTGACAACCTGCAGCTCTCTGGAAAGATGCTTTGAAGACAAAATGGGGTAAGGCACGTGCTTCCCATGTCTCTTGCCTGAGTCACTACTTAGCTTTGCCTTTTGCTACACAGAAGATAATGTCCAACGGGGTTGGTGACTATGCTTCTGTAATCTATGACCAGATATACTCTCACACTGAAGCCTTGATATGATCCTTACTTCGATGTAACTTCTGAACAAGTTGGAGATGAATTTGTACATTCAGAACCTCCACCACCTGTATGTAAGTAATGGGCTGAAACACTGCCTTGGTGGTCTGCCAGGACTGCTCCGTGGCTGGAGGCCTTGATTTACAGTCTTATTGTCCTCCATCAGACTTTTGAATGAAACTAACTTTAATTCTTTAAAAGCTTGACATTTTTTTCCTTTAGCCAACAGTGTGTATGTAAGTATATATATGTATATAAAACATATAACATAATTGTATGTATTATTTATGTATTTAATTTGGCAGGGTGGTGGGGTGGAGGTGAAATAAGTGCTGTGTGTCTGCAGCATGGGATATAAACTCAAATGCCCAGAGCAGTGGATCTCAATCTTTGCCATATATTCAATGGCCCAGTAAACTTTTAAAAATCCTGATCTCCTGCCACACCCTATGCCAATTAATACAGAACCCGTAGGAGGAGACGTCAGTCATTTTTAAAGCTCGCCAGGTAATATCAATGTGCAGCCAAGTCCCAGAGCAGGAACCCAGGCGGTCTTCAGTTCCAGATGCCTCTTAGAATCACCTCAAGAGCTCTCAAAACTTACTGGTGCCTGGGCCCCACCCTTCCGAGATTCTGATTCACTTATCTGAGGTGGAGCCTGGGGTATGGTTTGGGGTATTCAGAAAGTTCTCCAGCTGATTCCAGTGTGTAGCTATGAACCCCCAAAATTTGAGACAGGTCTCAGTTAATTTAGAAGTTTATTTTGCCAAGGTTGAGGACGTGCACCCATGACACAGCCTCAGGAGGTTCTGATGACATAGCTTGGTTTTATACATTTTAGGGATATATGAGACATCAATCAACATATATAAAATGAACATTGATTCAGTCCAGAAAGGCAGGACAACTCAAGCAAAAGCAGGAGAATTCAAAGCAACTTGAAGCAACTCGAAGTAGGAAGAGGGCTTCCAGGTCACAGGTAGATGAGAGATAAACGGTTGCGGTTGCGTTCTTTTGAGTTTCTGATTAGCCTTTCCAAAGGAGGCAGTCACATATGCATTTATTTCAGCAGAGGGATGGCTTTGAATAGAATGGGAGGCATGTTTGCCCTCTGCAGTTCCCAGCTTGAATTTTCCCTTTAGCTTAGTGATTTTGGGGGCCCAGGATATTTTCCTTTCACATAGCCAAGTCTGGGAACTGGTGGCTTCAGGTGCCCAGCTGATAAAGGAGAGGGATGAAGAGGGCATAGGGGGTGGCCACAAAAAATGGGAGAGCATCTTCTCTAAGGGGGCAGCTGCTGTGCAGATTTCTGTGGGGATGCGGGCCCACTGTCACCAGCCCTTCTATTTTTCAAATGACACTGGAAGTCTGGGTATTTACATAGAAACATCTAATTTTTAAACAGTGATAAAATATACATAACATACAATTTACCATTTAAACCATCTTTAAGTGTACCTTAAATACATTCATATTGCTGTGTAACCATCACTACCATTCGTCTCCAGAACTTTTTCATCTTCCCAAAAGAAAAACCCAAACTGTTAAACAATAACTCCCCACTCCTGGTAACCAATGTTCTATTTTATGTCTTTATGAATTTGACTACTCTAGGTCCCTCGTGTAGGTGGAATCACATAGTATTTGCCCTTTTGTGACTGGCTTGTTTCACTTAGCATCATGTTTACAAGGTTCATTCACGTTGCAGCATGTGTCAGAATTTCCTTCCTTTTTAAAACTGAATAATATTTCACTTATGAATGTATGCGCTACATTTTGTTTATCCATTTGTCTGTTGATGAACACAAGGGTTGCTTCCACCTTTTGGCTATTGTAAATGATGCTGCTATGGAAATGGGTGTACAAATATCTGTTTGACTGACCTGCTTTCAATTCTTTTGGGTACATACCTAGAAGTAGAATTGCTGGAGCATATGGTAATTCTATGTTTAGGAACCACCATATTGAGCTTTCTAATTTTTAAATGTTTGTAATTAATTCCAATTGAAGCAGCAACAGCAACAACAAACATAGCCATTCTGCTAGACTGGCCTTGTGATCTCCAGACTGGCATTTTCCAGAACAGTCTGTAAGTCCACAGGTTCCTTCTCTCTGGGTCTCAGTTTCCTCATCTATAAAATGAGGAGACTGGACTATATCTTTCCTGCTTCTGTTTTGTTCAAACAGTCCAAGGTGTTGGAGTCAGTATTCTAAATTGATTGCAGTTCTTATTCTTGCATGTGGAGCTTGAGTCTCATGACCAGCATTCAGTATCCTGGGGCTCAAATCTCCAAAGCCCACATGATCCCAGCTGTCTGGATAAGAGGGGGAATCAGACCAGACACGTGTTTGGGTCCGATCTGACACAAGTAAAGTCTAAATCAGCCAAGATATAACCTGCTTGTGTTAGCCACAGAGCAGTCAGCGTGCCCTTTTAAGGAAAGAGTAATCTATTTTCCAGTCCCAACAAACTTCAACCACATTTGAGCAGAAAAGATCACATTTCCAAGCTGTAGGTAAGACTGCTGAGGTTGTAATATGATTCTTTGTATGTTTGTGACAATCTCTTAGCGGGAACTCTTTGTTGGCTTTTTAGAGGAAGATGTAGGTCCAGACTTTTGAAAGTTTGTTTGCTTATTTTTATGAACCCCTTAAATTACTAACCTCTCAGGACCAAAGCACATAGCAGACAGCTGCTCCCAGAATCCTGTGGGTCCTCCCAACTCTCAGGCAGATTTTACCTCTTCATGTTTTTGTACCGAAAGGACCTTAGTTTGTGTTTTATTACTATTTAAACAGGTACAACAACTTATTCAAACACTTTTTTCTCTCCTTTCTTATTTTTAATTTGACTCTGATTTTTTTCATAACATACTCACTGAAAGGAAACCAATGTTTTTCATACCTTTGAAAAAAATTCATCAACTATTTATTGAGTCATGTCAGGGTGAGATGGAGCATGGACCCCTCTTAGGGGTCTGCTGGTTCCTTCTCAGGCATGAAAATGAAGAAGTACCTGGAGTTCCGTTAAGGGAAATTCCAGGCATCTAGCTAGCCCTGAGAAGTTGGTGAGTGACTTGATAAGAAAGAAAGTAATAATAGCTTAAAACAATAGCCAAAGAAGTTAGAGTCAGGAGACGTTTGGTCCCCTGTAGAAACTAAAGATAACATCTTAGTTAGTCCTTGGGTTCTTTTTCAGAAACCCAGACCCCCACCTAGTGAATCCACTGGCACACAGACCTCAGATAAGGGAGAACTGAGGACTGAGTTCTGAGAACCATTCTTTGTCCTAAATTTCTTCCAGAGGGGCCTGGAGGAAGTGAGATCCATGGGCCAGATCTAACATTCTTTTCTGCTAGCATCTAAAGAAAGCTTCCTTTCCTTGGCCAATGAGAAAATCTTTGAATCTACTTATGACCTGTAAGTCCCTACTTCAAGATACCACACACCCTTTCAGGACAAACCCATGTTTAACCTCATGTATTGATTTATAATTTTGCCTGTAACTTCCGCTTCCCTGAAATTTAGCCCTGACTTTAAAAACCCTTGCTTACAAGCCAAGCTTGTCCAACCCACAGCCTGTGGGTCGCGTGTGGCCCAGGATGGCTTTGAATGTGGACCAATACAAATTTGTAAGCTTTCCTAAAACATGATGAGATTTTTTTGTGATTTATTTATTTATTTATTTTTTTAACTCATCAGCTATCATTAGGGTTAGTGTATTTTATGTGTGGCCCAAGATAATTCTTCCAATGTGGCCCAGGGAAGCCAAAAGATTGGGCACCCCTGTTATAAGCCACTGTGGAGGGGGGTCTTAAGCATGAACTACCTAGTTCTCTTACATAGTGCCCCATAAACAAACACCTCCCTTTCTCTTTCCTTTTCTGCAAAATCTCAGGTGTAAATGTTTGGCCTTACTGCACTGGGCGAGCAGGCCTCAGTGTGGTTTGGTAACCAGGGTTTTTTGCCATTTGTGATTCATTTCAACAAATGTTTTTGGTTTCTGTTCATTAGAGAGGAGATGATGCTGGGGTGAGAAAGCATGGGATGTGGGGACAGGCTGGTCTGGCCCACTCACCAGCTCTGCCATTTACTTGGTCTGTGACTTTGGACAAATGCCTCCTTTGGTTGGGCATTTGTAAAATAGGGACTGTCTATCATTTAGGGTTGTAACAAAGATTAATAATGCATGCATAGTACCGGAGGAGGGATGTGGTGTGTAAGTATTCAATAAGTGGAAGCCATTATTAATAATCTCTGACCCCCTTCAGATAGGGACAAGATTCAGGGAAATTCTGGGCAGAAAAGGGTGAGTCCCTGGCAAGGGCCCTACCCTCAAGCTGAAAAGCCTGATACTGTAGCCCAAAGTGAGAACTTACATCCCTGTTTTCCCGCTCAAATGTTGCCTTTTCCAAAACTACCCATGGCCCACCCTGCCCTCCATCCTATGCCCATAAAAACCCCAGGCTTAGCCAGCAGAGAGGAGAAGCAGCTGGATGTAGGAGACTGTTGGAGACTGTCAGAGACTACAGTTGGATGTCAGATAGAAGCGGCTTGACTTCAGAGGGACAGCTTGATGTCGTAACTTCGGAGATTTCCTTTCCCACTCTGTCCCCTTTTCAGCTCACCTTCCAGCTGAGAGCCACCTTCATCGGCAATAAAATTCCCTGCATTGCCCATCTCCAATTCATTTGTGCGACCTCATTCCTCCTGGATGCTGGATAAGAATTCGGGTGCCACAAGTGTGGGTGCAAAAGGCTGTCACAGTGATCCTCCACTGAGCTGTTAACACTTAAGCTGTTTGCAGATGGCAAAGCTAAAAGGGCACTGTAACACTCCTTCTGGGGCCCTAGGGGTCACAGGCACCCCACTAGACACTGCTGTGGGGCCCACATAGTTTTTCTCCTGCTGGCACCCAAAAACACTTGCCCTGGCTCCTGCACCTGTTCACCTGTGCTTCCCCTCCTCCCACGAGGGTGGAAGACAGTGGGACCAAGCGAGTAGAGTCCACCCCTGCTGGCACCAAAGCAGTGGCTAGTTCTAGTGCCTGTGCTCTCCAGTTCCCACTTGTGAAGGGGTCAGGGAAATATCCTACTTCATTTCTGGGCATTGAGAAAGAAACACAAGGGCCTGGGAATTGGGAGACTTGGGTTGTTTCTGTTCCTAATTAGCTGTGATCTTGGGCAAGGGACAAACTTGCTGGGGGTCAAGGTCTGCATCGTTTATTTAACAAGCACATAGTAGTTGCCTACCAGTAGGCAGATCTTGCAGTAGGAGTTGAGAATAGGAAGATGAATGGGATGTGGCCAGCTCTAAGATGCTCACCAGTTAGTTGAAGAAGACAGATACTCCAAGGTGTTGGATAGGCATTAGAAGGGCTGGATGAAACTTTAGTTAGAGCATCAGGGACTCAGCAGTACAAAGGTGCATTAACATTTGCCTTGAGTTACAACAGTTTTAGGTAGAGGCAATTATGGGGCTCTGGTGAGCTTTAGAGGTCTTGGTTACCATGATCTAATTGGAATTACCTTCTGTGTGCAGGGAGTACTTTACTAACCCCTGTAGTGAGGCAGAGACCCCCTCCCTGGGCATCAAAGCAGAAAATTAGGTTTTGTATAAACCATTATATATAAACCTCTTGTTGACTGGCTCTGATAAGAAAGCCATAGTAAGCCCCCAGTTCTTTGTTATTTGCTTTGCAGCAACTTTGCCACCAAGAGTGACCGGCAGGGTGTCTGTGTTTTACTTCAACTCCTAGTTGAAAGAAAATCATTCTTTGTTAATCGCTGTATTGTAATTGTGAAACACCACGTTTGAGGAAGAGTTTCAAGGCAGAAATAGCCTTGAGGTCTAGTTCCCTTGTTTTTTAATTTGGAATGAAGGAAATGCTCTCATCTGAATTCCCCTATAGCCTGCAGGCAGTGGCATTCTAAGCAGCCTGCACACAAAAAAACCAGATCATATTTTAAGAGTCTTTTTTTCTCTCACTCCATTTACCTCTGTTCTATTCAGGAGAATGAAAAAATGGGAATCTTTATTTTTTTAAAAATGCCTTAAAAAATAACATCAAAACGTCAGTCTTTGCCATTTTCCAGTGCCTGGGGAATTGGCACATGTCTTCAATGCTAAAAGAATGTACTTTTCATGTTGCTTTGCATTGCAAATGAGCTTCATTCTTGGAAGACCTGACAGAGTAGGGGTGGCACCTTCACCATTTGGTTTCCTGATGCCCAGAGCGATATGGGGATTCATGAAGTCCAGTGTGGCTGGTGGATAAGATACTGGCTGCCAGAAAGTGGTAGCTCTGGCTCCTTGGTCAATTCTGAGACTCTTCTAGACCTCTGTGCTCATCACACATGCAGGAAGTAAGGATCCAGGGTCAGCATGGGGGCTGGCACCACCCCTTCTAAATGTAGGCATGGAAACTACAAGGCAGGCGTTTCCGAGAAAGAGACAGAGACTATGAAACTTACTTTGAAATCATCCATAGTGATTGAAATACAAAAAAAGCACATTGGTTTTCTGAATCATTTTCAAGTTATTTTGTTCCCGAATGCCACTCCTCCATGGATCCTCTTCTGAATTCCCATTGTCTGTTCCTCCTCACCCTTGGTCTTGAACTTTCCCCTTCCAAGCCCTAGAACCCTTGTGAAACGGCCTTTGCAAAAATTTTAACAGTGAGATAATTATCACGGTAAAAGAGATCTAATATAACCAACCCCCATCTTACTTTTAACCTCCGAACTGCTCTTAATCATTCCTGGGCTTAGGCCAAGCTAACTTTGGGAGCTACTTAGTTTATAATTTGAATGATATTAGCCCTTCCCCAAAACTAAACCACTTTTGTAAAGCTAATGAAAGACCACCAGGTTAGGAGAATGAGGAGTCTTACCAGCCATTATTCCAAAGGTCACAAGATTTGTAACATCCCCAATTACTCCTGAAGATAACATGACTATTGTAGAACCTAAGATTGGCCTTTTGAGATGTCTTTTCAGGTTTTTGCATTTCTGGTGACCAATGGCTCTAACCTGGAACCGCCAGCCAGTCCTTTGTCCCCACCCGAAGTCAATTCCCTGGTCTGCCAAACTATCCTTGAAAAACACTAGCCTCTGAATTTTCAGGGAGATTGATTTGAGTAATGACTCTGTCTCCCAAGTGGCATGGCTGGCCTTGTGTCAGTTAAACTTTTCCTTTATTGCAATGTCATGGTCTCAATGAATTGTTTTTGTCTGTGAGATGGGCAGGAAGAACCCATAGGTGGTTACACTTGTGCTTCCTTTGAGGGCCTGACCTCCAGCTTGGGAGGAGCAGCTGGGCCCCAGCATCCCTGCGGGGAACTGAGCTAGGCCCTCTGGTTGGGTTAGTGAATGTGTTAGGCAGCCCCCAGTCCTCCGCTGCCTTTGTATACATCTCCACACATCTTGCTTTCCCATTACTTCCTTTAACATTTTTCCCCTTAGTGTCCTAGCAACTGTCATGTCTACAAATTAACCTGAGAAAAATGTTGAAAAGGCACCGCTCTTACAGCCTGTGCTCCAGCTCCCCTGCTTCCTCCCAGCCCTTCCTCTGCTTCCTCTGCCTTCTGGTACAGTCATTAGTTGCTCCTCCAATTCCCCACTTGGCTGGCTTAGCTGCCTCTCTGCATGCCCCATTCCCATCTTTCTGTGTGCTCTGGTCCTCTCTCTGTCCTCCACTAGACCATAAGCTTCTTGAGCAAAGGGGTTGTCCCTTTCCATTGTGTAGTCCTGGCACCTCCAGCACAGTTAGGGTGCACGTAGTAGGCATTCAGCAAACGCTTGCTGCATTAGGTTGTACATATGGTTCACATTTTCTAGGAACGTCTGTTTGTTCTGATTATCTGCCAGCCAAGTATACTCTTGGGTAGAAAAAGGGAAATGGACTAAAAGATGTGGTTCAAGGAGTAGTCAACAGCCTGCTCATAATTACTAGTGGCAATGGAATAAGCATAAACTTTCTTGCATAACTAATCAATATCTTAATATATCTCCATTAGCAAGGGTGTATCTTATGTTATTGTTATTAAATATCTACCTATTGTGTCAAAAAGGTTTCAGGGTAATTGTTATTGATGGTTAAAATCTTGTCGGCTGCTGACCGTAGATTTCTTTTTTTAATGGATGATGATTGGCTGAGATTTATTTTTCCTGTATTGCTATAAGCCAGATTCTCCATTAAGCTATAAAATATTATGATACACTTGAAGCAATGTAATGTGATCCAAACACACAGTTATAACTCATTTCATTATTAGTCTCATGTGCCAAGACATTAGCATAGCAGTTAACTAGTACTGGGATAAGAGTGGTGCTCAGGAATATTTTTTAACAATCCAATTGCATTAGTGCCAGCTATAGTTTAACCATCGGATGGTTATACTCACGTGCATAATGATAATTGAGCAATAGAATGCTGACATGAATTTTTGAGGCAGAATCTCTGTTTTTAGCTTTAAATACAAAAATCCAATCCAGAGAACAGTGTGATATCTACCAGCATTTGGTAGATTTCAGTTTGTTAGAAGAGGCTCGGGTTCCCTTTGTCCTCTGTGGTTGGTACCTGAGTTGTAGCTATTTAGAAATGGATTTCTGGAACAGTCTAAATCTTCTGTGCTGTTCTCATATTTCCCTGTACTATCCCAGAGGAATGAAACTACATCATCCGGCCTACCCTTTGTACCCAAATGTGGTTCAGAAATCCACTTTGTCTGAGCTGTTGTCCAGATTTTTGTTGTAGGCACTTAACACTTCTCCCATGGAAAGCTGCTGGGATAGAGTATATGAATGGCCCCAATCCTTCATCCTCGCCCTGGTTACATCCTTTACAATGTAACGTTGCAGTTCCTGCCACTAAAGAGGAGTGATGTCTCCCTGCCCTTTGACTTTGGGTTTGGCCATGTGACTTGCTTTGGGCTGTTAGATGTCACATGACTTATTCTTCACTTCCTGACTTTCCCTACTTGGTGTTCCACTTGTGCTAAATCGTGTGCATTCCTGGAATACATCACACACCTTGGCATCACATATTTCCTATTAATAGTTCTACAATATTCTCTCATGCATCCCCACATCCACCACACCCCGAGGGCACCACACTCTTTCAGGGCACTGCTGACTCATTCTTCAGTCAACACACAGTCAAGAATCATCTTCTCCCGAAAGCTCCTGCCCCCTCACCTCCCACACGCCCCAGGGTCCTTCAGGAGCACCTTCTGTTGCTGCACTTGTTGCCTTGTTTTTTAATTTCTGGCTTCTTTTCCTATGAGTTCCTGAAGGGCAGGGATATATTCTTCTCCATATTCCCAGGGCCCAACACAGTTCCTTGTGTGTAAGTGGTAAGCCAGCCGATTTCAGCCCTTTTTCCTTTGGTTGTAACCGGCTTCATTCCAAGATAAGATTGAGTCATGCTAAAAAAAAAAAAAAATTGAAAACACAGGATAACAATTAAGTAGATGAAAATTTAGGAGAGAAAGGAAATAAGGGGATAAAGAGATGATGAAATAAAAATTCAAGTTGGAGCCCCAACATGCCAGGAAATCCTGTATAATTGTTATATTTAGGCCTCTAATTAAGCTCTAAGCTTCTAAGTACCAAAGCAAAGGAGAAAAAACAGGAATGGTTATAATGTTCGGTTTAGATACTTCATGAAAGAAGATGTATGTAAGGCCAATAAGCACATTGAAAGATGCTCAACATGATTAGTCATGAAGGAAATGTAAGTTAAAATCATGAGTTACCACATTATACTCACTATATTGGTTTAAATGAAAAAGACTGACAATATCAAGTGCTATTAGAATATAACGCAACTGGGCTCTGACACAATGCCGGTAAGAGAATAAAAGTCTGGCAGTATTTTATGAAGTTAAACACATACCTATCTTGTGACCCAGCAATTCCACTAAGTAACTGAGAGACTCATTCATGACTTGTACGCAAAAGACTTGCACGTGAATGACAACAGCAGATTTATTCATAACAGCTAAGAACTGGAAACAACTTAGTTGTCCCAGGGTGAACAGACAGTTGAATTGTGGTATATTCATACAATGAAATAGTACTCAACAATGAAAATGAACAAGTTGCTGGTATATGCAACATGGATATATTTCACAGACATTATTTGAGAGACAGAAGCCAGAGAAATAAGATATATATATTATATAATTCATATGAAGTTCTAGAATAGGTAAATGTAATCTACAAGGAGAGAAATCAGATCAGTGGTCGCAGGGGATGGGTATAATATGTGAAAAATTTACTGTAAAGAGACATGAGACAATTTGCTGGTATGATGGCACTGTTGTAAGTCGGAGTCAGCCAACTTCTTCTGCAAAGGGTAAGATAGTAAACATATTAGGCTTTTCATATTATGGTCTGTGTTATAACTACTTAGCTCTACCATTATAGCCAAAAAGTGGCCATAGACATGTAAACGATGAACATAGCTGTGTCCCAATAAAATTTTATTTGTACATTGAAACTTGAATTTCATATATAGTTCACATGCAATGAAATGTTATTAATTTTTTTCAACTATTTGAAAATATAAAATCCATTATTTTCTGGCCATACAAAAATAGGTGGCAGGCCAGAGTTTGCAGCTCCCATCCTAAATTTCAACTAGGGTGGTTGTTACCTGGGAATATCCATCTGTAAAACTCATCAAATTACTGTCTAAATTTTTGTGTTTATTTTGTACTTAATTTTAAGCATAATGTAAATTATGTTTAAAAAAATTTATAGTTTACACGTAAGATAAAGAATGTGTATTTATCAATCAGCTGAAACCCAGATTTTCAGGATAGAAATTTCTCCTCTGGGTTTAAACAAGGTAGAAATTAGATGGTTACTGTTTGGCCACTGGTGGGCTGGCTCTTGCCTGCAGATAGGTTTTACTTGGCCTACAGAGTGTTAAGCATACATGATTTGAATTGGACTAGCCCTTCGGGCAACCCTCATTAGTTCTGCAGATTCCCTGATAACTTAATTATTATGGGCTCCTTTTCACCTTTTTACAATCAACCTCTCACTATTCTTTTTTAAAAAAAACTTATTATATATTATTATGATATTTTATTACTTATTGAGACAGGGTCTCACTCTGTCTCCTAGGCTAGAGTGTAGTGGCGTGAATGTGGCTCACCATAGCCCTGATTATTATGATATTTTATTACTTATTTAGACAGGGTCTCACTCTGTCTCCCAGGCTACAGTGTAGTGGTGTGAATGTGGCTCACTATAGCCCTGACCTCCTGGGCTCAAGGGATCCTCCTGCATTGGCCTCCTGAGTAGCTGGGACCACAGACACATGCCATGTCTGGCTATTGTTTTTTTTTTTTTTGCAGAGACAGGGTCTTGGTAAGTTGCCCAGGCTGGTCTTGAACTCCTGGGCTCAAGCAGTCCTCCCACCTTGGCCTCTCAAAGTGTTGGGATTATAGGCATTAGCCACTATGCCTGGCCTTGCTATTTTTTTTTTTTTTAAGATGGAGTCTTGTGCTGTTGCCCAGGCTGGAGTGCAGTGGCGTGATCTCGGCTCACTGCAACCTTCATCTTCCAGGTTCAAGTGATTCTCCTGCCTCAGCCTCCCGAGTAGCTGGGACTACAGGTGCACACTGCCATGCCCAGCTAATTTATGTGTTTTTAGTAGAGACAGAGTTTCATCATATTGGCCAGGCTGGTCTGGAACTCCTGACCTCATGATCCTCCCACCTCCCAAAGTGCTGGGATTACAGGTGTGAGCCACTGTGCCCAGCCATTATTCTTACATTTAAGTTGTTTCCCCTGGAGGCAGTGTGTATTTGGAACATGTGCTCATTTTTATTCATTTTTATTTTTTAGCATCTTTAAATCATTTGGGGAACAAAATGTGAGGGTAGGGCCACTCACATTTTTTTTTTTCTCAGAGCCTGGCATAGTGTTTGCACATAGTTGGAGCTGAGTCAATACTGTTAGACACATGCATAAGTACATTGATGAAAAAGTGTCCTTCAGACAATCTTCACCATGTTCATTCCTCACAAGAGAGTTTTGATAAGAATTAAGAAGCAATGAGTCTGAGACGATGTTGTCTGGTAGGAAAGCAGAGTGGTAAAATCAGTAGTTGTACCCTTCTATGTGTGCACAATGGAAAGTATAGACAAATAGCATGTGATCTAGACCTGCACTGTTCAATATTGTTCACGTGTGGCTATTTAAATTTAAATTAATTAAAATAAATTAAAATTGAACTCCTCAGTTGTGCTAGCCACATTCCAAGTGCCCAACACCACATGTGACTGACTACTGTATGAGATGGCACAAATAATATAGAACATCTCCAACATCAGAGAAACTTCCACTGGACAGTACTGATCTAGAAACACACTATTTGCGCTAAACAATTACAGAAAACAGAAAAATAGTACACTTAAATCATTTCTAAAACTTCAATATCAGATATTGATATGCAGTAGGCAAACTGTGGCCCTAAATGCAGTTTTTGTAAATAAAATTTTATTGGTACACAGTCATGCTGATTAGATTACATAGTGTCTGGCTTCTTTTGCAGTGCTATGGCAGAGCTGAATAGTTGCAACAGAGATCATATGAATGGAAAATCCTAAAATATTATTTAGCCCTTTACAGAAAAAAAAATTGCTGATCCTTGATACATAGCATGAAACTGATTTGTATTTATGGTGTTAATATTTATTTTAAGTGTGTTTTGTCAAAAACTCTACCTATATTCTGAAAAGCGAGTGGAAGAAAATAGAAATAATTGCTGTTAACCTTTTGGCAGATATCCTTTTAGTCTTCTCCCCACCCCACACCATGGTTGTATTTTTTAAAATATAAAATACATAATATATAAAATATTATGTTTTTCAAAGTTGGGATTACAGGGCACAAACTTTTTGAAACTCTCACTCCTACTTCCTATACTGTCTACATTTTCTTTCCCAAGGCAAAGTATTTTATGATCTGACTTTTTTAATGGCTGTATTTTATTCCTTTATGGTTCTGGAGTAATAGTAATTTATTTCATCAATATCCTATGGATAGATATTTGGACTGTTTATAGTTATTGCTAAATGCTAAGTTTTTATTGTTTTGTCTTTCCCAAGTAGGCATTCTCTTTTACATTCTATTAATGAGTAATTTTAAGGTCTTCAAAAAGATTCTTTAACCTGTATTTCTCTAATTGTAAAAATCCAGCCAAACCAGTATCTTTGGGTCACTTGTAGCCAATATTTGAAATTTAGCATACTGTCACACTGTTCTCCTTTTCTTCTCCAGCTTTGTTTATATATTCTGGGTTTCAAATCCTGATAACTGTAACTTAATGCATTTTTTTTAGATTATATTTCTCTAATTGTAAAAATCCAGCCAAACCAGTATCTTTGAGTCACTTCTAGCGAATATTTGAAATTTAGCATACTGTCAGTGTTCTTCTTTTCTTCTCCAACTTTGTTTATATAATCTGGGTTTCAAATCCTGATAACTGTGACTTAATGCATTTTTTTTACATTATATGATTTTGCATTCAAGAATAAATTTTGACCTTTGTGTTTGGTGTTATAGTCACATTTGCCACAATTATTTAGACTTATCTTTATGGTCAGCTGGGTTTAGTGTGTCTCACCAGTTCTTTCATATCTTGATTTCTTCATTCTTAAAACCTTATCTTTGTTTAATCTCTTGGTTGATTGAATTACATCAAGTGATTTTTTTTTAAAAAAGAAAAGCTAGATGAGTAATATATATTTTTAGCCTTTGTATATCTGAGAATAATTTCATATTGTATTTACACATAAAAGACAAATGGACTTCTGCCCTTCAAACTCATTAGATACTATCTAATTATTTTTTGGCAATTAGTGTTATGGAACAGAAGTCTGAGGCTGACTCAATTATTTTTTCTTTCATAGATAACCTATTGTTCCTTATTTGGATGTTTGAAGGATATTTTCTTTATTCACATACATTTTAGAAATTGCAAAATTTAATCTAGGTGAGATGCCCCTTTTCATTGATTTTTTTTCTGGTTTATGATAAATCCTTTCAAACAGAATACAGCATATCCATATTTCTTTCACCTAAGATAGTTTCCCTTCATCTTTTATTGTTGCTTTAGTTTTATTTATTCTGGTATTTTCTTCAAAAACATCAATTATCCCTATTTTTTACTTTTTATTCTTTATTTTTCCTCTTCCATTTTCCTTCTGTATTTACTCTCATTGTTTTCATGTCTGCCCATTGCATTTTCAGATAGCATCTCAAATTGGTCCTGTGATTCATTGATTTGACTTTTTATTGTATTTTATTACCTTCGTCACTGTCACTGTGAAGGTATTACTGTTTTCAGTTTGGGGCAGTCTTTTCTTACTGTATTAGTCCGTTCTCACGCTGCTAATAATGACATAGCTGAGACTGGGTAATTTATAAAGGAAACAGGTTTAATTGACTCACAGTTCTGCAGGGTTAGGGAGGCCTCAGGAAACTTAGAATCATGGTGGAAGGGGAAGCAAACATGACCTTCTTCACATAGAGGCAGCAGGGAGAAGTGCCAAGCAAAGGGGAAAAAGCCCCTCATGAAACCATCAGACCTGGTGAGAACTCACTCACTACCATGAGAACAGCAGCATGGGGGTAACCACCCCCAAGATTCAATTACCTCCCACCGGGCCACTCCCATGACACGTGGGGATTATGGGAACTACAATTTAAGATGAGATTTGGGTGGGGACACAGCCAAACCATATCACTTATCTGACCTGATTTTTTTTTTCATATCATTCTGTTGTTTTCTTTTGTATGTTGACTTTTTAATAGAAGCCTTGTGTTGTATCCTTTTAAATTTCAGCTTTTCTTCTTTATCCCTAGGTAATATATTTTCAGAAGTATATCCTATCTCTTAGTCTTCAAGACACTGTCCCCTTTCTCTTGTCTCGCTGCATTTCCCCATAGACCCTATGATGTTTATTATTTTCCTTCCTTGAATAAAGCAAGATCTATATAGACCCAGAGTTTGCCAAATGACCATGTTAGTCTATTCACTTGCCCTTCACCCTTTTCTCCATCCATCTAGCTGATGGTTAATGCTCCTCATTTCTTGAGTGGAGGTGTGCTGAAGGTACAACTCTATGAGTGAAAATCCCCATATAGAACAGGCAACTCAGCTCCTGGGAGTCCACTGCCCATTTCATTGATTCTTTGAAACAGTGCATGCACAAAGAAAACCACAATTCCCAGAATGCTCTTGTCTCACCCTCCTTGACCCTAAAGCACTACTTTACCTATGGAGACCACACTTCCCAGTATGCAGTGCGCCACAGGTTGCCCGTATTATTTTGAGGGGAGACAGAAAACCAGCTTCTGAAGTGATTATAGAAAGTCACTGTTTCTGAAGGAATATGTACAGTTATAAGAAGGCCACATTGTAGCCCCGTGAAGGAGCAGCACCTACACAGTTTTCTGGTTCACACACACACTTAATACGCACTTAATTTCCTAATAGGAAGGAAGGTAGGATCTACAGCATAGTGTTCTGTCTTTCAGCCCCTTCTCTTCTAATCTGTCATCTTTTATTTCATAGAGATTGACACGGTTTGGCTGTGTCCCCACCCAAATCTCACCTTGAATTGTAATAATCCCCACCTGTCAACAGCAGGGCCAGGTGGTGATAATTGAATCATGGGGGCAGTTTCCCCTATACTGTTCTTGTGGTAGTGTATGAGTCTCATGAGATCTGATGGTTTTATAAATGGGAGTTTCCCTGTACATGCTCTCTTGCCTGCCTCCATGTAAGACATTTGCTCCTCATTCACCTTTCACCATGATTGTGAGGCCTCCCCAGTCACATGGAACTTTGAGTCAATTAAACCTCTTTCCTTTATAAATTACCCAGTCTCAGGTATGTCTTTATTAGCAGCATGAGTAAAGACTAATACAAAGGTGGATCCTTCATATGGTACAATGGGGAATTTGGGTGTCCAGTTTAGTTTAATGCACACTAGAGACTCTTTCTGGATTCTGGAATTAGATTGACCTCCCTGCTGGTTTTTGTTGTTGGGAATTTTGGCATTTCCCAGTGCCATGAGAGTCTTTTAGTGGGAAGTTAGGAGAGGCTGTGTCAGGTGGGTGACTGCTAGCTCAATAATATTTTCAGCTGAATGCTTGACTTATTTTTTCTAAATTAGGATTTCTCAGGCAACTGTGTTGTTTATCATTTGATCACTCTTCCTTCCAAAGCCAGCAGTGGCATTGCTGAGAAGCTCCATGATTTCAGCTTTGCTTTTAATGGGCTTCTGCCTAGGTTTGCCTTTAATGGGGCCACCCTTTTCTCTCATCTCTGTACAATTCAAACCACATTTGAAAGGACCATTTGAAAACAGGGTTATAGAGTGATTTCTTCAAATCTAAGGAAGCGTAAAAGAAACCTCAGATAGCAAGTGAAAAAGTGAATCCTTCTTTCCTTGTCTGCCTTGGCTTGACAAAGGGATAACAAAGCTATTGTTAGTCTCACTGGCAACTCACAACAAGAATTTTCTAGTTTTTCTGTTGAAGTTTTGAAGGACTTTCCGAGTCAAAAAGGTCAGTTTTGTATTGAGGACTTGCTATTTATTTTAGAATTTAATTACACAGTGTAGTGACATCTTGGTTCAAGAGACCTGGGTGGGTATACCTAATTTTGAACAAAGTGGGAAATCACTGGAAAAAAAATGATGTGAAATGGAATTTAATGGAATTTACTTCATCACTATAGAGCACTTACTGGGAAATAATTTTCTCACTGACGCATTAATGATAGATGTTGATGTACAAATGCCAAAAGAGGGATTCCATGAGGCATGGTATTTATGGAAACATATTTTATTAATGAGAAATTTGAAGTTATTTGCAGATATTCACACACAGCACCACTTGCTGAAAGCCACAATGGTAACGTGATACTTGACTTCAAAGTCGAGAATGTGTCTAATCAGTGGATGAGTTTACTGTTCTTGCTTTACCCACGGGTTTTTATTTTGTGGTTATGTCAGAAAAAAGGAAGGACTAACAGTGAGTCTAACCCCAATTCACTGTGTTACTTCAGAGAATTCATATAATCTCTCTGGGCCTCCTTTCTGCAAGTACAGGAAAAGGATGTCTTGGAGGCTCCTCCCAGCCTACATTGTCTGATTCCTTGTTGAATGTGCTTTGCAAGCACAAGGTGGTTTTTGTGCGGTCAGTCCACATTAACTACCCCACGAGCAGCAGGGATCTAGAATTATTTGCTGTGCTTGTTCTCTAGGGCATTCTAATGAGCTATGGCAAATTGGAGCTGTTGAATCTTTCAGGCAAGTCCTGTTCCCCCAGTGATATGTCCTGAGATAGCACATTACAGAAATGAAGATGTGTTTTCATGGACTCTATGCTATAAAATATTTATGCCCTGCCTTTGGTTATATACAGTATTTTGCAGTGTAGGTCATCTTCTCAGCAAAATGTTCTACTCTGAGAACAGCTTCCTAAAGCCCCCATGGATCTTTAGGGCAGGCGCATAAGACAGCCCTACAGAACAAGACACTGTCAAAGCTAATGCCTGAATATAAATGGATCATGCATGACTTAACCCTAAAGGAAGATTTGGTGTGAATAGAATTTCCAAGATATATAATTAACTCTTTTATATTAATGAGAAATATAACCTCCAAAGATGTTAGCTGTCTCAGGATATAGTGTACTAAATTTTAACTCTTTCTCTCCTCCATGTGGAAGAGTGCTCCACTGTTCAAATCTGCCTAGGTATGCAGGGCACAGAATGATTAGAATTGCTGTTCCTTTTGTCCTGTGTTTCTTTTCTGGGACAGTTTGATGACATAGCTATTTATTGGGTCTCTATGCTCTACCTGCCAACATTCTGGCCACTCTGCTGGAGGCTGCAGAAATATATAATATGATTGCTGCCCACAAAAGGCTGTTTCATTGTTTCATTTAGTTGGAGAGTTAAGACATCTCCCAAAGAAAGAAACAAGTTAAAACAGCATATGATGGAATATATGTTATGTGTGATGGGGTTGAGTTCTAATTTATATGATGTTGATAATGAGTATGATTATAATTACTAATAGTAAGGATTAATGCCAGCTGTGGGGGTTAAGGAAATCCTTTTGAGCAGCAGAGATTTTAGCTGCCCTGTAAAAGATGGGCAGGATATGGGCAAGTAGTAAAAGGGAAGAACTTGTGTGGCTCACTGGGTGAGAAGATTTACCAGCTACTAGACATAGAGAGAAGGCCCTTAACAGCTGTATCAGCCAGGATAGTCTAGGTTATGCTTCAGAAACAAACAAGCCCAAATCTTAGCTTAAATCAACTAGAGTTTCTTTTTCATTCGAGTTACAAATTTAGGTTGGCTGAGGACTCTACATTGTCCTCTCTCAGGGATGCAGGCTGAGAGAGTCACCACTCCCTGGAATGCCTCTGGTCACCATGGTGGAAGGAGAGAAGAGAAAATCACACACTGGCTCTTACAGGCTTCTAACTGGATATGACACATGCAGCTTCTTAGGTCCATGGCTAAAGCTAATCACATGTATAAGCTTAATGTCAAGGGGGAAGTGGATTTCTCCTTTGTTCCTGCAAGAAAAAGTACAGGAAATACCGCAGAGTATCTCTTAGAGCACGGCAATGGTCTGCATCGGTCCCCGCAAGCTCTTGTGTTAAAACAATCCCCAATGTGGTAGTTTTAAGAGATGGAGCCTTTTGGGAAATGATTAAGTCATGAGAGAGGGCTTTGCTGTCATGAAAGGATTAGTGCTTTGTGAAAGGGCTGGAAGGAACTAGCTTAGGCTTCTTCCTTTTCCCCTCTTCTGCCATGTGAGGACACAGCATTTGTGCCCTACAGAGGACACAGCAACAAGGCTCACCATCTTGAAAGTTGAGACCAGGCCCTCACCAGCCCCCAAATGCCCTCATCTTAGACTTTCCAGCCTCCAGAATGACGAGTAATAAATTTCCATTCTTTATAAATTACCCAGTCTCAGATATTTTGTCATGGCAACACAAACAGACTAAGAAACACCAACTGTATGTCCAGGGCAAGAGAGGCTGTGTCAAATAGTGGATAGCACAAGGATATTGTCAATAGGTGCACCTAGATTGGAACGTTCTGTCGCTTACCAACTGGGACTGCATCTATGGAATGAGATTATTCTCATATCACAAGGTTGTTGTAAGGACTACATATACCACTAAATATTGATTTGTTTGGTTATCGCCTCCCTCTACTAACAGCTGTTTTTTTTTGTTCTAATCTTACATGATATCTACTATACCGCTTGCTCTTGGGTTTCAAGAAAATACCTATAATCTTGCAATAATTTTCCCTTTTTTGCTTAAGCTAGCCCAAGTGGATTTTAGCCAAGGCCTGTGCTAGTCCATGGGGTGACTTTGCAAAGTAGAAAAGGGCACACCTTATGAGTGGGGCTGCCTAGGCCCATAGACATACAATGACACAGTGACTTTGTATGATTTAAGAAAGGTTCCCTTCCTTTTGATAGTGCTGTCCCAGGATGGACGGTTTGGTAGCAGAGCATGGGTCAGATTTCAGCCTCACTTTCCTTTTTGGGGGATAACCCTGTGCAGTGAATATTGTATATAATCACGTGTTGGCCCTGGCTTTAGCACCTTTTAACAGATTCCTGAGAAAGACAATATTCTCTTTATTGTCCATCTTCCCCTTGTAAGACAAGAGAGAACCTTTAAATGTTACATATTTAGTCTTGCAAGAGTGCTACACATAGAATCCCAATATATGAATTCCCAAGAAAATAACTAAGAGGCATCATGCTCTCGTACTCTTAGAATATCCTCACTTATCTGCTATGTTTCAAATCAGTAGCATAGTTATTTATAAGCAAATCCCACTGATCTTAATGAGTTTAATGAATAAAGAATGAGTATAATAAATGAGTTTAACTTCACCCAGAAATAATTCCTCATACAAAAGAAGTTTGATATTAAAATACCCCCAAATATAATATAATTAAATCACATTAATTCTCTTAGGTATAATGCAATTGTTTGCGCTGTGCATAGATAAGAAGCTGAAAGCAAATTTCTGGCATGCCTTTGAGAAGAATTTGTGTAACTTTAAAAATAACTCAGAGGAAAACAAGGCCAGAATTGAGAGAGTTTTCTAGTATTTTTCTGTTTATTTTTTTCAGGCGGTGTCTTGCTCTGTTGCCTAGGCTGGAGTGCAGTGGCATGATCATGGCTTACTGCAGCCTTAACTGGAGCTCAAGCAATCCTCCCACCTCAGCCTCCTGAGTAGCTGGGACCACAGGTGCATGCCACCACAGCTGGCTAATTTTTGTATTAGAATTGAGAGAGTTTTCAAAGATTTAGGAGTTACATCACTTACTGGAGCAGTGTCTTGTTTAATGGTCATGATTCACAGGATGAGATTAGAGAAAATATTGACTTCAGCTTTCCCCTTGCTCTGTGGGGAGAAGGGGCCTCTTATTGGAGGCAATAAGGAGAGAAGGGAAATCACCTTCTGTGTGAACACAAGGTCTCTGCATGCTAAGTGGGGCCACCTTCTTTTGTGTGCACTGACACTGTGAAAATCTAAATAGGAGTGTAGTCGGCTGAACAATACCCTGCCTTCCGTGGATGTCTAAGACGTCCCAATCTCAGGAACTTGTGAATATATTACTTTACATGGCAAATGAGATTTTGCAGATGTGATTAAATTGTGGATTTTTACATGGACAGATTATTTTGCATTATCCAGTGGGCCCAATGTAATCACAAGGGTCTTTATAAGTAAAAGAGAGGGAGGCAAGAGAGTCAGTCATAGATGTGAGGACAGAAGCAGAAGTTGGAGTAATGCAGCCATAAATACCTGCAGCCTCTGGAACTTGGAAGAAGCAAGAAACAGATTTTTCCCGGGAGTTTCCAGGAAGAATCATTATCTACAGGTACCTTGATCTTTAGCCCTATAAAACTCCTATTTGACTTCTGACCACTAGGACTGTAAGAGATTAAGCTTATGTTGTTGTAATCCACTAAATTCTGGGTAATTTGTACAGAAGAAATAGAGAACTATTACGGGGAACAAGGGTGTGGGGCCTTCTTGAGGAAATAGCTAGGGAGGGTGAGAGTGGAGGATATATAGCTAGATCAGGAGTCAGCAAACTATGGCTCAAGGGTCAAACCCAACTTGCCACCTATTTTTGTACAGCCTGTGAGCTAAGAATTGTTTTTAGCCAGGCACAGTGGCTCACATCTGTAATCCCAGCACTTTGGGAGGCTGAAGCAGGAGGATCGCTTGAGCCCCAGGAGTTCAAGACCCGCCTGGGCAACATGGTGAGACTCCATCTCTACAAAAATTAAAAAACAAAATTAGCCAGGTGTGGTGGCGCACACCCGTGGTCTCAGCTATTCTGAAGGCTGAGGTAGGAGGATGGCTTGAGCCCAGGAGTTTGCAGCTGCAGTGAGCTGTGTTCATGCCACTGCACTCTAGCCTGTGTGACAGAGCAAGACCCTGTCTTTAAAAAAAAAAAAAAAGAAAGAGGGCCTGGCCTGGTGGCTCATGCCTGTAATCCCAGCAGTTTGGGAGGCCAAGGTGGGTGGATCACCTGAGGTCAGGAGTTCGAGACCAGCCTGGCCAACATGGTGAAACCCCATCTCTACTAAAAATACAAAAAATTATCTGGGCGTGGTGGTGCATGCCTGTAATCCCAGCTACTTGGGAGGCTGAGGCAGGAGAATTGCTTGAACCCAGGAGGCAGAGGTTGCAGTGAGCTGAGATGGTGCCACTACACTCCACCTGGGCGACAGAGTGAGACTCTATCTCAATTAAAAAAAAATTAATATCCATAAACCAAGTTCTATTGGAACACAGTCACACTCATTCTTATACATGTAGTCTCTGGCTGCTTTTACATAATTGTGTAGCAATCTACCACAGCAAATGGCCGATCATGTACCGTCTTGCTTCATCCACCCCCAAACTGAGACTACTATCAGATTATTTTAAATTGAATCCTAGATGTCATATTGTTACATCCACAGTGCCTTCAGTATGTATCTCCAAGTTTTTCTAAAGATAACCACAATACCACTAAAACAGGAGTTTTTAAGAATGAGGAAGTGGGGTCAAGAGGAGAAAAAAATAAGGTGGAAAAGTAGAGAAAACCAGGCACAATACCCAGAGGCTGTTTAAAGAGCATGTCACTTACCATAAACTCAGACCCAAGGTTGCATCAATTTTCCTGGAAATCTAGATAGGTAAGAAAATTAGACAGTTCTAAGCATTAAACGTGGAAGCAAAATGTCATCATAAGAGGCAACAAATTAGGTTGTTGAGAGAAAATATCAGATCAAACCTTGAAGCAAGGCCATTAGCTTGGTGGTTCTAAAACCTTACAGAAGAAGCAATGAGCAATGGGGCAGATTAAAGCTTCTTGAGTCCTGCTCAGGAAAGATGTGCGGCTACAAATTTGACTCTCTTATTTCTCCTTTGATGTTAGCCAGCTCAGTGGTCATCTTTATGTTCCCTGTAGAGATGAGAGTGAACTGTGTATTGTCATTTGGTCCCATCTCTGGATGTAGGTGGTAATAACAATTGCCTGACACTTTCCAGTGACCAAGCATGGAGTCAAGGCGTTGGAAAGAACAAAGGACTCAGGGGGATCAGTTTGTTGGTTTTTGTCCTTTGAAAGAAAATCAGTTTTTGTACCTATTTTTTAAAATGCTGGCCAGGCGCGGTGGCTCACGCCTGTAATCCCAGCACTTTGGGAGGCCGAGGAGGGCGGGCCACGAGGTCAGGAGTTCGAGACCAGCCTGGCCAACATGATGAAACCCTGTCTCTAATAAAAATACAAAAAAATTAGCCAGGTGTGGTGGCGGGCACCTGTAATCCCAGCTACTTGGGAGGCTGAGGCAGGAGAATCACTTGAACCTGGAAGGCAGAGGTTGCAGTGAGCTGAGACTGTGCCACTGCACTTCAGCCTGGGCGACAGAGTGAGACTCAGCCTCAAAAATAAAAAAATTTTTTTTTTTTAGATTCAAGGTGTGCAGTTTTGTCACATGGGTATACTGTGTGATGCTGATATGATCGATCCCATCACCCAGGTGGTGAGCATAGTACCCAGTAGTTAGTTTCTCAGCCCTTGCCCCTCTTCCTACTCCCACTCTATTAGTCCCCAGTATCTATTGTTGCCATTCTTTTTAAAATTTTTTAATTTTTTGTTTTAGACAGTCTCACTCTGTTGCCTAGGCTGGATTGCAGTGTGGAATTTTGACTCACTGCCACCTCCTCTTCTAGGGTTCAAGCGATTGTCACGCCTCAGACACCTGAGTAGTTAGGATTACAGGCGTGCGCCACCACGCTCAGCTGATTTTTGTATCTTTAGTAGAAATGGGATTTTGCCATGTTGGCCAGGCTGGTCTCAAAGTCTTGGCCTCAAATGATCTGCCCACCTCAGCTTCACAAAGTGCTGGGATTCCAGGTGTGAGCCACTGCACCCGGCTATCATTGTTGCTATCTTTATGTTCATGAGTACTCAATATTTAGCTGTCACTTATAAGTGAGAACATGCAGTATGTTCTGTATTTTTGACCCAAGTATTTTGCCTACCCTTCCTTCTTGGGTTGTGGTGAGCATCTGATGAAAGTGTACATGTGAAAATACTGTATAAGTCAGAAAGTGTTATGCCAATATAAGACTTGGTATTAGATTATACTGAGTGGGATATATATATATATATATATATATATATATATATATATATATATATATGTATTTAAATTTATTTTATTTTTATATTTTAATTTTGTATAGGGATGGGGTCTCTCTATGTTGCTCAGGCTAATCTCCAGCTCCTGGGCTCAAGTGATCCTCCCGCCTCAGCCTCCCAAAGTGCTGTGATTATAGATGTGAACAACCATGCCTAGCTACCTTCTTATTTTCAACAAAATTTGTTTTGCACCTTCTATGTTCTTCGCTCTGTTCTGTGGATTCCTGGAGGACTATTAAAAAGCATTGGCAGGTGCTACAAATTCTCTTTCTTATTATTAGTGTTTTGTTTTTCTTGTCTGGCAGGGAAATGATATTTTATGTCACTTTGACCTGATTTCACTGCTACTATGGTTCACATGTTTATGAAATGTAATCTACTCAAGAGAAAAGCAGACATTTTTCTTCCTGATATGCCTGTAGGTTTGCCATGTTGAGCAATAATGATGGAATTTCCAAATTCCTATCAGTAAGAAAACAGCATATTCTTGGTGTGGGGAGTGAGTCTTTTGTGGGAGGAAACCTAGGTCAAGAATTATGTAGGAAAATGAGACAGAAAAAGAATACAAATTCTAAAGTTTTTTAATGACAACCCTTCTAATTTGTGCCTAGAAGATTGTGTATAGGGGGATTACTATACTGGGTTTGAATTGCAACAAATAAGATCATCCACCCAAAGCATCTGGCTTGACCCAGGAATTGAGGAATATAAAAATAGTTATGGGGAAGTTTTAAAGAAAACTGGAATAGTTTTAAAGTTGGAATGGGATCCATTTGGTCTATGACTATTTTACAGGTGTGGTCAAATGAGACATGCTTGAAATGTTTGCTTTTTATAATTTACTGCAACTCATTATAAATGGCAGGGTTGCACTAGTATAGGTATAGACTGCTTTAAGAAAACTCAATATTTATAACCCCACAAATGTATAAATTGTGAATTATGAATTAGGGGATGAGTATCTCCATTATAAAAGAATTTGCCTACAGGATTCTCTCTTAGAATATTTAAAATATAACTTGATTTACAAATATGGTTTACAGAAATACATCTGGGAAAAGTAAGAGCACACACATACGCATGCTCTGAGTTTAGATTCTTCATAAAGATAGACAGATGGCATGTTATGTCTCAGGATAACTGTACCTGCTATAGGCTTGTCCTTACTACAAACAGCCAGCTCTCTTATCTCTTAACAATCAGAGACTACTTATTGTTGCAAGAGGCAATCTGCCATGGGCTCTGAGCATCCCTGTAGTTTTTGCTGGCTATGCTAACAATGCTAAGCTTTGACCATTCTTTACCTGGACATTTGCTAGTATTGTGTTTACTATGAGCAGATTGAGAAATATGGTAATGTCTCTATTTGGGATAGGAAACAGGGTTGC
The DNA here is from genome assembly GCF_000001405.40 of Homo sapiens. Classification (NCBI taxonomy): domain Eukaryota; kingdom Metazoa; phylum Chordata; class Mammalia; order Primates; family Hominidae; genus Homo; species Homo sapiens. Next base: position 219,984,981 of record NC_000002.12, read on the forward strand.
TTACTACTTACTATAAAACAACATGTTCCCTAAGCTCAGTGCTCCTCATCTGTGCTGCGAGCCTACTGTGTGCAGAGCATCCATCTGGGCCCACAATATTGCTCCGATAAGATGTGGGGGCAAGGAGAATGGATACACATGCTGATGCTCATGCTTCTTGCTGTGCTATGAGTAATAACGTCCTTTGTCTCTGACCCAGGAATCTCTTGCCTTCTGCTAGCACCCATGAAACAGTAACTAGCTAAATTATTAACTTGTATACAAGGGTAAAACCAGATCTCAGTCCTGACACTTTTCAATTTGACTGTGCTGGGTTAAATCTGTGGATTTGGGGTTATCTGAGTACTTTGTTGACTTAACATAAAGGCACTTACTACTTTATTTTCTCAACTTTTAATTGCCTAGGACTGCATGCTATATTATTTTTACCTTTTAATTTAGTTTTTTAATTTTAATTTTAATTTTTCTAGAGACAGGGTCTTGCTCTGTCACCCAGAGTGGAGTGCAGCAGCATGATTATAGTTCACTGCAGCCTCTAACTCCTGGGCTTAGGAGATCCTCCTGTCTCAGCTTCCTGAGTGGATAGAACTAGAGGCATGTGCCACTACACCTGGCTAATTTTTTATAAAACTTTTTTTGTAGAGCTGGAGTCTTGCTATGTTTTAATTTTTTGTAGAGACAGGGTTTTGTCACGTTGCTTAGGCTGGTCTCAAGCTCCTGTCCTCAAGTGATCCACCCGCCTTGGCCTCCCAAAGTGCTGCGATTATAAGTGTAAGCCACCACGCCCAGCTATTTTTGCCATCTTTATGTTCATGAGTACCCAATGTTTAGCTGGTTTTAAACTCCTGGCCTCAAGCAATCTTCTGCCTTGACCTCTCAAAGTGCTGGGATTACAGGTGTGAGCCACCTTGCCCAGCCAGCATGAAACAATAGCAGTACTTTTATTGTCTTAGGGCTAAGCTAGAGCAGCTGGTGTTTAGCTTAGATTTTTGTGGTTGTTTTCTTTTATATATAGGAAAGGAAAAATCACTGAATCATTTAATTAATGTCATATTCTCCAAGTATAACTCTTGATTATACATAGAAGGGAGAAACTGATGACTATCAATGAATCTAAACATTGAGGGAAGAAAAATGGGACTGAGCCTGTATGTAGGATTTATGAACTGACTACATATATAGGATGTGTATTTTAAAGGTATCTTTAAAATGCTGCTGTGCTGTGTATGGAGTACATCTTACTAGGATGTGTCTACTTGGACCACATTAGATGGTACTTTGTGTTCTGAGGATTAGAATTCTAGCTCTAAGAAGAGGTTTCTCTTTTGCTTTCCCTAGCCTGGGTCAGCTACTTAATCTCTTAAGTAGGTTTCTCTTCTACCAAAACATCTGGGAAACAATAGATACTATTCTTAAGGTAGAATATATGTGTGGCATATGTATGGGTGATTTGTAGATCTGATTTGATGCATGTATTTGCGAATGGGCATGGCAATGAGCTGGATTTGTTTTAAGTGAACATACAGAAATTTCCAAAGGGATGTTGTTTCCTTTAAATTATCACCTCAGAAATCTATGTGTTATTCCCAAGTTATTTCCAATAACATGGCTCAAACTTTACTATTACTCCTTTTATGGGAGTGCATTCAGAGTCCAAGATCCAGTGGTGATCAAACTTTGTGCTTTTTAAAAATTTACCAAAAACCATGTAGAGCCAATTCTATGAGTAAAGTGTGAGATCAAATGGAGTTAAAAAAAAGAAAAAAGAAGACACACAAAGTAGTAAAATTGATTTTCTTGAGTGGTTTGCAAACAGACCCCAAAGGCTACTCCCAAGCAAACTTCTGGAAACTCTTTAGATCAGGGGCCCCAAACCCCAGGCCATGGACTGGTATCAGTCTGTGGCCTGTTTGGAACCGGGCTGCACAGCAGGAGGTGAGAGGTGGGCCAAGTAGCATTACTACCTGAGTTCCGCCTCCTGTCAGCGGTGGCATTAGGTTCTCACAGGAGCACAAACCCTATTGTGAACCGTACACGCATGGGATCTAGGTCGTGTGCTCCTTATGAGAATATAACTAATGCTTGATGATCTGAGATGGGACAGTTTCATCCTGAAGCCACACCCACCCTGTCCATGGAAAAATTGTCTTCCATGAAACAAATCTCTGGTGCTAAAAAGGTTGGGGACTGCTGCTTTGGGTGATGGCAGTCCCTCAGTGTATGGCTTTTCAGTGTCAGCTATGAAGGGACCAATGAATGTGTTCAACCTATTACACTTAGCTGCACGACTGAATTATGCCAGCACGTCAGTATCACCAAGGGTGTGTGTGGGATGGTGGACAAATAAGTAGGTGCTTCATGGTCACCTGCACGATTTGATTAGAATGGGTCTCAGCCAGTTGATTTTTACTATTCAATTTATTGCTTTGAGCTCTGTGAAAAGCCAGCTTCTTTAATAGCAGTGAAACTATTTTAATGACCAGTGACATGTTGGTCATGTTAGACCAACGCTTACGACTTATGTGGAGACGTGGCCTGTTTTCCACTTTCAGGATTACAGGGGGAGGTGCAGGGAACTTGGGCCTCTATCTGGCCCAGTGTTTTCCAAATTTCCATCATTTTGTATCACGATTTTGCAATATATATGCCAGTGATATTATCTTCTTGAAAATAACTCACTTAAAAAATCATATATTTATGAAGGAAACTTTCTATTACTGCTATAAATGAATAAAACAATTGATGTGAATACAAGAAAACCATAAAATAAATATTCTGAAATAAAATAATGCTATTAAATTCTTACTAGATACTGATTGTCTGAACCCGAGTTTTGTTTTTTGTTTGCTAACAAGGGAGATTAGTAAGTGCTGGAAAGATGTAAAAGACATAGTAAGCCAGTGGTGAATCATTGCCTCTGAGTCTGTTTATGCTGCTGTTTATCCACAACGTTGGGCAGTCTCTTTCCACACTGAGTTCATTCTTGGCCATGTGACTAGCTTTGACCAATGGGCAGTAGCAAATGTCATGTTAGCAGTGACTTGAAAAGTGATTGCTCACTGGGGCTTTTCTTCTCCTGCTGTTCTTGGAACCTCTGACCAGCACATGAATAAGCTCAGGCTAGCCTGCTGGATGATGAGAGACACATGATCCAATCACCCCATCACTCCAGCCAACAGGCAACCAATGACCAGATATGTGACTAGCTAGTTACCGCTTGTGAATCCTCCAGCTACAAAAGTGAGCTCAGCCAAGATCAGCTGAGCCTGGCTTATGTCAGCAGAACCAATAATCCCATAGACATGAGAGCACTAATAAATTATTGTTGTGCCACTAAAACATTTCAGGGTGGTTTGTATTTTCTTTGCTTGAATGAGTTTTTGTTTTGTTTTGTTTTTAAAATTTGTTTGTTTGAGACAGGGTCTTGCTATGTTGCCCAGGCTGGTCTCAAACTCCTGGGGTGAAAGTGATCCTCTTGCCTCAGCCTCCCAAGTAGCTGGGACTACAGGCATGTGTTACTGCACCTGGTCAGGGTGGTTTGTTATTCATCCAGAGTTAACTTAGACCCTAAACTAAGATTTGTTCCAGGCATTTCGTAGCATAAAATTTATCAGTATAATTTCTTTAGTGTTGGTTTTGAGTACAACCACTTGGTCTACAATGAATGGTATATATCTCATACTTCAAGAAACACCGATCTAGTCCAAGCCCCACCTTTTAGGTTTAACAATTAAAGTCTCAGAGAGGTGAAGTGACTTACTCAGACTTCATACTTAGCTAGTAACAAAGATGATACTTACACATCAGGTCTTATGTATCCAACCTGAGTTCATTTCCAGAGCATTTTGCTGCCTTTAGGATTGGTGTGTTTAATCATATTAAAGTGACGAGTAGGATTTTTGGGAGTTATTGTGTCAGCTTCTGATATCTTTATCCTCTCCTGAAGGGAGCAGGAATAAAGTTAACTCATAGAATTAAAAATTTATTTTTAAAGTTTTGGATTATCTTGTGTTGTGGATTGAATTGTATCCCTCTCCCCCAAAGATATGCTGAAGTCCTAACCACCAGTATTTGCGAATTTACCTTATTTAGAAATAGGACTTTTGTAGGTATAATCAAGTTAAGATGAGGTCATGCGGGATTAGGGTGAGCTCTAAATCCAGTGTGTCTCTGTGTCTGTATTCGGACACAGCCATATGAAGACAGAGGCAGAGACTGGAATTATTCTGCTACAAAATGCCAAGGATTGTTGAAAATCATCAGAAACGAGGTAGAGGCTAGAAAGGATTCTTCCCTAGAGCCTGTAAAGAGAATGACTGTGCCTTGGTTTCGGACTTCTAGCCTTTGGAACTGTGAGAGAATAAATTTCTGTTTGAAGCCATCTGGTTTGAGGTATTTTGTTAGAGCAGCCACAGGAAATGAATGTATCTTGCTTGTTTACCTTTGTTTGGAATCATGTTCTATCTAAATTGCACACTAACTAATATGGGCAGTAGAGAAATTGACAGACAAAATAGGAAAGTTAGGACCTCAAAATCAAAAACCAACCCTGTCCCTCCCTTAGAAATAAGCTACCAAATAGAAAATGCCTGCGTGGCTGAGAGTTGAGTGTGTGCACAGACGCAAGTGCAGCCTTGT